>NC_000001.11:33303835-33928835 GCF_000001405.40 Homo sapiens | reverse complement strand
TGGAGAAGGCACTAAACACTATGCCGGGTGCAGTGTGCACCTTGAGTGATTCTGAGCACTGGGGCCTCAACAGCGACCACAGCTACCCAAGGCCACTCTTTACGATAGGGTAACTCTACTGCTACTGGGATAACTAGCCTTCCATCACTTTTGCAATTACTGTTACTATACCAGAACGTTTCACGATATGGGCTCTGGAGGCCAGTCACCTGGATTCAAATCCTGGCCTTGCCACTTACACCCACTGGCTGAGTGGCTTGGGACCAGTTACTCAACCTCTCTATGCCCCAGTTTTCTCATTTGTAAATGGGAATAATAATGGTACTTAACTCATAAGTTGGCAGTGAGGTTCACATTGATAAATGCTAAGCACATAGCAGAGGGCCTTGTTCATAGTTATGACTCAGTGAGGGGTATCTATCATTGTCATTCTCACTGCCACAGCCTCACTGGCCACCATATTGAGCCCTAACTAAGTACCAGGTCCTGCATTACCTGTTGTAATCCTCACAACTCCCAAGGAGGTTAAGGTAATGTTATCTCCTCTTACAAGTGAGGAAACTGAGGCCCAGAGAGGTGCAGTGCTTTACCTGTGATTACACAGCTTGAGAGTGGTGGAGCCAGGATTCAGCGCAAGTCCACGTGCCTAACAGCCATGATCTTGACCACCACCCTCCACTGCAGGCAAGGATGGTGGCCTCTGGCCCACAGCAGGAGACTCACAATGATGCTGTGATTTCCAGAGCTTCTCCAGCCTGATGGTTCAGGGCCTGAGAGCTTGGCCTGCAGGTGCAGGCATCCCCTGCATGGCTCCACCAGTCAGGGACTGGCAGTCTCTTGCGGTTTCCCCTTGACCTTCCATGCATTCCTGAGGAGAGAAACCTCTGGGAAAGGGCCTGAGGTCATTCTGTTGGACAGATGCTGCTTCAGGGTGGGGGCTGGAAACTACTTTTCCATCCTATGAAGAAAGCCAGACCCAAGGTTCACCCACCTCCACTTAAGCACTGGTAGCTGGACCAGCACTTTTGAGGCAGCACAAAGGCCCCCAGGCAGAAGAGAAGGGAGCAGGAGGAAGCGTCTCATGCCTGGAAAACCCCATCTCCAGGGTCTGGTGCTTCCAGGAGCCTGCTCCTAGCCCATGTCAGGAACAGGATTATAGTGACTGAGGCCCAGGAGGCAGACAAATAGGTGGGTAATGGTGTGGGCCTGGAGTCACAAGGTCTTAGGTTCAAACCCTAGCTCCAACATTTAGTAGCTATGTGACCACAAGGAAGTCTTAAAAACTCACTGAGCCTCTGTTTCCTCATCTGTAAAATGTGCACGATAATACCTATGCTCTCGAGGGTTTGAAGATTAAAGGGGAAAATGCAGGTGAAGCATTTTGCACAATGCCTGGCCCATAATGAAAGCTCACTAAGGAGTGTCATGTAATCAAATACCATGTCCTGTCTACATTCTTCCCCTCAGAAGGATACCTTAGGTGGCTGTAACTATAGGAGTCTGGGAGCAATAGTGATGTTCTCAGAATTGGTCATTTCTTCATTTTAAGGAGTGTCATTGATAAAGCCAAGGATAAATGGGCAGAGTCCAAAGCCCCCAGGAAGAGGGGACTGAAGAAGTTGAGCAAGTTCTGGGGGCCCCAGCATGTTTAGGCACACGAAACCATTCACCACAAGAAAAGGGGGTGGGCCGCAACTTTGGGGCACTCCTGCCCTGGTGCTCTCAGTCTTGCACTGGAATTGGAAGATGGTGGCTTCTCCTTTGGGGCCTGTTGGCATCTTCATTTCCACAGAGGCTGAGGGGTCCTGGGGAAGATGATATGAACAGAAGCCAATTCCAAGGACCCCAAATCTTCTAGGCATGCAAGATGGTACCCTAGAGCTGGCCTGAAGTAGAGAGGATAATGTCCTGTTTTCTCCATTTCCTGCCTGAAATTTGTCAGTCATTGTAGAGTTAACAGAAATCAAAGAGGATTGAGGGAGAGTTCTCTAAAATTATGGCTAATTGAAGAGATTTCCGTAGAACTTAAAGTCGATCATAAATAAAGTCATAAACTTGGAAAGGCAACTATCAGCATAACACACCTGCACCTGAGAATATGCATGACTTAATGGTGGTGCAAAATGCCCATTGCCAGAGAAGGAGAAAGTGTAAATGAATATTTTAGGACTATGGTGTCAGCTGAAGGTTATATTTTATGACTCTGGAGTTGTAACCATGAAATATGATGCCTTGTCTAAAGTGGGAGAAAACCTCCAAACAGCTTTTGCAGGATCTTCAATCAAAACAGGATGATGCAAGGGCCAGGGTGTCGGATGAGCCCAAGAGGCAGGGATGGCTAAAATGGTAAAGGTGCCGCCTTCAGAGGAGACTGGTAGCTCTGGCCAGAGGATCTCAAGTTCTCAAGTCCTCAGTTCTAGCACAAGTCCAGAAATCATTGCCTACAGTTGGGAAGTTTGAAAATCTCGGGATGGCTTACCAAACCACTATCAAGCAGGGATGTGGAGGAGACTACCATCCTGGTACCAGAGACACTCAACTGAAATCTTGACTCAGCCACTCCCTATGTGACCTTGGGAACATTACTTAACCTCTCTGAGCTTCAGTTTTCTGTTACATTTATTTGTTCAGCAGATATTAGTCAAGTGCCTGCTGTATGCCAGGAAATCTGCTAGGTGCTAGGGACAGAACAGACATGGCCTCTGTTCTCATGGAGTTTGCTATCTACATGTTAACTAAGTAATGATATAATTGATCAATTAATTATGGAAAATCATTAATTATGGCAAAATATGTGGTGCTCAGAAAGTATATGATGGGGGAGGGATTATTCTATTTCTGTAAAGATCCTCGAGGAAGCAGCACTTGGATCGGGACCTAAAGGCTGAGGGCGAGGGGGCAGTCAGGCCCAACGAGATAGGGAAGAAGTTTCCAGAAAGAGAAAATAACACTTTCAAAGGCCCTGGAGCAAGGCAATGCTTAGTGAATCGGAAGAGCTGGGAGGAGGCCAGGGTGGCTGCAGATAGTAGGGACAGAGAGACTGGCATGAGGCAAGGCCCTGTAAGGTCCTTGTGAGTCATCGGGTATTCCACTTTATCCTGAGTGACAATGGGGGTTATTGATGGTTCCAACAGAGAGAGTGGTGTAATCAGGCCCATGGTTTCCCGTATTACTCTGGCCTCTGTGAAGAATGGACAGAGGCTGCAAAGCAACCTACAGATTCAATGTAATCTGTATCAAAATACCCGTGTCATTTTTCACAGAAATAGAAAAAACAATCCTAAAATTCATAAGGAACAACAAAAAAGCCTGAAAAGCCAAAGCAATCTTGAGCAAAAAGAACAAAGCTGGAAGCATCATTCTACCTGGCTTCAAAATATATTACAAGGCTATAATAACCAAAACAGGATGGTATTAGTATAAAAACAGACACAGACCAATGAAACAGAATAGAGAGTCCAGAAATAAATTCATATACTTACAGCCAACTGATTTTCAGCAAAGGCACCAAGAACATGCATTAGGGGAAGGACGCTTGCTTCAATAGTGCTGGGAAAACTGGATAACCATATGCAGAAAAATGAAACTAAACACCCATCTCTCACCATATACAAAAATCAACTTAAAATGAATTAGAGACCTAAACTTAAGACCCCAAACTATAAAACTACTGGAAGAAAACTTAGGGGAGTTATTCCAGGAGATTGGTCTAGGCAAAGATTTTATGGCTAAGACCTCAAAAGCACAGGCAACAAAAACACAAATAGACAAATGGGACTATATTAAACTAAAAAGCTTCTACACAGAAAAAGAAACCATCAACAAAGTGAAAAGACGACCTGTTAAAGACGAGAAAATATTTGCAAGCTATTCATCTGAGAGGGGACTAATGTCCAGAATGTACAAGTAACTCAAACAACTCAACAGCAAAAAAATAATAATAATAACAATCCCATTAAAAAGTGAGCTAAGGACATGAATAGACATTTTTCAAAAGAAGACATTAAAATGGCAAACAGGTATATGAAAAAATGTTCAACATCTCTGATCATCAGGGAGGTGCAAGTCAAAATCACAGTGAGGTATCATTTTACCCTAGTTAGAATGGCTATTATTAAAAAAGCAAAAAACAACAGATGTTGGCAAAGATATGGAGAAAAGGGAGCTCTTATACTTTGTTGGTGGGAATGTAAATTAGTACAGCCATTATAGAAAACAGTATGGAGATTTCTCAAAAGACTAAAAATAGAACTACCATATGATCAAGCAATTCCACTACTGAGTATTTATCCAAAGGAAAGGAAATCAATGTATCAAAGGGATACCTGCACCCCATGTTTACTGAAACACAATTCATAACAGCAAAGATATGGAATCAACACAAGTGCACACCATTAGATAAATGTATAAAGAAAATATGGTATATGTAATATATATGTGTGTATGTGGTATACACATACATGGTGGAATACTACTCAGATGTTAAAAAATGAAATTAGCTAGGTGCAGTGGCATGCGCCCATAGTCCCAGTTACTTGGGAGGCTGAGGCAAGGGATCTCTTGAGCCCAGGAGTTCAAGTCCAGCCTGGGCAATGTCCAGCACAACTCCATCTCTATTTTTTTTTTTTAGAAGAGTGAAATCCTGTCATCTGCAGGAACATGGGTGGAACTGGAGGTCATTATGCTAAGTAAAATAAACCAGGCAGAGAAAGACAAATATCACCTAACACTCATACGAGGAGTTAAAAAAGTGGATCTCATAGAGGTTGACAGTAGAATGATTGATAGTTACCAGAGGCTGGGAAGGCTGTGTGTGTCCAGGATTGGAGGATGTAGGGCATGAAGAGAGGTTGGTTAACAGGTACAAATACACAGTTAGGTCAGTGGTCCCCAACCTTTTTTGGCACCAGGAACCAATTTCATGGAAGACAATGTTTCCATGGACAGGAGGTGGGGGATGGTTTCAGGATGAAACTGTTCCACCTCAGATCATCAGGCATTAGATAACTTGCTCAACACTCACCTCCTGCTGTGCAGCCCAGGTTCTAACAGGTCCCGGTCCATGGCCTAGGGGTTGGGGACCCCTGAGTTAGGTAGAAGGACGAATAAATTCTAATGTTCAATAGCAGACTATGGTGACTATAGTTAAAACAACAATGTATATTTCAAAATAGCTAGGAGAGAGAACTTGAAATGTTCCCAACACATAAAAGTGATAAACTCTTGAGGTGATGGATGCCCTAAATACCCTGAATGGATCATTACACCTACTGTGTTAGGCTTTTCTTGTATTGCTGTAGAGAAATGCCTGAGACTAGGTAATTTATCAAGAAAAGAGGTTTAATTGACTCATGGTTCCACAGGCTGTACAGGAGGCATGGCATTGGCATCTGCTCAGCTTCTGGGGAGGCCTCAGGGAGCTTTTACTCATGGCGGAAGGTGAAGTGGGAGCAGGCACTTCACATGACCAGAGCAAGAGCAAGAGAGGGAGTGAGGGAGAGGTGCCACACAATTTTAAACAATCAGCTCTCGAGATGACTCACTCACTGTCACAAGGACAGCACCAAGCCATGAGGCATCCATCCCCATGACCCACACACCTCCCACCAGGCCCCACCTCCAGTATTGGAGATTACATTTCAACGTGAGATTTGGGAGGGACATTCAAACTATATCACCTACTATGCATGTCAAAAAATAACACGCATACCCCATAAAAATGTACAAATATTTTATAACAATAAATTTTTTAAGGGAGTGCTCCAAGATAAAGTTCTCAATGCAAAAAAAAAGTATGTGAGTTGATTGATATGCTAATTAGCTTGATTTAGTCATTCCACAATACATACATATATCAAAACATCACAGTGTATTCCATAAGGACATACAATTATTGTCAATTAAAAATAAAATTTAAAAAACTGAAAAACCAAAAGAATGGATGGGCTGGAGGAGGAAGGAGGCTTGGAGACCAGGAGGGGGCTTCATGGCTGTGGTTAACTTGGAGTGTGACATGGCTTGGGGTACAGCAATGGCAGTGATGGCGGGGGACAGGATTGACAGCCACCTAGATGGACTGCCAGCTGAGTCCCTGGCTGGATGTGGGGGTGTGGGAGGAGTTGAGGATGTCCCCTGAGCCTCTGCCATGAGGAAGTGGGTGAATAGTGCTGACCCTCCAAGATGGGAAAGTCTGGAAGAAGGCTAGGCTTCTGGGAGGAAAGGATGAGAGTGATTTTGGTTGGGTTGGGTTTGAGAGCAATGTGGAATATCTAGTTGGGTTTCTAAGACTGGAAGTAGGCAGAAGGCTCTGGAGTCATTGTCTTTCCCCCAAGACCTGCTTTTCTTCTGGAATTCTTTGTTGTCCACCTGGATGTGCAGGCCAGATTAAATGAGACTATGTGGACCAAGGGCCTGATTGGAGACTTGGCCACACAGAGTGGCTGTGCCTGCTCCTGAGCCACTCCCTCCCCCTCTAATGTTTCTCTTTGGCCCCTGCTTACTTTCCACCTGAGTGCCCCTCCCTTCCCACCTTCTCTTCTTTCAGGTATCTTTGCTTCTGCCTGCTCCATACAGGTCTGTTCAGTCCCCAGCCTTCTCCACTCCTGTGGTGGGAGCTTCCCTCTCTGTCCTGCTGATTCCCTGCCTCACAGTCTCTGGGATCCCAGGCCCATAGGTATCCCCATCTGTTTATTCCCCAGGATCTCACACTCAGCATGGGAGTGGGGAAGAGCAGGGAGGAAGGGCCGTCACTTCCTGCAGAGCTGCGTCTCCTCTAGCGTCCCTGTCTCTGCTCTCTCCTTCACCATCCATTTTCTGTTGGAGACTTCACCCTCTCATTCCTCCACAGTCTGCCTCCTAAATCCCTTCCTGCTGCTTCTCTTTCCTCCCTGCCTAGTTGCAGCTTTGATGATGGGAAAACCTCTTCTCCATTCTCTGTCTCTGATCTCCCCACCGGCAACCTTCCCTGGCCACCAAACCATATCTTTCATCCATTACTATGGGACCAAATCATCTTTCTAAAATAGGTCTGGACTTGTACTTCCTGCTGAAAACCCTCTTCTCCACACCTACCATGACTCCCCTGCACCTGCAGAGGAAAGTCCAAACACCTCGGCAGTGCTGTCAAGGCCTTCCCCCAAGCAGCATGCCCTTCCAGGCCTTCTTGCCTCTGAGGGCCTGTTTGCTCTGCCTGGAACCCCTCTATTTCTTCCCCTTCCAGCACACTCCTGTGCTTTTTTGAAGGTTCGGGCTAAATGTCCCTTTCTTCACCATGATCCCTTTCCCCAGTACAGTCAAGACTCAGCCATTGTGCCCAGGGCGAAGACAGTTCCACCTGGTGTAGTGAGGGCCAGTGACAGGACTGTTGGGGACCAGTGGGCCCGGTGCTTGCTCGGAACAATATTGGCAAATCTCCCACTTGTTGGCTGGCTCCTGTGGCTTATCTCCCTGGTAATGTTCATGGTGAATTTATTTACATCAGAAGGCGACAAACTCTGCCTCAGATGTCAGACATCATAGCCTCCTGCCAGAGAGATACTCAAGGCAGAAATACTGTGCAACTTGATAAAACAAATCAACAGCACCACTGAACTGGATTTAAAGCCAAGCAAGGCCAATCTTGCCTACCTTCCCTCCCTTCCTGCTTTCTGGGGCCTGGGAAGCTGGGTTGAGGGTAGCAAAGGAGGAAGAGGGGAGGAGAACAGAACCTCAGCTCCTCTACTCGGCATTCAAGGACCTTCGCAGTCCAGCTCTTGCCTTCCTGTCCAGCCCAGCTCTGTCATCTCTGCATGTCCCTTTCAGTTCAGACGGTCCTGCCTAATAAGTCCCTAAACATGCCACACTCCCCAACTTGAACTGTCCTTGCTGTTTTTCTGCCTAAAACACCCTCTCCCCTGAGGCCTACCAGGCAGGCACCCTCAGCTGATGTATGCTGCCAGCTCAGTGTTGGAAATGAAGCCAGACTCTGACTATGTCTCACTGTTACCACCTGGTCTTAGCCACCATCACCTCTCACTGGATTATTGGGGTAGCTTCAAGAGGCCCCCACCTTGTTCCCTTGCCCTCTCTGGTCTGCTGTCTACATGGCATCCCAAGGGATCCTGTTAATACACAAATGACATCATATCATCCTCAGCTCAGAACCCTCCACTGGCTTCTCAACTCATTCCGAGTAAAAGTCCACATCCTTACAGCGGCCTCTCAGGCCCTCGGAAGCCCTGCCTCCCCTGCCACTTTCCTCCTTCTTCCTGCATTCCAGCCCTTTGGGTCTCTTTTTTTTTTTTTTTTTTTTTTTGAGACAGATTGTCGCTCTTATTGCCCTGGCTGGAGTGCAATAGCACAATCTCGGCTCACTGCAAACTCTACCTCCTGGGTTCAAGCGATTCTTCTGCCTTGGCCTCCCGGGTAGCTGGGACTACAGATGTGCGCCACCACACCCAGCCAACTTTTTTTTTTTTTTTTTGTATTTTTAGTAGAGACAGGGTTTCATCATGTTGGCCAAGCTGGTATTGAACTCCTGACCTCAGTTGATCCGCCCACCTCGGCCTCCCAAATTGCTGGGATTACAGGCATGAGCCACTGCGCCCAGTCCTTGGGTCTCTTGATGCTCTTCAACGGTGCCAGGCCTCTGCACCCTGGTGACCTTTGCATTTGCTGCTCTATCTTCCGTGAATGCTCTTCCCCCAGGTAACCATGTGTCTTCCTCTCTCATTCCTTCAAGTCTTGGCTCAAATGTCAACTTCTCAGTGGGGTCTTCCCTGACCACCCTTTCTGAAATATCCACACCCCCACTCCCAACACCAGATAGCCCATTTTCCTCTGCACTTACCAGCTCATTTACTATAGAGTTAATTATTTATCTTGGAGTTGTCTTTATCCTTCTGACCAGAATGTAAGCTCTGGGAGGATAGGAATTTTTGTTTTATTCACAGCTGAATCCCCAGCACCTAGAACAGTGGCTGACACATAGTAGGTGCTCAGTTAGCATTTGTTAAATGAATGAATGAATAAGTGAATGAATATATTAACACAAATTCTGTCTCTTCCATAAAGCCCTTCCTAACTATGTGCTATCACTGCGCCTTGAGCATCCCCATCATAACTATTCTGTGTTGCCATTGCTGGCTTGCCTGCCCACCTCCTCCCTCAGAAGCATTTGAAGGCAGAGAGGAAATCAAGCTTTTCACATTGTAGTGCTGGCCCTACCCAGTATTTGGCCCACAGTAGGTGCTCAGTTAATGGGTATAGGAGGGAAACCTTCATAAGCACCTACTCTGGGAGAGTAGGTGTATATCTTACATTTCTGCACTCATAGAAACTTAGAAGTTAGCATTGAGAAATGCTATGAGTTGGCTCATGATTCTCTTGACCCTGTAAAGAACATTAGTAAGAATAGTTCAGAGCTGCTAAACAAGATCACTTTTATCTCTAGCCCAGATGGCTCCTATATATCTGTTAATCTGATCTCACCATTGGAGGCCCCACAGACATACCCACTTCTGCGTGTCCAAAACTGAACTCCTGGTTGCCTTCCATACCACAAGGAGCTCCCTTCCTGGGTTTTCTGCCTCAGGAAATAGCACCTTTCATCCATCCAGATGCTTATACCAGCAACCTGGATTTTATACCTCCTAGTTGCTGAATTCTGGAGATTCTGCTTCCTAAATATCTCTCAAATAAGTCCTCTCCCACCCTCCACACGACCTTAGCTCGATCTCATCCAGCCTCACCTGGACTGTGGTGGTTTTGGTGATACCAAGAGCATCCCATGCGCTTCCCTGACTCAGACCTCCTTTATACCATAGCCAGTGTTCTTTCTAAAATGCAAGTTTAATCACATTTCTTCACTGCCTTTGATCCTTAAGATGAAGTAGAAGGAAAAAGGAGAATCTAGCATTAGCATCTACCCACATGTCAGTCACTGGCTAATGCTAGTTACTGTCACATTAACTATCTAATTCAGTTATCACAACAGAGAAGCAAACTGAGCCTTAAAAAAAATAAATTTCCCAAAGTTATGCAGGTGGCTGGGAAATTGTGGAGTCTAAATTCAAATCTAGACCTTCCTTACCCTAAAATCCATTTCCTTTCCAATGCACTCCCCTGTCTCCAAATCTTTTTGGCTCAGTGTTCTCTGCCATGTGACTTCTCCTACATGCCATTACTATCTTATATTATTCATCTTTTTTACCCTGTGATGAGTCATCTAGAGCTGTTTATCTTAGACATGCCTTGCACGTTCATATGTCTCTGCTTATGACCATTTGGTTCCTTCTTCCCTGAAATGTCCTTCCCCCTCTTCTCCATCTAGTGAACTCCTACTCATTCATCAAAACCCAGCTCTAATGACACTTCCTCTGTTAGGCTTCTCAGATGGACTTGTCCAAACAAAGTCATTTGCTGCTTTATCTATGTCCACAAACTGTGAATTGTACTCTTGGGAGACAGAAGGATGTATTGCAGGTATAGCCCATGGTGAGTGCTAGGGCTTGAAAACCAGACTACTCATGTAAGCCTCTTCTCTCTGTGCCCACAGCTGATGATGCCTGTGGTGGGACCCTGCGGGGCCAGAGTGGCATCATCTCCAGCCCCCACTTCCCCTCGGAGTACCATAACAATGCCGACTGCACATGGACCATCCTGGCTGAGCTGGGGGACACCATCGCCCTGGTGTTTATTGACTTCCAGCTGGAGGATGGTTACGACTTTCTGGAAGTCACTGGGACAGAAGGCTCCTCCCTCTGGTAAGCACAACATCACCTTCCTTTCCTACCCTATTCTCTGCAACTGTGAATTACTGGGATGCTTGCAGTCTCCTCAGTGCCTGGACCTGCAGCCAGAGGCCTCTTAGCCACTTCCTTATACCTACTGTTAGAGTCCTTTCATCTCATCCTAATGAAAAAGCACTGCATATTTTTAGAGCTGGGGTAATTTTTATAGTGATTTTGATATCTGATTTGAAACATGTTCTTGCTGAAGATTTTTATGATGGGTCTTGGTTGAATAACTTGCATTAAGACTAAAAATGTTCTGGTCTCAGGATGTGGACAGGGTCTAGTAAAATGATTCAAAATATTGTTCCATTTCTGGAAGACATATGCATAGCATCCAAAAAGGGACTAGAACCATAAGTGACCATTGCTGAGACTAGAACATTTTTAGTCTTAATTCTTCCCACTCCAAGGGTCCTGATACATCAGAAAGGCATTATGTCCCAGTGTCTGAAGGGTAGGACTTACTTTCTCCCTCTTGTTCTGGCTTTGCTAAAAAAGTGCAGGCTCTTCTGTAGTGTGCTTCATGGAGAGTCTCAGTTGTTGATGGGTTAGGGAGGATATGAGTTATTGAAGCCATCGTTGCTTATCCCAGACTTGGGCTTGCAGGATGTGCTCAAATTGAGGATGGCTTGAGGAAGTATCTGGCTTTCTGTTTGGGTGAGAAGCATCACAAGTGGTATTGTGGCATTTGGAACACTCTCTTGTATTCTCATTGTGGCTGTGTTATCAGGAGGACTTTTGTTAGCACATGAGGAGCCAATAGAAGGATATGTCCAGGTGTACTTCAAGCAAGGATGGGGCATCGTTGGAGCCTTAGTTGCTGCATAGTGTCAGGTGAAGGTGGGGATTCCACTTCCTGATGTCAGGCAGGAGTCACGGCGTTGGCTACCAGGGGGTGCCGCAGTGGGAATAGCGTTCTGGTGGAGGCCCTGGGTGCGGGGCTGGGCCCGGCCAGGTCTGGCGGGGCTGTGCTCCAGGAGTGGATGGACGGAGGGCATAGGGGTGGGAGGAGGTGTCACTGAGGATTCTGAGCGGAGCAGAAAGTGGGTGTCTGCAAGAGTCAGAGAAGACAGAGACGTGGCAGTCAGTGGGAGTAGGGAGGAGGAAGATGGGAAGGAGAGGAGAAAAGGAGGGGAATGGGGCACGTTTATTGCACACCTTCCCTGTGCCAGGTTTCATGGCGGTAGGAACACCAGTTGAGTGAGACATGGTTTTTTAAGGAGCTCATTGTCTATCTATCTGTTAGGTAAGAAAATCAGACAAACCCATGGTAGGAGCCAAGTGTGACTATTAAATATTTAAGAGGGATAAAGGGGGAATGGATTCTTCCCAAGTATAGGCTCAGATTTGGGAACTAGCATAAGCAGAAAACTCAAGTTTCCTGGTGCAGTGGAAGGTGAGCCGACATGGGAGTCAGAAGACCCTGGTGTCACCATGAGCTTCTCACAGGAAGCTGGCCAGGTCATTTCCTACCCTGGTCAGAGGGCTGAGAGAAGCACAGGTGAGTGAGGACAACCTGCTCTGTGGAGGATGACATTCTATAAACTAGTCCAAGAGGAAAAGCTGGTGATTTTAAGCTAGGAGTTGGGTTGAAGGTTAAGGTGAGTCTTCACTCAACTGGAATCCTGATGATCTGCGCAGTGTGAAGACCCTTGGACCTCTGCCTCTTTTGTAAAATACCTGTTTACTGACTGTAAGTGTAATGCATATGCTCCTTGTAGAAAACATGGAAAATCTACAAAGGTATGGAAAAATTAAAATTATTACAATTTTGATGTACTCCCCTTTGACCTTTTTTCTTGGCCTAGATTAAGCTAGCTGGCTATTTATATATATTTAATATGACCAAATTAGGATCTAAAAATATCTGTAGTTATATATTTTTAGCTAATTATTGTGTCATGAAATGTTTTCCTGTACCATCACAGATGCCTCCAAAATATACAAGGTCTGATAATAATATCATTTGTTGACCCTTTACTACCAATATGTGCCAGACAGGTTATAAGCTCTTTAGAGCTATAATTTCATTTCATCTTCATAAAAATTATATGAAGTAAGTAGCATAGTTTTCCTCCTTTTACAGAAGAGGAAAATGAGGCCCAGAGAGGTTATACTACCTGCTTGAGATCACACCGGCGAGTAAGGAGCAGAGCTGGGATTCAACCCCAGGTTAATCTGATACTAAAGGCTGTCTTCCAAGCCATGACAGCATGCTATTATGACATGCGATATCTGTGATGAGTTTTCCGGGCTATGTAGCATTCCCTTGTAAGACTGTAGCATAGTTTACTCATCAGACCTCTTGTTAGGTGGTTCCCAAGTTTTCACTTCTATAAACAGGTGCCAAGACGAATACCCTTGCCAGTTCCCTGTCTTCCAGTCCCAAGGCCTTTTCGACTCACTTGTTTATCCATGGGCCAAATGGTCTCCTACAGCTTCTGCCCTCCAGGTGTGAGTCTACACGTTGTCCAAACTTTTGGAGTGAAACAAATCTGAAAGAGTTCCTTTTCCTATTAAGTCACTCAGTGGGGAAGGAATTAAGCAGAGGAAATTATTAGGGGAGTCACTCAGAACTCTTTGCTATAAGATTACATTATAATTATTTACAGGGTTGGTGTCACCACTGCCAGGATGGATGCATTTGTTGTTCTAATTTATACTTGCATAGCAATTATGGATAAACAAACTTGGAGACTCAGGACGTATGTGTGGGAAGAATCAGCTCTCTCCCTTGCCCCTCTCCTTTATGGATCCCTGGATTCCTGTAAAAATTTGATGCTGCTGGTTTATGAGTATACTGCTTTTGTAAGCATACATTAAGATTTCAGGATGTTCTCTTGCATTCTGTGCCAAGGCATAGAAAAACAACAGATCCTGTTAGCAAAGATGGATTTGGACAACTGGGCACCCCCTTCACCTATCAAGAAGACAAGAATTCCTTTGAGAGAAAAAAAAAATCCACTACCTCCCTTACCAGATAACAAGTTCCCACTGATTCAGAAGGGAGAGTGGCATGCAATGTCCCTGACTCAGTTTCCACACTCTTCCCCTCCCCCTAAACGGGATAGCAACAAATTAGGGCTTCTGGACTAGTAAAATTTCCAAACAATTGGAGAAACATAGGATTGGTCATTTTTTATTTTGCCAAGTAAGGATGTTAGAAGAAAACCTGCCAACTCCTCAGAATATTATTCATAAAACAAAGGACAATTCAAAGCCAAAACTGTGGCAGGAAATAATCAATTGGAAGTGTTGTCCTGACATCATGAAAGATAAGGTGCGGGGAGCACACATAAATAACAGTATGTGCCCATCACTGGAGTGGCCAACAGTATACATGCAGCAATCAGTGGGCCAGTTCTCCCTGTTTTGCTGGTCCCGGTCCAGCCTTTGGGAATCCAACAATACATGTTTTGAACAGGAAAAAGCTGTTACTGTGGTGAGCACTGAACCCTGTAGCTCTGACATGTTGAGCTATTCCCTAGTATTTTAGACTTACTCCCCCTAAAAGTTAATTGCATTTTTGTGTGTGTGACCATGAGCAAAAGCTGGGCTTGGACTGACTGAGGGTTACAACCCACAGAGAAGAATTGGTATTACACCCTGACTACACATACATGTGTGCAGCCCTCACCCAACATACACACAAACACACACACACACACACACACACACTGCCAAATCGTCTCTGACACATACCTTTCCAAGTCACTGCCAAATTCACATCACCAAGTCATCCCTCACCCCCAGACCACCTTAAGCACATGTACACACCTGTCCCCCCTTACACACAGTTCCATTTCCAGTTCAATGTAGGAGCCAGACTTTCTCTCACTGACCCTGCTGGAGTGTGGGGGTGGTGGGTTTTCTTTCTCTGCTCTGCTCTGACCCAGTCACTTGGCTCTGACCATCATGGAGCTCCATTCCTTTCCATCACGTTCTAAGAAAACACTCTCACCTTTGATAAGCTTCCTCATGAAGCCCCAGGACTTTTTCAAAGGACTGGGACTGGGGATACAGAAGACCCTTTTAACAATATGGGGATGTAGGTCCCTGAAGGATATCAGGATCACGTTATACTGAGTAGAAGTGATCTCCAGCCCATCACAGAACTGACCTCTCCATTGGTTGAGAAAATCAGCAAAGTGAAGCCCCCTGAGAAGCCACTAGATCCAGAATCTGTCTCCTCTTTCCTCTGTCTCATACCCAACACTCTCCATCTGAGTCTCTCCAGAACCATCCCCAGATTAAAAGAGAGGAGGGAAAGCCAGACATCCTCTCCTAGAATATAGGAGAGGAAGTTTGTGCAGTTTCTCTGGAATTAGATATCGAGCCTGCACCATGGCATCGAACTGGGAAGGGGGTAGGCTTGGGAGTCAGCAGAGACACTTGGGCTCAAAACCAGCCACCTCTCAGTAGTTGTGTCATCTTAGGATATTTACCAGCTTTTCTGAGCCTGTTTCCACATCTGAAAAATGGGTCTCAGTATACCAACCTACAAAACACTTTGAGAGGGTGAAACGTGGCAACTGCTGCCTGGCTCACCATAAGTACAATACTCCTGGAATGAGGCTTTGAGAGGAAAAGAGTAAGATGGAGCAACCCCAGCAATTCAGAGCCTCGTTGGCCCTATTTTTGGTGGTCCCACTGAAGCCAACATATGAGCTTTCCAGCCCAGTGGCATCTCACCAGCAGAAAGGCACAGCCTGGCTGCCCTGACTCTATCTAGCCTCAAGGGGAATTGCCTGGAAACTCAGATAAGGTTAGTGTGGGGAGAGTCTCTGGGTGAGACTGGAGGATGTCCTTGCAAAAGTTAGAAGAGGGGACAGTGATTTTGTTGGAACTATCTTCCCAGAGCTGCACTTGGCAAGCACATTATGGATAGCATCACTTCTGTTCCTGGATCTAGCCCCACACTGGCCAGTTAGCTGCTTTGTTAAGCAGAAGAGGGCCGGATGCAGTGACTCACACCTGTAATCCCAAGACTTTGGGAGGCTGAGGTGGGTGGATCACTTGAGTCTAGGAGTTCAAGATGAGCCTGGGCAACATGGAGACACCTGTCTCTACAAAAAATACAAAAATTAGACGGATGTGGTGGCACACACCTGTAGTCGCTGCTACTCAGGAGGCTGAGGTGGGAGGATCACCTGAGCCCTGGAGGTAGAGGCTGCAGTGAGCTGAGATTGTGCCACTGTACTCCAGCCCGGGAGACAGAGTAAGAAAGACTCTGTCTAAAAAGCAAAAAGAAAAAGAAAAGCAGAAGAGGATTCTACCAATTCAGCTACCACTAAGAGCTCTGTGCAGGACTAGGAAAGCAGAGGTACTCCACAGTGAGTCAGGCACAGCCCCTGTACTGGGGTGCTCACAGAGTAGGGGGGCAGGGACCATAAGTATGGAGAAGGCATTCAGGAGACAACTACCAGAGATGGGAGGGGCATCTCTGCTTGTGCCCCCTCGCTCTCTCTGGACCATGTGGTTGGAGGGTTCTATTGGGCCTTCTTCTCTCCTTCTTTCCTCTACCCCTCCCCAAGGGGCAAATTCTTCCTACAACAGGGAAGGCAGACAGAGTCTGACCTGCACTCAGAATTGAAGCCACTCTTGTCTTGGGGGCCAGTGGAAGTGCCAGCCTCAGGAGTGTGTGTGGGGGGGTGTATGATGCGGGGGTCGTCCAAAGCTCCTTTCCACCCGTGGGATTTCTGTGTAGATCCTGGAACAAACCTCTGCCCCTCCAATTTCCTTGGCTGTGACTCTGTGGGTTAGTTTTGGCCAGTGGTTCCCAGTCTCTCTTCCTTGCCCTGGCCACTGTATATTGATTTTCTTTTTTTATCTATTTCACTCGGATCACCCTGGATGGGCTCTGCCTGCCCATTCTCTATGTCCCCACACTCCCAGGCCCAGTCCCCACAAAACTGTGTGCTAATAAACTCCACCAAACATTCAAAGTAGGAAGAGAAAGGAGAGCACCTTCCAGGGCTCAGAGGAGGACACTGTCCTGGGGCAGGAGACCAAGGCCTCAAGGCAGAGGCTGCACTTGAGACAGGTCGAGAAGGATGCATACCATTTTAATATAGGAGATGAGGTGGTGGGAAGCGCATTCTTCTAGGGCTTCTGCCTAGTCCTCCTGGCCAAAGTGTGGGAGTTCCTTGATCCCTGGGACACAGTCCAAGAAGAAATAGTCCCAGAAATTCTCTAAGGAAGATGCTGTCCAGCATGCACCCACCCCGGGGCTCTGGCATCTACCTTTGAGCCTAGGCATCTCCCTCCACCTGCAGAAGAATAGGATGCCTGCTCTATCTGTCTGGACTTCCCAGATCCTGGCCCTGTGGCCACTGGGTAGACTTTGGCTGTTTTTGGAAAGAGAATTTCCCTGGGAAGCAGGCTCAACCTACTCTCTAGGTCCAGCAAGTAACCCTTTTGAGTTTCAACATTAAATTTCCTTAATTTCATCCCTCCTTTTCATGTCCTTAGAGCTTTGACGGATTTGCTTCACTTCATTCCCTTCATTCATTTGCTTTTGTTTTTGTAGGTGGCGATACAAAAACTGTCTACTCTGCAGACGTTCACTTTGAAAATTTTGCTAGCAACACTCTTTCTCCTCTTGAATGATCTTGCTTTAATTATTAGGCATTTTACCCATGGAATTTGAGCCAACTAGAACCATTTGATCTCAGTGACGTTTAACTAGATATCTCATTTAAGAGCCATTAGATCCAGATATAGTTAGAATGAGAATTGCACGCCAATGGAGATTTGTTAATAATAACTATCCACTTATTTATTTATTCACATATGCTTTATCAAACCATTGGTTTAGCTCATTCATGTTCTTTGTTACTTTTCCCCTATTTATTTTCTGTAATCATTTATTGAGACTCTTCTATGAACGAGGCTCTCCTAGGTGCTAGAGGGACAAAGCCACAGTCTGGGTTCCTAAGGAGTTATTTATTCCTTCCACAAATGTTTATGTAATAGCCAAGCACTGTGCTGGACCCTGAAGCTCACAGTCGGGGCAAAGAGGCAGAATATAATTAAATGCTTTGCAATATCATGTGTTAGGTGCTTTTCTAAGAGGTATAAAGAAGTTCCCCTAGGAAATAAGGAGAAATGTAATAGCCAGGATTCTTTGGGTTTAAGAAATAGAAACCCACCTCCAGCTAACTCACGCTACAAAGGGAATGTGCTGGCCTCTTTAACTGAAAAGTCCAGAACTTGACTTCAGGCAGTGCTGGATCAAGGTATGCAAATAATGTTTCTCCCCATCCCAAGGCTTTGCTCTCTTGTGTGTTAGTTTCATTCTCAGGCAGGCTTTCCCAAGAGGTGGCAAAGGGGACCACCCTCAGCTCCCTATAACCTACCTCTCTTGGCAATCCCAGCAGAAAGGGAGCATATCTTTCCTAATGGGTCCTACAAAAGCCCTCGGATAAACCTTGGTGGACCAGCCTGAGTCATGTGCCCACCCCTCAATACCAGTGTAGCCAAGGGATGTCCTCATTGGCTGGATCCAGATCATGTGACTGTCTGCCCTCCCCAAAACTCAGGCTGGGAGTGGAAGCCCTGGCAAGACAAAAACTAAGACTGTCCTTGAAACAAGTCATCAACCTTCCTGTAAGAGGGCGGTGATGCTGGAAGGGCTCGGAAAAATTAGTCCCACAGGATGATTTTTGAGTTGAACTGAGGGGTAAGATTTTGCCATTGGCATGGAGCCGAAAAGAGCCCTGGTGCATTTGGGGCATTGCAAGTCAGGTGCAGGGAGCAAGAGAGGAAGTGCAGGATATGAGGCCCAAAATGAACACAGGAGGAGCATGGACCAGGAGCAAGAACCCTGCCCCTTGTTCATAAGCCAGAGAGGATTCCATAAGCTGTGGAAAGCTATTAAGAGACTTTAAGCAGGGAAGTAAAATAATCATTCTGAATTTTAAGTGGGTTAAACAGGAAGGCCCAGAAATCAGCTATAAAACTTTTTTTGTGACTCTGCAGGCAAGAGAATCCAGCCTTGAACTGAGGCAGCTATGAAGGGGTAGAGAGGAGGAGGGGCTGATGATTATCAAGTTCTGGCTGAATGACTATGGTGGGGCCATGTATTGAAGAGAGGAACACAGGAGAAGAAGTGGGCTGGGGTGGAGTGGGGAATGGCAATGCCCATTGGTCTCTCCAGCACAAAATGAGCACCAATAGGGAAGTCAAGGCTGCAAGAAGGAAGAAGATAAGGCTGGATGTGCTGGGACACAGCTGCCCTTGGTTACGAATTCACAGTCATTGGGATAAGACTGGTGAAGGTGGTCAGATAAAATCAACAGCTACACCTGAAAGCTTGGTGTTCAATACCCTGGCAGGACCATGAGCGGTCATCTTCACAATGAGCACCAGCATCGTCTTTCATAGGGAAAATCTCCTTCATTATGGTCACTGTCATCTTACCATTTCATCTTCATTACCAGCATCTCTCCATCATCATTCAATCATTCAAACAAACTACTCAGGCCCTTCTCCTGCTTGACATTGAACTTGGCACTGGGAATGCAATGGTGGAGAAGACAAGGCCTCTGCCTTTGTGGAACTTACGGTCTATTTGGGGGAGACTGAAGTTAGTAAAATATTCAAACATAAATGTAGAAAGTATGACACATGTCATAAAGGAAATGAACAGGATGGGGAATAACAGCAGTGGGGACCCTATTCTAAATCTGACCTCTCTGAGGAGGGTAGGATTTAAGCTGAGACCTGACTTTTGAGAAGGAGCCACAGGGGAAGAACTCAGGTGGCAGCTTTCCAGGCAGAGGGAGCTGCACATGTAAAGGCTTATCATCTCAATGTCCTATTTGCTCCTGAACTTCGTACATGGAGGTAGCATAGGCCTGGTACCTGTCCTCTGAGGTTTCCTCTTTGAATGTCAGGAGCAAGGCAGAGTCAAGGTCTCAAGCTAGCAGAGACACTCAGAAAACAGCTCAGATGGTGCATGACTAAGGATGCTGAACCCATGTTGGCTGAGCTGGTAAGCGAATAAGGCCCATTCTAACCGAGCCTCAGACCTCCTGCCTTCCTGTGGGCTTGTGACGCCTTTGCTTCTCTCTCCTTCCTTGACACATCACAACTCTTTAAGTCACACTAAGTAACTGTCCTTTTTTGATGGAGCCCATGAAATTGCATCTGCTGTATCCATCAGGAGCCAAGCCATAAATAACCAGCCCTTTAAAATCTCGTCTCCTGTATCTCTTGGAGTTGGAAATAGCATTACAAGCTCTGCCGCGGAGCAGTAAGAAAAGATTAGTGCCTTAGCATGCTGCTGGCACAAATGTGTCCGGAGGAGTGAAGGCCAGGGCTCCAGCACTCTACATGGAGTATCAATGTGACTTCCTTGCTTCCACTAGTGAGAACTTGCTCTCAAAAAGAGAACAAAAGTCACAGCTGGGAGGAGCAGGAAGTGAACTGGTGTTGTCGCAGTGGGCACAGCGGCTCTGCTAAAGCTTGTGACTTGGCAAAGTTCTGTGCATGGGAAGCTGAGGTCGGGCAGCTGGCCTGCCCCCCATGGGTCTGACTGCATGCAACAGGTTTGTACTAAGTGCCTCATCTGCGAGGCGGCCTGTGCCAGGACTGTGAAGGGCACCAGAGAACAAAATGCTGTCCTCGACCTCTCTTGAGGAGCTGCCAGATGCCTGATGGTGCCGCTAAGACAGATGGAAGGAGTTGTTCTGGGTCCTCCAGAGCCCCTTGTTCTGGCAAGACCTGTCTTCTGGAATGATGTTGCTTCATTCTGAATGTTCAAGGCCCCCTCCTGGTCTCTGTTTTCATGTTTGGCCATGAATGTTTGTTCCACTCACTCTCAGCTTAACCTACATGTTGTTTCACGTTGGTTTGCGTCTCTCCTGCTACTGCAACCACTTCCCAGGTTCCCAAGACTGACTTAAGTCTTCAGTTCTATCCCTTAGTCTGTACTTTTTTCTTTTTTACTTTTCTTTTTTTTTTTTTTTTTTTTTTGAGATGGAGTCTTGCTCTGTCAGCCAGGCTGGAGTGCAATGTCACAATCTCGCTCACTGCAGCCTCCACCTCCCAGGTTCAAGTGATTCTCTTGTCTCGGCCTCCCGAATAGCTAGGACTACAGGCACATGCCACCATGCCCAGCTAATTTTTGTATTTTTAGGAGAGATGGTGTTTCACCATATTGGTCAGGTTGGTCTCAAACTCCTGACCTCAGGTGAGCCACCACGCCCAGCCCAGTCTGTACTTCTTTTCATCCTAGTTTCTCTTTATCCAGTGGCTGATGGGTGACATCCACAGACTCACCAGAGAGGCAGGATTCACACAAAAAACTAGCAATGACAGTCCGATGAAATGGCAAAATCACCATTTCACATATGGTGAAACTCAACAGTTCAAATTCACATATGGTGGATCTCAACAGTTTGGGTCATTTGGGGAGGGAGAAGGCAGAGTTTCTTTGAACAAAATGAGGTGGCTTCATGGACGAGGTAGATCTCTAGCATCCCTGGGAATTTCTCACCCAAGCTTCTTGAAGAGTGGTCTACACTGGCTACCCTCAAGTCTTCTCTCCCCATTCATTCCTTACCTACTTCACTCCCACTCTTCAACCCTCCAGCCTCCTCCTGAAATCACTCACATTAAGATGATGATCAAAGGGCCGGGTGTGGTGGCTCTCACCTGTAATCCCAGCACCTTGGGAGGCCGAGGTGGGCGGATCACGAGGTCAGGAGATCGAGACCATCCTGGCTAACAGGGTGAAACCCCGTCTCTACTAAAAATACAAAAAAAAAAAAAAATTAGCTGGGCGTGGTGGCAGACGCCTGTGGTCCCAGCTACTCGGGAGGCTGAGGCAGGAGAATGGCGCAAAGCCAGGAGGCAGAGTTTGCAGTGAGCCGAGTTCACGCCACTGCACTCCAGCCTGGGCGACAGAGCCAGACTCCGTCTCAAAAAAAAAAAAAAAAAAAAAGATAATCATCAAATAACCAACCCCACCCCTACCCCATTCCAAAGACTACCACTTCCAATTACCAATGCCAGAAGGCGTTTTTCAGGTCTCACCTTCTGGACATTTCTGCATTACTTTACACTGTCAGTCATTTTCTCCTCTGGGGGCTCTGCTTTCTGCTTGCCTCCATGCCACTCTTTCTGATTCTTCTTGGATCTCTCTGGCCATTCCTTCCGTGTCTCCTTTGATGTCCATTCCTTCTTGCTGTACTGCTCTGCTCACTCCACACATCTCCCAGGGTAGTCTTACCTGCTCTCAAGATTTCAGGTACTACCTATTTCCTCCCAAATATGGCTCCCTAGCCCAGCCTACCCACTGAGCCAGTCAAACTGTAGAGCCAGCTACCTGATGGACATCTCCACTTTGATGGACCACCAATATCTCCAACTTAACTTGTCTCAATTTTGCTCATAATTGACCCATAAAATCATCAGTCTGTGTCCTTTCCTAGTTTATGGTACCATTCCCCACCTAGTTATCCAGAAATCTGGGAATATCCCTATTTAATCCCTCTCTCTCACCAGCCACATTCAATTAATTGCTAAGTTCTCCCAATATACTGTACCTTTCCATCCTTTCTACCACTGCCTGAATTCAGCCCATCATCTTTTCTTCTTTGAGGGATGTAATAGCCTCCTTACTGATCTCCCAGCATCTTGGCACTGTCCAATTCATCCTCCTCACTGCTACGAGAATGGCTTAATTAAAATGCAGATCTGACATGCTAAGCCCCAGGCAAAAGCTTTCAATCATCTTCTGTTGTCTACAGATTAAAATTCAATCCCTTGATAGGGCACACAAGGCCCATCTGGATCTAACCCTTGCCTAAGTAACCACCCCAGGCTCACATCTTGCCACTTCCTTTTTTAAATTTTATTAACCCTAAAACTCAGTGGTATAACACCACAAAGATTTCCTTCTTGCTCATGTTACAGATTTGTGATGGACCAGTGGGAGTGGCTCTGATCCACATCATCACACATGTGGGTACCCAGGCTCGAGGGGGTTGCACCATATTCTAACCACACCATCTGAAATATGTGGCCTTCTTTAATACCATGACAGGGAAAATGAGTGGAGAATCCAGCATGGCTTTCCACCACTCTAGCTCAGATATGCTATACATAATTTCCAACTCATATTTCATTGGCCACAAACAGTCACACAGTCCAGCTTTGCTGCAAGGGAGCCAGGAAACGGGGATGAGCAGATGAGATGCTTGGTGAGCCGAGTTCTCTGCCACACCTCATGCTTCTGTAGACAAGATGCCGTGGTTCCTGTCAAAGGCCAGCCCTCTCCTGTACTCCAGAGCTCATCTTCCTCCAAAATTTCCCTACTATATGTATCTCCTTTTCCTTGCATTCCACAATTGTTCTCTCTATTGAGCACTTCTAACACCATAAAGGCATGTTCCAATATCTGCCACCTAAAATCAAAATAAAAACAGCACCCATCAAACCCCTATTACTCCATCCCACTCAGCTACCACGGAATGGCTCAGCCACTGCCAATTGCTGAGACAGTTCTTTCTCAGTTTCTGCCCTGCTTTGTCACTAAAACTGACCTTGCTAAAATTGACAGCAACCTCCAGGTTGCCCATTCCAGTGTCGTTTCTCCATCTTCATCTGACTCAGCCTCTTGGCAACACATGACACTGATCACCAGTCCTTCTTGAACTATTTCCTTCTCTTGGCTCCTATGAAACCATGTAGCTGGTTACCCTATGGCCATTCCTTCTTAGTCTGTTTTGCTGTTTCTTCCAACGTCCACTCTCTGTCCAGCCTTTATGCTTGGACTACCCAGAGGGTCCTGGGACTCTCCTCTCTTTTATTCTCTTTCCCAGCTAGCCCCAACAAATCACACATGGGCTTTCAATATCATCTAGATGCCAGTGGCTCTTGATTTAAATTTTCAGTCCTCAAGGGTCTTCTGGGCTTCATGCATATTAACAGGAATCTTAAAATGAACATATCGCTGGGCACAGTGGCATGTGCCTCTAGTTTCAGCTACTTAGGAGACTGAGGTGGGAGGACTGCTTGAGCTCAGGAGTTCAAGACCAGCTTGAGCAACATAGGGAGACCCTGTCTCTTAAAAAAAAAAACGGAAAAATATATATAACATAAAACCTATCGGCTGGACACGGTGGCTCATGCCTGTAATCCCAGCACTTTGGGAGGCCGAGGCGGGCAGATGATGAGGTCAGGAGATTGAGACCATCCTGGCTAACACGGTGAAACCCCATGTCTATTAAAAATACAAAATATTAGCTGGGTATGGTGGTGGGCGACTGTAGTCCTAGCTACTCAGGAGAATGGCATGAACCCAGGAGGTGGAGCTTGCAGTGAGATCGTGCCACTGCACTCCAGCCTGGGCGGCAGAGCAAGACTCCATCTCAAAAAACAAAACAAAACAAAACAAACAAAAAAACCTAT
Organism: Homo sapiens; assembly: GCF_000001405.40. Lineage (NCBI taxonomy): Eukaryota > Metazoa > Chordata > Mammalia > Primates > Hominidae > Homo > Homo sapiens. The sequence continues at coordinate 33,904,644 of NC_000001.11, read as the reverse complement.
CATTCCATTTTTAGGTGTACAACTTAGTAGCATTAAGCACATTGGCTATTTAGTGGTGGATAACACCACTATCTATCTCTAGTACCTTTTTTGCCTTCCCAAATGGAACTCCATGCCCATTAAAGAAGAATACCCAGAATAGTCAGATTCATAGGCAGAAAATGGAACAGTAGCGACAAGGAGATGGGCCGTCATTTCTTTTTAAGGCTGAATAATATTCCCTTGTATGTCTAAACCACATTTTGTTTATCCATTGATCTGTTGATGGACATTTGGGTTGTTTCCATCCAGTTTGGACTTCTCATCCCCTCCCCACTCATAATCTGTTCTCTTAGCCTTCTCCACGACCTCCCACATCTGTTTTCCTAAGAGGAAGCTGCTTCTGCCCATTTGGTTCCGCCAGCACCTTTGGGCTGCTCGGGGGCCTTGTCTCCCTGCTTCTACCCCTCTGTAATCCATTCTGCAGATGGCACCTAGAGTGACTTGGGTTTATTAATCAAATCATGTCTCCCCTGTTTAAAGCCTCCCAATGGCTTACTATCACATTTAGAATAAAATCCTACAAGACCCTACATTGTCCAGCCACTGCCTACCTGTCTGACTTCCCTCCTATCCCTCACTCACACCCATTCTCTGTGCTCTTCATCCTGTCCCTAGGGTGGGCTAAGCAGGTTCCCTGCTCGGGCTTCTGCACTAGCTGTTCCCAGGGCTTAGGATCCTCCTCCTTCACAGTCTTCAAATCTTCCTTCCAAGTTAAAAAAACAAAAAACAAAAACCACTGTTTTTTTGAAATATAGAGTTCAATGTAAATTTCCTATCTTTAGAAAAGACTTTCCCGTCCATGCAGCCTAAAGTAACCCTTGCTGTCTATCAGAGGATCTTGTTTTATTTTAAACATTCATCAATACCTGATATTTTCTTGCTTACTTACGTATTTCTTTTTCTTCTGTGCCCTTCCCCTCCCCTGCCATTGCCAGCAGAACCGTGACAAGCCCCTAATGTGCATCTTGGCACTTAGTAGGTATCCAAGGTTGGTTTGTTTGGAGGAGAGATCTGCTTCTGCCTTGCCAGTTACAATGTCCTGTGGCTAATTGCAAAGGTTAACATGGAGCCTCTCCACCAAGTATTTTAAGTAATAACCTTCCTGGGGGACATTTGCAAATTAGCACTGACTCTTGCTGATTACTCATCCTAAACTCAGTCTGATTAATAATTAATCAGCAAACTGCTTGGCCAGAGCGGGCTGATCAGTGCTAGAAAGGATCTTAAATTATGCAAGTCACTTGGCCAGTCTTTAAAAAAAAAAAAAAGCTCAGCAGTCGACAACAGAACTGGAGAGGTTTGATTGCAATGTGAGATCTCTCTCAGTTGTTTGTTTTTTCCTTTTTGGCTTTTTTTTCTTTTGACTAAGAAATCAATTAGGCTCAAACTTGCAACCTCAGAGAGAGACTGTGTAGCACAGAAATAGAAATGTGTTAAATATCACTTTCTTTTTGTTTCTTTCCTTCCAGAGAGTTTTGGTCTGTGAGGCAGAGGTTAAAATTAGCCAATTTGCTAAGCAAATGCCTGTCTGGCACTTGATGTCAATTTCTGCAGCCACGTCAGTTTCAGCTATTCACTCACTTCCTCTGAGCTGCAGTGCCCTGTGTCTGGCAGGAAGGAGGTGAGAGATTTGATGGGTACTGTCTGCTTGCCCACCCTGGGGTTGGGGTGAAATCAATTTGCCAGCAACCTGTCCCACCAGGAGTCCATATAGTGCTCTATGTCTCTGGCCTACAAAACCCAGAGAGACAGGAGGAAAGGCAATCAGAGGGTGATGAACAGGCTTCCCACTCTCAGGAGTGAACTTGGGGACCGCCAGGGACCCCTCTTAAGCCTTATCTGTAGCCTCCAGCCTCCAGAGCCAGTCCTGCATGTGGCTTTATCTTTCTTCTCTAGATACCTCTTCTGGTCACTGGAGATATGGCTGAGGGGGATACTTAGCGAAAGCTGAGGGGTTTGTGGACATTAATCTCCGGGCCAGAAAAAAAGGTGCAGGGATAAAGGGTTTAGTGCAGTCCATGCAACTCGGATCCTGATTAGAACCAGCAGGGTGACAAGGTGATTCCCCAGACCAAATAAGTCAGCATGCCCAGGGAGGGACCCAGGCATCGGTGATTTTTACAGCTCACTGTGGATTCGTGTGCACCAAAGAGGAGAAACATGATGTGATAGAGCATGAGAGGCTTTTGGGAAAGAGATTATGAAGGACATCAAAGAGTGAAGTAGAAAATGGGCTTTTCAGGAGTTGATTGTCTTTCTGGAAATAGAGGGACATCTCTCTATGTTGTGTCAGGCAGGGTAAGGGAAGAAGAGGCAGCCAGATGGGGCGGTTTCCAGGAGCCCTGCAGTTTCTGATCCATCTCAGTTACACCCCCAACTTTTAAAAAAAATACCCTGTGTTTCCTTTAAAAAATGCCCTCTAGGACTTATCCTGTGTTTCTCAAACTGGGTTGCACTGACCAACTCCCTGCTTCAGAAGACTTGCTTGAATGCTCTTTGGAAGAATGCAGATTCCTGAGCCCCACCTCTGTAAAATCATGGATTCCTGAGAATAGAACTCAACTAATTCAGTATTTTTAACCATTTTCCTGGGTGTTCTGAAATAGATTTAAGTTTAAGAGTTACCCTGGGCCTAAATAGAATACTTTCCAGAGTGATAATATAAAGGAAGTAGATTCTGCCCATTATGAAATGATTTGTCTTTTTATGAATTGATTCATTATTGAATTTCTCCCCAGTTATGTTTGACGTATAGGTTTGGTTATGGCTTATGCGTGAGTTTGGGCAAGCACATCTATTCCATAAAATGAAGCACATTGACTCCTAGTAAACTTTATTTATTTATTTCACAAATATTTTTCCTTGCCTACTCTGTGCCAGTTTCTGTGATAAGCTTTGTGATTACAATGCTGAACTAGGAAGTCTCAACCTTTCAAGGAGCTGCTAAAGTTTAGCCTTGAAGTCTAGTCTCACCTCCTTGTCTACCTGGTATAAGCCTGTGCAAGGGTCTCCCTCCTGAAACCTTTAGATGCATTGGGACCTGTGCCCTCCCTCAGCCCCACCCACACTGGGCAACCCCAGGCTCCTACGACGCACTGGCACAAGCCAAACTTTTCTAGAATACAGAGTCCTCCTCCCAACATGAACTCTTTCAGAGCATGGACTTGGCCCATCATCTCTGAATCCTCAGGGCTCAGTAGAGTCCTGGCACAGACAGGTGTAAAGATTTTCTGACAATTTGTTGAATAAATATAGCCTCTGAGATCTTAGAGTCTCAGCACCTTCTCACAGCCAACCGCATCTCACCAGCATCAAAGGGAAAAGCATATGGCACTTGGCTCACCTCGCCTGGTGTCAGAGCCCTTTGGCAACAGGACCAATGTCAAGATAAATAAACAGGCAAATATTCATTGTTTGCCTCTATGATTGAATTGAGGCCATCACATGTGTGGAATGCCATCTTGCCCCATTGGGTCTTCACCCCCAAGTTTGAGTTAGGTATTGGCATACCCATCTTGCAGATAAAGAAACTGAGCCTCAGAGACTTAGCTTCCTCCTCACCTACACGTGGTTCTCCCCAGCTGGGTTTTCCCATTTTGTTCCCTCTGCAGATCCTAGGCCAGCCACTCCAGGATCATTTCTCACCCTTAAAGTAGGCTTTGATGCAATCTGTCCTCTTTGAGTCTCTATCTGCCTTCCTCCTGCCTTAATATACCTTCAACAGTATAATCACTTTGAGAGCTACCATGTTTCAGGCACTGTACTAAGGTTTTTATATGCATGGTCTCATTTAATGTTTACAAAACTCTTTTTTTTTTTTTTGAGATGGAGTTTTGCCCTTGTTGCCCAGGCTGGAGTGCAATGGCATGATCTCAGCTCACTGCAACCTCTGCCTCCCGGGTTCAAGCAATTCTCCTCACCTTAGCCTCCCCAGTAGCTGGGATTACAAGTGCCTGCCACCACACCTGGCTAATTTATTTGTATTTTTAGTAGAGACAAGGTTTCACCATGTTGGCCAGGCTGGTCTTGAACTCCTAACCTCAGGTGATCCACCTACCATGGCCTCCCAAAGTGTTGGGATTACAGGCGTGAGCCATTGCGCCCAGCCACAAAACTCTTGTAAAATAATAATATTATCATAAAGAGATTAAGAAACCTGATGTAATATAGCTAGTAAGTGTCCGAGCCAGAAATTGGATCCCCATCATCTGGACTCTAAATCCTGATCTACCCCTCTTTCTCTTCTGCTCCTCTGGGATCTAATTCATTTTCTTTCCTGACACCAAGGAGGGCACCATGGAGCATAGATAGCATTTGGACTCAATGTTGGGTTCAAATACCAATTCTGCTACCAACTAATCGTGTGACCTCAGTTAACTTTCTGACCCTCTCAAGGCCTTTCATACAGTTATAAGAAATAATTGGGCACAGAAGACTTTGAACAGCCCCAGATTCCCAGCTTGTAAATCCAGCTTGTGTCCTTCTTCTGCCCTTTCATGGTTACAGCACCTGGAAGGGCTTTCCTCCCCTCCTCCCCTGCCCCTCTCACCCTGCTCCCAGAGCCTCCCAGCATATGCTCCGTGCAGACAGCTACACACAGCTTCTTTCAGAGGTTTAAGGTCCTGTGGGTCTTGGCCTCTGCAGTTGATAAGTCAGGGAGGCAGCTTCAGGCTGACCGAGGCAGAGGCCACAGCAAGAGGTTGTCATGTCTCCTTGGGCCAGGCAGCCCTGAGGTCCCAGGGCCATTTGGCAGTACCCTGAAGGGCACATGGGGAAAGTCGGGGTTGAACAATAATGGCTTTTACTCTTCTCTCACAGCAAGTCACTTAGCTTTCTGAACTTCAGTTGCCCTAGTTTTATAAGGCAGGTGATGGGTCCTCACCACCCTCACTGTAACCTGCTGGGAACATGCAGATTGGTGTACAGAGACCTCCTAATTTTTCACATATAAATCCAACCCCACAGATTCCCTTCCAGTGGGATCTGCCTCCTAAGGTGATTTTTCTGGAACTGAGAGGGTTTTAAGGAAGAAAATACAATTACTATGTGTAGGGTACCAACGACATGCCAGGAGTCTACACTGATTTTTCCTTTGTGCCTTTAAGCAACTCTGAGAACCCGAGACTCAGTGAGGTCATTTACCCAAGGTCACAGAGCTAGGAAGTTGCAGCCTGAAGCCAGGGCCCTTTGCCTCCCAACCTCTGCTCTTTCTGCCCCTCTGGATTTTGGAGGTTGGAAAGAGACCTTGGGTATCCTGGAGAGATGGCCCTGGGCCTATGCCATTGGCTTCAGCTTCTTCCCCCTGGGGCTGCTTTTGGGCCTTGGGCTGTGGTTGGTTGATGTGGGCTGGCTTCACAGATAGCCAGGCTCATCGAGGCCTTGGCTCCCACATCCTGCCAGCTCCCTAGATGCCAGCCCTGGTGAGCGTGGGACAGACTGCCATCAGCGTTCCCCTTTCAAGAGAGCCCTGTCAATGCAGATAAATGGCCCGTGTCATTTAGCCACATCCGTCACGTCCTTCTCGTTGCTGGTCTGTGGCCTGAGTTGTCCAGATAACCCTTTTCATTTAGTGTTGTCTTTATGGATGCCACAGAGGTCTCCGGGCAATGACAGCCCAGCCTTTGCACCGACCAGGAAGAGTCACAGGCAGGCCTGCTTCCTGACTTCTGTTTGCTGTCTGTTTGGCTCTCACAATTATTGGAATCTGTCAAGCTCCATCAAGTGACATTTTTCACATGAGGGCAAGTGTCCTTCAGGCCTCACTCTGAGCTGGGAATGACATCCTGGACGCTGACGTGGCCTCCATCTTTCCACCAGCGGTTTCCTTCACAGTTGCCAAGCTTCCTTCAGCCCTGGCTCAACAGTGCCCTCCTAAGCTTCCCCCTCAATGCCCTCAGTCCCTCTTTTTGTAATTACCCTTTCCCCAGCCCCACATTCCCCTGGTGCCTTAGCAAGTAATTACCTTCATAGGGAAGTTGACAAGTCTCTGGCGACTCCTAGCCCCGGCTGGAAAAGATTCATTATTCTGTGTCTGGAAATAACCAGCCCCATCAGCACAGGGGCTGAGATAACACCAGTGTAAAAGTTCTTTATTCAGGGGGATTAATTAGGATTCCTTATTAAAGATCCAATTAGGCAAAAGGGCATTTTTATCTGTGATAGTCAGCTGCTCCTATTTTTCTAAAGCTGTAACTCTTAAGTTTTTTTAAAAAAGGAAAAAGCAGGGGGTTGTGTTTTTGTCTAAAACAATTCACTCTTTCATTGTCAGCTATGTCTTCATCAGGATGTGAAAATAGATTTTCTCATTCAATTTGCAGTGCTTTATCTCTTCGGAGTCTGGCAATGACTCCACGATATCCCTTCAACAAGAACCGCAACTCAGATGGGCTGTTGGGGAGTGGGATGTTTGGTTATCATGACTGCAAGAGAAATAGTAATAGCATTTTTTAGCAACCTGACTCCATGAGCTGGCAGGAAATGCCATCTCTGCCATGTAATGTCTGTGTGACCTTAGGCAAGTCCCTTCACCTCTCTGAACCTCAATGTCCTCCTCTCTCAATCTAACTCCAAGGATCAGGATAAGGGTTTAATTGGGGCAATATTACAAAGTGACTAGGAACCCAGGGTCTTGACTGAGACCACCTTACACCCACACTCACAAGCCATGTTGACTTCTGAACCTTGGTTTCCTCATCTGCAAAATGGGAGGGAAATACCTCCTCCGTCGGGTCTCTGGGAGAATTGAGGGAGATAACATTTGTGGAACCACCTTGCCCATGGAGGGCCCTTGATACATGTTTATCAAACCTGAATCAACTCATTTTGTATTTCCCTCAAAGACGCTCAGTGAGGTTCCCTGGAGTGAGCTGTTGCCGCTCCCCATCTCAGGTGAATTGAGCTCATTTTGTCCCTGGTAGTGCCTGGGTGATTCCACAGTACAGTGAGGCTGAGACTCCTGGCTCTGTTGTCACCCGGCTGTGTCCTCAGTTGCTCCCCACGGAAGCAGTGCTGGCTGCAGGAGGGGTGACCTCTTGACCTCAGTCATGATGTGGACATACACAGTATGAACCCACAGGTTTTTACTTGCATTGTTAAAGACAGCAGCAGCAGCTTGTTTACCCCAGGAAAGAAAGCCCTGGAGAAATAAAATAATCTGGCTTCCAGAAAGTTCAACAGAAAGTGTTTTGTCCAGTTGCCAGATTCCACAGATGAGGAAATTGAGTCCCAGCATCACTCAGCAAACATGTGGCAGAGCCAGGGCAGAATCGAAGCTCTTCATGTCTGATCCAGATCTGTTTCCACCACCTTCAATGTTTGCTGGCCACCTAGCACTGAGCCGGCGTTTGTAGACTTCACATGAGAGGGTCACAGCAGCACCTGGCTCCAGCAGGATCTGAATCCACATAAACCCTACTTCATGTGGTGTTCCTCACCTGTCTGCCTGTCCTGGCTCCTCATTGCTTGTGCCTCAGTGCCTCAGTTTACCCCATAGAGGAGCCACTTTAGCTTCTGGTTCATCTTCTCACCTTTCCACAATACTGTTTTGGCCTGAATACCCTCTTTTACAGGCTTGCCCCCTGTAACCCTGCCCCCTCCACCACGGCCTCTGTGACCTTACCTTCTCCTACCCTCCCTCTTATTCCCTTCCCCAGCCACAATGGCTTCCTTGCTGGTCCTTAGATGCCACGCGTGCTCTTCCCACCTCAGGGCCTTTGCACGTGCTTTCCCCTCTGCTTGGAATCCTCTCCCCCTGAGATATCCACACATCTGACTCCCTCCCCTATTTCAGGTGCCACCTTTAAGATCATATGCACAGTGAGGCCTTCCCCAATCACCTATTTAAAATGGCAGATGCCTCCTCCCAGTCAGTAGAGTGTCTGCCCATGTTTGCTCCTTCTCAGCCAGATCCTCACACTTCAAAGTGTGCCTAGCTCATAGGGAGCCTGGAAGTTGGGAGTTCAACCCCTCTTCTTGGTTCCAGTCCTGAAAGCCCTGTTGCTCCACAGCCATCATTCTCCTTCGCCAGATGAAGAAACTGAGGCACAGGTGGGTGGCATGTGACTTGCCAAAGTCACCCAGGGAGTTAGTGTCACAGGAGGGACTGCTGGGGTAATCTTAAAACAATGGTAAAAATAGTTGTACTTGTGGGGTTATTTATATCTCTCTACCTGGTTTGCCCTGAATCTTGGTGTGACCTCACCAGGTGATGTCCTCAAGCTTCACCGAGGCCTCCAGTATGTGGCCATGTGTAAGACCCATGTCACAGAAACAAATGGTCCTACTGCAAAAATGTGCTGATGGAAGAGAACACAGTCTGTGCTGAGAACCAAGAAATCCTCTCCCCCTCGCTACTCCCCTCCTTACCCTCCTACCCCCTCTGCCAATTCCCCCATCAAATAATTCCTGATAATGAAGTTAGGATGATTCATTGGTTTTCTGATGAGCATGAATTCATCATCAAAATCTACATATTTCAGTCCCCTGATATGTGCTCTCATATTCCTAACCTGATTAATATGTAAAGTGCTTTATCCTGTGACTTAACAAAAGAAAACTCAGCTTGGATTTAGGGACCTGCAAGCCTCCCAGACTCTGGGGTTCTGGGAAGCGTGGGGAGATGCCACTGCTTCCGTCTTGGAGGAGATGACGGTATCTCATCAGGGACTGGGTCAAGGTGCCAGCAGGTGCTACAGTTGAGAGGGGAGTTGGTTGCTCAGGACCAGGCCCTGGGATGCCTGAGCACTGCGGCTTCAGACCCCTCATCCCATAACCCAGAAAGACCTGGCTGCAAAGTTGTTTAATATTCACAACCCCACAAACTCATGGGGGCTGGGAACAGCCTGCATCCCATGCCTAGGGACCCGGATGAGATGCGGCATCCCCCTCTCAGCCTTTCTGGAGGGCGGCCAGTGTAGCCTGCCACCTTTCTGCCAAGGCCACTTAAGCCATATCCCTGCACCAAGTCCCCCTGCCTCTCCAGAGGGCGGGCTCAAGCTCTGCATGAATGCCTCAAGCCGCGCTTCCCCAGCCACCACCCGTGGGGTGGCCCTGCTGCTGCTAACCTTTTGTCTTACCCATGATTCCCTCAATATAAGGTCCAGCCTCCCAAACCTCTGTCACTTCATCCACCATACATCCCCATCCGCTCTACTACCAATTTTGGCCCACACCTCCTTGGACTCAGACCATTTCCCAGTACCCCCATGTAGGGCCAATCCCTGCCTCTTTCACCCCTGACCCACAAACCCATACACCCTGCAGGCATTCCCACCAGGTGCTCTGTGCCTGTATCATGAGAAGCTGTTTGCCTAGAGGGCTCTAAGGTCAGATGTGGATTCAAAGCTCTGCTCCGGGATTTGGGGAAGCTATTTAACCTCTCTGAGCCTCGGTTTCTTTAGCTTTAAAACAATGCTATCAGGAATAATAATTTATATTTCTTAGGGCTGTTGTCAATTTCAAATTAGCATTAAGCAGAGAATCTAACATACAACATGTAGGTAACACTCAATAATGTAGCGATTATTGATATTCATCCTCATGGCCACTGACTGAGGTGGGCAAGAATTACTTCAATTTTTCTGATGTGGAAGTGGAAGCTCAAAGATGTTGGGGTTGGATGTGGTTGACAGGAGCAAAGCAGCACCTCTTCTCCACAGAAGTACCTGGGGCATCTTGGGGGAAAAGGATTTGGGACCCTGTGGAAGACAGGATACCTGAGAGGAGACTTGCCCTGCAGGAGATGGGGACCCAGTCAGTGACCCGGATGCCCCAACAAGACAGAGGTCCCAGAAGAGGGCTGCTCCTAGGCATATTATGTGTCTGATGCTGGAGTTCTTGCCCCTCTGGAACCAGGGTATTTTCCAAGTTTGGGTTCCCCAAAAGCAGGCCTGAGACAAGGGTTCAAGCACAAGTGTTCTATTAGGAAGCACAGGTGACACTAGCAGATAAGAGGGACATAATACAGGGAAGAGACTGTAGCTAATAAAGGGTGGTCATACCAGCTACCACAATGGGGGTCTGGGCCATAATCCCACAGGGACACTCTAGGAAACCCAGGTCTGCAGAACCCAGATCTTAGAATTATCCCACCCAAGGAATGAGGGAGCTGAGGTATTTATACACCAATTCCTGAAAGTCATTGAATGAGGGCTGCTCCTGAGGGGTTATTAACTCCCTAGCCCTTCCAGCCTGCTGTGCACATGGGCAAAGTGGCCTAGCATTGGGGGAAAAAAGCCTTCGAGCACAGGGATGCAGACACTGGGAGCTTGCAGTCAGCTGGCCCACTCTGAAAGATCGAGTATTACAGGAAGGACACTGGCACCACCTGCTACAGGTGTACGTGTATCAAAAGGCAGTGTTACTGACAGAGCTGTAACACTGGGGGCCTAGGCAGCTCTGGAGTGAGACCCAGCTCACTAAAAGTGACCCTTGGAAGGACCACCTTCCCTTCAGCCTTGGGGAGCCACTGAAATTTGAGTGAATCCACAGAAACCTGTGGTGTAGGCAGTGGTCCTAGCAAGCAGGCACAGAAAAAAAGAAGAATCCATTATCCAGGTGGCCCCATTAACAGTAATCCCCCTGTCCCTGTCACCACTGTCAGACAACAGCTGTAGACCCCACATCGGGATATGTTTGATCTCCTGCCCTTCTAGCAGGCTGCAGCCAGTGAGCAAGAGGACTGCCTCAAAGTCCAGTATCAGCCACCCCAGCATCCTGGAAAAAGGCATGGCTGCCTGCTAGCTTGGCAATTAACCATTGAGATTTGGAAAATCAGGGCTATGAAACTTACTTTGTATAGCCACAGAATGGTAAGTTCTGTGGATTTAGGTCACACACACACTCATACAAACCAATTATTCACTGGAATGCAAGACAGTCTGCTGTCAACATTCAAATATTTTTGGAAAGTTTGTATGTTTCTGGCTGTGCTCTGAGTGAAGTCGTGCTTATTTCACAAGTTGTAGGCTGGGAGATGAAGTCACAAAGAGCTCATGCATAGCTGAGCAGGAACTCCCACTTGGAGGCTTTATTTAGATGTGCCCCAGCATTCCCTCCATCGCTCTCTTGAACTGCCAGGAGAAGTTTCAGAGCTCAGCCTGGGGAGGAAGAAAAGGGCTCAGAGTTCAGATACATTCTTCTCTATGTAGGTGAAAGCTGCTTTGTGCTTCACTTCCCCATCCTTTCCCCTCTCCTATCCTCTGCCTGGAAGGCCCATGGGAAGAGGCCAGGATCTGGACTCAGATAAACCAAGTTCCACTGGGCAATCTTAGGCAAGTGACTAATCTTTCAGTGCTCCTAGCTGCAAAATAGATAGAATAGTGCCAAAAATTGTGCTTACGAGGTAAGTAGCACAGAGCAAGTACTCAATGATAGCCACTCCCCCTCCTTTCTTATAAGTAATTTTAGCTCCCTTTCTGTTTTAATTTCTTTCCCCTCCTCTTCCATTCAGATTGTACCAGGCAGAGCTGTGACCCAGATGTTTCTAGTGATGTGGGAATTGGATGGATGCAAAGCATGATGATCCATTCACAGTCATAATCAAGCATCATCAATTTATTATACAGATACTATTATGCTAGGAAATCCCATTAATCATTTTTGATAGGATAACATGAACCCTTTCACCAGACCTGTTTGCTCTTGAGCCTGTCTGCATTTGGTCATTCACCTCCTACGAATGCACTCAAGTTGGTGCTGAGGGCCCAGGGATGCCCAGCCTCACTTTCTGCTTCAAAGTCACCCAACCAGACTCAGAGGGAAAGAGAAATTATTTTACTGAATTTGCTTACAGCAAAAAGTAAGCAGAACTTTAAAAGAATAGAGAGTATTAGTAGCACAATTTGCAATTGCAAAAATAAGAAACCAACCTAAGTGCCCATCAACCAATGAGTGGATAAAGAAAACGTGGTATATGTACCCCATGGAATACTACTCAGCCATAAAAAGGAATGAAATAGTGTCTTTTGCAGCAACTTGGATGGAGCTGGAGGCCATTATTCTAAGAGGAGTAGCTCAGGAGTGGAAAACCAAATGCCGTATGTTCTCACTTATAAGTGGGAGCTAAGCTATGAGGGTGCAAAGGCATAAGAGTGATATAATGGACTTTGGGGACTTGGAGGAGAAGATTGAGAGGGGGTTGAGGGGTAAAAGACTACATATTGGGTACAGTATACACTGCTCAGGTGATGGGTGGACTAAAATCTCAGAAATCACCACTAAAGAACATGTCCATGTAACCAAAAACCACCTGTACACCCAAAAACTATTGAAATGAAAAATAAATCAATAATTTTTTTTAAGATTAAAATTTTTAATCCTATTTTTATTTTCAATTTAAAATATCCCCCCATATGAAATTAAATATGTCTGACATGGTGTCCTCCAGTTTGCCAAAAGCTAAATGACTTTAAATGCAAATTATATTTTATTGAAAAACTCACTAGTGTATATACTATAGTTGTCACAAATATACATATTTGTGACAAAAAATAAATTTCCATTTTTTTTTTGATGGTGTCTTTAGGGTTTTCTTTTTATTATTATTATTATTATTATTTTACTTTAAGTTTTAGGGTACATGTGCACAATGTGCAGGTTAGTTACATATGTATACATGCGCCATGCTAGTGTGCTGCACCCATTAACTCGTCATTTAGCATTAGGTATATCTCCTAATGCTATCCCTCCCCCCTCCCCCCACCCCACAACAGTCCCCAGAGTGTGATGTTCCCCTTCCTGTGTCCATGTGTTCTCAGTGTTCAATTTCCACCTATGAGTGAGAACATGCAGTGTTTGGTTTTTTGTCCTTGCGATAGTTTACTGGGAATGATGATTTCCAATTTCATCCATGTCCCTACAAAGGACATGAACTCTTCATTTTTTATGGCTGCATAGTATTCCATGGTGTATATGTGCCACATTTTCTTAATCCACTCTATCATTGTTGGACACTTGGGTTGGTTCCAAGTCTTTGCTATTGTGAATAATGCCGCAATAAACATACGTGTGCATGTGTCTTTATAGCAGCATGATTTTTAATCCTTTGGGTATATACCCAGTAATGAGATGGCTGGGTCAAATGGTATTTCTAGTTCTAGATCCCTGAGGAATCGCCACACTGACTTCCACAGTGGTTGAACTAGTTTACAGTCCCACCAACAGTGTAAAAGTGTTCCTATTTCTCCACATCCTCTCCAGCACCTGTTGTTTCCTGACTTTTTAATGATTGCCATTCTAACTGGTGTGAGATGGTATCTCATTGTGGTTTTGATTTGCATTTCTCTGATGGCCAGTGATGGTGAGCATTTTTTCATGTGTTTTTTGGCTGCATAAATGTCTTCTTTTGAGAAATGTCTGTTCATGTCCTTCGCCCACTTTTTGATGGGGTTGTTTTTTTTTTCTTGTAAATTTGTTTGAGTTCATTGTAGATTCTGGATATTAGCCCTTTGTCAGATGAGTAGGTTGCAAAAATTTTCTCCCGTTTTTTAGGTTGCTGTTCACTCTGATGGTAGTTTCTTTTGCTGTGCAGAAGCTCTTTAGTTTAATTAGATCCCATTTGTCAATTCTGGCTTTTGTTGCCATTGCTTTTGGTGTTTTAGACATGAAGTCTTTGCCCATGCCTATGTCCTGAATGATAATGCCTAGGTTTTCTTCTAGGGTTTTTATGGTTTTAGGTCTAACGTTTATTTAAGTCTTTAATCCATCTTGAATTAATTTTTGTATAAGGTGTAAGGAAGGGATCCAGTTTCAGCTTTCTGCATATGGCTAGCCAGTTTTCCCAGTACCATTTATTAAATAGGGAATCCTTTCCCCATTGCTTGTTTTTCTCAGGTTTGTCAAAAATCAGATAGTTGTAGATATGCAGCGTTATTTCTGAGGGCTCTGTTCTGTTCCATTGATCTATATCTCTGTTTTGGTACCAGTACCATGCTGTTTTGGTTACTGTAGCCTTGTAGTATAGTTTGAAGTCAGGTAGCATGATGCCTCCAGCTTTGTTCTTTTGGCTTAGGATTGACTTGGCGATGCGGGCTGAAAAAAAGAGCCCACAAAAAAAAATTTAATTTTAAAAGAATAGGCAGGGCACGGTGTCTCATGCCTGTAATCCCAGCACTTTGGGAGGCCAAGGCAGGCAGATCACAAGGTCAGGAGATCGAGACCATCCTGGCTAACATGGTGAAACCCCGTCTCTACTAAAAATACAAAAAATTAGCCAGGCGTGGTGGCAGACGCCTTTACTCCCAGCTACTTGGGAGGCTGAGGCAGGAGAATGGTGTGCACCCGGGAGGCGGAGCTTGCAGTGAGCAACGATCGCTCCACTGCACTCCAGCCTGGGTGACAGAGCCAGACTCCATCTCAAAAAAAAAAAAAAAAGAAAGAAAAAGAATATGTATATTCTTTTATATATATTTAGATCCCCACAAAAGCAGACGAGTATTATATTTTTTATTTCCATTGTAAACATAAAGCATGGTCATTAAAGAAAATTTAGAAAATTGAGAAAAACTGAATAAAGAAACTCTATGCATGAACATTTTGATTCATTTCTTTCTCTTTTTTTTATAGGTATGGCTTTGTTTTTAAAGAGCTGTGTTCATAGAGTATTGTGTGAGTGTGTGTGTATGTGTTTAAGTATATACCCACTTTTTATTATGAGTAATTTATACTCTTTGTGAAAAATTCAAAGCATACCTGAGAGTACAGAATAAAACGTTAAAGTCGTCTATGTGTTAAATCCCTACCCTAATTCCACTGTCTTCCCTAAGCATTATTAAGTTGGTCTATTAGCCTAGGCATTACACACACACACGCTGGCGCATGCACACACACACACACACACACACACACACACAGGATAGGAGGTGAAACATAAACATATTATTCTACAGCTTGCTTTTATTCTCTTAAATGTCTACGTTAAATATGTTTCAATGTCAGTATATATATATATGTCAGCCTCATTTTTTTTAACAATTTCCCTAATAATTGCATTTTTCACTATTTCAAATAATGTTATAGTTAACATCATCATGAATATACCTCAGTGCACATTGGAGCATTAATAGGATAGCTTTCTTTAAAATAGAATTTCTGGGTCAAAGTATACATTATTTTTAAATTTAGACTCTGCTAAAGTGTACTCCAGAAAGACTGTGCCAATTTCATGTTTCCATCAACCATGTATAACAGTGGCTATTTCCCTAACTCTTTTCCAAATTAAAGTTTTGTTTTTATCCATCTCAGTGGGTGAAAAACATTCCTCCAATTATTAGTGTAGTTAGTAATCTCTTCATATGTCCATGGTCACTTTTATTTTCTGGATTGCCTGTTCATATTCTCTACCCATTTTTCTATCAGGTCATGTTTGTTTTTCCTATTCATTTATAGGAGCTCTTTGTATATTTTTAACATGTATTAAAATCAATATATGTTGTAAAAAGGTTTTATCAATCAGTAGCATGTCTTTTAGCCTTACTTTGTTGTCTCTCACAGCATAAGTTTTATTTTGTGTGTGTGTGTTGAAATCAGTTGATCTTGGCCGGGCGCAGTGGCTCACGCCTGTAATCCCAGCACTTTGGGAGGCTAAGGTGGGCGGATCACAAGGTCAGGAGATGGAGACTGTCCTGGCTAACATGGTGAAACTCCGTCTCTACTAAAAATACAAAACAAAATTAGCCGGGCGTGGTGGCGGGCGCCTATAGTCCCAGCTACTAGGGAGGCTGAGGCAGGAGAATGGCATGTACCTGGGAGGCGGAGCTTGCAGTGAGCCGATATTGCGCCACTGCACTCCAGCCTGGGCGACAGAGGGAGACTCCATCTCAACAACAACAACAACAACAACAACAACAAAAATCAGTTGATCTCCTGATTTGATCACATAAAACTTCTCAGTTTTGTGTCTTGGTTAGGAATACCTTCCTGCTTGGAAATTATAGAAATAGTCTTCTCTATTTATTCTGGAACTCTCAGAATTTTTATATTTTACATTTAGCTATTTAATCTGTGTGAATTATATTTTTGTACGAGGTTTGAGCTATAGATCTAGCTTTATTTTAGTTATAAATGAATAATGAATTAACTCCAAACCTGTCCTTTCTGATTTGAAATAGTCCTTTCATCATAAACTGAGTTCAGCTCTATTCATGGTTCTACAACTGGACTTTTTCTTCTATTTTATTTCTCTGTTAATCTATTTCTGTGTCATAATTGTATCATTTGAATTTTGCCATAGCTTTGTAATAATTTTTGTTTTCTACCCAGAAAAGACCTCCTTCATTATTATTACTTTGAAAATATTTGTTGACAATTGTTGTGCGTTTACTTTTCCAGATGAATTTTAGAGTAAATTTTTCAGATTTCCCCCAAAGAAATTTCACTGTGACTTTCGTTGAAATTTCACTGAATTTGTAGATTGATTTGGAGAGAATTAAAATTTTTACAGTAAATATTCCTATCCTGGACGATGGTATGCCTCTTATTTTCCAGGCCTTTTTTAATGATCTTGAATAAAATTTTATAGTTTTCATCACATAAGTCTAGTGAATTTCTTGTTAGGTTTTTTTCCTAGGTCCTTTTATAGTTTTTATTGTTATAGTGAATAGGGCCATTTGTCACTGCATTTTTTTTCTAGTTGCTTATTGCTGGTAAATAAGAAAGCTATTGATTTCTGTACATTTCTTCTGTAACCAGCCATCTTACTGAACTCTCTCATCAGCCCTAATAGTTTTAAAGTTGATTATTTTAGATTTTCTAGATTAGACAATCATATTAGCTGCAAGTAATGTAATTTTATTTCTTCTTTCCCACATGGATGCTTTTTTTTTGGCTTCTTATATGACTACTGCCTCCAGAATTATTATATTAAAGAGGAGTGATAGGTTTGGCAGCTCTAGAATTTCTGAATAAGAGGGACTTAAAGGCAAGCATAGCTTTTACTAAATTCTATATTACAGATCAATAAAAACAGCAAAATTAGTTCTAGAGTTTTTTCTCCCATTATATAACATTAAGAAATTATGTGTTTTTCTTATTAAGTAGTGTTATTTTTTAAAAACTCTGGAGTGATTTGGAAGGAGCTGATAGAGGTTGGAGAGGAAAGTTCTCTAAATGGAAACCCAGTGGTTCTGTAACACCATCGCTTGATGAGGCTAAGTACAATTTTGTATCCTGATTATTCTGCACTTATAACATTAGCATTTTCTCTGTTATTATAAACCCTTGACCTCAAAATATTCATTAAGTGGATATATCACAGCTTACTTAACCATTCCTCTTTCTGTGAACATTTAGGCTGTTCCTCGTTGTTTATGTTATAAATATTGCTGCAAGGAACATTTTTGTGTGCAAAGCTTTTTTTTTTCTGAATTTATGATTATTTCTTTAGGAGCAATTCCCAGAATGAATATTTTTTAAGATACTTGATTCTTATTGCCAAATTGTTTTCTAAAAGCATTTGATCATTTTACACTGCCACAGTATGTGAATGTCCGAGGAAACAGACCTTTTAAAATTAAGGATTATAAAATATGTCATAGAAGAAAGAGAACGGACTTTGGAGTCAAAGAGATGGGTTTGAATTCTGATTCCTCCACTGAAAAATGGTCGTATTTAAATAAATTTAAAAAAAAAAACCTCTGAGTCTCAGTGTCCCCCTCTGTAAAATGTGCAGCTAATTCTTCTTCAGTCATGCTGAAGGCTGAGTGAGAACAAACTAGTGATGGCACTCAGCACAAAGTAGCTCTAAACAAATGGGAGTCACTTTCCCTTTATTTGGACTGTTTTCAGAGGTTTTATTTTCTAAACAGCTTTGGAGACTTCCCCTGAAAAACATGCTGCAATTAGGAATGACTTCTGTCCCTTAGCCGAGGCCTGTCTGCCAAGGGGAAACCCTTTCCTGCGGCTGGCTGCTGGCCCCAGTTGTAAGCTCTGAGATCTGTTATGCAGAAGAATTTCCCATCGGCTGCCCACTGTGCCCCACGCTGTGTGCAGGCCACACATGAACCTCTGCTCTGTGCTGGGGCAGAGGAACAAGCAGCACTCAGCATTCCCGGTGAAAACAGTGGCTGGGGGCTTCCAGAGAGGCCATCAGCTTCTCCCCTGATTCCCTAACTGGATTCTTCTTTTCTGACATTGCACAGAGCAGGGTGGTTGTCATCTGCTCCCATCTCTTGGTTGCCAAGTCCTGCCAGTTCTGCCTCCTAAGTATCTTTCCAATTTTTCCCTTTCTCTGCAACACCAGTACGCCCGACTTTGTTTAGGTGCTCTCACACCTGGAACACTGAAGCAGCCTCCTGCTTGTCTCCAGAATTTCTCCCTCCTGCCCATCCTCTATTCTGGTCCAGTGTGACCTTTCTAAACCAAATCTGGCTGTGCTGTTTCCTTGCTGAAAACTCTTTGATGGCTCCTGTCACCCATGGAATATAGTCCAGAGCCTTAGCTCAGCATCCAGTATCCTCTAGCTATCTGTCTCTCCTAAGTTGTACATTCCACTCATGCATTCTTTTATTCAGGAGACATTTATTAAGTATCAGCGACCATAAGAATTGTATTCACTAACACTTTTTGCACCCTTTCTAGGCACTTTGGGGCCAGGCTAAGCACTCGATATGCATAATCTGTCTTAACCCTTTTAATAACCCTATGAGGCTGGTATTATTTTCATTCCCCTTTGACACATGAGGAAATTGAGCCCAGAAAGTTAACCTAGCCTGCCCAAGATGGCTCAGCTAGGAAGTAATAGAGCCAAGACTTTGTCTCCCAAGCCCATGCTCTTAACCACTCACCAGTCCCAATTTCTTTCATATATATTAGGCCTGAGAATACCTATTAGACTAAACTGGTGGTATCTTTCTCCATACACATATTTTGTAAGAAATATGGGCACAGAATTCATACTACTTAAAAATTATAGAGCTTGCTGCCAACCAGACACTGGCATAGGAATTTGGCAGATTCTTCTCCTAAGTGCTCCAGGGCTGACCACAAGATTCCTGCCTTGAACCCCAGATCCCAGAACCCCCATTCCTGCTTCCTCATGTGGTGCCCATGCTTGGGTTAGTTATAATTTCCCAGGAGGGACCCCTGCGTTTCTCTCTGGACCAGCCCTATGGGGTATGTGGTGGGCACTCAATAACTGCACTGAATTAAATCGGATTGAATTGAACCAAATTGAATTCACAGGCAGATATTCTCCAGCAGTGGCTGGGTCTTAAGTTCATTGTTGTCTTAATCATCTTGTGGTAGATTGCATTGCCTCCTCCATAAGCCAGGCTAAGCACTTAGGTTTTTGAGAATAGTGTATCTTAAGGGGTTTCCATTCAAGCAGGGTAGCTCTTCTGCATAGGCCACTGGAAATAGGTCTGAGTTGTGCGTGTTCTTTGACGTAGTTTTCTGATATGTCTCGGAAGTCAAACAATGTGGGCTTAAGAATCACCCGTACTGCTTACACTGCTGTGTGACCTTTGGCAAGCTACTTAAACTCTCTGGTCTCTGGTTCTTCATCTGTCTGTCCCAACAGGATACTGTGAGAATTAAAATGAGGAATTTAATGTGAACTCTTACTATGCACAATGCATAGTAACAGAACACAGCTTTTGGCAATAATTATAACAGTTGTTTTTCTTTCCATGTCTCTCCTGTCCATGCTGAATTGGACAGTGAGCTGGATTGGGAGCAGGGACAATAAGGAAATGACAGAGGCAGAAATCAGAAAGCATGGTCTTCAGTGGGGCTTGGTCAGCCTAGGGCTCTGGACAAAGGGGGAATTCTTAGCTTCTATGCCTGGGAAAGTACCTGAAGGATATGGAAAATTGAGAGAGGATGAGCCTGGAGAGATAGATGGAGGCCAGATGATTCGTATTTTATTCTGAAGGCAATAGGAAACCGCTGGAAGGTTTACAGCAGGGGAGTAACATTATCAGCTTTGCATTTTTGAAAGACCACCCTGGCTGCTGCTGGAGTACAGGATGGAAGGATGGATGCAGGCACAGACACAAACTGCTCATTGTTGCAGTTGCCCAGGTGAGAGATGATGAGGCCTGAATTAACACAGACAGTATTAGTGGAGACTGAGAGGAGGGAGAGGTTTAACAGACTTAAAAACAGCATCATTTGGTTAGCAATGCAATTAACCTGAGGGACAAAGCGGGAGGAGGAATAAGATGGCTGTCAGCCCTTGGTTTGAGTGGCCAGTGTGTGGGATGGCAGGAAGTGGCAAAGGGGGTGATCATCTTAAGTTTGAGGTGCCCCTGGGGTGATGGCATCTTAAGTTTGAGGTGCCCCTGGGATGCCAGAGGTAGAAGGATGTAAGGATCTAAAGTTTTGGGGAGGAGTAAAGGTTGAAAATAGATGTCTGGGAGCCATCAGCTTAGGTGTGAGGAGAGAGCTTACAACGGGGACACAACAGGGAAAAAGGGAGGATGAGAGGACAAGAGGACAAGCAGAATAAATTAGAGTATTAGGACTTCCTGGGAGCCTAGACTCATCCACTAGAGAGGGTGGGCATGGAGTTGATTGCGCTGACATCCAGCATGTCAGGGAAAGCCCTGGGAATTCCACTGTGTGTCCACTGTGTGTCTGCTATGGTCATGGGAGGCCCTCTAGCTTCCTGCCTGGCCTAGAGAGTCCACTGAATTCCAGTCTGTTGCACTGGCCCATGAACCCCAGCCCCGCCCTGCCCAGCTCATCCTCCTTCTAGGGCTGACCCTCTCCTTCTAACTCCTTCTAAGTTATATTGAAGAGCCCTGGTCTTCATTGGCCATTGCCAATCTCTTCCAAGTCCAAATTCCATAATAAGAGGGAAGGCTTCTATCTGAGAGTGGGCAAAAGAAACATCTTGAAAGTGGGGCCTTGTTTCCCAATTCAAGGCATGTGTCCCAGGGATCATATGGGTCTTTGACTGTAGACTCCCTGAGAAGGCTTGGAGAGTTCCCATATGTGTTAAGGCCTTCTAACTTCTTGGCTCCATGGATACTTCTCTGAACTAAACAAATGAAAGTGTCTAGATTTCACACTCACAGACTATAACTCGGTTGATTAGGAGTTGATCCGGAAATCTACATTTTCAATACTCACCCTAGGCTATCTCGATACAACTAGTCAGAGACCACCTTGGAGAAATACTGACTTAAAAAAAAAAGGCAACTGTGAGGGGACCTAACATCTAACAACCATCCACAATTTGCCCTACTATTGACATTTCATTTAGTCCTTACTAAATGAGGTGAGGTAAATGTGTCATCATTTATTCTAGAGGAAATCATCTGAGGCTCGGAGATATTTAGCAACTTGCCCAACTACACACAGCTGGTTGCTGGCAGATTCAAAATTGGAAGCCCAGGTCTTTTTTACTCCGCAGCCTAAGACATATACCAATATATCACCTACTGAGAGGAAAATGGCCCCTGTTTTTGGGTAGCTAAATGTCCATTCTATGGAAGAAAGTTTAAATAACTGGGAGAAACTGAACCAATGGGTAGTTGCAGGAGTCAAACCTTGACTCAGTGCAAAGATCTTTGTAATAAAATGGAATAGCTTCCTTGGGGAGACCATTGGAAGAGTCAAGGAGGGGCTGGACAAACACCAGCCTCCAGCTGGTGTGGTAGAGAGAATTTATGAAGTAGGCTGGAGTACATGACTCTGAATCCCTTTCAAGCCTGTGATGAGTAAGATATGGAGCTTTGATAACTTGATTGCCTGAATTTGGTGCTCCTGTTGGCTCTAGACTGCATCCGTAGCCACGAAGGGAAGAAAAGGAGGAAGAGAAGGGAAGGAAAGAAGGAAGAATGGAAGGAAGAAAGGAAAGGGGGAAGTTAGCTAGTAAATTCAGGGTATGAGGATTGAGAAAACTATGGATCCTGAATCTTCCATTCTTTATTGAGTAATTTCTTAACTAGGAAACAACTGAGAAAGCATGCTGTGACCTCAAAGAGATAGGTACCTCCATTTTTCTTTATGGATGATTGAAGTGTATGCCCAGTGTTGACCTCTGCAGTGAACTCATGGCATTAATGGGGAATCCTCCTTGAACCAAATTTTAGAGAAACAGGCAAGTTTTCACATGTGCCCTTATCACTAATGCCAGCCTAATGCCCTATTCTACAAAGGATTAACAGTCAATAGAAAGGTAGATATGTTTCATTTCTCTTTGGTCTGAACATTCTCAAGTGGGAAGAGTCGTGACATAGGCAGCTTTAGAGAAAGTATGAAATTACAAATGTTGTCCATTGACAGCCTGTCCTTTGAAGCTGTCTCATTAGACCATCAGTCTTCACCTAAGTCACTTTCAGTCCTCCAGACTCAATTACCTCTGGCCACCCCACTCCCATCTCCCCACTGAAGTTCTGCCATAGCCCCGTGGATACCAGTACTCACATTTGCCTCCAGTTCTCCATTCATAGCTGTTTAATCTTAGACAAGTCACTGAACCTCTTAGAACTTCATGTCCTGTTGGTGGGATTATAAATGGCACAACTTTTTTGGAAGGTAATTTTCATGGTAGGAATTAAAACGTGAAATGTGGATACCACTTTTAGGGATTTATACCAAGGAACTAGGGAATAGTGAGAGGCTGGTGCAAAATGATATGTGCAAGGATGTTCACTGCAGCATTATTTATTATAATGGGGAAAAGGAAACAGTATATGTCCAATATTAATGGTTCCATAAACTGGCACCTGTGGCTGATACAACACATGGGGATTAAAATTATAATTTCAGAAACTTTCGAATAAATTTGAAAATGCTTAATATAGGATATTAAGTTAAAAAATTAATATACAAAACTGAATATGTAGTTTAAATACACAGTACTAATGCATTTTATTATTTATGTTCTTTTGTATTTCTAAGTTTTATAATAAGCTTATATTACTTTCTGCACACAGAAAAACAAGTAAAAGTTAAAATATATTTTGAAAGCTCCCACCACCTACAGGATTAGGAACAAATTTTCTAACAGAAGATTTTATAATCCGACTCCATCCCAACTCAGCTCCTTCATTTTCTGTCACTTCCTCCCCATCATCTTCAGTTCCCCACACCATTCCCTCCCTTGCACCTTGCTTTAACTACCCCACGCTGCTTGGCATTCTGTAAACACACCATAACTATGCATACTGCCATGCTGCCATGCCTTCATGCTTCCTGCTTTCCCTAGCCAAAACGACCTTCCCCACATTTTTCAAGAACTAATTCAGGCATCTCCACTTCTTCCTTGACAGTTAATTATTTCCTGCCCCTTTCTCCTACAGAACAGTTTTTATATACTTAATAATTACTTATTTAGTAGCTGTTATTCTCATTTTACTTTTCTTCAACATTTGTGGGAACCCCAAGGAGGGAAGACTGACTGTCTCAGAGGATCAGGAAAGGATTCACAGAGGAGGGTTGCAGGAAAATGAATAGGAGTTTGTCCACTAGACAGAAAGACAATAAATGCCCTGACAGAACTCCAGAATGAGTTCCCAGCTTGTATCTATTTCTCTCATAACTCTTTTCTCCCTGCGTAATGTGTTGCTTATGGGTACATGTCTCTTCCCTACCAGCGAGGTCATTAAGAGCAGAAAATGTGCCTTGTTTGCCTTGTGGTGTTTAGCACAGTGCCTGGGCATCATAAATATATTTTTGTCCCAGAGCATGAAGGTCCAAAAATAACAATACAGTAATTACCTTTCTCCTTGTTTCAGGGTGAATGGGGGAAAATCATATTCTTATTGTCACTTATCACTGGTTTCAAGTATGAGCCCAGAGATGCTGAAAATGCTTTATATTTTGCTAATTTGAACCAAATTGAAGAAGTTGTCCCCTTGGTAGGTCTTAAGAGGATATTCTGCAAAATTTGTACTTTCTTTGAGTATAAGAATTGTACCAATATGAGCTTTGCTTCCCCTTTAAACAGCATGCCACAAGAATGATGCCTTTGAAATAAATCCTGTTTGAGTAATGTTTCTCTTGGACTCATAAAATCTTTATGGAAATCTTTTCTCATCTCATAGACTATGAGAAGAAAGAGAGAGCCAAAACCACTGAGCTGTAAGTGAAGAGCGCAGTCTTTTCTCATATGTGGGTCACACTTTAATGTAAATAGTTTTTAAATGCAAATCCCATACCGACTACACATTAGCTCAAAAATCCTAGCTCTGTCCAAGTGCTGAATCTGTGAGTTAAGATCTCTTAATCTCTGATTAAAGAGTAGGTGGTATGGAAATGTATCCATTCAGATAGAAAGTTTGAATGTATTAAAAGATCCAGTAATAGCCATACTAGGGATAAGAACACAAATGCTGGCAGAAATAAAAACAGCTTTATGTCCTCCCTCAAAAAGAGAGAGAGAGAGAAGCAGTAAGTTGGCAGAGCTGAGCTCTCAACCCAGCTATGCAAAGGGGCACTGACTTGGGAGCCATACACTCATTCAGCATACATTTTTGGGGTGCCTGGTATATAATAGGCATTATACAATGACATTAAATTAGATAAATCATCATTTTTGGTCTCCATGAGGTCACAATCAGTGTTTGCTCATCCACTGACTAGCTGTTAACTTTGAGCAATTTACTTAACCTTTCAAGCTTCAGGTTTTTCATTTTAAAATTTTGGATAATAGGATCTTACTAGATTACTGTGCAGATTAAATAAGGTAATGTTTACAAAGCACTTTGCATAGAACTTAACATATTATAAACTCTCAATGAGTGTTACATATTAGTATCAGGTGTGATGCGCTATGCTAAATTCTTTATATTCATGCTCTCATTTGTTCTCTCATTTGCTCTACACCTGTCACCTTGAGTAGGTTTTAATTCACCCTTTACACGGACAAGAAGAAGGAGGATCAGAAGAATGTGGTTTGCTAACTTGCCAAGTTCATACAGTTAGTAGTGGGAACAGCATTCAAAGCCAGTTCTTTCTTCATCTAAAACCAATGCTCATGATTATAGTGGTGGTGGTTAGAGCAGGAATGGGGGAGAGACACCAATGCTTGCTATCAGCCACCCAATATTGTAAGACAAAATCTCCTACCCTCATCAGGACTGGCATTTTTGGGAAGGCAAAGTCTAAGGGAATGAGGTGGTCACATGACTCAGGTATTTGTGTGACTTTCAGGTCAGGGACATTTGTGGGTTAATAGATATGGGGAAGATAAATCCCAACCCTTGGGAGAGTAGGCCCAAAGTCCATCCATCCAGAAACAGTTTCACAAAACTGCTAGCCCATGGGGGAGCAAGAAATGGGACCAGAGATTGAAGCAGACCAACCAGACAGATGGGCCACACTTAAGTGGAGTGGTTAATGATCAAGGCTGCAGGGATTCCAGGGACTAAATCCCTGGCTCCTGGGATCTTAGTGGGAGGTGGTGGGGAGGACAGCAGACTATTTCCAGAATCTACTCGACAAGTGGAAAAGGGGCTCATAATGAATTTCCTGCTGGAGACAATTGTCACTGGGACAGGGCAGGTTGACCCTGAATATGTGACCAAGCAAAGGCTAAGCAAAAGCTGGCACCATAGAAGCCACCAACTCACACATTCCAGTTGGAACCTCCAGCCGAGAGAACTCTTTGATTGTGTTGGTCTGCATCCTGTGGCTTAGGGACAGTGGGAGTTCTGAACTAGTGACCACACATTGTTACCGCGGTAAGAAGAATGTGCTTTTTCTTTTCGTTCAAGAGCTTATGATTCAGTCCTATGGATTCATATAAATAGATATTCTCTTTGCTTTACTACCTGTGGCAAATAGGACTACAAAGCACAATAGCACCCTGTCCCCCTCCCCAGGGCTGTCCCATAAACAGTGGGAGTTATCTGAGTTCCCTTGATTGAAATTGGAAAGGTCATATCTCAATAGTATCTTTAGGGCTTGCTTTTCCCATTTGTGACAATCTTGGACTGTCCTCAGGCCTCCCTAAGGTGTCCTTCCAGCTCTGACCTTCCAAGGGTGTCTTTCGGACACAGAGAGTTTGGCCAGCCATCAAGCAGGTAAACAGATCAATGAGGGCTGTTCACTGAATTGTGCTCCTGGGCCTCTACTACTGCTTTCAGCCCTTGCTGCCACTGTCAGATCAATGCGGGGAGCAGATGGCTGTGCTGTGTCACAATAATGGCTCCTTTGAAGAGACTTTGCTCAGTCCTTCTCCTGTAAGCTAGGGAGGTGAGGGGCAGCTGCACCCAACACCTGGCAGCTCAAGGGAGGCCCATGTTGGCTTCTAATAAAAGCAGCGGGGGTGTCTGGAATGGACCACATGTGGGTCTCCCACTCACCTGTGATGCTGTCTGTCCCCGTCAGAGGGGAAGTGTGGTTGCTCACATCTCATGTACATCTAGCCCATGTGGTGCTGGCCTCATCGTCTACTGAAGCTGAAGGAAAGCATGTTGTGTCCAAAAGAAACAAAGCAGGATTTTCAGCTTGTTTGCAGTAACGGCCTCACGGGATGGCTCCTGGCTTAGGAATCAGAGAATTTGCTGAACAAATACATGGGCAGAAAGTGCTGAAAAGCAACTCTCAGATATTACATGGTCTATTCCCCTTCTCTCTGCTTGGTCCCAAATGGTCACTCCAGCCCCTGAGTCTGCCTGACCTTCAAATCCAGGAACCCAACTCCCAGTTTCCACATCTCTTAATTCAAACTATCAAGAGAGAGAATCTGATTGGCTCCACTCATCAGTCGAGTGTCTCCACTCCTTGTCCAATCAGCTGCAGCTAGAAAGGGGCAAGCTCAGCTTGTACCAGTATAGCTGCAGGAGCCCCTCCCTTCAGCAGCGCAATCCTGAAAAGAGGGCAGGGGCTTGGCAGCAACCCTGGGCATATCTTCGACATTAACTTAACATCTCTCTCTTCTCTGTGGTCTCTCTCAGAAAGTAATAGGGAAAAGTATTCTTTTCAATTTGCCCCCTTGAGCTACACAAAATAATACAGACTAAGGGCCTGGCATTCAGTGAAGAGAACTTGAGAGCAATTTCGGGGTGCCTTTACCACTACAGTATTGTCTTGTCTGCCTTTCACAGTCTGCAAAAGGGAGCTCTGTAAATACCAGGGATTTTGTGATTATTATGAATCCTCTAAGCAGCTAAATTTCCCAAATTCTCAGAGTTGTAATGCCTCGGGATTTAGAGATATAATTAAGAACAGATGAGCCTCACAAAGGTTGATGGTGAGGATCTGGGATTGCATCAAGCCACAGAGAGAATTTTGCTGTGAGTTCCAGGCCCTCATCTCCCCCAGTGCGACAAGGGGGACAAGTCCAGTGGGACAAGGACTGGAGGGGGTGATGGCACACAGGACCTCTGTTAACGAGCCATTGGGCCCAGGAATCCTGACCTCTCATTTTCCCAGAACTTGTGACACAATCTATAAACCCACTCAACAGGTTAGGAAGAGGCAATGCTGAGTCAGCCCTGGGCTGTGCGCCATAGCCATCCTGAACAGCTTTCTGCCATTACAGGATAGAATAAGACCAGCCAGGTGTGGCCCATTTCCTCTCAGCAGCCATTTGCCTTCTGCCCACACATCGATCTTGCCAAAAGAGGGCTTGTGCTGCAGCATTGAGTCATTCTCCTACCCTCTTTAGTTTATACTCATTTTTCAGGGTTTTCTCTGACTCTACTACTTACTGAAAGGTGTAGAAATACTAATAAGGCAATACTATGTTTTATTTGATCTATAGACTGCAGCAACCTGAATCTATATTATCTGTCATGCCAAGAATGTTTTGACCTTCTAAAAGGAAATGAATGCTCTCCGGACCAGAGCCAAGCAAGCAGCTTAGACCCATTCACAAGCAAAAGTCTGGGGCCTTGAGAGTTCCAGGGCATTAAATCACCATCAGAATAAGACTAGGGTCTTGAAGCTCATGATCTGGAGCACTTAGAGTGGACAAGGAGCAATGACCCCACAGCTACTATGACACATGGTAGAGTGTGGGTGCTGCAGCCAGGATGCCTGAGTTCTGCTACTTGATAGCTGTGTGACCTCAAGCAAGTCGCCTAACCTCTCTGTGTCTCCATCTTCTCACCTGCAAGCCACAGGTTATAAAGGGTTGCTGTAATAGATGAGTAAATACATGCGAGGGACTTAGAACAGTGCCTGGCGTTCAGTAAATACTCAGGGCAGCATCTGTGTCCCAAGTGGTACGTAAGTTCTTTATGCCATGTCTTCTCATTCTATTCCCATATGACCCTGAGAAACAGCTTTTGGTGTTGCCATTATACATAAGAATAAAGTGAATTTCTCATGTTCGACAAATTGCCCAGGGCCACATGGCTAGTAAGTAGCAATGACAGATTCCCAAGGTAGAGATCTCTGACTACAAATCCTGTGTTCTATCTCTTGACCAGTTCCCCTCATGGTCAGGCTGGCTTCCCGTAATTACAAACTCTCCCCTTTAGTTCCCTCTGTTGTCTCTTGATGCTCACTTGACTTTCAGGGACTCTGGAATCTCTGCTGCTTCCCAGCTGTGAGACAACTAAGACCAGGCAATCTGTCTTTGCCTCAATTTCTTTATTTCTGTAAACTGGCATAGTAACAGGGCCTGCTGAGAAGGAGAACAGCAGCCCCTGATGGCTGCAAGCTGGCCTGGCACTATCAGTAAGGCCTTTTGCTGCCGAGAGCTGGCCTGGCACCTACACCTAGACCTTGGGGTTCTCCTGTTGACCATAAACAATTTCACTGAATGTCAATGCCGGACAAAACCACTCTAGGACCCTGATAGATGAAGACAAAAACAAGACCATTTCAACATCATGAATTCAGACAAAAACAAGAACATTATTCAAAATACAAAGATGACTTAACAGCCCCCCTCCCTCCACCTCTTGGCTGATGTGAGTGATGGCTGCTTCTTTACCAATTACAACTCTTATCTTCCTTCATTCCTCCTGCCTTGTAAATAAAATTTATGAAGTACCCAACCAGAGAATTACACCTACCTCCAGTCTCCAATCCAGGGCAAAGCTCTGCTTCCTTGAACCCTCCCCCAATTAACTAACACAAGCCCGAATCCTACAGTGAATTATTTCTTACCTT
Organism: Homo sapiens; assembly: GCF_000001405.40. Taxonomy (NCBI): domain Eukaryota; kingdom Metazoa; phylum Chordata; class Mammalia; order Primates; family Hominidae; genus Homo; species Homo sapiens. Next base: position 33,875,589 of record NC_000001.11, on the reverse strand, counting down.
CTTACTGAGACACTGCACAGCTCCCTGTGGTGTGCATTCTCCCTCACTGCCACCAGTCAGCAAACCCAACTTTGTTCAACTACAGGGAGGTCCATGGTGGTCATTGGCCGGGGGCTGACACTGCCTCTAGAATTATACGTGATGATATCTGGAGAACACTTAGAAATAGGGCTTAGTCCATAGTAAACGCCCAAAACATGTCAGTCATGAGCATGACATTTATTATAAGAAATACCCTTCCTCTTTGGACAGAGCTAAGGAGCATACATTTGCTCTCACTAACCAGCCCCCTTCTTTTCTGAAGTCCATGCAGTTCCCCCGCCCCTTATGTTTGCCCTGGGCACTGAAGCATTCTCTTTTTGCATTTCACAGATCTTCACACTGCAGACCTCAAACCTAGAAAAATCTGTTTTGCCCATGACATTGGAGGCTGTTGTCTGCCCTGTCTCTGGGATCCCAATGAAGGACATCCTCTCAGGGTATTTAGACAGCATAGAGGGGTGGGAGTGGGGGCTAGATGAGCAGTGGACTGATGATCAGGCCTTGGCGGCCCTTTCCCACTTCCTGGCAGAGTAGATACTTTGCACATGGAAGTTCCCTCACCCACTTGCCAGGGCTGTGCGGGCCAGAGGAGCCTGGCCAGATTCTTCATCACAAATGTACTCGCAGCTGCATCAGTGAGGGACAGCCCCAGGGACCACAGAGTTCTTCCATGCCCACTGCTGCTAATTAGAGATAATACATTAAAAATACAGAGCCGCATCTGTTCGTTGTAACATGGGTATCGAGGAATTTACGTGGTTTATAATGACAGAGTGTGGGGAGAGGAAAATGCTGATTCTGTCTGGGAGCCAGAGGCACAGCTGTGGGCGAAGAGCTGGAGGTGTGGTTTCTGGTGCCCATCAAACTCTCTGGGTGCTAACCAAGCCCTCCCTTTGAGACACCCAGGGATAGATCCAGGTACTTATCTGGAAATACCAAGCTAGGTAACATGACCAGTCAAGCACAAAGTGGATGTCCAGATGCCCAGGAGGCCTTCTGGCCCACATGCAAAATACATGTCCCTTCCACACACAAAATACAAATACTCTGGTATTTGCAAAGAGTTCTTGAGAGAAGGGAGACACAGGACAGAAGAAAAAACATGCTTCTCATGATTCAATTGTTCATTTTCCATCAAACATGAACTGAGCACCTAACCTGCTGTTCAAGTTGTCTGTAAAATGGGGTGTTTAAAGTACCGCTCTCATTGAATGTTTTTCTTAAGTAAAATAATTGCATTAAATGGCTTCAAACAGTACCCAAATCATCTAACACAAGCCCAAATCCTGCAATGAATTATTTCTTACCAGGTATGATGTAGGCATTCAATAAAAGTGTGCTATTATCATTCTACTCCATGTGACGCATTGTGTTAAATTTTAGAGCACTGTGATGAATAAGGCAAGATCCCTTCCCTTCTCTACCAGTTGAGGGGACAAACAGTTGCTATAATGTGCTGTGCATTGGGATGGCATTGTATGAACTTACATAAGCTATTATGGGAACACACAAGGGAGTTGGAGCATCAAAGACAGCTTCCTAGAGGAAGGGATACCTGACCTAAGTCTGTAGAACAGGTTGAAGTCTACCAGACCTAAAAGGTAGGAGAGATGAGAAGTATGTGCAAAGGCCCTGGGGAGGAGAGAGTGTAATGTTTCTGGGGAAAATGCAGTGTAGCCCGACCTTAGGGCAGGTGCGTTAGGTGTCTGTTGCTGTGTCACATATTACTCCAAAGCTTAGTGGTTTGAAACAACATTTATTAGCTCATATTTTCTCTGTGTTAGGAATGTAAGCGTAGCTTAATTGGGTTCTCTGGCTTAGGGTTTCTCATAAGGCTTCAATCAAGGTGTCCACTAGGGCGGCAGTCATCTCAAAGCTCAACTAGAGGGGAGGACAAGCTTCCAAGTTTCTTCACATAATTGTTTGCTGGATTCAGTTCCTCAGTGCTATTGACCAGAGACAGCCCTCAGTTCTTCTCCAAAGGGAAGCTTTCAACCCAGCTGCTTCATCAGAGCAAGCCAGAGAGTAGAGCCAGAGAGAGAGGATAAGACAGAAGTGACAGTCTTTTATAACCTGATATGAGAAGTGACATTCTATCACTTTTTCTGTATTCTATTCTTTAGAAGCAAATCACTAGGTCCAGCCCACACACAAAGGGAGGGGACTGCACAAGGACATGAATACCAGAAGAGAAAGAAATTTAGAGTCATTTCTGAAGCTGCCTATCACAATCTACCCTCTGGCTCTCCAATGATTCTTGTCCCTTCCACATGCAGAATACATGTCCCTTCCACACACAAAATGCAATCATCCTTCCCAAGGTCTCTAACATCTCCTCCCGTGGGAGCACCAACTGAAAGTCCAGGATCTCATCATCTAAATCAGGTGCAGGTGTGGATGAGGCTCTTGGGTATAATTCCTTAAGTACAAGTTCTAGAATACTGTTACTACAGATTTGGTGATTTGAAAAGCTAAGGAGATAAATTATCTGCCCCCCATATGCCCAACATACAATGGCAGGTTAGGTATAGAGGAATGGCTATAAACACTGCTACTCAAAGGGAGGAAAATGTGAGGAACAAAGGCGTCACTGGTCCGTAACAATTTTGAAATCCAGCCAGGAAAAGACTGCAAGTTTCTTGGTTAGGTTTCAAAGCCTGGGGATAATTCTCCATGACTCTTAGCTCCACCTTCTAAGCTCTTGGTTCTTCCCTCTGAGTAATCCTTCCTTTTTCATGAAAGGAAACCTGTGTTTAAAGCTGACTTGTTTTCTCAGCCTGTTTCCTGCTGAGAATTTTAGGGGTCCAATGGCCTCATTTTATTTTGTACTGTCTCTGTTCCTTTCTGTCCCAGCTGTGTTTCTTCTCATAGGTTTTCTCAGAAACCTTCTGGGTCTTCTGTAAATTGCACTGAGATTCCCTCTATTACACAAAAAAACAAACCCACAAATTTCTTTGAGAACTAAACTTTTCAACCTGAGCCTCTTGAAAAGATGGCCAAGGGACAGCCCCTTGGCTTCCTAGAGTCCCTATTGTTTGATCTGGAGGATCTATGAGGCCTACCCTAATCTCTTTAAAGGGCCTTTGTATGACTGAATAATACCATGATCTTTTGATCTTTCTGAAGTCTTAACCAAAGGCCCACAGTCACACCCACAGCTTTATCTCAGACCACCATTTCTTGCTCAAATGCCATTTCTTAATTTTAGCACCTTTTGCTGACTTGGGAGACTGAGAATTTTCAAAACTATCAGGTCCTGTCTCACTTTAACTTTTTTTTTTCTCTCTTCTCACATAAGCAGTAAGAAGAAATTATTTTCAACACTTTGCTTGGACATCTCCATAGCTAGATCACTAAGTTTATTAGGTACATATTTTGCTTTCCATGTAACTGCAGACAATAGTGGCACTAAGCTTTCTACCACTACCTAACAAGGATGTCCCTCCTCCATGATATGGTTTGCATGGGTCCCCCAAATGTCATGTGCTGGAAAGTTAATCCCCAATATGGTAGTGTTGAAAGGTGGGGACTTAAAGAGGTGATTGGATCATGAGAACCCTGTCTTCATGAATGGGTTAATCCATCCATGGATTAATGGGTTATCACAAGAGTGGGACTGGTGGCTTTATAAGAACAGGAAGAGGCCAGGCATGATGGCTCGTGCCGTAATCCCAGCACTTTGGGAGGCTGAGGCAGGTGGATCAGGAGTTCGAGCCCAGCCTGGCAAACACGGTGAAACCCCATCTCTATGAAAAATACGAAAATTAGCCAGATGTGGTGGCACACACCTGTAGTCCCAGCTACTTGTGAGGCTGAGACAGGAGAATCACTTGAACCCAGGAGGTGAGGGCTGTAGTGAGCCGAGATCACGCTACTACACTCCAGCCTGGGCAACAGAGCGAGACTCCATCTCAAAAACAAAACAAAAGAAGAGAGACCTGAGCAGGCACATCAACATGCTCAGTCCTCTCTGCAGACAGTCCTCACCAATAAGAAGGCTCTCACCAGATGCAGCCCTTTGACCTTGGACTCCTCAGCCTCTGTAACTGGTAACTGTCAAATAAATTTCTTTTCTTTACAAATTACCCAGCTTTAGATATTCTGTTACAGGCAATAGAAAATGGACAAAGACATTCTAGTTTCCAATAACATGTTCATCACTTCTTTTAAGCCCCCACCAGCTGTATCCTCAAAGTCCAGATTTCTACAGTGTCTTCAATTGTCTTTGAGGCAATTGAAGATTTCTCTAACAAGCTTCTCAGAATACTTCTCACCTCTGCCCACTGCCTGGTTCCAAAGCTATCTCACATTTTTAGGTATATGTCATGATACTATCCTTCTCTTGATGCCAAAATCTGTACTCATCATTTCAGTTTGTAACAAATTATCTGAAGCCTTAGTGCCATGAAACACCTATTAGTTTCTATGGGTCAAGAATCAGGTACAGTTTAGCTGAGTCCGTCACAAGGCTGCAGTAAAGGTGTCCACTGGGGCTGCAGGCATCTCAAAGGGGAGTGATCCACTTCCAGGCTTACTTACGGTTATTGGCAGGGTTCAGTTCCTTGCAGGCTGTTTGACTGAGGGCCTGAGTTCCTCACTGGGTGTTGGCCAGAAGCCACCCTCTGTTCCTTGCCACATGAGCCTCTCCATAGGGCAGCTTTCAGCATGTCAGTTTGCTTCAAGTGAGAGAGAAGAGGCAGAGAGAGCGGTCACAGCCTTTCATAGCCTAACATCAGAAGTGAAATCCTATCACTTTGGCCACCAGGTCTAGCCCACACTCAAAGGGAGGGGATTACACAGAGTGTGAATTTCAGGAGTTGGAGATCACTGGGAGCCATTTCAGAAACTGCCTACCACGGTGAATATCAGGGACAGCACAACTAGCAATGCCCCAGTGGCCTGATTATGCCATGTCAGACTCCCATAGGTGATGGACAACCACTGAAATATTTCACCGTTGAAGGGGAGACATAGAAATGTCACCCAGCAGCCTGAACAGAGAAAGCATTGGAAATGCAGCACTGGGTAGGGAGAGCTGTTGCAATGCAACTACCTCAAGGGATGGCCTCATAATGAAATGTTCATTGTGTCACTGGTAATCCAACCCAGAGGTCAGGGCCAACCTGAAGGGTCGTATCCCCTTTGGGCCCTGGGCCAAGCTTTATCTCCTGCTTGAAGCTATCTTCTTGTGTGCTGCTCTTGCCTTTTGAACCCATCCTTTAGAGACCAAGGCAGGCAACCCCATTCCTAGGGCACTGCTTATGCATCAGATGCCACTTAACGATGATGTCCCAGGCATTTCATTTATTCCCTAGCACACCTAAGGGGCAGGTACTGTTTGATGGAAGTGTGACAAGTGGTCACATGATAGGACAAAGGGGCATCAATGCCTTTGTGACCTCATCCTGGTGACCTCACCCCATCCACAGACCTGACTTCCTATCTTAAAGGCCCAGGAATTGGACATTTTTTGCCCTCAAATAATTGATATTTTAGTGGAAGCTAAAACCAAGATTCCTATGCTGCTGTGTGGCCCGGATGCCAGTTGATTGTTTTGCAACTGATACCAACTTCTCTGTTGGAATTTGAGGGAAACCCAATAAATAAATATACTTATTCCCCTCTCAAGTGCAGAATCAATTGGCAGATGCAAGAGAAAAACAGATGAGGATCAGCATGTCACCTTTATTACTGATGAACTGATTGGAGAGCTGTCTGAATATGCTCTGCAGCTAGGGCGATGGGGAGAGAGAGAAAGGGAGAGTGGGGAGGGCTAACTGAGCATGGTCTGCTCCTCCTCCCAAACCCACCAGCCAGATGAGCCATGCCTCCTACGCAGAGTGAATGAGGGGCTACAAGAAGGAGAATTTGTCTGTGGTCCTGGGACCAGGAGCATCAGTATCACCTGGGAACTTTCAGAAATGCAAATTATAGATCCAACTCCCAGAAATACTAAATCAAACTCTGGGGGTAAGGCCCGGCAATCTGTGTTTTAATAAGCCCTGCAGGTGATTCTAACACAGGCTTAAAGCTGAGAACCACTGGCCTTTTGGGAGTTGTTCCCCACAAGGCCCAGGAAGAAGTATTCCCCTGGAATATTTTGCCACCCGTGCCCACCCATTTCCTCCATTTCCTGAGAAAACATATCCCAGAGATAGGATTCACAGTTCCCACATTTGGTTTTTAGCTTCCAGCTGCTCCAAGGAATACCAAGTGGAGGCTTCTCATTATCTCCCTTCTTTCCTAAGGGAAAAAATGCCATGGATTTGGTGTCTTCTTTCTTGCAATCCTTTAGAGGGGCAGAGGGGTAATCCCCTTGTTGGCACTTGATAGTCTCTGAAGACCCTAGAATGATGAGTAACACAAAGTCAGAGATGGAAGCACGTGGTTCTCCACTACTGAAATCTCTCTGTGGCTCTCAGTTGCACTTAGATTTCCACATAAACCCCTTGCCAAGGCCTTCACCCTTCCAAACACATCTCGCCCATTTGTTCACACCTCCAGTTGCTCCGGCCTCCCTCTGTCCCTCTAATATGCCAAGCTCGCTTCTGCAAGGACCTTTGCACTTGCTTCCCTGCTGCTTGGAGGACTCTTCTCTTACACCTTGGCTTGTCTGGCTCCTTCTTGCCCTTTAAATCCAAACCCAAATGCCAGCTCCGCAGAAAACTTCTGACCATCCATTTCAAGTGCCCTCTATCCTATCTATCATCATTTATCTCATTACCCACGTTTATTTTCTAGTGAGTACTTTACCCTATCAAAAACTGATTCGATATATGTATTTGTGTTGTTTGTTTGTTTGTTTGTTTGTTAAGATGGAGTCTCACTCTGTCACCCAGGCTGGAGTGCAATGGTGCAATCTGGGCTCGCTGCAACCTCCACCTCCTGGGTTCAAGCAATTCTCCTGCCTCAGCCTCCTGAGTAGCTGAGATTACAGGCACGTGCCACCACACCTGGCTAATTTTTGTATTTTTAGTAGACATGGGGTTTCACCATGTTGATCAGGCTGGTCTCAAATTCCTGACCTCATGAAACACCCACCTCGGCCTCCCAAAGTGCTGGGATTACAGGTATGAGCCACCGCGCCTGGCCTATTTGTTGTTTTTTTAATTGTCTGTCTCTCCTCACCGGAACGTGAGAGATGAGGAACCTTGTTGTATTCCCAGCACCAGAATAGTTGCTGTTATATTGCAGGCATAAGATTTATGTAAATATCTGTTGAATGAATGAGTAAGTAAATTAATGACTACATGAACACAGAAAAACGGTTGAGGAGAGAAGGATCAGAGTTGAGTGATTCAGTCATCAAGATGGTGATGGGCCTGCCTTCCTCTTCTCAAGGACAGGAGCACCTGAGGCCAGCTGAGTGGGCCTGGAATGCTGGCACCACACCAGATTGTCCATCTACTTTTTCTCTCACCCATTATCTTAGGTCCAGGCTCCCCCAACTTCTCCTCCTCCTTCCCTCCCTCTCTCTCCATTGTCATTACATTACAGTCATTAGAAGCCAGCAGATTCAGACCCTCCTATTGTCTTTTTCATAAAGGACTGTTAATGGAGTTAGTTTTCAGCAGGGGAACTGCAAACTCTTGTCAAAACTCTGACTTGGCCACCCACATTCACATAATTAATCACACAGGAAACCAGAAAGGGGTGGCATGAGAGCTGGGGCCTAGCTGTGTGGGGGCCCTCTTCCCAGAGAGGAGTGTGGTACATCACACAGCTGCTGCCCACCAAGAGCCCACATTTCAGGCTGGAAACAAGACAACCCAACTGGAACTACTACTGGGTAATACAAATCAGGATCTAATTAGCACTGGACGGTGGGAGGTGGCCCTCCACCTTCAAGATGTTGGTAACAAGAGATTGGTAACAAAGGAAAGGAAATTAAATGGGGAAGGTAGAGGCTGGAGATAGAAACAAGATTAAAGACAGTCTCTTCTAGAATTATAAGGAAGAGGGCATTTATTGAGTAATGTATTCTCTATTGCTGTGTAACAAATTACCACAGACTTAGTGGCTTAAAACAAAATACACTCATATGGTTTAAACATTTATAGTTTTAAACTTACATTTATACAGTTTCTGTGGGGTCAGGAGTCCAGTAACAGCTTAGCTGTGTGCATTGCTTCAGGCCTTGGTCAGCCAGGGCCAAGTTCTCATCTGCTGGCTTGACTGGGGAAGGATTCACCTACCCACTTGTGTGGCTGCTGCAATATTAAGTTCCTTGTGGTTGGTGGACTGAGAACTTCTGTTTCTCACTGGCTAATGGTCTGAGGCCACCCTCAGCTTCTAGACATTTCCCACAGTTCCTTGTCATTCCTTGCCACATGGGCTTCTCAAACTTGACCACTTACTTCATCAAGCAGCAAGGAGAATCCCTAGAGCAAAGTGGCTAGCAATATATAGTATTATTTATCATCACATAATCACAGAAGTGACATCCCATCTCCTTTGCCACATTCTATGGGTTAGAAGAAAGTCACCTGTCCAGCCCACACTTAATAGGAGGGGATTATACAAGGGTGTGAACACCAAGAAAGGAGGAAAGGATTATGGAACAGCCACCCTAGAGTATATCCGCTATATTACCTATTAGATTTAGGACTGTGCCAAATACTTTTACATGTATTACCTCAGTTAATTGCTAAAACAACCTGTAAGGCAGGCATTATCCTCCTTGCACAGATAAGAACATGAGGCTCAGAGGAATGAGAACTTGCCCTAAGTTCTGCCAACATTAAGGTGGGGACCACCATATCATGGCATCAAGTGAACTTGTATGAGTGTACAGGCTGGAGGGCCAGCACCCTTATAGTAAGGAGCAAGGGCCCCAGGGAGGCAGGGAGAGGGCAGGAAGAGCAGGAGGGGGATAGCTCTCCGTGAGGGGTGAGACCAGGAGGAAAGGATTGGTATGGATTACATTTCAAGAATGAAGGAAACTGAGAGCACTTATATCTGAGGATCTCTATTTTCTCAATGAAGCAGAAAATGCGGGCGTCTCCTGAGAGGGAAGAGAAGCAGAGCCAAGTTGGAATAGCAGCTGTGGGGAATGCGGAACGGGAATTTTGCCAGCATGCCTACAAAGTTGTCAAGTGGAATAAGGCTGCTTCCTTCATGAAGACTGCAGCACAGGCTTGCTGGGTGGTCCCCAGTCCCTCCCCCATTACTTTCTGCATTCACTTTCATCATCTTGCTTTGCAGTGCTGCAATTTATGCCCAAGTCCATCTCTCCTGTCAGAAGGAAATTTTTTATAGGGCGGGAACTTAGCAGTAGTGCGTAATGTGCCTCCCTGTACCCAGCAAATGGCCTGGCACATGAAAATCCTCCACAAATGACCTGTTTGATTCCAGACCCTGAATTTCTAAATCACTGTATTACCTCTCATCCCCTAAAGGCTCATGCAGTTCTAAAAGACTGTTCAAAAATATGTATTTTTACTGTTCAGCGCAGTAGAGTAGAAAGTGTAGGTCCCTCTATCATGGAATAGGGGTCCTTAGAGGTGGAGTTAGGGAGATCTGTTGCATGTATAAACTGGTGACAAAAAAGCAGCTTTGCATTTTGGCCCAGTATTTTTGATGTCAAGAAGTCAGAAGAACCATTTCAAAATATTCCATTTCAATCTTTATTGATTGGTATGGAATGTTGCCTACAGTATATTCTTGCCTGAAAAATCTAGTTACCAGACAGACACTTACAGCACAATCCCATTTGTGTCAAATTATAGTCAAGTAGGAAAAAACCTAAGTCAAACCATGTCAGGGAAAAAATGAAATGTGTTGTTCATCTTCAATGAAAAGTTTAGGAGACTGTTCTGATGCCACAGGGATTCTAGCATCTCGGCCTCCTTCTTGGGCCCTATGAGATGGCAAATGGCTGTCCACATTCCCTGGACTGCGGTGTCCCCCAGGACTCCTTACACAGGTCCAGAGGTCCACCCTGATAGGACCAACTTGGGTCACATGCCCACCACTGAGCCAATGACTGTGGCCAAGGCGATCCTGCCCTCTTATCCAGCCTTGGTCACGAAAGGGAGTCAGAGTGCTATGAACAAGAGGAAGAGGAGTGGAGGCCACATATTATACATCTATCCACTGAAAAACGATTGATCTGGTTCCCCAGCCCCCTGCTTTTTTTTTTTTTTTTTGGTAAAATCTGCCCCTTGCCTCCTCCTGATTAGGGAACACCCCTGGGAGTTCACCCTGGCCCCACTGAGCGTATCTAAGTGTTGCTGGAAATCCTGGGTTCCCTCAGGCCTGTCTCAACTCAGATGCCATATGTTTCTCCTGGGGCCTCAAGTGTGAGCTTGAACTCTAGGCCTTCTAGCCCTGGCAGTCTTCCCAGTCCTGCCACTGCTTAGCAGAGTCAGACGTCATGTTCCTGAACCTGACACTGAGTAGGGTCCTCTCACCTGGATCACCACTCAGAACCACGGTGCTTCTACCTCCATGACTGCTGCTACTTTACACCTGGAGGCTCCCACCCAGTGGCCCAAGTCACACCTTTTGTTTACTGCTGACACTTCTCTCAAAGCCAGCCCTTCCCTCCCTTTCCCTCCCCTCCATTCCCCTCCTTTCCCTTCCCTTCCCCTCTCTTCCCTTCCCCTCCCTCCTCTCCTCCCTTCCCCTTCTTTCCCTTCCCGTCCTCTCCGTTCCCCTCCTCAGGATCAGTCTCTCCTCTACCAAGCCACTCCCTCCTCCACAAAGCATCAGTCACAGCTACTCTAATGCCACACATGAGACCAGGAACAGGAAATACGGTTGAATGGCATTTTGTTTTTTCAAACTGGATCCATCAGCTCTGCCTGACTCTTTTCCCTCTGCACCGGTTTCTAGCTGACATTCGGTACTTCTTCCTGGCATTACATTGTTTACGGTAGAGTTCAAGTTCCTCGAAGTACTTAGCTCTCAGGAGAGCCACTCTTTGCTCATAAGGGTGCTTCTCCAGGTCTGTCGCTGTTGACCACATCTTCCCTGTGGCCTTGGCCACCTGCACCACCGACCAGTTCGGGTTCTCCCTCTTCAGCTGAGCATAGTGGTCTTGGCAGAAGAGTAGGAAGGATGATGGAGGCCGTCTGGGTTCCTGGGGATCCCGCTTTCTCCGTTTCTTCCTCTTGCCAACATAATTCATCATTTCTTCCTGGTATCGGGCTTTGTCGAGTTTGGCCAGGGCTTCATATTTGGCCTTTTCATGCTTTGAGATGGATCTCCATTTTTCCGAACACTTTCTAGAGAACTCTTTAAAGCCAACATAGGTATTTGGCTGCTGCTCCTTGAATTTGTTTCTGTAATTCAGCAAAAAGTGAACGTAAGAAGAGACATTTGCCTTAGGCTTTAGCTGGATTTCTTTTCCCATGTTCGTAAGTTCACCTTTTTTCTGGATTCAGTAACGTGGACAGGAGAGACTGTTGTTCCCACACTCCAGGAGCAATCTAGAAAGTGCTGTACTTGCAGCGAATTTTTCTGTCTGCAAGAGCTGTAGTCAGGGCTCAGCCTTTTCAGTGCTGATGGCATTGTTGAGTCAGAGGAGGGAAACTGTGACATCATCCACAAGCCAGCCAATCCCAGCCAACACCTGTGGGCATTTGTGTACAGGTGCTCGTATTGGTTGGTTACTTGAGGGTCAATGTTTGCCTCTCATGAAAGATGATGGTTCATTCATAGTAGGCTATGAGGCAGCTATGTCCCCCAGAAATAATTCTCCTTGGCTTCCTGGAGGCAGTGGGTTTTGCTGCACTTTAGGGGCTTAAAATCCCTAGGCTGTAGTGACAGGCCATGGGGTCTGCCTTCCTCACTATACGATTTTCAGGATGCCTCATCATCCCTTCCAAAGACAGGCTGAGCATAATGAACATGGGGAGGTGGATAGATCCAGGGCTGTCATGATAAAATGTGAAGTGTTTCTGTTTGCCTTGAACAGTGGCAGCTCATGCCATACAAAGGGTTTAGTAGTAACTCTAAAAGTAATCAGGTATGACAGCTGTGACTTGGTTCCTGTCAGGACAAAGTTGTCTAATTTAAAACCTGAGCACTTGGGCTATGAGTTGGAACTCTTCATTTCTCTGAAGAAATGTGAGGCGAAAGAGGGGGGAGAACCTTGAGATTTTATTAATTAACACTGGAGTTCATGAAAATGAAATGGAATTTGTAGCACATCCAGAAGCCTCCCCACTCTCATGTGAGGGGTCCCCATTTCTTAGGTTTAGAACACAAAGCTGTAACAGCTACACTCAAACTGGCCGGCTTCTGGCTTTTGGTCAAAGTAATTGCAGATATTCCACTAGTCTTTCAATTGGAGGGAAGAGAAAAGATGAAAAAGTGTCATTCTGGGGGCCTTTGGACACTGCTAGGTACTTGCCTGTGTGGCACTGGGTTTAATATCACTTAATGGTTGATGATAGCCCCAAATTTATAGGACTAGAAAACTGAGTTTCATTAACATAAAAAGTAACATGTTCAAGGTTGAACAGCCACTCACAGGTGAGAGTGTGGATTTTGACGGCTGATTGCTTGACCTAAGCCTGTGCTTCATCCTGCCTGCACAGAGCTGTTGCCAGGGCACTGAGGGTCCAGATATGTGGTCTCAGCAGCTGAGCCGGACAAGGAAACTTGCCTAAGACTAGACCATATTTTGAATTTTTCCAGGTTCATTCCCAGGGTTCCAAGACTTCAGTGTTCATCTTCTGTAAAAGAAAGATGGAAACTAATAAGAGTCTCCAATCCTGAATTCTTGCCCAGCTCTGCTGCAAGGTGGCTGGCCTACCTAAGCCATCCCCTTCCTCCCTGTGAGCCAATGATCTCTCATAAATTGAGCATTCTGGACTGGCCAGGGAAGCCCCTCCAGGGGACAAGCTGTAGTTGTGTGGCAGGATTTGGGGGCCTATAAGATATCAGGTGCCATCAAGGAAGTCTGGGCTAGTAGGGGGTCTCGCAAAGGAACGGATTACTCTGGGGACACTTCTCAGCCTAGGTAGCCTTTTTCCCCCTGGCTCTTTCTCCCAAGGGGCCAGAGGTTGACTCACACATTTTTTGGACATGAGCAGGGCTGCCTAGATGAATGGGACACAGCTCCTTTCTGAGATCAAAAGATGGGACATGAGGAAGAACTTTAATGAAAGTCCACATATTCATCAGACTCTGCTCAGGCTCAGACACACACACACACACACACACACACACACACACACACACACACACACACACAGAGTAGCTTATCTGTGCCTCTTAACCTTCCATCCCTCTCATGATAAGATCCAGGAAGATTAACCCACAATAGCTATCGGGAAGCTAGCAGATTTAAGAAGAAAAGGCAGTAAAAGGGAAAAGCTATGTCAACCTTTTGGTGTTGTCAAAGTTCCAACTTGGAGGATGAAGCAGGGGAAGTCCTTGTTTAGGGGAGCTTAGGAAAGGTAAATAAATCTGGCTTCCTAAATCAATGCTGTGTGCTGGGTATCTAAGAGTTGCCCTTCCAGATCCCCTTTCCAGCCTTCTCCAACCTCTCTTCAACCTTCTCTGGCCTGGGAAGCTGGTCTGTATGAGCCACATCAGAGGATCCCATACCCTCTGGTTTCCATCTCACTTTGGTCAATGGGGCCCTCAGGAGATCAGAGATGGAGGAAAGTTAAGTCAAGGCATTTATTCTCCTGGATCCCCACCCCAGGGTCACTTGGAGCTGGTTCTGTGTCCCTGGACTGAAGGTCACTGGTCCTCATAAGGTGTCCTCTCTAAATGACTCTCTCCTTCCAGTACAGGCATTGCCCCCTTTCTTTATCTCCTCCTGCCTAGGGTGGTAAAACTCTACTTTTATGAGCCTCTGAGGTCTCTGCTACTTTCCCACACTCTGCCCTCACCAATCATTTTAATTTGAGTGGCCATCTGTTTCCTGCGGGGACCCTGACCAAAGTACCATGGTTTTAGCCTTTCACCATGTAGGCATCAGTTTAATAGAGAAGAGTAATGAGCTTCTGGAGATCCAAGTGCCTGGCAGTCACACAGCCTAGAGCAAGCATGCCTGCAAGGACAGTAGCATGACCAGACCACATGCCCGGGAAGAGGTGTCCAATATTCCCTAGATTATGAGATGACCTCCAGGCAGGAGCATTGGTCTAGAGGGCCAGGTAGTAAATATGATAGGCTTGGTGAACCACAGGGTTTCTGTTGCAGGTACCCAGCTCTGCCACTATACCTCGAAAGTAACCATAGAAAATACCTAAACCAATGAGTGTGGCTATGTTCCAATAAAACCTTATTTTTAAAAAATAGGCTGCAAGCTGGGGGTCGTAAATCTGCCAACTCCTCGTCTACAGATGTGAGTTCAGTATTTTCAAACATCTTGATTGCAGTCTGCAATAAGAAATACATTTTACATCATGACTCGTTTACATACATACATACTTAATATTTATATAATGCTTAATATGAGCCAGTCTCTCTTCTAAGCACTTTATGTACCTCATTCCATTCAGTCCTCATAACAAGCCTATGGGAGGGCTATTTTTATCTCCATACAAGGATAAGTGAATTCAGATGAAGGTAGCAAAGCACAGAGAAGATATAGAGATAAAAAATTTCTACTTGTGTGACATACTCTTATTTTCTACTCTGTTGTAGTCACCTTTACTTTATGTTGTTATTTAAAATGCCACCCACAGACTGACCTCATGACCCACTGATGGGTCACACTCCAAGAATGGATTTGAAAAACACTGTCCAGACAAGCTGAGAGGGAGCTTCCGCCTCGGAGACTGTGAGATCCTCTTTACTTGGTGGCAGTAACATGAAGTGGAAAGAACATGGCCTTTTAAGCCAGACACATATAAGTTCAAATTCTAGCTTTGCCATTTACTAGCTGAGTAACTTTGGGCAAGTCTAGCTCATTACAACCATATCTCTAAAAAGTAGTGAGGTGATAATAAAGCCATGAGGATTAAACAAATTGAAATGATAGGAATAAAAACAGATGGCACTCCCCCTCTCCAGTGTGGGCTGGACTTAGCCACCCACTACTAATGAATAGAACATGGAAAGGGACAAATAGTAACTTTACAGCGGGGAAATCTGGCAGACACCACTTTAACCAAGTGATCGAAGTAAGCATCATCAATAACAGGTCATGTTGAGATCACAGAACCCCTTTCTGTGTTGCCATAATAACAGCATCTCACCGCCATGATATTCTTCCCAAAAATCCATAGCCAAGGTCTATGAAAAAACATTAGACAAACTGAAATAAAGAACATTCTACCAAATACCTGATCAGTACCCTTCAATAATGTCAAGATTTTAAAAAACCAGGGCAAGGCTAAGAAACTGATGCAGATTGGAAGAAACCAAGAAGACAGGACAAATGCAATGAGAGATGCTAGACTGAATCCTGTGACAGACAAAAAGTGGGCCACTGGTGGAAATCTGGGGAAATCTGAATAAAATGTTTCATTTAGTTAATAGTACTGTACCATTGCTGATTTCTTAGTTTTTATGCATGACCCAGGGTTATGTAAGATGCCAACATTAGGGAATCGGGGTGAAGGGTATACAGGACATTTCTGTATGATCTTTGCACTCTTATTTCAAAATAACATTTTTTTAAAGAAAAATCTTTCCAGTTGATAGCAATGTGCAGCCAGGGTAAAGACACCCTGCTCTTGATCCATCATCTCCAGGAATCACAGGGCCAGATTTTACCCTCAATTACAGCAGCATATGCTCTTAGCATATCTCTGTCAAAGTATCTCTCAGATTTTGCAGCATGATGGAATCACCTAAGCTTTCCAAAACCCTCAGTGCTCAGGCCACAGCAACAACAGCAAACATACCTGGCATAAGCATGTGTATGTCAAATGCTTTGAAACTTCCTTCATCCCCCTCCTGCCCCTTCCTCTGTGGAGTGGGACTCACTGGTTGCATTTACCCTCTGAACAAGGCATCTGCAAGTGGCAGAAGAATGCCTCTCCAAAGATGCTGGCGTCCTAAGCCCTGAAACCTGTGAATTTGTTCCTTACTTGGTAAAAGGGACTTTGTAGATAAGATTACTCTAAGGATTTAGAGCTAGGGAGATGATCCTGGATTATCAGGTGGGCCTGATAGAATCACATGGCCTTTGTAAGAGGAAGGCAGGAGTGTCACAGTCAGAGGAGATGTGATGAGAGAAGCAGAGGATCAGAGGTGGAGAGAGATTTGAAGATGCTACACTGCTGATATTGAAGACAAGGGAAAGAGGCCACAAGCCAAGAAATGCAGGTGGCTACTAGCAGCTGGAAAAGGCAAGCAAAAGGATTGTCCCCTAGTGCCACCAGAGGGGCTCAGTCCTCCCCACACCTTGATCTTGGCCTGCTGAAACCCATTTTGGATTCTAACCTCCAGAATTATAACACAATAAATTTGTGTTCTTTAAGCCCTTAAATGTACAGTTATTTGTTAAGGCAGCAATAGGAAACTAGCACAGTATCTTTCTCCTCTGGCTGCTGGTCTGTAACTTTTCTTCTGCCATTCTTAACCCCTGCTTGTGTTAATGAAGAAGACACATTTGAGGGTGAAAGTTTTATACCACGGCATATTCAATTTGTTGAGGGAAAAGAACATGATATATTCAATCCTGCACACTCTTCTTCACTCGCTGACTCATTAAGTCACTAATTCACTAATTCACTTAGCAGTTAATTCACTCTTACGTTCTTTCAGTTCATTCACTCACTCATGTACTCACACACCCATCTCAATAAATAGCTGTTGAGTTGCTGGAGCAGTGTGGCTGCTGCTTTGATGGCCAGTGATGAACAGTGTTTGAGGGATGGATGTGTCCCAGGAAGGAGGGTGGTAGTCCAGGGAATCATCTGAATTCACTTGGATCGCTACATAGTAAGAAACCAGATAGGGAGGCCAGGCCATAAGCAGTCAGTCCAAGGCTCTTTGGCACTGACCTCGTGCCAGGAACTGTTAATCAATCAGATGTGAGCACAATATTTTAATAAAAATGATGATCATACTTTGGGTACATCATCTCTGGAAGCCTGGAAGCGTGAAAAGAGAGATTAATTTATCCAAGGCCACACAGCAATAAGTGGCAGAGCCAGGCTTCGAACTCAAGCTTGTTTGACCCCTTGGCTCATATGTTTAGCCTCTACTGGTAGTCTAGGAACTCCCTTGGCTGGGGCTAGGGTAAGGAAGCAACTGGGAAGGAACAAGGCCAAGTATTGCAGGAGGAGGGAAGAAGGAAGGAGAAAAAGTTATCTAAATTTCAACGTTTAAAAGATTCAGGTGAGTCTTTTCTAATCTGGGTTGATCCTCATTCTGGATAGATCTAGTCAACTTATCTCTAGGTCATGGGATGTTCTAAGTCCAGGAGGTCAACTGACTTGGATGACCCATAGAACTTCACCAGCATCTGAAGATAAGCACGGAGCCTGCATCTACTCCCAAGGGCAGAGGCTTGCCAAAGCCAGGCGAAGTGTCAGCACCCAGCCCAATGGACTAGTGGGCAGGTGGGCAGGCAGTGGTCAGATGATTAGACACAGAATGGGATCAGCCTGGTTGGGGGATGCCTGGCTACCTATGAAAGGATACAGGACAGATCTAGAACAAGACCAACTCTGGGTTGATAACTCACACAGTGATCTATGGATACTCCTCACAGGTCTTTAAAAACCTACTCCTTTATAGCATAGGAGAGTGGCCCTGATTATTCAGTCCACCTACTTCTCTTTCATCCACAGTAGACATCTTTTGTTTTGTCTGCCTAGCACTCCTCACTTCTTTTGAGCACATTCCTTCTTTTGGAGAATTGTCCCCAAACTAGTCATGGGGTTCTAGTGGAGGCTACCTCCTTGGCCCCAGGAATGGGTACATTCCCCAGCTAAACTAATCAGAGGCCTCTGATGGGCTTTTTCTAATTAGAGTCACGGAGAGAGATTGTCATCTCTCTAGTGGTGAAGGTGAGAGAGTGAATCACAGAGCTACTAAGGGTGGTCATGGCTCCAGCCTCAAGCAGCCGCCATTTGCAGTAGAGAGAATGATGCCAGCAGGCAGAGCACAACAGAGATGGGGCACCGAGAGAGGGCCTTTGTAGCATCTGAGTTCTTGGTTCTGGCCATCCCTGGGGCCAGCTACAACTCTACTCTTCCTATGGTTTAGCTACAATCCATAGCAGCCAATCATTTCTTCTGTAGGTGGATGTGATCTGGATTTCTCCCATCTGAAAGCCAAAGTATAAGGCATTAATCCAGGTGGACGGCAGCAAGCAATACAAGAAGAGAGGAATTCTCCTCTCCCCCATTTTTGATGCTTTTTGGGCACATGCTATGTGCCAGGCACCTTTTATATGCATCACCTCACTTAAACCTTTTAACCACTCAATGAAGTGGGTGCTGTTATTATCCTTACTATATAGATGGGGAAACTGAGGCCTAAAGCAGGTCAGTTACTTGCCCAAAGTGAGACAGTAAGTTTAGAGCTGATGATACTTGAACCCAGGCAGTCTTCTTCTAGGGCCTGCGTGCTAAGTCTCTACCCCAAATTAGTTTCTACTCAGTAAATATTATTCCCTTTGCCTACGAGTCTACCTTGCTGTACAGAGATATGGCAGGGCCAAGAATTGTAGATGTCGTGTCTTGAGGCCTTAGAGGGAACTTTGTGAGCGTCACTCACAATCGCACTATGAGATATAAACTGGGGAAAGAAGGGCTCAGAGAAGTGAAGCCACCTCTCCAAGGTCACATGGCCAGCAGACAATGAAGGCAGGATTAGAACTCAGCTCCATGGGACTCTAGGACCACTTGCTCACTAGCCTTAGTGTGTGTGAGATGTTTAGCCCACCCATCCTCCAGCTGTTGGGCAGCTCACTCATTCTTCTGGACATCAGAGCTGCTGATCTCTGGCAGGGACCACTAGCTGCCTCCTAACAGGGGAAGGGACATACATGATGCTCAAACTCAGAGTGGCAGTTAAGTGGCAGGCACACACTGATGTGGGCAGCTCCTCAAGAAGCCATTTACAACAGTCCCTCTGGGTGAGAAATAGTACTAATTACAAGCAGCGGAGGCTTCTGCAAGGCAAGCGGTGCCACCCTCTATGGCAGGAAGCAGGTTCCTTCTCCAAGTCATGTCTGCCAGTGACAGGTGGAAAGTGGGCAAGGCTGGGAAAGCAGGAGCCAGTGGAGGCCAGGCTGGGGTTCCCCAGAGAAAGAGGGAAGTTGATGGCCAGGTGTACTGGCTGGTCTGGGTACCACAGAGTGCCCTGTCCTTCTACCCCTGCACTGCTCTATCACCAGAGTAGATGCAGGTGCCTCATTTCCCTGGAGAAAACTAAGCCAGGCTGCTCTGCGGTCTACTCTGAAGGGTTGGGTTCAAGGCATTGGTAAGATCCCACCACCTCTTCTCAAACCCCAGCAAGGCAGGGGGAAAATAGTTCACATTTGTGAGGCACCTACTGTATGCCAGGCACAGACTTGGACACATTATACACATGAGCACTGCTGCTCAGAGGAATCCCATTGCACAGATGAGGAAACTGAGGCTCAGAGAAGTTACGTTGCATGCCCATGTTCACACAACTAGGAAACAGTAGAACGCAGATTCAAATATAGCACTGTCTGGTTCCGAAGGCCTGGCCCTTAACCCTTAACCTTTTTAAACCTATTGCTTCTGTGAGGAACAAGACAGGTGATGAGCCAGATAGGTGTCATCTTTACTTAGGCAGAGACTCCAGTCAGGAAGAAGAAGAGGGTTGAGTAGAGTTGAGTGTGAATATGCTGTAGTCACCACGCTCTTGAGGCCTGCACCCTGTTTCTGGGCCAAGCCTGATGGGGATAGGCTTTAACATCCTAGAGCATGGAGGCTGCCAGTCCTCAGGACTGCCTTCCCGGATCTCAGATCTGACATATAATAGAGACTTGGGCTGGGGACAGGGGACAGCCAGCTAAAGCCTCAGCAGCTGGTCAGAGTGGAGACTGCTCTTAGATTCTGTCCAGTCAGACTGACTCCTGGAGGATAAATGTACAAGGTTCAGGACATCATATAAAAGTAATAAGGGCAAGTTGGGGAGGCAGCAACAGAAGTGGAAGAAATGATGCTAGGACACCATTTCCCAAATCTCCCCTGGGAAAGCCAAGCCTGTGGGGTCTTCTCCTCATTAAAGTGAGTACTCAGCCCTTCTCTCCATCCAAACCTCAAATGGGGGCCATAGGGACCTACCTTCCTGATAGAAGTTCCATCAGCTCATTGGCCCAGCTTGGGACACATGACCACCAGGATCCAATCAGCTGTAGCCTATGGGTCATATGATGTACATGGCTACCCCTGTCAGGAGCTGTGGGTTGAGGGAAGGAGACTGATCTTCAAAGGCTTCTGGTCTTCATAAGAGAGTAGAACTGCCTGATTTAGACCTGGAGACAGTAAAGGACGGAGTGGGCAACTCAGAAAAGCAGCTGGGGATCCACCCACAAGCCTCTTCACCCAGAGCTTGGCATCAGCACCAGTTCTGATCTTCAGACCCAACCCTGTTCTGTCACTTCAGCACGATGGGAAGATCCTCTCTATAGAGGCAGGAAACACCTTACCCATCAGCTCTGCCAGCTGAGCAGCTGAGCTAGCAATGGAAGGAAACTGACACACCAAGCCACCCCTAGACCTTCGCAATATGCCACCACCCCATACACAAGACCCAGCGTGTTGGTGAGGAAGCCCTCATCCCGGCAACAGCCAGGCTCCCTGTTCCTCAGCACTCCAAGCCTCAGACATGTGTCCTCCAGAGAGCCGTGCATCTGGAGGAAAAACATTTACCTGATGTGGTTTCTGTGGGTTCCCTGGAGCTAACAATTAGCTGAGCAAGAAAGAGTTCTGATAATTTGTTGAGTTTATTGAGTTGCTTCTGGGGAAAGGGGAACATTTGCCCACATTGATTAGCAGACCTCACTGTTGCTGCTTTGGGGATAGGTCAGCATGAGAAGAATCCCCAGGAAGGTACCAGCAGCTGCTAAGTGAAGCAGGTAGTGGGGCACAGCCAGAGCTGAGGAACTAGGACTGGGGAAGCATGTCTTGACAGGAGTGGGCAGTGCCATGGGAAACCCGGGTGAAGCCCGCGTGGCACTGGAGGCCCTCCCTCCTATTCCCTGGCTCACCTGCTCACTGCCTCTTTCTCTGCTTTTCCCCACATGTAACCTCTGCTTTCACCAGCAGGCTCTCATTCATTCATTCATTCGGCCAATCATCCCTTCTTCCACTGAGTGATATTTACTGAGCCCTTTCTTTATGTCAAGCACTCTCCAAGGTACCAAAGAAAGAAACAGCTCCTGTCTTCAGGGAGCTCATAGTTCAGCAATGCATGGTGAGAGAAGCACTATGGTGGAGAAAGTGCAGGGTGCCCAGAGGGGACAAAGGAGAAGTAAACCAGACCTAGCAACAAAGGACAGGTTTCCTGAGCCAGGGGCTGATACACCTGCACGATGAGTAGGAAGTAGCTAAGAAAAGAATGGGGATGGATCAAGATTGGGAGAGAGAATTTGGCAAGAAGGTAAATTCTTAATTGTTGGGAACATTCAAAATAGATCATAATTGACCGTTTTTCAAGAATGCTGTGGTTGAGACTCAAATATAGCTGGGCATTAGACCTAGAAGACCTTTGAAGTCCTTCTCAAATCTCAGATTTTAAGGTTAGCTGGTTCCCACTCTCCTGATAGCAGAGGGGATGTAATTCGATATCCCACCACTGAAAGTAAGCTACTGCTGTTTGTTCATTTATTCATTCATTCACAAACATGTCCAATAAAAGTGTTCTTAACCCACCCTGCCTCCCCCAAAGAAGCCAGCTGGACTACCCAGCACTCCCATGGCCTCAGTAGATCTTCCTGACTGGTGCCCATGGCACCCCCAGCAACTGCTGCCAACAGGCAGTCTCCCACCCCCACCCTCAATGCCTGTGCACTTCTGCTCCTATCAGCTGAGTCTTGCACTTTCCGAGATTCAGTTGGGTTTGTTGCCAAGTCTCTCAGTGCCAGTCATACTTGTTATTGTAATTATGTGATTTAAATTAAACATCACATAAACTGATGAAATATGAGTGTGAAAGGAAATATAGTTGCATCTATGGAAACTAAATTGAATGCTTTGGAATGATTCCATGAAGGAGAGTCTCTTAAAAGAATTGCTTACTAAATATTAGGTGTGAGTGAATGAGACAACTGTACCCCACTGGGTAAATTACATGAGGGGAGGGGGATGGGACAAAGCATCCTTATCACCTTGATGAGAATGGATGTCAATTTCTGGCACATAGTAGGTGCTCAAGAAATATTTGTTGGCTGGACGATCTGTAGCAACATTTGAAATGGTGAATGATGCATTGTGGTTGTAGTTTATATAAGACAGACAATGTGGAGAACAAACCCATGATCAAAGGGAAGGCCTTGGTCCTGCATTAAACTGATTGGCAAATAAATGTATGCTTAAGTGTTTTACATTATAATGAAATGTTGAAGCTACATCTGTGTCCTTTTTTATGATTCCCTACTTAGAAATTAAATTTTTATTTACCAACCAACTACATCATCTGTGAGGCTTCTATGGTAGGAATTAGCAAACTTTTTTTTCTGTAAGAAGCCAGAAAATAAATATTTTGGGCTTTGCAAGTCATCATCTTGCACAACTCCTTAACTCTGTCATTGCAATGTGGAAGCAGCCACAGACAATTTGTAAATGAATGAATGGGCATGGTTGCAATCTGGTAAAACCATATTTACAAAGACAGGCAGCAAGCTATAGTTTGCCAACCCCTGTTCTATGAAATGTATTTGTTCTGTGTGCCAGGCACTGTGCTGTGCACCAGAGATACTGAGACAAAAAGAAGATTTTATTCCAGCTCCCATGGAGCTTGCCTGCTAGTTGAAGAGATGGTCAACTCAAAAGATGAGTACAATTTGGTATGCCCAGGATCATGGCAGGGCCATGTCCACTGGGGGCAGGGAGAGGGAGAGATAGAGGAAAGGAAATATTTAGTTAGGTTTATAGGATCAGTGATATTTTCCCAAGTAGCCAGGTGGGGCAACAGGAAAAGGGCATTACAGGTAGAGGGAATAGCATGTGCAAAGGTCTGGAGACACGAAAGTACTAGTCGCATTCCAGGATGTACAAGCCATTCTGTGTAGCTGGATCTCAAAGTGTGTGTCATTGAAGAGGAAAGACATTAAAAAGCTTGGACTTTATTCTGGAGCCAGTGGGTTCAACCATTGCTGCTGGCTTTCCAGCAATGCAGGGATTTGATCAAAATTCCCCACAAAGTATGGAAGATCGATCAGAGGCAGAGGGCAAATCAGAAGCCCATCTCTGTAGTCCAGGTGAGAAACGATGAGGACATGAAATGGAGAAGACTTGGCCACAATTGGCGATAGGGGTGAAGGAGAGTGGGGAGTTGAGGATGCTGCCTGGGTTGGGTGACCAGGAGGATGGTGTAGATTAGGGGGAGCAGTTGCACTAAGGAGCAGAAACGACTGGGGGAAAGCTTTGGTTTGTTCAGAGCATAGTAACCAACCCCAAACACATACTAGGTAGCCGGGAATTGAATCTTTAAAGGCTGGCTCAGATCTTTCAGAGCTGTCCACACAACCAGGGTGGGCAGGCACTGCTGGTAAAAAAAAAAGCCTTGGGAGGCTGAGGGGCCTCTTTTCAAAGATAAGGCCCAGCAACTCATATTCAAAAGAAACTTCCATTTGTCCCAGGCATTCACTCAGTTCCTGGAAAATATATAACATCATGGGATTGTCTTGGGGAAAGAATTTATCTTGACATAGCAAGTCCTAGGAGTTTAGCTAAAGGAAAACTGATTTTGGAAAGCATTTTGATAAGAATGGGTGTCAAGGCTGAGTCATTAAAGGTTTGCTTCAGGAATGAGAGGTGGCTTAGGTTTGG
The DNA here is from genome assembly GCF_000001405.40 of Homo sapiens. Taxonomy (NCBI): domain Eukaryota; kingdom Metazoa; phylum Chordata; class Mammalia; order Primates; family Hominidae; genus Homo; species Homo sapiens. Next base: position 33,851,653 of record NC_000001.11, on the reverse strand, counting down.
CAGAGGAGGGATCAGCCTCAAACAAGGGCCTTGGGACTATTTGCCCACCACTGACAAAGACATTTTCAAAAGGGTTTCTCTGATTGTATCCTGGTGTCCTCTCCATTCATCAGGGAGGAAAGCAGGTGACAGGTGGGAAGGGAAGAGGGCTTGGGAGTGGGGATAAGGTGGTGAGGACCTCCTATATTTCACATTCTCCTAGGCCAGCCTTGGGGATGGGGAGGGATGGTTTATACTTAGTACTGGGATGCAGAAGTGCTTCAACTCTGAATCAGACCAGGGCCATGCACATAGCTTACTTAACAGATAATGCCCACAGGAGATGCTCTGGGAGGACAGAAGCCAGATGCTATTGATGGAGAAGGAATGGAGGCTGAACAGAAAAGAAGGCATTGCAGCTGAATCGTGTACATTACAGGCTTTTCAGGGACTCCCTATATCTAGGGAACCACAGTGGGAGTGGCCCTCACTTGCGAGCACAGTGCCTTTTACAAAATATGTGCTTGGTGATTGCGTGAATGAATGTTCTCCTGAAGATGTCAGTTTTCAGGGATGCTAAGATTTAAACTAAGATCTCCTAACACTCCTCCCCCTCGACTTACAATTAGGCAGCAATTCCTTGCACAGTCACTGTTGTCATCTTGATGGGGGTATCTCTCAGCTCCCCAACATCCCGACTGCATGAGAAGCTTCTTAAGAAGAAATGCTTCCCACAAAATCTGCTCTGAGCTCTTCTTCATGAAGGGAATGGCTCAGAGCTTTCTGCAGAGGAGCTCAAAGCCACTTTTCTATAATCAACTACATGCATTACAGGGAGTGATTTTTTTTTAATTCTTCCCAAGCCAGATTCCATTAATGAAGCCCCACTTAACAGAAGTCAATTTACCAAAAAGAAAAAAAAAATTGAGTGTAATTGCTTAAATACATTTTATGTTGTACTGCAATAGCAATTTTCTGGGTGAACTTGGAATTCCCCAAGCCCCCCGTAGTGAAGTTAATGTGGACAGAAAGGTTTGAAAGGGAGAATCTCTCTTTGTGTTTCTCTCCTTTAATTATGATTCTAAGAGGGAGCAAAATTAAAGAGGATCCTGGGGGAAGTCAGGAGGGGGGAGAAGAGGAACAGAATGGAATTCAGCCTAAATGATTCCACTGCCTTCCTTCATGCTTGCATGTACATGTGAGTGTAATGCAGTGGCTGAATGCATAGGCTCTGGATGGGATGGCTGGATTTAAATCCCACCTCTGCCACTTAATAGCTGTGTGACCATGAACAAGTTTCTTTACCTCTCTGTGCAGCCAGGTGGTACAGTGAGAAAAGGCATAAAGAGCATCAAGGGCAAAGACAGAGAAGCACAAAAGAACAACGTGTATTCCTGAATACATGAACTCTTCTGTTTGACGGGAGAACTGTGTGTGTGTGTGTGTGCGTGCACACTCAGGGTGAAAGGCAGGCAGGAGTCAAACCGGGAAGGCTTCACTGAGAAGGTGACATTTGTTCAAAGCCTTGGAGGAAGCGAGGGGCTAAGCCAGGTGGAGTTCTGGGAGAAGTGCCAGTGTAGCAGGCAGAAGGGATGTCAACTGCAAAGACCCTGAGGCAGGAGCAGGCCTGGCCAGTTTTGAACAGTGAGGAGATATCTGTGGCTGGGGCATAAAGGGTAAAGAGGAGGAGGCAGGAAAAGGAAAGGAAGAGTGGCTTTTTCAAGGCCTTATAGGCTATAATAAGGTCTTTTACCCTGAGGATTGGATCCATTGAAGGTTCGTTTTGTTTTGATTTGTTTTTCACTAACTCTATTATAATATAGTTTACATAAAATAAAATTACCATTTATTTTATTTACCTATTTACTTATATTTTGGAGATGCTATCCAAAATATAAGTAAATAGGTAAATAAAATGGGGTCTCACTGTCTTGCCCAGGCTGGTCTCCAACTGCTAGGCTCAAGCAATCCTCCCCGCTTGGCCTCTCAAAACCCTGGGAATACAGGCGTGAGCCACTGTGACTGGCTGTAAATTACCTATTTTAAATGTACAGTTCCTTGGAGTTTGCCCAATGTGTACATCTCATCTAATCAACATCTCATTTGAGATGTAAGACATTTCCATCACCCCCAAATGTTCCTTGCACTATTTCCCAGCCAGGCAGTCCCCAACCTTTATCTCTCACCCCCAGCTCTGACAACCACTAATCTGCTTTCTCTCACTAAACTCTTTTGCAGAGTTTCATATGAATGAGTCACTCAGTATATACTCTCAGTATATCCTCTTTGATGGCCCAACATAATGCTTTTAAGAGTCATCCATGTTGCAGGTATTGGTAGCTGGTTCCTTTCATTGGAGAGTTTCGAGCAAGGCATGACACCATCTCAATGGCAGAGTCTGATGTGATGATTCTGCCATGTAAGCCCCCAATTCTTTGATAGATGCCAAGAAAACTCTCAACTGCCCAACATTTGTGTCCAGGGAGGTAGGAGCAGAACAGAGTAAAGCTGCATGGGCAACACAGGGCCCTGAGAGTTTAAGCCTCGGAAATTAACAGTTAACAGGATTTCTAGGAGTGGGTAAATGTGTGGGAGAAATGGGAGGTGGGAGATGCCCCTTAGGGCTTCTCCTGATCTCACAGGCCGGGGAAGTCTCACTGACTTCCTGCTGCAATCTTGATCATTAATCTCATCCTGCTCTTGAGACCTCAGCACCCTCCCCTCATTCCATTTTGCAATAAAGAGCTTTTGGTCCTGAATTATTCAGGTAGATTCTCCCTACTTCTACTTCCCTTATATAAATAGCCTCCAAGCTTTGTCATTGAGATAGAATTGAATTTGGCCTGGAGAAAAAAAAAAAAAAACCCACAATACGTTTGTGGCTCCTTAGAAAACTTAAATGACTCAGTCTGTAATAAACTATTTTAAATGGGATCTGGTGAAATACAGTAATTGGTTTTTATAATAGTTTTTACCATAGCGGTATGGGTTATATTCCTGAAGTTTGGTGTGTGTCAGCATTTTCATTTAGTAAGAATTCAGTTTTGCAGTGCGTGAAGCTCCTTGGTTAGTTCTTTTGTTTAATGCATATTTATGAAGACCCACTATGCTGGATGTCTTCCATTTGCACCTCCAGATCCTCTCCCTTGCCTTCTCCTTGCTCCATGCCTGAGAATACTTACCTAAGGGGCTGCATCAGTATGCTCTCTTGCTCTCTGGCTTCCAGTTGGGCTAGATCAACAGGAGAATCAGTGGGAGACTGGAGGAGGGGAAGGAAGAGAGTGAGTTCTGCGTATTCATTCTTTGCCTCCTCTTGATGGGCTTTTCACAAATTGGCTATAGCCCCAGATTGTGAAAGAAGATCTGGGTCCTATATGGTGTCTTCTTACATGCAGCCCCCTGTTTGGAGATAACTATTTTCTCTCTGCTCCAGGATTGGGAGTGGTAACAAGTCCCTCAGTTGCCAGCCCCAGGATACTGCCCCTCCCGGGTGGTTCCCCCATAGTCGGCCCTCACCTTTATAGTTCCAAGAGTTTGATGAATGACTGTTTCACATAGGATATAAGGACCTATGTGAAAGAGTATAGAGAAAGGGTATAAGGACCTATGCAAAAGAGTCACTCATCAAACTCCTGGGACTCTTCTTACATGACTGTGACACCTGTTTTCTGCTGGAACCCTGAAATGCCTACTTTGTGTCCAGTATGGTGTTAGAAGCTGGAAATCAAGATGAAGAATGGAACAGCAGCTGCCGTTACTGACAGCTTGTTATTGCCAGGGACTGTGCTGAGATCTTCTTTTGTGTATTATCTCATTTAATCCTTGCAAGCTTTTGAGGGAGGGGTCATCATGATCCCCATGTTTTAGATAAGGTCACTAAGTCTCAGAGGGTTTCTGTAGTTTTCCTGAGCTCACACAGCTGATCCCTCCAGAGCTCAAGTTTCTTCACTACTAGGCCACATTGCCCCCTTTGAGGAGTTATCTTAAGGAAACCACACACTTCTATAACTGAATTATAATTTGAATAAAATGTTGTGGCATCACAGAGGAAGACAAAGGAAAATTATATTTATTAAGCTAACATGTGCCAGATACTGACCTCGATTCTTTGTGCGTAAGATTTCTTACTTATTCCTACAAACTCTTAGGGCTGGTATTACTCCTGTTCTCCAAAAGGTTAAGTAACAGGTCCAAGGTCACACTGGTGAAACCTGGATAAGAACCCAAATCTGTGCTTCAAAGCCAAGGAGAGTAGGGAATGCTTTACTGCAGATGTGATACTTAAGGGGCTTCCCAAAGTCATCTTGGGGGACATGGATGGGCAGGAGAAAGCGTTACAGGTGAATATATTCCAAGCAGAAAAGGCAAAGAACTAGAAAAAAGAAAAAGGATGGAATGCTTAGGGAATTTAAGCAGGAGGTGCTGTGGTCTGAAGGATCAGTTGCCTCCTCCCAGCAGCTGAGGGAAACCCAGCAGTGGGATGAGACCCTGGAGGAGCCATCTCAAGCTGCTCAGGCCTAGGGTACTGGAGGGGCCTGGGGCAACACCGCCTTCCCTTCCTGCTCCAGAGCTGGGCTGAGGCCTTGGCACTCAAGGGAAGTGGAGGAACTCCTGAATGCTCATACACCTATACCACTCAGCTCTGGTCCCTGAGCCCATCTGCTTCCTGTTCCCACAGGTTCACCGGAGCCAGCCTCCCAGCCCCCGTTATCAGCAGCAAGAACTGGCTGCGACTGCACTTCACATCGGATGGCAACCACCGGCAGCGCGGATTCAGTGCCCAATACCAAGGTAGGCAGGTCCCAGGACTGTCTGGCTTCCTCAGTGGGCAGCAGAGATGACACCTGGAGGGCTCATCACCTCTCCCTACTGGGTCCGGTGTGGCTTCAGGCATCCTTGCCTTCTTTGTACGTTTCTATTTGCAGACCAGAGGTCTGCAGATTTGCATCTCTGCATCTGCCCTTGTCTTTTGCCCCAGAGAGGGATGTTTCCCAAATTATGTAGCTGGAGCTGCCCCTCACATGCCAGGCTAATCATAATAGTTAATACCAGATGCCTGCTAAGAGCCAGGCACAGTGCTAGGCACTTGGCAAGTAGCATCTCCTTTAATCTTCATCATTATCCTGCAAAGGAAACACGGTCATCACCTCACTTTATGGACAAGGAAGCTAAGGCCCAGAGAGGTTAAGCCAATTTCCCAAGGCCATCTGAACTCCTGCCTTTTGAGTCTGGAGCCCACCCTCTTAACCACCAGCCTTTGCTGACCTCTGCAGCCTACATTTCTACTCTTTTTCATTTTATCTAAAACATGAATATATTCCAAAATCACTTTAGGGAGCATGATAGCTTTGATGCTCAAATCTGTGAAGAACTGTCTAGTGGCAACAGATCAGACCAGGAATGGCAGGTGGAGATCGCAGCTAAGCAGATTTCTGCTGCAATAATGAAGAATTTCCCAACCCAAGAACCACCTATAAAAAGGAGTGGGTTAACCCAGAAGCAAGGAGCTGTCTGTAACTGGAAGAGATCCAAAAATCCAGCTGATAGATGGGAGCGGATGAGCACATTCCTTTTCGACATTGCGTTTATTCAAAGTACTCAAAATTTATAGAGATAAACACCAAGGGTTGGCCTCATAACATGCTCATTAAGCCTTTAGCTATTACCACTCTCAAATTGTTATTGGTTTTAATAGAATAGACAGCAAGCTTATATTGTGTACCTATTAAGTATAAGGACCTGTGTGAAGCCCTGGGCTCCAAGGCCAAATGCCTGCTGGCTCACCCTCAAGGTAGCATAGGGCAGAGTAGTGCCCCCTCCACAAGGCTCCTAGGGCCAGGCTTTCTGGCTGGAAACTGGGATAAAAGCAGCTCTGAAGGAAGAAGCGTTACGTTCAAAATCTGAACCTTTTAGGAACGGCCTAATTTACTTAGCCTTGGGTGGTGTACCCATTTGAAATATCTAGAAAGTAAACAAGAAACCAACTTGGTTCAGTAGCTTAACAAAGGCTTACCCTGAGAGCTTTCTTGGAGATGTTTTTTCCACTGCTGAGGTTGGGTCTTTGTGTGAGTGGAACAGCTGTCTGTATCTTTCTGCTGTGTTTCTCAAAAGACAAAAGCAGAGATGAATGCTATAATTGTATCTGATTAAGTAAGTGCTGGGTGTTTCTAATATTTCAAGTTACTGAGGGCCCATTTGTCAGTTTTTAAGGTTAAGGTTTGATGCCAGCAATGGGCGACAAGAACCCAAGCCTGGCAGTCTCCAGATCACACATCGATTCCACATCTGTGCACACCAGGCCCCGTGCTAGGCACTGTATGTACATTGCCCCACTCAGTACTCCCCACAGTAAAGTGATACATTTGTTTTTATTTCTGTTTATTTTTTCTCCAGCTGAGGAAGCTGGGGCTCAGAGAGGTTGTAACTAGCCCAAGATCACACAGCCTGTGAGCTGTAAAGCTCTAATTCATTCTGTATTTGCAGAATTACAGGGCCTCCTCTGATGGTGCTTTGGGTGTCTTCCATTTCCTATTAACCGTAGCTTTCAAACTTTGTTTTGCTCATCCCACCCCACTGTAAAAAACAAAATCACAACCCAGTATAAGCATATATCTGTAGAGCTAAAAGGAAAATATGACCAAGTGGTATTTACTGTGTACAATGTAGTCTGAAAATGTCATTTTTATTTTTAAATGCTAGTTGCAGCCTCTAAATTAATTTTACAAATCTGCAGCAGGGAACAACTCACAATCTAAAAAGCACTGTTTTAGTTGCAAACTTCTTGAAAGCAGGCCCTGTTCTCTGTTCCCTCTATCATCCTTAGCATAGCCCAGAATGAAGTTTTGCATGTTAGTGTGCGCCAGTGTATAAAGAGGACTTGCTAGATTTTAAGCGCTTGGCATTTATTACTTTGTTCAATCCTAACAGCAACTGCGTGAAGGAGATACTATTACCCGTCCCATTTTACAGTTGAGGAACGAGAGTCATAGAGAGGGTAACTAGCTGGCTCAGGTCTCATTAATAGTATGTAGGAGCCAGGATTTGCAGCCCAGCAGTGTTGATTTGGGTCTGGCATGCTCAATTATTGTGATTCTGTTAATAAATGATTCTTCCTTGAAACCTGCTTTTTCTAGTGTTTTCCTGACTGAGACCGCATAGTGCAAGGATATACAGTGATCGTTTAGTAACTCCATTGTTGACTTTCTAAAGCAAGGTTTCTCAGGCTCTGCGCTATTGACATTGTGAGCTGGATAATTCTTTGTTGTGAGGAAGTGTCCTGTGCATAGCAGGATGTTTAGCAGCGTGCTTGGCCTCTGCCCATTAGATGCTAGACACAGTGCAGTAGGAGGGAGCCACAGGGACCAGCAGCCATTAGCAGCGCCCCCCCACACACACACAGTCATGACAACCAAAAAAGTCTCCAGACATTGCCAGATGTCCCTATGTGCACAAGCACCTCCAGTTGACAACTACTACTCTGAAGGAATAAAAACTCTGGAGCCAGGAAAGACCAAGCTAAGCTTTATTATTGCAAATACACCCTAAAACAGTGGCAGAAATAGATTTCAGTCAGGGGTCCAGCGGGAGACAGGAGGAATACTGCACAGCTTTAACGGTAGAGGGTTTAGTGAAGGCACAATGTACAGAGGTGAGGGTGGAGTCAAAGGAGCCCGCAAGAGATGGTGAGGCCCCTGAGGACTAAGCAGCAGGTGGCCTACACCACCACTAGGTGTGCAAAGGGACCAGGGAAGAAGGTGGCAAGAGCTGGAGCCATAGAAGAGAGGTCTGCCCCTTGGCAGACCTGGAAAGCTATTCCCTACCTGCAGTGCAGGAGGAGGGGACCACAGGGATCCATAGTAGCCAGGGCGTGAGGAGGGGATCAGGGGATCAGTAGCTTGACCTCTCTCCTCTCTCTCTCCCATCCACTGTGCTTCCCATCTGCCAATCCAACAGGAAGCCAAGAGCAAGGAAACAGAGGCCCTGCTCTGTCCTGCTCCCTGCCCTGGGATCTCTGGCTGGCATTACCACCAGGCTCCCTTGCTCTCTAGCAGTCCACAGAGATCAGCTTCTTGGGGCACAGAACAGGGCAGAGAGGTTTAAAGAATGGACCTGGAAGGGCAGGGGAAGAATCACTGGCATTGGATCAGTTTCACCCACAGTCAGCTTTGTGGCACTATAGTCTTAAGTGATTTATGGCACTTCAGAGCTAATGATTACCAACTTCTAATGGTATTGACAGAGATTTTTTCCCAGATAAACAAAAAGAAGTAAACTTAAAATAAAAGATAACCTACAACATAGTACATTATATTCTGGTCTCAGTCCAATCAGAATTTAGGATGTCTGTGGCCAGACACAATTTTACCTAATACCACAGGGTATCAGAAGGCCTGAGTTCTAGTCGGGCTCTGCTTCGGACTGGTTATCAGGAGGTAGGCAACTGTGTTCAGTTTAACAAGCATTTTGGGGTGACATTACTATGTGACAGCAAAAAAGATGAATGCGCCTAGGCCAATCTCTGCTCTTAAGGAGAACAGGTTAAAGAGAGGCACAGACATAAATCTATAACTTCTGTACAGCATGATAAGAGCTGTAATTGAGGCCTGATTAAGAGTTCCTGGGCTAGAGATAAAAGGGCAATTAGTTTTGCCAGAAGGATTTAAGGAAAGCCAAAAAAGAGGCAGTGACTTAAATGTGGGTCTCAGAAAGATGCCAGACAGACCATGGGAAGATATGTTCCAGGTCAAGCAAAGGCAAGAAAGCATGAAACTACCACATCTAATGAACCACAACTACTTCCATGCGTCTAAAGCAGCAGTCACAGACCAAATCCGGCCCTCCACCTGCCTTTCTATGGCCCTCCATCAAAGAATGGGTTTTACATTTTTGAACAGTTGAAGAAAAGAAAATTGAAAAAAATAATATTTCGTGACACATGAAAACTGCATGAAATTCACATTTCAGTGTCCAGAAAGGTTTATTGAAACACAGCTACGCTCATTCATTTACACCTGGTCTATGGCTGCTTTAGCACTGCCAGGGCAGAGCTGAGCAGTTTATGACTGACACAAGAGGCCCACAGGCCTAATATATTTACTATCAGGCCCTTTACAGAAAAAGTTTGCCAACCTAGAGGCAAGTCTGCCACCTAGAGAAAAGCAAGCAGGATAGGTAGCGAGCACTGAGACTGGAAAGTGTGGTAGTGGTCAAGTTGTGAAAGTCTCAGTAGAGTTGGGCTTGATTCCATGAGTCATAGATGAGAAGTGATCAGAAGTTGTTAATGAAAGGGGAGACGTGATCACATTTTCGTTTTAGGAAGATCTTTGCCCTAGAATCCAAATTGAGAAAATGGTTAAGAATCTTGGGGAATTGGTAACAAGGGCCAGAGTTTAAACAGGAGTGAAGATGAAAAGGAAGGGACAGACCAAATGTATTTCTGGTAAACCCCACTGGACTCATGGCTAGTTAGATTTGGTGGGAGTGGGAGGGGATGGGGTTGAAGGAGATGAAGGAGTCAGGGATGAATCTAGCTTAAGTGGTTTTAGCAAAATGATATTAACAAAGATGGTCTGGGGCAGAAACAGATGGGGGATGAAGTTTGCTTGGGACACATTGATTCTGGGTAATGTTGGGATGTCAGGGATTGGGAGACTATCTAGTGAGCAGTTAACTATTCTGTGGGTCTGTAGCTCAGGGAAGAAGGGTCTGGGCTAGAGATAATGATGTGAAAAGTTCAAACCAAAGTAGAGGCTGAGACCACCATTCCCCTCCCCATGTATAACATGAGAGGATAGGGCCAAAAAAGTGGTTTTCAAATTGGGTTCCTTGGAGACTAACAGGTCCTCCAGCATGGTTTGATAGTGGCTGAGTGGGTGGGACTTCAGGTTTCCACCCCTACTTCAACCTGAGCAGTTTCTCTTTGAAGTATTTTATGTAGTGGGTATTTACCTAAGAGTATGTTAAAATGATAAGTTCCTGTAGCCAAAGTGTTTGGCAACCACAAGACTTTAAAGTTCCTTAAGGTTTTTTTTTTCAGTTCTGGTAGGCCTATTGAGGTTGTGTAATCAATCCGTCTGCCTCCAGGCCAGGAATGTTTCAAGTCTATGGAAATGATGGTGAGAAGAACCTTTCTTAATGCACTCAATGCCTGCTAATCACAACTGGTGAGGGGCTTCCCTGGCTGGGAGGACAGCACCCTCATTATCTCCCTCCTCATCTGTAGAGAGGGGCTCTTGTTAACCCTACAGGGCTATTGGAAATGAAAGAAGATCCCAGTATAAAATACCTGGCACTTGGTAGGTTCTGAGGAAGTGGAACCCTCAATCCTCATATTCATCAATCACTTTGACTCACTTGTTAAATGGTGAAACCCTTGCACAGTGAGAAAGAGCTGGTGCCTCTGGCTCTCCCTTAGACACCTGCTCTTTGCTTTCCACTCTGACCTAATGATCGTCATTTGGCCCCTCCCTTCAGTCAGATCCCAGCCTGCCTTTCCTATACCTGTCACTGCCTCTCTTGCCAAGTCAACCCTGCTGACTGAGAGATGGAAGATATTCCACAGTGAAAACCATTGGCTCCTTTGCCTTCTAGAAGTCCTGCACTGAGTTTCAATTGTCTGCAGAATAAACTTATTCATTTGAAAACATTTGCATTTACTGAGATGGTTGAGGCTTTTTATAATAACAAGCTGAAGCTTCTGTTTTCCATTGAACATGTTGGGTTCTTGCCTGTGACTTGGCTTCAATCTGAGGCCAGAATGAAAGTGCTTCAGGCATCCTGTGGTCCATGTTCTGACTCTTTTGTCCTATTCTTGGCCTGCTGATCTGCTAAACTTTCCAGCCTAATTTCCAGGTTCTGCACCTCCAAAGGTCTCTGCAAAAATTGCAGGCTTGTTGCTGCTTGGCTCAGGAGCCCAGGGTCCACAAAACTGAGCTCGTGAGTTCAGTCCAGAGTGAGCCTGTTACTGATGTAGGCACACAAAATATGGCACCCGTGACCTCACCAGGTTTCAAGCGTAACCCACTCCTTTTGACAGGAAATGAATTTAAAGCACATATTCTTATAACAGTCGTTCATTCACTCAGTCATCAAACTGTCACTGGGAAACTTCTGTGTGCCTGGTTCAGTGTCATCACAGAATATAGATGCACAAGCTCATGGGGCAACAGCTAGAAGAACAGGACATGATTTTGCAGTGCGTTGGGGTTTCAACAGAGGTCTGAAGGAAGTCTTGAGGAGGGCAATGACTTCTACCTGAGAGATGTAGACACCCATAGGGAGGCAATAACATTTGAGTGAAGTCCTGGGTACCTACAAATAAGAGGTAGCCAGGCAGAGAAGGGGAGGAAAGAATGTCCCAGGTAGAGAAAACAGTATTGCTTAGGCCGCATAGGCTATCAAAACCAATAACCAATGGCTAGAGTGATTTCTTAAACATCTCTCTTTCCTCTCATCATTGTCTCCAGCTGAATTCACCGAAGTTAGTGAATAACCCCACATGGCTTATTAATAATGACAAAGCACTATTCTGGGAACTAGAACATGCTACTCCCAACACTGCTTCCCATTTACCATGCCAGATCCTTCTCTTCTTTAGGAATTCCAGTGGTCTCAGTTTTGCTGTGGTTAACTGAGAATCCACGGAAGCAGCATCCAACAAAGCACTTTTTACAACCTTAGTTGAGTTGATGATTATTTTTTCTACCATTTTCAAAAAATCTCTGAGCGTAGTGCATAACCAGCTTCTGGGGAGCTTTGCATAATTTTCTCGACTGTCGGTGGGTGATCCTTCAACACCTGAATTCTTAGCAATAGCTATTGCCAGAATTTTGAGTGTTCTTTTAATTATTTCTATACTAACTTTTTACTCTTCATTAGCTGGAGCAGTGAATCTAAGGATGAAATGTACCAAGGCAAAACACCCAAATGATATCTTTTTCAATTGTAACTCCTGTAACATTCAGTGTATCTGACTCTGTTTTTTTCATTCTCTTCCACATCATTTTTCCCATCAACCTTCAGCACAGCTATTGCATCCAAAATTTTGCCGGATGTTCTTCTAGTTTTCCTTTTTCATAGACACTAATAGTAACATCTAACTGCTCAATTATTTCTTGCATATTTTTCTCAGTTTGAGTCTTGTCACCTTTTCCTTCCAAGAACATGGCATCATCTTTGGTCACAATGACTGCTCCAACTTTTCCTAAGTCATGAAACTGAACATCTTCAAGCTTTAGGGTCAAGCTCTCTTCCAAACACCATGCCATTATAGCAATAGCTTTGTTTGGTCTTTCTGTGTCACCAAAGCCTGGAGTTTTGACTACTGTAGCCCAAATGCCAACTTTTATCCTATTTTAAATGATCATACTGAGAGCATCTTCAGCAATTATGACCAAAGACTTTCAGTGGACATTGGCAATTTTAAGGTGGGTACAATTAACTGCTTACTGGAAATCCCAAGCATCCTAGAATTCTCCTTTCTGGACTTCTCATATGTTATTCAAGTAGGAAGAGATGTAATCTTGGTCAATCTCTGTTGTCTAATTCATTCAGTATTTTTCTGTCCTTTACTGTGATGACACCCTTCCAACATTTGTGATTACATCAGAAATGATATTGCTGATTTGTTTGTCTCCATTTGCAGACATTGTGTAAATGGAGAAATCTCTTCAGGAGTTGTCACAGGTTTAGGCTGCTTCTTAAGTTTGGTAATTACAGTATCAGCACATAACATCACACCTTTCCTGGTTTCCACTGGATTAACACCTTTGCTAATCTCTACCAAGCCTTCCATGGTGATGGAGCATGCCAGTACAGTAGCAATGGTGGTGCCACCCCACCCTCTTCATTTGTGTGTTGGCAACATCCTGATCAAATCTGGTGCCAACATTTATCTTGTAAGTCAATTGACCCGCAACAGACACATCATCTTCTGTTACTTTGAGGCTTCCCTATCTCTGTTCAGGAATCACTGTTCTTCCCTTTGGCATCATAGTAATGGCTACAGCACCTGCTAGAAGGTCTGTACCTTGAAGCATTAGGTCTCAAGCATGTGCACTGCATTGTCCATCTTTGGGATAATTCTGAGTGAGGTGAGGAACCAGTGTGCCAAACCCTGGCTTCATCTGGCAAAAGACTGTGGGTAATGAAAGCATTTCTGCAGGGTAGGTGGCTAAATGGCAAGGCAGCCCTCAGCTACAAGGGAGGGGCAGAATGCAGGATGTATACCCAACAATTTTTCAAGTAGGAAAAAGGCAAGGTCAGATTTCAGTTTTTGAAAGATCACCCCCTGCAACTTTTTAAAAGATGGGCTGGAGGGGATGAATCTGCAAAGAAAACTCTAGCAAAAAAGGATGAGTATAGGTAGGAGTGTCTTAGAACATTGAAAGAAGGATACACATTGGAGAAATTGTATAAGGCTGAGCAAATTGGATTTGGAGAAGGAGTAGTGGCAGGAAAGGAAAAGATGGTTCAGCCAGCAAGACTGGCAAGTGGCAGGGCAAGGGGAATGATCTAGTTTATTGGAGGGGCTCACCCTCATAGAGGGAAGTCTGAATCCATTGGGAAGAAAAGAAGATGCAGATTCCCTCCACTTCTTGACTCCCAGAGCCTTGGAGACAGGTTAGGCCTCCCTTTGCTCTCTCCTCTCCTAACAGGTCCTTGTCTCCCACTAGCTCAGCCCAGTAAGTCATGCTGCAGACTAGAGAGACATTTGTATTGCCAGATTCTTCTAGCTAAATGTGTACCATGTGTCCCGCTAACCTTTACAACAGCGGGAAAATGTCTTGTAATTAACCAGAATATAAAGGATGAATGGAGCAGCCTGGCAGTCTCCTGTAGTCATTATCATTCGGAGGAGATGAATGTACCTAGTAAGATTTCCATCAACCAGTTACAGCCAGCACTTTTCCCTTGGGAGTCCTGACTTTGTTCACATACAGTGAAAACCATGCACAGAATATATGTATGATGTGTATGACTTCTTTTTTGTATGTGAATATTTGTATCCATGTGTTTACATGTGCTTGAATATGTACTTGTGAGTGTGCTTGTTATACGCAGAAATGTGCATGTATGCATGGGTAAGGGCACAGTACGAGAAGCAGCCCAGTGAATATTAAGCATACTATCGGGGGTGTGCATTAAATTGTAGCCAGACCATTGAGCCAGCCCCAGGTTCCATTTTACCTCCACTGCATTGATAGTAAAAAACTTCTTTTTACAGACAAGTGGTTCAGTATAATATCATTGGGACAAGGCTAGTGGGTGCTCCATGAAAAAAAATCCATGTACAAACAACATGAATGAATATATCCCAGAAATTCTCTATGTTCTTTCTATGTTGTTCATCTTCTTGTTTTGACCTTCTTTTCTGACTGGGTCTGCTGGTAGTGCACTCTGGAGTTTTGGAGACCTGCCTTTGTTCTCTGACTCTCACAACCTGGTCTGTCCCAGTCTGTTGAGTTAGCTCTTCAATGAGCTTATTTCATGGCTGATTTCCCATGGTGCTGCACATTCCATGATCACTCATCACCCCACCCACCTGAGCAGACTGTTAAAAAAACAAGATGGCTATATATAACTCAGGGTGTGACTGCTTCCCTGGGATTGCTCAAAAACTGAGACCCCAGCATCTGGAAGTGATGTCTTAATGCTAATATTCTGGAGGTGGAGCCAAGATGGCCGAATAGGAACAGCTCCAGTCTACAGCTCCCAGCGTGAGCGACGCAGAAGATGAATGATTTCTGCATTTCCAACTGAGGTACTGGATGCATCTCACTGGGGATTGTCGGAGAGTGGGTGCAGGACAGTGGATGCAGTGCACTGAGCCTGAGCCGAAGCAGGGCGAGGCATGGCCTCACCCAGGAAGTGCAAGGGGTTGGGGAATTCGCTTTCCTAGCCAAGGAAAGGGGTGATGCACGGCACCTGGAAAATCGGGTCACTCCCACCCTAATAATGTGCTTTTCCGACAGTCTTAGCAAATGGCACACCAGGAGATTATATCCCACGCATGGCTCAGAGGGTCCTACACCCACGGAGCCTCGCTCATTGCTAGCACAGCAGTCTGAGATCAAACTGCAAGGTGGCAGCGAGGCTAGGGGAGGGGTGCCCACCATTGCTGAGGCTTGAGTAGGTAAACAAAGCGGCTGGGAAGCTCGAACTGGGTGAAGCCCACCACAACTCCAGGATGCTGGTCTGCCTCTGTAGATTCCACCTTTGGGGACAGGGTATAGCCAAACAAAAGGCAGCAGAAACTTCTGCAGACTTAAATGTCCCTGTCTGACAGCTTTGAAGAGAGTAGTGGTTCTCCCAGCACGCAGCTCAAGATCTGAGAGCGGGCAGACTGCCTCCTCAAGTGGGAACCTGACCCCCGAGTAGCCTAACTGGGAGGCACCCCCCAGTAGGGGCAGACTGACACCTCACACAGCCGGGTACTCCTCTGAGACAAAACTTCCAGACGAACGATCAGGCAGCAACATTTGCTGTTCACCAATATCTGCTGTTCTGCAGGCTTCGCTGCTGATACCCAGGCAAACAGGGTCTGGAGTGGACCTCCGGCAAACACCAACACACCTGCAGCTGAGGGTCCTGACTGTTAGAAGGAAAACTAACAAACAGAAAGGACATCCACACCAAAACCCCATCTGTATGTCACCATCATCAAAGACCAAAGGTAGATAAAACCACAAAGATGGGGAAAAAACAGAGCAGAAAAACTGAAAATTCTAAAAATCAGAGCTCCTCTCCTCCTCCAAAGGAACACAGCTCCTCACCAGCAACGGAACGAAGCTGGACAGAGAATGACTTTGACGAGTTAAGAGAAGAAGGCTTCAGATGATTAAACTATGATGAGCTAAAGGATGAAGTTCGAACCCATGGCAAAGAAGTTAAAAACCTTGAAAAAAGATTAGACAAATGGCTAACTAGAATAACCAATGCAGAGAAGTCCTTTTTTTTTTTGAAATGTATTTTTGTTTGTTTTTTTTGTTTTGTTTTGTTTTGTTTTAATTTATTTTATTATTATTATACTTTAAGTTTTAGGGTACATGTACACATTGTGCAGGTTAGTTACATATGTATACATGTGCCATGCTGGTGTGCTGCACCCACTAACTCGTCATCTAGCATTAGTTATATCTCCCAATGCCATCCCTCCCCCCTACCCCCACCCCACAACAGTCCCCAGAGTGTGATGTTCCCCTTCCTGTGTCCATGTGATCTCATTGTTCAGTTCCCCACTATGAGTGAGAATACGCAGTGTTTGGTTTTTTGTTCTTGCGATAGTTTACTGAGAATGATGGTTTCCAATTTCATCCATGTCCCTACAAAGGACATGAACTCATCATTTTTTATGGCTGCATAGTATTCCATGGTGTATATGTGCCACATTTTCTTAATCCAGTCTATCATTGTTGGACACTTGGGTTGGTTCCAAGTCTTTGCTATTGTGAATAATGCCGCAATAAACATACATGTGCATGTGTCTTTATAGCAGCATGATTTATAGTCCTTTGGGTATATACCCAGTAATGGGATGGCTGGGTCAAATGGTATTTCTAGTTCTAGATCCCTGAGGAATCGCCACACTGACTTCCACAATGGTTGAACTAGTTTACAGTCCCACCAACAGTGTAAAAGTCTTCCTATTTCTCCACATCCTCTCCAGCACCTGTTGTTTCCTGACTTTTTAATGATCGCCATTCTAACTGGTGTGAGATGGTATCTCATTGTGGTTTTGATTTGCATTTCTCTGATGGCCAGTGATGGTGAGCAGTTTTTCATGTGTTTTTTGGCTGCATAAATGTCTTCTTTTGAGAAGTGTCTGTTCATGTCCTTTGCCCACTTTTTGATGGGGTTGTTTGTTTTTTTCTTGTAAATTTGTTTGAGTTCATTGTAGATTCTGGATATTAGCCCTTTGTCAGATGAGTAGGTTGCGAAAATTTTCTCCCATTTTGTAGGTTGCCTGTTCACTCTGATGGTAGTTTGTTTTGCTGTGCAGAAGCTCTTTAGTTTAATTAGATCCCATTTGTCAATTTTGTCTTTTGTTGCCATTGCTTTTGGTGTTTTAGACATGAAGTCCTTGCCCATGCCTATGTCCTGAATGGTAATGCCTAGGTTTTCTTCTAGGGTTTTTATGGTTTTAGGTCTAACGTTTAAGTCTTTAATCCATCTTGGATTGATTTTTGTATAAGGTGTAAGGAAGTGATCCAGTTTCAGCTTTCTACATATGGCTAGCCAGTTTTCCCAGCACCATTTATTAAATAGGGAATCCTTTCCCCATTGCTTGTTTTTCTCAGGTTTGTCGAAGATCAGATAGTTGTAGATATGCGGCGTTATTTCTGAGGGCTCTGTTCTGTTCCATTGATCTATATCTCTGTTTTGGTACCAGTACCATGCTGTTTTGGTTACTGTAGCCTTGTAGTGTAGTTTGAAGTCAGGTAGCGTGATGCCTCCAGCTTTGTTCTTTTGGCTTAGGATTGATTTGGCGATGCGGGCTCTTTTTTGGTTCCATATGAACTTTAAAGTAGTTTTTTCCAATTCTGTGAAGAAAGGCATTGGTAGCTTCATGGGGATGGCATTGAGTCTATAAATTACCTTGGGCAGTATGGCCATTTTCACGATATTGATTCTTCCTACCCATGAGCATGGAATGTTCTTCCATTTGGTTGTATCCTCTTTTATTTCATTGAGCAGTGGTTTGTAGTTCTCCTTGAAGAGTTCCTTCACATCCCTTGTAAGTTGGATTCCTAGGTATTTTATTCTCTTTGAAGCAATTGTGAATGGGAGTTCACTCATGATTTGGCTCTCTGTTTGTCTGTTATTAGTGTATAAGAATGCTTGTGATTTTTGTACATTGATTTTGTATCCTGAGACTGCTGAAGTTCCTTATCAGCTTAAGGAGATTTTGGGCTGAGACAATGGGGTTTTCTAGATATACAATCATGTCATCTGCAAACAGGGACAATTTGACTTCCTCTTTTCCTAATTGAATACCCTTTATTTCCTTCTCCTGCCTGATTGCCCTGGCCAGAACTTCCAACAGTATGTTGAATAGGAGTGGTGAGAGAGGGCATCCCTGTCTTGTGCCAGTTTTCAAAGGGAATGCTTCCAGTTTTTGCCCATTCAGTATGATATTGGCTGTGGGTTTGTCATAGATAGCTCTTATTATTTTGAGATACGTCCCATCAATACCTAATTTATTGAGAGTTTTTAGCATGAAGGGTTGTTGAATTTTGTCAAAGGCCTTTTCTGCCCCTATTGAGATAATCATGTGGTTTTTGTCTTTGGCTCTGTTTATATGCTGGATTACATTTATTGATTTGCGTATATTGAACCAGCCTTGCATCCCAGGGATGAAGCTCATTTGATCATGGTGGATAAGCTTTTTGATGTGCTGCTGGATTCTGTTTGCCAGTATTTTATTGAGGATTTTTGCATCAATGTTCATCAAGGATATTGGTCTAAAATTCTCTTTTTTGATTGTGTCTCTGCCCGGCTTTGGTATCAGGTATGAGGCGGCCTCATAAAATGAGTTAGGGAGGATTCCCTCTTTTTCTATTGATTGGAATAGTTTCAGAAGGAATGGTACCAGTTCCTCCTTGTACCTCTGGTAGAATTCGGCTGTGAATCCATCTGGTCCTGGACTCTTTTTGGTTGGTAAGCTATTGATTATTGCCACAATTTCAGATCCTGTTATTGGTCTATTCAGAGATTCGACTTCTTCCTGGTTTAGTCTTGGGAGGGTGTATGTGTCTAGGAATTTATCCATTTCTTCTAGATTTTCTAGTTTATTTGCGTAGAAATGTTTGTAGTATTCTCTGATGGTAGTTTGTATTTCTGTGGGATCAGTGGTGATATCCCCTTTATCATTTTTTATTGTGTCTGTTTGATTCTTCTCTCTTTTCTTCTTTATTAGTCTTGCTAGCGGTCTATCAATTTTGTTGATCCTTTCAAAAAACCAGCTCCTGGATTCATTAATTTTTTGAAGGGTTTTTTGTGTCTCTATTTCCTACAGTTCTGCTCTGATTTTAGTTATTTCTTGCCTTCTGCTAGCTTTTGAATATGTTTGCTCTTGCTTCTCTAGTTCTCTTAATTGTGATGCTAGGGTGTCAATTTTGGATCTTTCCTGCTTTCTCTTGTGGGCATTTAGTGCTATAAATTTCCCTCTACACACTGCTTTGAATGTGTCCCAGAGATTCTGGTATGTTGTGTCTTTGTTCTCCTTGGTTTCAAAGAACATCTTTATTTCTGCCTTCAGTTCGTTATGTACCCAGTGCAGGTTGTTCAGTTTCCACGTAGTTGAGCGGTTTTGAGTCCGTTTCTGAATCCTGAGTTCTAGTTTGATTGCACTGTGTTCTGAGAGACAGTTTGTTATAATTTCTGTTCTTTTACATTTGCTGAGGAGTGCTTTACTTCCAACTATGTGGTCAATTTTGGAATAGTTATGGTGTGGTGCTGAAAAGAATGTATATTCTGTTGATTTGGGGTGGAGAGTTCTGTAGATGTCTATTAGGTCCACTTGGTGCAGAGCTGAGTTCAATTCCTGGGTATCCTTGTTAACTTTCTGTCTCGTTGATCTGTCTAATATTGACAGTGGGGTGTTAAAGTCTCCCATTATTATTGTGTGGGAGTCTAAGTCTCTTTGTAGGTCACTCAGGACTTGCTTTATGAACCCGGGTGCTCCTGTATTGGGTGCATATATATTTAAGATAGTTAGCTCTTCTTGTTGAATTGATCCCTTTACCATTATGTAATGGCCTTCTTTGTCTCTTTTGATCTTTATTGGTTTAAAGTCTGTATTATCAGAGACTAGGATTGCAACCCCTGCCTTTTTTTGTTTTCCATTTGCTTGGTAGATCTTCCTCCATCCTTTTATTTTGAGCCTATGTGTGTCTCTGCACGTGAGATGGGTTTCCTGAATACAGCACACTGATGGGTCTTGACTCTTTATCCAATTTACCAGTCGATGTCTTTTAATTGGAGCATTTAGTCCATTTACATTTAAGGTTAATATTGTTATGTGTGAATTTGATCCTGTCATGATGATGTTAGCTGGTTATTTTGCTCGTTAGTTGATGCAGTTTCTTCCTAGTCTCGATGGTCTTTACATTTTGGCATGATTTTGCAGCAGCTGGTACCATTTGTTCCTTTCCATGTTTAGTGCTTCCTTCAGGAGCTCTTTTAGGGCAGGCCTGGTGGTGACAAAATCTCTCAGCATTTGCTTGTTTGTAAGGGATTTTATTTCTCCTTCACTTATGAAGCTTAGTTTGGCTGGATATGAAATTCTGGGTTGAAAATTCTTTTCTTTAAGAATGTTGAATATTGGCCCCCAATTTCTTCTGACTTGTAGAGTTTCTGCCGAGAAATCCGCTGTTAGTCTGATGGGCTTCCCTTTGTGGGTAACCTAACCTTTCTCTCTGGCTGCCCTTAACATTTTTTCCTTCATTTCAACTTTGGTGAATCTGACAATTATGTGTCTTAGAGTTGCTCTTCTCGAGGAGTATCTTTGTGGCGTTCTCTGTATTTCCTGAATCTGAACGTTGGCCTGCCTTGCTAGATTGGAGAAGTTCTCCTGGATAGTATCCTGCAGGGTGTTTTCCAACTTGGTTCCATTCTCCCCGTCACTTTCAGGTACACCAATCAGACGTAGATTTGGTCTTTTCACATAGTCCCATATTTCTTGGAATCTTTGTTCGTTTCTTTTTATTCTTTTTTCTCTAAACTTCCCTTCTCACTTCATTTCATTCATTTGATCTTCCATCACTGATACCCTTTCTTCCAGTTGATCACTTCAGCTCCTGAGGCTTCTGCACTCTTCACGTAGTTCTCGAGCCTTGGCTTTCAGCTCCATCAGCTCCTTTAAGCACTTCTCTGTATTGGTTATTCTAGTTATACATTCTTCTAAATTTTTTTCAAAGTTTTCAACTTCTTTGCCTTTGGTTTGAATTTCCTCTTGTAGCTCAGAGTAGTTTGATCATCTGAAGGCTTCTTCTCTCAATTCGTCAAAGTCATTCTCCATCCAGCTTTGTTCCGTTGCTGGTGAGGAACTGCGTTCCTTTGGAGGAGGAGAGGCGCTCTGCTTTTTAGAGTTTCCAGTTTTTCTGCTCTGTTTTTTCCCCATCTTTGTGGTTTTATCTACTTTTGGTCTTTGATGATGGTGATGTACAGATAGGTTTTTGGTGTGGATGTCCTTTCTGTTTGTTAGTTTTCCTTCTAACAGACAGGACCCTCAGCTGCAAGTCTGTTGGAGTTTGCTAGAGGTCCACTCCAGACCCTGTTTGCCTGGGTATCAGCAGCGGTGTCTGCAGAACAGCAGATTTTCGTGAACCACGAATGCTGCTGTCTGATTATTCCTCTGGAAGTTTTGTCTCAGAGGAGTACCCGGCCGTGTGAGGTGTCAGTCTGCCCCTACTGGGGGGTGCCTCCCAGTTAGGCTGCTCGGGGGTCAAGGGTCAGGGACCCACTTGAGGAGGCAGTCTGCCCATTCTCAGATCTCCAGCTGCATGCTGGGAGAACCACTGCTCTCTTCAAAGCTGTCAGATGGGGGCATTTAAGTCTGCAGAGGTTACTGCTGTCTTTTTGTTTGTCTGTGCCCTGCCCCCAGAGGTGGAGCCTACAGAGGCAGGCAGGCCTCCTTGAGCAGTGGTGCACTCCACCCAGTTCGAGCTTCCCAGCTGCTTTGTTTACCTACTGAAGCCTGGGCAATGGCGGGCGCCCCTCCCCCCGCCTTGCTGCTGCCTTGCAGTTTGATCTCAGACTGCTGTGCTAGCAATCAGCGACACTCCGTGGGCGTAGGACCCTCCGAGCTAGGTGCGGAATATAATCTCCTGGTGTGCCATTTCCTAAGCCCGTTGGAAAAGCGCAGTATTCGGGTGGGAGTGACCCGATTTTCCACGTGCCGTCTGTCACCCCTTTCCTTGACCATGAAAGGGAACTCCCTGATCCCTTGCACTTCCCGAGTGAGGCAATGCCTCACCCTGCTTTGGCTCATGCACGGTGCGCTGCACCCACTGTCCTGCGCCCACTGTCTAGCACTTCCTAGTGAGATGAACCCAGTACCTCAGATGGAAATGCAGAAATCACCCTTCTTCTGCGTCGCTCACGCTGGGAGCTGTAGACTGGAGCTGTTCCTATTCGGCCACCTTGGCTCCTCCAGATATACCTAATGTTAAATGACGAGTTAATGGGTGCAGCACACCGACATGACACATGTATATATATGTAACAAAACTGCACGTTGTGCACATGTACCCTGAACTTTAAGTATAATAATAAAAAAAGGAAAGTCATTTGAAGAGACTGTAAATAAAAGTAAATTTAATCTAAAAAAAAATGCTAATGTTCCTGGTGATGTGGATCTTGCCTAGAGCTTACCCCTCAGTGAAGGATCTTACATGACCCATCAATCAGCTCCCATATGGTGTGTGCCAACTGTAGGTTCTACCATCAATCAGCTGGGCCTGAATATACATTTTGTAGAGTTTGTGTTGTTGGTATGCAGAACCCTTGCCCAAAGAGCTGTGACCCCTGTATTTCCCTGCGCTAACATGATGAGGACAAAGACTCTACCTGTGGATTCTAGCATGCATCCGATGACCATGTGGTGGCTACAGGCAACACTGGTGATATAACCTCTCAGACCTAGCTCAAAGCGGTAATCACCAAGTTCATATGTACATTATGGAGCTCCCTGCAGCTTTTCAGGTTCCTTCTCACTCAGTTCTCATCACCTTGACAAACTCCATCCTATGCTAAGTAGCAGGAAGTAAAAGAGGAAGAACAGAAGTTAGCTCAAGCTTGCGTTGCATGATGACATCATCCATTACTAGAAGCAGCCCAATGAATATTAAGCACAGATCCATTAGGTTAGGCAGTCTTTCCTTGCGGAGGAATGAGTGGAGAGGGTGGACACAGAAATCAGAAGGATTCTTTCTGGGCCCTTGAGAGAGGCAAGGAGCAGGAGACTTTTCCTCAATGCAACCGTGAGAAGAGAGGAAGGGGAGGCTCCCTCTTAGCATCGCCTCCCCTCATGGCCACACATATCTCACAGTGCCCACATCAGCCCCTACATGGAAAATCCAAGCAGCTTTGCCCCTGGGAATGGCCTCTGTGGTGCTCTGGTCCCCTTCCTCATTCCCCTTCCTCTAGCAACACTAGAGCCAGAGACAAGGAGACGATGAAGACTCTTTCTTCACCTCCCACTTGGCCAGGTGCCCTGAGCCATCTCCACAGACCTGACCACAAATGGGCTGCACCGGGTCATAGAGACCCCTCACCCACTGCTGCCCTGATGCTGGGGTACCAGGGCTATCAGGCTCAAATTGTTGTTGTGGTGCTGGAACTGCTCCTGTTCTCCCAGGGATAGTGAATCAGAGGGCTATCCCCCTGCCGCACTGTATTAGCTAGGCTTGAATAATGTATGTTTCCCTACTAATGCCCTCTGTTTGATCGTGTGTCCATGTTAGTGTTCATTGGAAATTTTCCTGCTGGATACACATGGAGAGTAATGCACATTTATAAAAACGGTTTGAATGCATGTTGGGAGGCTATGACTCCGTGGTAATAACTGAATTTTATCAGGCATTCAGATTACACAGTGACTTGCCTGCCAGGGAACAAACCCTTGGGGAACTTTTTCATGTAGCCAGAGTTGGGGGACTGGGAGGCAGCCTTCCTTGCATATCTGATTACTGTGAGCTTTGATTTGGGGATTGGCCTGTTACCTCAAGTCCAGAGCAAATACCTGAGTTTTCAGAGCCTGAGCTTGGGAGCAGATCCTGGAGAAGGTTTACAGTTTCCCTGAGATTGCTTTGGGTGCAGATCACAAGAAAAGAGGCTGAGGCTCAGTGAAGAACACAGCTGTTTCCTGGCTGTGTGACTTACAGCAAGTCACCTAAACCACTTTGAACCCTGATTTGATTATCTATTGAGTAGGTATAATAACTACCAGTCAAGGTTGTTGAAAGTATAAGGACCAAATGAAATGATTCTAGGCGTTGAGGATACACCCATGAATAAAAATCCCTGCCTTTGTAGAGCTTACATTGCAATGTGGAGTGACAAAAATAACTACATAAATGGTATAGTATGTTAGAACATTGGGAAGATAACGTTGGGAAGGAGGCAGGGAGAGCTGGGGTTGCAGGTGTCATTTTAATGGAGTGGTCAGGGAAGGCCTCAGTGAAGAAATGGTGTTTGCACAAACACTTAAGGGAAAAGGGGAGCAAGTCGTAGAGATACCTGAGGAAAGGCCTTTTGGGGAATTGGCAGGCTGAAGCAGAAGCATGCCTGGCATATTGTAGGCACATCAGAGAGGCCCATGAGGCTGGAGAAGAGCAATCGAGGCCAAATACAGAGTCAGAGAGGTCATGGGGAGAACAGATTGGTCTTGCAGGCCATCTTAAGGACTTTTACTCTAGAAGACATGGGTTGCCACTGATGAGCTTTGAGCAGAGATGTAATATGGTTTGACTTATGTTTTAATAGGATCCCTCTGGTTCTTGTGCTAAGGACAGACTATATAGGGACAAGGGTGGAGAATGGGAGGCCACAGTCATGAGGGGAAAGGTATCTCAGACTTGAATCAGGATGATAGACAATGGAAGTTGTGAGAAGTGGTTGCCTTTGGGATATATTTGGAAGGATTTTCTGATGGATTGTGTGTGGGTTTGAGAAAGAGGAGTCAAGGACGCTGATTTAAGTAAAGAACTTGTAAAGCACCCTGGACCTGGCACGTATGAAGTGCCCAGTTACAGTTGTTGTCACCACTCCTGGGTATCAATCTGAGCAGGGCTAAGTCAGCAGGCGGGGCCAGCTGGAAGATGGCACCGTGGGTAGCTGGGATTAAACAGCTGCTCCAAGGCATATAACCAGAGACAGGGTGAAGCTGTTAGAGGCCAAGAGAATGCCTTGGGTAACAGGGGTGGTCAGACCAAAGGCGGCTGATGGGTACAGAGGAATGGCCTTTGGAATTATGGAGTTCTGGCTCTGGCACCTTTTGTGTGCTATTTGGCAAAGTTCTGATGAACTGAGGACTAGGCTGGACTTAGTGACAGGGTCAAAGCCAGATCTGATCCATCAGGCACCCACTTGAGTCAGGCCCCATCTCCCAGTGACCTCCAGGATTCAGCTTCCCCTGCCTGTAAGAGGTTGGCTTATGTAGGCTGGGCTTGGCTTGGCTAATTCCCTCTTCCCCCATGTGTCTCTTATCCTCCTGGGAGCAGCTATGTTGTCTCACAATGATGGCAGAGATGCAAGAGGCCAAGCCTAATCTGGCAAGTGCTTTTATGCCTTTGAACACATCAAGGCCTCCAAATTTCCCATGGCCAAAGCAAGTCACAAGGCCAAACCCAAAGTCAAGGAGTGGGGGAATGTACTCCACCTCTGTAATGGAGGGAGCTAAAAAATCACATTGCAAATGGTGAGAATACAATGAGTAGTGACAATTTGGGCCCATATTCTGATCTACCATACCCTGTCAGGGCTGACTCAGAACTGAGGTAGAGAAAAAGCTGTGGAGAAGCAGAGGTGGGCTGCAAGGCTGCACACGTCGACGCTCATGAAAAGTTTGCTGAGGAGCAGGTTGAATTCAGTAGGTCTGGTGAAATCTCAGACATCTGTGAGAGGCCACCGGGGGAGTCCCAGAGCCTCTCAGAGCCCACCCAGTAGGAGACCACATTTTTGGCCTCCCTCAGAGGGCTAGCCTTGATAGTAACTTTTCCTTCATGTCTGAGGTCCTATTGCCCTTGACCACTACCCTTGGAATGTCCCAGCCCAGAAGTTCCTGGCTTTGACCCACCATGGAATGTTCCAAGGCACAAGGGGGAATCCTTCTAGAGGGACCCTTATCCCTGGTCACAGGCAACAACTCACATTGTTTTTCCTCTTACCTCCTCTCTAGTCAAGAAGCAAATTGAGTTGAAGTCTCGAGGTGTGAAGCTGATGCCCAGCAAAGACAACAGCCAGAAGACGTCTGTGTGTAAGTGTCCGCCCGCCAGCCCGCCTGCCGGGCCTCTTGCTTGAGGTCACACGTGCAGGCACTAAACCGTGGGGAAGCCAGATGATGCTGGAATGACTTTCCTTCAACCCTGCTTCCTCCATCCTGGGCTCTGCGCTTGGACACACTGACCCAACGGCCAGAGAGCAGCCCTGGGGCCTGCCCTTTGCCTTCTCCTCCTCCTCTTCCCATTTTCCTCCTTGTCCTCTTTCTCCCTCACTTCCCATTTGAACTGCAGTCCAGGGAGTCATTACTGCTACATTTCTCTCTTTATTTTCCTTTTGAATCACTTCCACCTGCTAAGACAGTCCTCCTTCAGCTCCTCTTTTAGGAGTCAGTAACCTTGGGCTGGGATCTTGGGGGCTGTAGGGCCCCAGTTCCAGCTCCCAAGGCCAGATTGGGAAAGGGAGGCAGGGGAATGCCTAGTAACCTCCTCCAAGGGCCCCTGGACCTGGCTGAGCAAAGAGAGGACTGGGGAAGTGTGGGGGTGGGTCCTGCCTCGGGTCAATGGGGAGGCACTGGGGGCTCTCTTCTTGGGCATGGGGAGGATGACATCTTTCAGAACATGTTCCTGCTACCAGTGTTTGTAAGGTTAATAGGGGTCTAGTTCTGGGGAATGGTCTGGAATGTGGGTCCCAGAAACACCTGATCAGGGCCTGTGCTAAGGGGCTTTTGAGCTGAAGCCCAGGAAGGGCTGGGGAAGGTTCTGGGCACCTCCACAAGACTGGGCTTAAAAGCAGGGGAGGTTTTTTTCCAGAAACCTTCCACTTTCCTTCTGGGCCGAGTGGTAGGGAGCCTTCCTTGGTCCTCCAAATGACTGACCTGGTTTTCCTTCTCCTTCCCTCCCTTTGCCCTTCTCCTGCATCTCTGGTCCTCTCTCCCTTCACTTTTTCTCCTCTTGCCACTTTCTGCTCCATCGTTCTTCTCATCCTTCTGCTCCCGCCTCTTCTCTCCCTGCTTGTCTTCCTGTCCCTGACTTGCTCCTCCCACCCTCCCCATTCCTCCCCTTCCATCTCACCTCCATGTGCTCACTTTCCTGGAGATGCTAGAAGTACTTATTGAGGAGAGAAGGGCATAGAGTGGCACCGGTGGTTTTCGAGCTCTGTGCCGATGTGTGTGGCCGGGAGAACATCAGGAGAAGAGGCACTTTGGTCTCAGGCTCCGACTGAACCGAGCCTGGGTTGGGGATTGTCTGTGGTCTTTGAAGTTGTCTGAGTGGAGACAGTTGCCACAGGCTGTTGGATACAGCCAGGAACTGGCATCTCCAGTCACCACCCTCAGGGACTGGATGGCAGAGGGCACCAGAAGAGCCTTCTTCTGTGCTTGACTGGGGGTTTAGGGGAAAGGACAGGGTGCTAGGAGAGCCCAGGGTCAGGCCAGGAACCTGCAGAGGGCTCAAGCCATGGCCCTGACCCTCACAGGCTTTTTCTTTCTGTAGCCACAGGAGACCCAATGAACTGAGGCAGGCACAGTTTAATTTCACAGTTTGCCCTGGAGCCACAGGCAAACTTAAGGAAATGGCCCTGACTTGGGAGATCAAATATTTATCCCAACTGTGTCCTCAGGGAGCATGTTACCCCAGACACTAATGTTTCAGTTTTCACATCTGTAGAATGGGGATGCAAAATCCTACCCTGCCTTCCTCCCAAGAGTGTTGCCAGATCTAAGATGGGTCTTGTTGACCTAGGACTTCAGGAGGCCCATGGACTAGCCAAAAAAGTACATGTGATGCTCTGGGTGCATTTTTCTGGAGACAGGATGCAGGGTTTTCATTAAGCCGACTAAGAAGATGCCAAAAACTCCCTCAGGAAGATAAAGAGAAACCCTGTTCTAATGAAAGAATGCAAATGCTCTTTGCAAAATAAATATATATATCTCTATTGAGAAGATATTAGCCTCCATTCTAAGAGTTCCTCAGAAAGAATGGGTGTGTGACTCCAGCTGCCTCAGACCCAGGTAGCCACATGTCTTCAGGTGGCTGGCCTCCTGTGTTCTGCCCAAATTCCCTGTGGACAGCTGCCCTGAAGTTCATGGGGAGAGTGGACCCAACTCTCTACCTTGCCATCAGTTCTGACCACCCACCCACCTGTGACTCCCTGCGTTGGGTAGAAGGTGGTGCCTTCCTGAGCACATTGCGGCTTCTCCCTTGCCATAGTGGCCCTCCCAGAGTAGAGTAAGGATTACTCCCCATTCCTGTCCCTCAGTAGCCAACAGGAAAGCAATGCTGTAAACACAAGCAGCTGGTTTTGAGTAGGCAGAGAAGACTGGAATTAAAAAAAAAAAAAAGAAAGGGAGAAACACTTCTTGCCTCCATAATTCAGACAGTAAACTGATCGCTGAGATTTAAGTTTGCTTGTTTCCTGGGGAAGCTTGAAGATCCTCGTGGGACCACCATCCCCTGCTCAGTCCTCCCTGGAAGGGGGCACTGGCTGGGTATAAGCCGCGTCACCGTTGGGTTTGTGACTTTCTGGATGGTGCCTGGGTTTCACCTGGGGCTGGCTGAGGAAAGGGGAGGCGGTAGGGTCTGCTCTGTCTGTCAGGGGCTTGTGGCTTGGCGGGTGGGCTTTGCCATGGTCTCGCCTCTTGAGTCCAGCCCCGTCCTGATGGGGCAGACTTCTGTTCGTTCTGCTTCCTGGGTGATGTCAATACTGAATGAGAGGGCAAGAGAAGGGGAAAGGGAACCGCCATATGTTCTTCACGTGCTGCAAGGGGGCTGTGTGGTTCCCATGAAATGGTCAGCAGAGACTTTGGGATGGGTATGACTCGTGGGTCACAGGGTTGACTAGACAGAATCTAAAGAAGGTGGGTGCTTAGCTGGGAAGTCTGCAGTAGGGACGGATCACTGTGAAGCTCTAGGGGGACCTGGCTTACCACAGATAAGGCAGCAAATACAGCTCAGGCTTCCTCCTCCTTCCCACCTTCTGGGTGCCTTAGAGGACCCCCTAGTTATCTCCGTTCCATTACTTGCAAAAAACTGAGGCTTCCAGGAAGCAGGAGCTTCCTCTGCTTCGGGAATGGCACTTCCATCTTACTTTCCCAGCCTGAGGTGTCTGGACTGGTGGGAACGGCTCAGGATGTGAAAGCTTTGGAGGTAAAGGCTTGGCAAGGAAGGGGATGGGCGTAAGAGACAAGTAGGGGTAGGGGTAACTGGCTTGAACGTGCACTGCACACAACCAAGAGGATACCTGTGTCTGGCTTGAGCACACAGTCTGTCCAAATCCTCAGGTTCCATGGCCAGCCATAGCCTGGGCTACCTGGAGGTTTAAACACGGTCTACTTCAGGCCTCTAACTGTAGACTCCCTCAGTGAGTCTAAAACGAGCTCCCCACCTTCCTTACTTCTATGAAACCACCTGCATCCTCACAGGTACCCAGGCCCTGGAAATCCTGGAAATGCCCTGCTCCTTCTCCTCATGCCCTAGGTCCCCTGTGAGTCCCAGGGATTCTTTCTTTGCCACATCCATTCCTGCTGTCTCATGTCTAGCCTCACTCCAGGCTCTTGTTGTCCTCAGCCTGAATAATCACAAAATTTCCTAACTCATCTCTAGGTAACTGGCCCACCTTTGAGCCAGCGGGTCTCACCACGCCTTCTCCCCACCAGAACTCTCCAGCGGCTCCCCATCATTTTCAGGATCAGACTCAAACCCCGTAAAAGTCTGATCTCTGAAACCTCACCATCCACTCTTCCTTGTCACTCTTCACCTTCCCTCCTACTCTGGTCACACTGCATAACACGCATTCTCTTTCCAGGTTTCCACCTCACTCCTCGTGCCTGTCTATCTTTGTCATCTCTGTTGCCGTGTGTCTAAATCCTATTAGCTCAGAAGGTCCATGTTCGATGCCACCTCTTCCAGGCAGCCTCACATGCGGGTGCATCCTTCATCCCTCCCCACTGTGGTCCCACAGTCCGCTTCCGTGGTTTATGTCCTCACTCAACTGGAAACTCCTTGAGGACAGTGGTCTTATCTGACTACCTTTCGCATTTCCATGGTATCCAAATAAAGCCTTGTACACAGTAGGTGCTCAATGAATGCTTGTTGTGTACCTATGTGAGCAAGTGGGTGAGTGAGTAATGGAGTGCTTTGTTCACCTTATGGGACATTGAATGGGATGGGAGGGACATGCGCAAAGTTGGAAAATGCCGAATGCTGTCCAGATGCCCTGGAACCCTTGTCTAGAGGTTGCTGTTGGGGTCATGGGATTGGTGAGGCTTTGAGTGGAACTCCTCCGACCAGGCTGTGTGCCTGGCTCCAGCTCCTGGTCATCCTCAAAGCCAGGAATCCAGCCTCCTCAGTACCAGCATCCCGACGAAAAGGAACAGGCAGGGGCCAAAGGGTTGCCTACCCTCCCTACTGTGTGTGTATCCGCTGCCCCCTGACCAAGCTTCTCCTCTAGCCAAGACAACTGTGCATATGGTTTTTGTAAATAGGACTCTGGCGCTGGCAAGTGTCAGAGCATTGCACCACCTACCAGAACCATCACAGGTGCCATCTCTGCCCGGTGCCCTTGATGGGTGGCACTGGGTAGGGGATGCTCTGGTGACTGCTTACTCTGGCTCGAGAAGTATCTGATGGGAAGAGGTTTCTCAGAAGAAATGTCTGTGTTTGAGCTGAAGTCCCAGCTTTGAACTTTGACTGCAGCTTTCTCTTACATTCTTTACCGTTTCTGATCATGCACCCACCTTTTATTTAACTTTCTTTGAGTCATTTCTCCATCTGGGGCTGAGGTGGGGGGCTCATTTCATCTAGAGTCTCCACCCCAGATCTGAAGCATAGGCGTGGTGGGGGGAGGTCACCAGGGGCTGTGGATGGTCCACTTCTGGCTGCTGGTGTGGGACGAGGGAAGCAGGTGGTGGTTGGCATGGAGGGCCTGTCTCTGAGCCCACACACTCGTGATGACTTTGCTCACAAAGGAATTTGTCAAAAGCAGCCTCCTATCTTGCACATCCAAGAAACCCCAGGCCAGTAGACTCCGGCCACCCCACACAGCCCCAACAAAGCAGGGCCTCATTCTGTCTCTGCCTCCACCTCCCACCCTGAGACATTGCCCCAGCTGGTGCCTCCCTGTGACTGTCCATCTCTGTGTGTGCTGTTTTTTTTTTTTTTTTTTTTTTTGCCTTGTAGTAACTCAGGTTGGTGTGTCCCAAGGACATAATATGTGTCCAGACCCTGGCATACCCGAAAGGGGCAAAAGACTAGGCTCGGATTTCAGGTAAGATCTATTTGGGAATTTTCTGATTGCAAGAAGGGTGGGGTGGCCTGGCTGGGAGGAAGACAGGGGCTGGCCTTCCTGCAGGTGGAAATGGAGAGGATGGCATGGATATAGGAACAGACACTTCCTGGAGAAGAGCTATGGCTTTGACATTCTCTCCTGGTTCAGTCCTTGGCATAGTGCCCATGCTTTAGTGGGGGGAGAGAACTGTAGACTGCCAGTGTTATCCAGAAAACCTATGTACCCAGGGTACAAAGGGCTGCCATCTCAGTAATGACACGCCAGAAGGCAACTCGCGCCTGCAATAATCTAGGAGACCATTTTCCTTAAAGTTTATGGGTATCATCCACCCACGCTTAGCTGCCCTAACTGGTGCTTATCTCAGAGGATCGCTGTTTTGCTCACAAAGTCACCTTTTAACTCAATCCTAAAACCATTAAACAGTCCGAAAAAAGAAGATGAAGAGCAGATGTTCCTTCCAATGGAGATTTTTAGTGATAAAACAGTGGAGCAGAGATTAAGGGCCAGAAGGAAAAATAACATGTGCGGCTTCTTTGTGGAACCAGGAAGGACTTGGGGCGGGGCTTGGCAGGCCCAGGGATGGAGCTCACAGACACACTTTGTCTCCCAGGTTAGGATCCAGCGTCCAGTTCACCTGCAACGAGGGCTATGACCTGCAAGGGTCCAAGCGGATCACCTGTATGAAAGTGAGCGACATGTTTGCGGCCTGGAGCGACCACAGGCCAGTCTGCCGAGGTGAGGGTGCCCTGGGGAAGGGAGGCTGGCCAGAGAGTTGGGCTGAGCCTGGAGGCTGAAGCCCAGCTCCCAGCACCTGAGGCCCAGGCTCTCAAGCAGACTGGCTCCCCTCCCCCCTCACTCCCTGCACTTATTTACCAATAAGCATACTTATCCAGCCCTTTCTCAGTATCAAGGCCTGCGCTAGGATCAGGAGATACAGAGATGGGGAAGATAAGCATTATGGTGCTTGCCCTGCATGGACCTTACAGTCTAATGGGTGAGGCACGTAAGAAACAGCTTGCTACCTCATTGAATGGATACTGAACCACACCTAGATAGGAAAGGAAGTCACCTTTTATACAGTCACCTTGAATCCCTCTGTTACAACACACATGCATCTTGAACCCTGTTTCTTTCCCCATATTGCAACAGACAGACTTGTCACTTCTGCAAGAGTGTTTTTACCTATGTAGTGATGACATGCTTCTAACCCCCTATCTGGGTGTTTTGTTCCCCAGGGCCCTGCCACCACATCCCCAGGTG
Organism: Homo sapiens; assembly: GCF_000001405.40. Lineage (NCBI taxonomy): Eukaryota > Metazoa > Chordata > Mammalia > Primates > Hominidae > Homo > Homo sapiens. The sequence continues at coordinate 33,819,187 of NC_000001.11, read as the reverse complement.
TCACATGAGCCAAGCCTGGGCTGGCCTAGCCCCTACCCCCCAAATAATCTTAAAATAACAGAGCCAAGTGTATTCCTGCTTTGGGGCAGGGCTACAGCTGCTTCTGTGGTAGAGAAGCCCCTGACCTCATCCCCCAGGGAACCAGCAGAGAGAGCCCCTGTGCACTAGGCTGTTAGGTAGTCTTTAAAAGCCAACAGGTGCTCTTTTGAGTGCCCCTTTAGAGGAGAAGATATGTTGCCCACTGCAAAGTTACATGCTGGATCCTTCTGATCTAAGAAAGAGATTCTTTGCCTCTCTTTGGCATATGCATCAAGATAAAATTCATGCAGAGTAAGAGGATCCAGGAAAAATAATATCTCATTATTATACTGAGAAAGGGGCAGAGTTGGAGCTGAAACCCATATCCTGTTTTTTAACTGAGTCCATAAGTAATCTAGAAGAGTGTCACTATAACATCTTTCAAATAAGCCTTACATCCTCATTCAACTTTGAGGTGGCCATGTTCTACAGTTTATAATGTTCTTTGCATTTTCACTGATTTTAGCTATATTATCTCAAGGATTCTACATAGCTACTATGTTTTTAAAAAATCAAACAACAAAAAAGAATTCTTGTCATAACTCTCAGCAATTGGGCAAATCACCCATTTTCCCTAAGCCTTTCTTACCTCCAAATGTTGCTAATAGTATGTATCCTACCCTTCTTCTGTTTAATGTGGAGATTGAATGGAGTTGTGAATGTGTAAGCAGTTTATGAATTGAAAAGTGCTAGAAGAAAAAAAATATCCTCATGCCAGTAGAACATGAGCTCTATAGGGCAAGGACTTCTGTTTTGTTCACTGCCTAAAATGGGGCGTGGCATGTAGCAGGTACTCAGTAACAGGTGTTGAATGGATGACGGAATGAATGACTCATTGAATAGCATACCACTCCAATGCCAGGGAGCCCAGACACCAGCTGTGCAGAGAGGCATAGAATTATCAAGTCTGAGGACCAAGGGACCCTGCCCATCTGTCGTTTCAGAATTCCTTTTGAGAAGCCAGGATGACAATGCCTTTTGCAGTGGTGGGATCTGGTCCCTCCTCAAGACCTTTTCACTAGAGGAAGGTTGTTCTCTTAGTTCTCAAGAGATGATGATTGTTTACATGAACATGCCAAGGGTGGAGAAGGGCTGGTTTTGACCTGAGGGAAGTTTGTAGCTGAAAAAGTGTGTTCATCCTTTTCTCCAGTGATTTGGACCCACTGAAGTCTGAGTTCTCTGCTGCATTGTAACTAAGCATTGGGCTGGGCTTTTTCACGTGGTCATCTCATTCCATCACCTGCTACTGTAAAACAACAGGAAATCATGGTACAAATCCAACCATCATCATTTTTAGCTGGGGCCCTTGGGCCAGTTTCTTCACCTCTCTGAATCTCTTTTTTCCTGCCAAAAAGTGGTGATAATAGAACATTACTTCGTGGGGTTACTTTGAGGACTAGATGAGGCAGTCCTTGTTTAGAAGTGATGCCAGTACGTCTGTGAGACTTACGTGCACACATATTCAGCTTAACCTGCTGGGCACTGTCCACATAAGCTTCCTCAAGCCCTGGAGCAAACCTCAGCCTCTAGTTGCTGCAGGTTCTTTTAGAAGCTGTCTTGTCTAATCCTATTGCAATCATACAGTTTGGGAGTCACATGGACTTTGATCTAGATCACAACTCTGACACCTTTTAGCTTGCTGGCCCTGGGCGGGTTCCTTCATCTTTTTTAGCCACAGGCCTTCATTTGTGAACAAGGAAAACAAAATCTTCCCCGCCTACTGATTATGAAATTTAAACAAGGCATTTTCTAGAAAGTGACCAGCCCTGACGGTGGTGGAGGGTACATTCTCAACACAGGTTAATATTCCTGCCTTCTTCTCTCTTTTTTCTCCCCTCCTATAGGCCATTGTGAAGGAGAAAGAGAGACTGCTAAGTCTCCTGGGTTTGAACTTGGATGATATGTCCTGGGCTTCCCTGAAGGCCCAGGGCTGAGATAGATATTAGAGTAAAGCGTCTTTTTATTTTGGCAATTTTAAGGTTTTTATTTTAAAATATTTTGTTTTCAATTAATCGCAATCACTATTCTGTGATTTTTAGGACAGTTTAGGTGAACCCCACCTTAAGAATGAAAACGAACAAAACTCTTTCCATTCCAAGAAGTTCCACTAACAAGCAGGTTACCAAAAGATCACATTCTAAAAAGGATTTTACCATAATAATGGTATTATTTTTTCTTTAATGCAGTTAAAATATGATTTGATTAGAAATACTCATTTTCCCACACAATTAATTCTACTAAAACATGGGGCCTGGCAAATAATAGGTTCTCAGCTAATGTTTGAGGACCACCTGAATGAATCAGTGATTGAAATGAATGAACAATATGGGACTGTGCCCTCATTTTGAGATATGAAATTAGGCGTTCACAGGCCTTTCTTTTCTTTCCCTCCCATCAGAAGAAATAAGCTTCTAATTTGACTCCTAGAAAATTTTCATCACACAAAGGAGATTGAGGGCAATGTGAAACACTGTTAAACTAATTCTGTTCAGCCCCAGATACAGGCAGAGTCCATAGATATAGAGCTTTTCAGACTTATTTTACATATGGAGCCCAATATTCAAAAATAAGTTTTTGCAGAACCCTAATAAATAAAACAGATACAAGTGGAGCATCTCTGATTAAAGTTGGGTCAGGGGATTTCTAGTCTCCCCTCCATCACCATTTTCAGTAGCCTTTGAGTCCTGGTACCCCTGGGGCCCCAGGGAACACTGTAAACCACTGGTATAGTGAGAGGACCAAATTAACAACCAGCTCTGATTTCTTGTGATCACAAATTGGTGTTGATAGAGTTTAGGGACTGAGTACCAGGCCCAGATGAAACTCTTACAGTTACTGATTCACAAAGTAAATAATTAACAGGAACTTATATATATTATTTTTCCTTTGTGGCTAAACTCATATATATGTATATGCCTTTGGGTGGCTAGAATACCAAGCTTGGGACTTAGAGACCTAAGTTAAAGTTCCGACTTTGTTATTAACCATGTGGCACAGGGAAAATCACTGAAACACTATGGATCTTTTTCCTCATCTGTAAAAGGGCAGTAAAACAGGAGAAATATGGCACAAACCAGGGTGAATTAAATGCCATGATAATTACAGGTGGCTGTCTTCTTGGTGGATTTCATTAGATCAGCTTTCTGGTTTTACTCCTTAAACATAATTGTTATCCAGAGTTCTATTTTCAGATCTCTTCTCTTCTTTCCTCTCTTCTCCTCTCCACTTATTTTCCCTGGATGACACATACTGATTGTACTAGAGTACATGCCCCATTGCTCCAGCCCTGAGAATGTCCCTCAGTCCCTTACCTATATGTGCTAATGATAAAGCTCTTATTTATTAAATTATGTATACTTGTATATAGCATTGCACTAGGCATTTTTCATAATTTCTTTATGAGTAAAGTGGCAATAACCATATTTTATGTTTAGCTGAAGCTTAGAGTGGGCAGCCAACTTGCCCAAGGGCACAAAGCTACATCTGTTGAGTTGAATTTCAAACCCTGACTCCAAAGGCTGAATCCTACTTCTACTTGAAAATTGTACCTGGACATCCTTCGGAGTCAATAGATTGGATGGAACCATGCAGAGCAACTCCCCCTCCACTCCCCACTTTTTTTGGGTAACTTTTAATTTTGATATGATTTTAAACTTGCAGAAAAGTTGCAATTAATGTGCAAAAAGCTCCCATGTACCCTTTCCTAGATTTAAACAACTGCTTTTAAAAAGTTAGTGGAGAAGAAGAAAGCTAAGAAGAAATTCGGTCAGAAACGTAGGAGAAAAGCCAAAAAGCGTCACTGAAGCCAAAGAATGTGAGTTTCACAAAGAGAGAAAGATCAGTAGTGTCAGATACTCTAGAGAGGTCAAGTATAATCACAACTGAAAAGTAAACATTGGGGTTAGTGACTCAACCAAGTGTTGAATATTTGAACTTGTTTCTGCAAGGAATTGGTGAAGGAAGACATGGGAAATGATAGACTTGGGCTGAAGTTTCTATTGTGATGGCAAACCATGAATCTGTCGTGATACCACAGTTCTCCTGGTAGCCCCCCAGCCCCCAGGATTAGAGATGGAAAAGGTGAGTGGTAGAATTGATGGAAAGCAGGCATTTCACCAAGCAGATATGAGAGCGATGAGGAAGATGTAGGTATTGGTGAGTGGTCTTGAGGTCCAGACTGGATAGTGAGGGAAGAGGGGTCAGGCGAGGATCAATAGATGGGATGAAATGTGGGAGCCAGAAGGCTAGAGGGGCCTATGATGTAGGACAATGGTGCATTGAGACCCAAGTCATTCTGCTGGGAACACAGGCAGTGGGGGAAGGAATGGAATGACTGGGTTTAAAATCTGTGAGTTGGACTTTCCTGGCTCCCAGGATAGCAAGGCCCTGGGTGTGGCTATAAACATGGTTGATCATGAGTTGGAGGAAGAGCAGGGTGTCAGATCTCATAAGAGGGCAATGCCCTCCAAAACAAGGGACATCTCTCCATTGAAACAGGAGGGAAAAAGGAATTGAGTACACGTGCAGATAGAATTGCATTCTTAGAGAGTGGGACAAAGGACCCGCCTGCTATATGGCTTCTGTTCCCTCCAAAGAGAAAGCCAAAGTCATCGGCTAAGAGTAAGGGGAGATAAGAGGAAGAGGAAGATGTTCAAGGAATGTCTAGAACATGTGAAAAAGTCTTTGAGCAGAATGAGAGAGTGAGCTAATAGAGATAAATGGTAGGGTCACTGGGCAATAGCTAGGATTTTTTTGAGATGAGTAATCAGGAGTTTATAATAGACATTCATCTTCCTACTAGTGATTTTTTTCACAGCAAAGCTCAACTGTATGGTGGCAGGTATGGAGAAGGCAGGTAGAGAGATTCATTCCAAACTGATGTCTTCTAGGCAACTGATGAAAGGAGGAAGAAGAAAGGGACTTGGAACAAGCAAGAAAATGAGCCTAATGGTGGCCCATGTGATCAAATTTGCATAAGGACAGAAGACAAGACCGAAGGAGCTGATGGGTAGAGAGGAGATATTGCTGTCAACAGAGTGGAGGTCTCAGTGGGGAAAGATGAACTCTACTGGAGGTTCAGAAAACAACTGTGAAAGAAATACTTGAGGGTGGGAGCAAGATCTTGACTACAGAGGGCTGCATAGGAGGCAGTGGCATAGGAGGGGAAGATGGGCTTCAGTCAGGACAGTAGTGGGAGTAGGAGGTTCCGAAAGATGTTGCAGCTACAAGTAGGATTTGTTTTCCTTAGAACTGGTAGTGGGAGGTGGTTCCAGAGGACTGTGGAAAGGGTTGGGAGGGAGGCCAATAGGAGAAGCAAGGGAAGGCAGCATGGAACAGGATGGGAATCAGATTTGGAGAGAAGATATGAGACCAGAGGCACTTGCACCCGGAGCAGTTCTCTTCTTTGGCACCAAGTTGTTTCAGTGTCAGAACTGGCTGTGGGTCCAGGTGGTAGCTCCCTATGGTCCCCTGGGATACTGTTCCCATTATATGATAATGTCCAGAGGAAAAATGGGAGTAGCTGCAGAGCTCAGGCATGGAAGATCTCAGGGAAGTCTCTCCTGAAAGCGATCCAGAAGAGCATTTCAGGGAAAAAGGCAAATAGAGAAACAAAATGATATGTTCATTCATTTAGTGAGATATTGAGCACCTACCATTCTGCCAGCCCATCTGGGTCACTGTGATGAACTTTCTATCTGTTGATGGGATCCCATGGAGCTGGCTGCTCAGGGTGATGTCTGTCTGTCTGTCCACAGAACCCCTGACTTTGCTCAGATAGCAGAGGAAAAAAGTAGCTAATGCTTCATTTTGAACCTAGTTTAAGGTGCTCTATGCTATCTGCAGACTGTAATATTTTAATTAAACCCCTCTAAGCCCTTAAAGTGGTAACTGCCTTTTTGGCCTGTTCTCTCTCATTACCTTCAGCATGTTTCAACAGACTGCAAATATACCATCTAATTCTTGGAAACAAGTACAAGATAAATTGATTCTGAAGCTGAGGGCTTTGGGCAGCAAAATCTGACTTTCCGGAAGAGGTGTAAGATGGTGCTGGTGGAGCTTTGTAAGGATTCTCTGCAGGGCTAGAGTTCTGAGTCCACAGGTCCTCTTTGCAAAGGTGGGACGGAATCAGGGCTTTGATTGTCTTATTTTAATTTGTTTAGTAATGTTGCCAGTCTCGAGTGTACTTGTGGGGGAAAAAAACCTATGTCCAGAAACTTCAGGAAAGGCAGAAAAAGGATCCTTAGCCTTGAGAGAAATCCTGGGCATAGAGAAACAGAATAGACATGGCATTGGGAGTCTGATTATCTCTTGTCCCAAAGGTTGAATATTGACCACATCCCAGGCCCTGGGCTGAACCTTCACATCCATCATCTCATATAATTTCATCCTCACCATATCTCAATGAGGTGGTATCATTTGTCCCATTTTACAGATGAAGAAACAAAATCAGATTTTCTAACTCATCCAGACTTAAGCGACCAGCAAATGGATTTAGATCCAGAAGGCTAAGTTCATAAATTTTAAAACCTGACCTCGCTTTAACCATGCCACATTGCCATAGGGCCCAGTTGTATCAAGTGCAATCTAGGAATCTAAGTGTTTCTCAGTACAGAATGAAAGGAGCAATCAGATATACATGGGGGAATGGAGTGGGGGTTCCCCCAGGACTTGTTCAAACTTGATTGAACAGATTCTTGAGCTCAGGATGAGGGAGGAGGAGATCCTTCCAGTGCAGGACTACAGTGAGAAGAAATCTCCTCCCAGGAGGTGATGAGCTAACAAAAAGGAGGTAACAGACCTGTCCCAAAAGCCCCTTGCAAATAACCCTCTGACAACACCTGCTCTGCTTGATGGTGAATGTTTTTCCACCTGCTCCCTCCACTTGCTGTGGCCCTTCAGAGAGGAGGGGCTATGTCAGACACTTTTTTCTCCCCACACTTTTCCTGGCCCATAGTAGGCACTCAATAAATGTTGGAATGAATGAGCTAAGCGCAGGAATGAGTGCATGAAATGAGAAGAGATTCATTATGTCTAGGAGCTGCAGAACCTGCTTCCCAGACCCTCCTAGGAAGGGTGTCCTGGGAAAGGTTTATCATGGCCCTTTCCACACATGGCAAGGAGCTCTAGGATATTTGGCCCCATCAGAGGAAACTAGGTTTGACACCACTTTCATTTTATATAGTTAAGCTTGTTGAGTTTGCTCACTATTTCTTTACTGTTAGGCACTTTGCCTACAATTAGGATAAATTGCCATGTGGGCAGCATGAGAACAGGCTCTTAGAACCTTTTATTAAAATAGCTGAACACTAACGTTAAAGAATGAAGTGGCTAGAACTAAGCACACATTTTTAAAGAAAGCAAATACCTAGGTACAACGTAGTACCTTAACTGTTATAAATCACTACTTAATCTAATTAGTTTAGAAGCTATTTTAAAGAGCTTAATTAGATTAAGCTGTGATTGATAACACTTTATATCTACTTGAGTAGAACACTTCTAATTCACCTTGAATCTTTATGCTTCCAGTCAAAAGCCAGTTTCAGGGATAAGCTGAGTGTGGAGACGGATTTGGGAAGCAGTGAAATCACTCTGGGGGCCTGGCACTGAGCTGAGTCAGGGGCCTTGGCAGAGCTCTTGGGCATAGACATTCTGAGACCTAATGGAGTGGCCTTGACAAGGATATCCTGAAATTCCTCTTCAGGAGGACCAAGGGGGTCACGGAGGAAGGAACTGAGGGGCAGGCAGAACCTGGAATGAGGTCAGACTCCTAGTTAAGCAGCATTAGGTCCACAGCAGCACTCAGCTGGTTTGGAGAATTGGAGTGCAAATTGGGAAACAGACAGGTCAGCAGAGTAAGGCGTGGGCTGCTTAGGTGTCCATAGGTGCCTGCGATCCACCTAGCTTTATGTCAACCTGACAGGTTCTAGCCCACACCCTCTTGACAAAGAGGAATTGCATGATCATAGTGGAGTCGGGGTGTGGGGGTAAGTGGGGCATGCAGAGGGGTCGCTTAGCCTGCCTTAGAAGTTCATCATTGCCTACAGAACAGCAGTCACAGTGCTCCAGGCACTGCGGCTTCCCTTCAAGCCTCCCAAGAACTGTAGAGGAAGGACCCAGGAAGCAGAAGGTTATGTCCAGGGTGGGAACTGTACAGATGCAGTGTCTTCTGGGTGGGGAGTGGGAGGCAAGAAGGGGAACTGGACCTAGTCTTAATTCAAAGGCTTGTCTTTCATCTCCTCTGCAGCCCGCATGTGTGATGCCCACCTTCGAGGCCCCTCGGGCATCATCACCTCCCCCAATTTCCCCATTCAGTATGACAACAATGCACACTGTGTGTGGATCATCACAGCACTCAACCCCTCCAAGGTAAGCCTCTTGGGGAGCGGGGTGGTGTTCTGTGGGCAGGGCTAGGTTGGGGACAGTTGGCCTACAAGGTTTTTCAAACCCAGAACTTACTGATGGTAGATTCTCTGCAGACAGTTCTTTTACTTTTTTTTTTATTAATATCGAGTGGATAAAAAGCAGATTATAAAATATAAGCAAAATATAAAGAACACCAATACAACAAACACCTGTGCAGCCATCGTTCAGCTTAAGGGGAAAAGAAAATCGTTACCTTAGTGATGCAGGTTCCTCACCAATCCTGTTTCATTCCCTACACCCTCAGAGGTAACCATTACCTCAATTGTGTGTTTATTATTCCTTTGTTTTTCTTTATACTTAGCACTTAAGTGTGTATCCCTAAAAATACATTGCTTAGTATGCTAACGTTTGAACTTCATATAAATGTAATCATGTATGTATTCTTAATCAACCTCACTCAAAATTGTGTTCCTAAGATTTATCTAAGTTATTGTATGTAGTTTGTACTTCTACATACATTTTTTCATGTTTATTTCCTGTTGAGTTTTTTTCTCCTGTGCCCTTTGTTCTCTCTTATAAATTTTACAAGTATGTTGCCAAGATCCACAAAATAACCTGTTGGAATCTTTATTTTAATTTTATCAAAACTACAGATTAATTGGAGAAGAACTGATATCTTTTTGATACTGAGTCTTCCAGTTCATGAGTATGGTATATCTCTCTATTTGTTTAGGGTTTCTTTAATGGCTTGCAATAAACTTGTATAATTTTTTCCATTACAGATCTTATGTATTTCTTAATATATTTACTCCTAAATATCTTATATTTATCGTTGCTATTATAAATCAAATCTTTTAAAATTGCACATTCTACTTGTTTCTTGCTGGTGTTTAGAAATGCAATTGATTTTGTACTTTGATTTTTATATTAGCAACTATCTTGTAAAAATGTATCTGAATTCTTTGGGCTTTTCTACATGGATAGTCATCATCTGCAAAAAAATGATGGTGTTGTTTCTACTTTCCATTTCTTATACCTTTTCTTTTTTATTTTCTTGCCTCAGAGTTCTGGTTGGAACCTCCCAGTATAACATCAAATCATTATTATGATGGTGACCCCTATGGTCGTTGTTTGATATTTAATAGAATGTTTTTATTTCTTCACCATCAAACATCATCAAGTATGATGTTTGCTGAAGCTTATTTTTCATTTGTAGATACTCCTTTTATAATAGAATTAGGGAATTTACTTCCTAATCGTAGTTTGCTAAGAGCTTTTATCAAGAATGGTTATTGAATTTTATGAAGCATCTTCCTATATCTATTGATACAATCATATAATTTTTCTCCTTTATTCTCTTAGTATAGCAAATATTGCCTTTTCTCATGTCAAACCAACCTTGCATTCTTAAGATTAACATAACTTGATCATTTAGTATTGTCATTTTTATACATGCCTATATATTGTTTAGTAATTTGTTTCTATTTTGTTAGTGAGCTTGGCCTGTTATTTGTTTTTTCATATTGCCTTTGCCAATTTTTGTGTCAATATATTGCTAGCCTCAGAAAATGATTTGAAGAGTATTTCCTCTCTTTCTATCCTTTGGGGTTATTAGTGGAAGATTGGCATAACTTTTGCCTTGAAAGTTTGGTAGAATTTTTCAGCAAAACTATCGTGGTCTGGTGTCTCCTTTGTTTGAAGATTTTAGACTATAGACTTAATACATGTAATGGCTAGAGAATTATTTTGGTCATCTGTTTTTTTTTTCTTGACTCCATTTTAGTAAATATTAAAATTTATTGGATATAAAGTTATACATACTATCTCTTATTATAGTTATGATACCTGCCATTGTTGTGTTTCAATTCCCTTTTTCATTTCTAATATGTATCATTTTTTAATTGGTATTGGCAGTGGTTTAACATTTGTTAGTCTTTCCAGAAAATGAATTTTTGTTTTCTTACTATTCCTTTTAATATATTTATTTGCTAATTTGTCAGTTTCTGCTCTCATCTTTATTACTTTCTTCCTTCTAATGCACTTGAGTTTATTCTGTTGTTCTTTTTCTAGCATCTTAATTTTGATGCTTTGTTCATTATTTTTCAATCTGATTTAAGCATCAAAGGCTACAAATTTCCCTCTGAGGACTACTTTGGCTACATTCCTACAGATTTTTACAGTTATTTATTTTCTGTTATAGTTTAGTTCTGAATATTTTTTAATTTACATTATTGTTTCATCTTTTAAGCATGAGCTATTTAGAAGTATTTTTTAATTTTCAAAGGATTTTTGTAACTCTCTCTTTCCTACTGTTTCTAAATCTTGTGGTCAGGGAACATTGATCTGTATTTGAATCATTTGAAATTTGTGCTTTTAGGACCAGAAATGGTCATTTTTCACATAGATTCTGTGTAGGCTTGAAAAAAACCCTGCATTTTGCAGTTTTTGTTTTCTAATATGTCCATTACATCAAGCTTGTTAATTGTGTTTGTCTCTTTTATATCTTCATTGATTTTTCTTGTCTTCTTCATCAATCAACGGCAGAGGGAGGAATATTAAAATCTTCCATTATGATGGTGGATTTGCCTATTATTCTTTAAAGTTCTGTCAATTTTTGCTTCATGTATTTTGAGACTGTGTTATTAGAGCATCAAAGTTAAAACTCAGAATTATATATCTTCCTGGTAAATTGAACTGTTTCAAAAATAATTATGTAGTAACTCTCTTTATCTGTAGTAATGTTTTTAACCTTAAAGGCTTTTTCCCTCCATCCATTGCATCAGTTTTCTCTTGGTCTTTGTCTAATAAATATTTTCTATTCTCTTACTGTTAACTTTTCGACTTCCTTGTGCTTTATATGTGTTTTGTGTATAGCTGGATTTTCAAAAATCCCCTCTGACCATTTGTCTTTTAACTAAAGAATTTAGACCTTGTGAATTATACAATCATTTCTATTCTTTGAAATTTGTCCTAAAATACTCTAGAAATAGCAATATGCCTACTTAATAAAGCCTAGCATTAAACAATAATTTTGTGTTCTTCCTGAAAAGCCAAGGATCTTAGGACACTATGACTTTAATCATTCCTTCCAATTCATACTCTATGGTGTGTGTATATTATGTTACCTTAATTTTTTCTCAAGTTATTATTGTTATTGTTTGATAAAGCCACTGTCCACTTAGGTTTACTCATATATTGACCACTTATTTGTTTACCACTCCTTCTTGTATATCAGTCCTTCTCTTTGGAATATCTTTCAGTGCAAATACATGCTTTAAAATTTATTTTCTTGTCAATGATAAACTCTATTAGTTCTTGTTTGTCTTTTTAAAAAATAATTTCAATTTTTATTTTAGATTCGGGGGTACATGTGCAGGTTTGTTACATGGGTATATTGCATGATGCTGAGGTTGGGGTACGGATCCTGTCACCCAGTCTGTAAGCATAGAACCTAATGTGTAATTTTTTCTTTGTCTTAAAATGTCTGCTTACCCTTGTTCTTGAAAGAACGCTAGTATTCACTGGACATTTGATTATCAGTTGATAGTTCCATTCTCTCTGCACATGGAAATATTGTTCTGGTGTCTTCTGGGTTTCACTGTTGCTGTCAGTTTATTGTCATTGCTTTGTATAGCATCCTTCTGGCTGCTCTTACTGTCTTTTCTTGTTCTTTAATGTTATGTAGTTTCACCCTTATGTGTCTAGGTGTGAATATTTTTTGTATTCATCCTGTTTAATTAAGTTTCTTGAATCTATGGATTGTATCTTTCATCAGCTTGGGAAAATGTTTACCCATTATCTTTTCAAATGCTTCTTTTTTCTTCTTCTAGAAGACTGACAAGATATGTTCATCTTTCTCACTCCATCATCAGTATTTCTTAACCTCTCTCATACTTTCTCTCTTTCATTCTGTTCACTAATTCTCTGTTCAGCTGTGTCCAGCCTCTGTTAAATCCATTCACTGAAGATTTATTTTAATTTCAAATGTAGTCTGCACTTTATGAAGCCCTATTTGATTCTTTTTCAAACGTTCTTAGTCATATTGTCATATTTTATAAACTCTTGCTCCATACTCTTATGTTTAGATCATTCTTGAATTCTTTCCATAATTAAACATACTTATTTTATATTTTGTGTCTGTTAGTGTCAATATCTGAAGTTTTTGCAAATTTGATTCTGTTTTTTCTCACCTCTTGCACTCAGAACCATGTTTCCTTCTTTGTTTTATATTGTTTGATTATGTGGTTAGAAGGGTAAATTTTCTCTCTGGTAATTCTTTGAGACCTGGGTGGATGGTGGGTTCTTCCAGAGAGGGTTTGCATCTGCTTCTGCCTAGTGCTGGGGGCATTACCAGCCAGAAACCTCTTCACACAAAATTCTCAGTATGGAGGTTTCAAACCACCCAAGTAATATGAAGGCTGCAAACCCATGTGAAAACTGACTTACTGTTGTGAATTCTCAGTGGAAACATTTTTCTTGTCTACTCAGTGTCAAGGTCTAAGATAAACAGTCAGCCTCCAGATCCTCCCAGAGGGTGGTAGTGACAGGTGAGAAGGAGATAGGCTCATTTCTAATTCACCTTCACACTATGGGTGCAGATTTAACTAACCCAACTCTTTCAGAAGTATCGTATTACAGTCACCATTGTGCTGGGCCCTGAATTTTGTCTCCTGTTCCCTCTTTTCTATGAGTTGCTGAAAAGTGAAGCTATATTGACCGAATTTTTAAAAGGTACTCAAGACCAAAGCCGTCTTCATGTTCTGAATCACATTTTAGATTCCTCCATTCACTGTGTTGAGTATTCCTTATTACACTAATGTAGTCTACTCAGGCTACTGTAACAAAATACTGCCCACTAGATAGCTTAGACAACAGACATTTATTTTCTCACCATTCTGGAGGCTAGAAGTCCATGATCAAAGTGCAACTAAATTCGGTTTCTGATGAGGGCTCTCATCCTGGCTCGTAAATGGCCACCTTCTCACTGTGTCCTCTCATGGCTTTTCCTCTGTGCACACACGAAGAGAGTGCTCTTTGATGCCTCCTCCCCTTCCCATAAGGACACCACTACCATCGGATTACAGCCCCATCCCTATGACCTTATTTAACCTTAATTACTTCCCTAAAAGCCCCATCTTCAAATATATTCACATTGGGGATTCAACATGTGAATTCAGGGGGACATATTATAATTCAATCCTTAACACTAACTTGGAAAAAGCTGCTTTTTTTATTTTTATTTTTATTTTGTCATTTTAAAATTTTACCTAACACTTTAAAATTGTTTGGTCCGGGTGCCTGGAACCACAGTGCTGGGAACACTGGAAGCAGATTTCCTCTGCACAACATTTTACAAAGAAAGATTCACATTTAATTAAATTATTTCATGATGTACCTAGTTAATGGGAAAGGACACTTCAGCCACATGGGGTGAGGGTGGAGGCTAGGCCAGAAGGACTTAATACCATGAAATCATATTAAGTTGTTGACTAGAGGGCTCTTCCTTGGGCACTGTTACAATCCTTATCTCCATTTTCTTTTGAACCTGAAGGTGAGGTGTCGGGGGAAGTCTAAGTAAAGTCTGAGGATTTTCTAAGAAACAATTAGATTCACCCCCAGAAGGCCTAGCCTTGGTCAGTGTGTGGAGACCAGTGACCTCCATATGGTCACTCCCCTACATGCCTTGCAAGAGATCCCACCAGCCTGAGTTTCTAAAGATAGCACCTCTGCAGAGCACCGCTTAGAGTGTGCAGAGCAGTGTTTCTAATATCTCTGTGGGGCCTTGGTGGGCTTCAGGTAGTGCTGAGGGAGCCCAGAAAGGCTGAAGAGAACCCTATCCTGATCCAGGCGGGAGGAGACCCAGGGAACATACAATGCAACAAGGAGGGTCTAAGTGTGGAAACTCAAAGTCTAAGACTGAGGAATAGAAGTTGTCTTCTGGGAAACAGCAAGGACAATGGATGCTGTGTGCCTAACCCTGTTCATGGAACTGGCCTACAGGTGAGATACAGGTGTATCCAAGGACTGCCTATCCACTCACCTTCAGACATCTCCTTCAGCAAAAAGCATAGTCTCTAAGCTCACAGTATGTTTTATGAGATGAGCATTCATTCATTCATTGATGTAGATATGGCCTCTGCCCTTGAGGAGTGTGCACGTAAGAGTGAAGAACAGGTCTGAAAAAAAAAAAAAGAGTGCAGGTAAGTCCTGATGGAGGCATGTCCAGAGCGCTATGGGAAAACTCAGGGAAGAGCTGCTAACTGGGAGATAAGGGAAGTTTTCACAAAGGAAGTGACATGTCAACAGGGTCCTGAAGGATGAGTAGGCTTGGAAATCAGTATCTCAGGGAGGACAAATGTGCAAAGGCACTGAGGTTTGGAATAGCCCCTTAGAACTGGAAGTAATTCAACATGCCTGGATGCAGGTAAGGACAGAAAGGTAAGCAGGATTCAGATCATGGTGAGCCCACATGCTTGGCCCAGAAGTTTGGGTTTTATCTCAAAACACAGATTGCTAAGGCTAGCAGTGTTAGGCTGTTGTTAACAACAATAATAGCTCTTATTGTATGCCTGTCCCATTACAAGCTCTAAGCTAAGCTGTCTATATGAATGATTTTATTTCATTCTCGTAATAGGACAATGAATTTTATTTTAATATACCTATTTGGTAGATAAAGAAACTGAATCATGGAAAGGTTAAAGGTTAGGAAACAGCTGAAGCACAGAGCCAGTAAGTGGCAGAACTGGGATTTAAACCCCGTCTTTCTAGCTCCAAAGCCCATGCACTTACATAGCTGGGCTGTGCTGCTGGATGGAACAAGATCTCAGAGTAGATGAAAGGGGCTGGGCTTCACCTCAGTGGGATGAGCCTGGAAGGACGAGGATCACTCTATCTCCTGAACTAAAGCAATAGCAGGAAGATCTGAGTTTTTGGAAAATTACTCTAGCAGCAATGGAGAAGTTTAGAGGTGGATACTGGAAGGAGAAAGACCAGTTAGGAGGATGAAGCAGTTACCTAAGTAGGAAAAATGGGGACATCCACCAAGGCTTTGGAAATGTGGAGGGGAAAACAGATGAGAGAGATTTAGGAGATAGAGTGGGACTTGGTAGCTGATTGGATGTGGGAGCTGAGGGAGGAAGAGAGGTCTTATTCAATATTGTATCCCAAGTGACCAACGTGGTTCCAGGCACATAGTAGGTACTCGGCCTATATTTATTCCATGAACAGATGAATGATGACTTAGTGCTTTCTGGCTTGGTCCAGTGGTAGAGTTAAAAAGGAAATACAGATGGAGGAACATGCTTTGCAGGGGTCAGGAGAGAAACAGTGCATTTGGAATGTCTGTGGTTCATTCAATGTCATTTGGATATACTGGATGGAAACTCTGGGTAAATCTGAGTTTAAGAGAGAGGTTTGGGTGTTATCTCAGCACGTGGGTGAGAATAGAAGCTTAAGGAATGGACAACATTTCTTGGAAAGACTGAAGAGAATAAGAAAATTCAGAATGGATCTGAGAATACCGTCGTGACAGGAGAAAGAGCAAAATCCAGTGAAAGAACAGAGAAGGAGCAATCTGAGAGGCGGGAGGAGAATCGTGATGCAAACACAGGAAGAGTTTCCAACTAGGGCATGTCTGATCATGGCAACGATGACAAATGTCTTGCTGGAAAAGTGCTAGAAGGAGACCATTGGCTTTGGCCTTGGAAGAAGACTTTGCAGTGAAGCTCTAGGGGCAGCAACAGACAGCAGTAGGGTGGGAAGCAAATGGATGGGAGGTGAGGCTGTGGAGGCCAGGATGGGCAGTAGCCGGCAAGGAACATAAGATAGAGAGAAAGTTTGGGGTTACTTTGGGGCATGTGTTTAAAATATTGGAACTGGAGTATGTTAGTAGGCTTAGGAAAAAATATGCACAGAGGGAGAGAGTGAAGGTACAGGAGAAGAGGGATGGTGACAGAAGGGAGATTCTGGAGTGAGAGGGCCACGGGATTGAGAATGCAGGGCTCCCTTTGCGAGGAGCAGGGGGAGAAAGATGCTGTTGTTAGAAGGAGCTGAAAGGTTTGCTTGTGGGAGTGTAAGAGGGACATGTGTCCCCTTGCTCTCCTCATAGTCATGGAATGATTATGATGCATCCCTGACACCTACGCAGGAGGATCCTTCCTGTAATTCCATCTCCCTTGTAGGACCTCTGCTACCTGGGCTTGGCAAGGAGCTAGGAATGTCCCAGGGACTGGGGCCCTCCAAGGGCAATGAGAAGGCCCAAAGAGAGAAGCAGGGATGCTGTGGTGTGGGAATGGCTAAGAACCTACATCAAGACACCAGCATTAACTGAGCATCTATGGGCTGTGCGCCTCTGCACTGTGGGAACAGGAAGAACTTACAGTCTTATTGGAGAGGCAAGTTAAGGATATGTCTGTACTCAATAAACTAGGAGTAAGGGAAATAAAAACACCCCAGTGCATCCTCCTGGAAACTTCATAGATTCAAGGAACAGAGGAAAGAAGGCTCAGAGCAAGTGATGCAGGCCTACTCCACATGCAGCCTCCATGCCCTCCCTTCGACTGGGATGTCCTCGGGCAATGTTGACCTCACCTTGGGCATTTGGGTTATCTCAGTCCTTATAATATTAATCTGACATTAACATCTGCCTACAATAATTTTTCCCAAATTTCATCAGAAATGCCTTGGAGACACTTTAAAACCACAGATTCCCAAGCTCTTTTCCCCAAAGATCTGATTCAGTGGGTCTAGGGTAGGTACCAGAACTTATTTTTAAAGACGACCCTGGTGGTTCTGACCAGCTAAACTTCTGTCAACAATGCAATTCCTTCTTCCAGCAAAGCACACAGTGGTCTCTCTGCCCCATCTCTCCCTTTGGGCAGCCCCAGCTTCAGCCACACTGAACTCAGGTTCACAGACACACCTGGCCCTTTAAGACCTGTCTGGGCACATCTGGTCCCAGTGTGCCTTCCCTTCTCCTCCAGGCAAATTCCTATCCCCCTTTGAGAGACAGTCCAAACAACCCCTCTTCTGAGAAGCCTTCCTAACTTCATCATGTGTTGCTCCTTCCTGTTCCTACAGCACTTTTTGTTTTCTTGCATTTAGAATCTATTTCCCCCATAGCTCGTGAGCATCCTGAAAGCAGGAATAGCACTTTGTTTATTTCTTCCACAGTTAGCACAGTGCTGGGCATAGAGAAGCAGCTCAGCGATATTTGAACATGTGAGTGACTGTTGGAGGAGGAGCTCCTCTGGGATGGTTCTGCCCATCCCAGAGGCTTGAGATTCAGGCCTTCTTCCTCCAGGGCCTCCTCTTGTTAGGTCCCTTCAGCTCAGCCTCATGGAAAAACAAAGATGTAGACAGGACTGAAACCCAGACCTGCCTTGATGCCCCCTACCTACACACATCTGTCTTTCTTTTGCAGCTTCTCAGTATGAACACAAAACATTTGATCCAATTTGCACATGAGCCTCACTTGATTTGATCAGGATAGTTAATCCACCTTTGCTAGAAAAGAATGAAAAGCGAGACAGAAGAGAGATGGAGAGTGAGGATGGGAGGGAGAGGGAGGGGGCATGGAAGGAAGAGGGAAAGGAAAGCTCGTTATATGAACTTCAAAGCAAAGATAACAGCGTTTTGATTATTCACTCCTTGGGGATTATCACTGTCACTGTTTCCTTTGTAGACCTGAAGAACTGAGAATTAATTCTCCAGGCAGGTGATCGGCAGCTAGTGCAAATGTCAGGGACATACTCGTTGGCCCATTTGTTCACTCACTTATTCATTCAGCAAACATTTACTCAAACACCCTCTCTGTGCCAGGCCCTGTGCAAGACACCTGCGATCAGAGGTTTGCCGTGTGCCTCCACAGCCCCTCCTCACATCTGGGGGACCCTTTAATAGCCTCCTCAAGTCCAAAGCCTCATTCCTTTCCCTTTTACAGCTGTCTCGAAATCATGTGCTGGCATTTCCCCTCGCCCAGATCTGGCTGTGGCCATGTGGTATCCCCACACACCTTCTCTGTTGCTGAAGACAAACCCTGCCCGCTTGCTAGCCAGGATTTTGTGCCCCTCCTGTCTCCCATCCATGCTTCCCTGGTTTGAGCCCTCATCCCACTGTATTGTAGTCTATGTACTCAGGGTCTTCTGTGAAGCTTTCTAGAAACTTAGAGGTCTCTATTGGCAGCAGCCATGTTATCTTGCCTGCCAATGCCCCTCCAAAGCCCGGCACTTGGCAGGTGTGTAACTGTTGAATGAATCAGTGAATAAATGAATCAGTCAATCCATAAGTGAATGAGTCCAAGGGCTTACTGCTCTCAGAACCACCAAAATGAAACCTCAGGTAGTGACCAAAGTTCCAGAACCTCTGACCCTTCTTAGTACCTGCTGGAGGCCTCTGTCCTTGAACTCCTGGGAGTTCAGGTCTTCAGCCTTCCTACTGGCCTCCCCTCCTCCTCACCCCAGGAGTTAATTCTCTAGCTCTTCCCTAGGGCCTCAGCAAGACCCTGGAGGGAATCATGGTTCAAGCTGTGCCCAGGAAAAGTGAGTTCCCTTCCTTTCATGGAGCTAATAGTTACACTGGCAGCAACATTGTAAACTGAGGCTGGGTGGGCCAAGGTCAGCCCTCAGGGGCTCAAAGAAATGCTCTGAGGAGAAATATGGGAGGTAAGGCTGGAGCACAGCATTGTGGCAGGGCCTCTACCTAGCCAGGAAGTGGCAGGGGCAGGCCTTGCAAAGCCCACACTTTCCAAGCCAAGATGCTGAACTCTATCCTGCAGTTTCAAGAGTTGGCAAACTCTTCTGCGGTGACAAACACCTGTCTTCAGAACCTGTAGCCATTAGGTCGTAATTGACTGGGAGGTGCAGAAAATTCCTCTGCAGAAGCTTAAAAAACACACCGTTTATTTTCTCCACATACCAAAAGTCCAGAGGCAGAAAGTCCAGGGCTGGCTTGGTGGTTCCCTCCGGGTCTCATGCTCCTTGTATTTTTCCCTCTGCTGCTTTTCATATGACTCTCATCCTCATGATCACAAGAAGGTTGCTCCCTCTCTGTCCTCACATCTGTATTCCAGGAAAAGCAAGGAGAAAGATGAGGAAATGGTCTGAGGACTCCTCAACCCATGTTTCCTTGCCCAGAGCTCTGTCACATAGACATCTTTAGCTCTGAGATTGGCAAGATACATACATTGCCACACTCCCAATAAAGTTGGGGTTCTGTTAGGGAGAAATAAATGGAGGAAGGGACATTAAGTAACCCACTATCCATGGTGTTCACAGCATCCCAAATTATGAACTAGATCAAAATGGAGCTGTTTTGGTTTAAGCAGAGGCTTCCCTCCTCTGGCTCCTCTTCCACCCTTGTGGGTTGGCCCTGGAGTACCTTTATGGAACCCTGGGGTACCTGGGAGCCCAGTTTGAAAACCATTGCTCTAGGGAAGCCATCAGCAAACTTCTTCTGTAAAGAGCTAGACCATAAATATTTTAGGCTTTAAAGTCCATGTAAGGTCTCTGTTGCATATTCTTCTATGTTGTAGGTTTTGTTTTTTCACTCATTGAAAGTGTAAAAAATCATTCTTAACTCCAAAGTCCACAGGTCCACATATAAAAATAGGCTATAGGACAGATTTGGTCTGAGAGCTAGTTTTCCAACCCCTGCTGTAGGAGATAGGGAGGTGCTAAGAGCATTTGGTACAGAGTGAAGGATGGGCTGCAGAGACAGACAGCCCAGTTAGGAAAGTGTTGTAGCAAAGCAGTCCTTAAACAAAACAGCCTCAGTCTACATCTCCCGGGACTCTAGCTTCCCACAAGACTGCCCTGAGCTGGCAGATCCTCTGCAGGCTTGTGCAGGCTTTGGGCACATGCTGGCAGCACCTGGAGTCCTGTCTTTTGGCTAATCCTGGACAGCACGTGGCAAGGGGAGAATGTTCTCCAGGGCCTCCAGTGGGTGTCCTCCAGGGTCCCACTCCATCTCCCATGATTCTCAGGACAAGGTGGCTGTGACACCCCCTAATTTCTCCTCATGCTCTTGGACCCTGCATCAGCCTCCACTGGTCTCTCTGCCTCCAATCCTCCCTTCACACTGAATTATAGCTTCCCATCGACTTGACCATGAAGTCCAGACTGCCTGCTCTGGCTGTGGGTAAAATCCCCTGCAGACTCAGCCAGGCTCTTCTTCCTGTCCCACTCTCCTTGGCCCTTCACTTCTCACAGTGTAGCCTGGGCTGAGCCCACACACACCCTTCTCCATCCCGCCAGGCCCAGACCCACCTCCTCTATGGACCCCCTTCCATCTCTCTCCTCTTTGCACTCCTCCAGCACTCACCATCAGCACCATGTCCTGGGCATTTAGATTCTACTCTAAATTGTCAGGCAAGCAAGATAACTTATGGGAAGCAGCTAGCTCTGGGCTTGGCACATGGCAGGTGCTCAGTAATTATGTCCTAGATGATGGGTTTGTTTATTCATTTATCTAATGGGTTTAAATTGGGTGTCTGAGCTGTATACAAATGTGCCTCTTTGATCATGCCTATTTCATGTGCTGCCATTTCTCCTGCCTCCGAAAGGCGCTTTGTGAGCTTGATTGATCTGCATGTTAGTTAATGAGTCATTATAGGAGCCTGTCTTTAAACAAAGGCCAAAGCAGAGAAGGAAAAAAAGAAACGAAAAAAAGAGAGTGCTAGTACATTGTGCACTAGAGGCTCGTCCTGAAACTGCAGCATTGTGTATGTTGAACAGTCTTCTTGTGTAATTAGCTCCTGCATCAGGGTCGGCACTCTGAAATGTGGTTCACATCAATGGCAGCTCTAACCAGTGATGTGAATCATTTTATAGCTCTGGGTTCTGGCCTTCAAAGCAATATTTTCCCATTATAGGCGTAATAATCATACACTCCCTTTTTGGAGGTGGCTGGGTGAGCCGTGTCCTCTGCCCCAGGGCTGGCTGGAAGGGGCTGATATGGTGAGAATATGCAGCCGGGCCCCTCAGTCCCTGCAGAGCCCAGGCCCTTCCTCCAGCAGAAGACACTACCTGCCTTGTGGTGTTTTATATGCAGCAGCTGTTTCCTGACCCCCTGCTGGGACCCAGAAAAAAGAACTCAAGGAAAGTGTGAGAGAAAACAGAGGCTTAAGTCATGCTTCCTACCTTGTGGGCCTGTGACCTTGTTGGAACATCATGAGGCAGTAGAGCAGAGTGACAAAGAGCCTGGCCTCTGACTGCCTGCCTGGTGGGAGTCCCAGCTCTACCACTTGCCTGTGTGACCCCAGGCAAGTTGCCTAAATTCTGTGCCTAGCCTGTCCCATTTGTGAAATGGAGGTACTCAAAATAGCTATTGTGCTGTATTGGGGGAACCTGCCCCTAATATTTAGACATCGATTCTTTCTATTTTCCATAAGTGTCAGCTGGCTGAGAAATAAAGAGAAAGAGTACAAAGAGAGGAATTTTACAGCTGGGCCTCCAGGGATGACATCACATAACAGTAGGACCGTGCTGTCCACCTGAACCTTAAAGCCAGCAAGTTTTATTAAGGATTTCAAAAGGGGAGGGGGTGCAAGAACAGGGAGTAGGTCACAAGATCACATGCTTCAAAGGGCAAAAAGGAGAACAAAGATCACATGCTTCTGAGGAAACAGGACAAGGACAAATTCAGAACTACTGATAAGGGTCTATGTTCAGCTGTGCAGGTATTGTCTTGATAAACATCTTAAACAACAGAAAACAGGGTTCGAGAGCAGAGAACCGGTCTGACCTCAGATTTACCAGGGTGGGTTTTTTTCGCCACCCTAATAAGCCTGAGGGTACTGCAGGAGACCAGGGCTTATTTCAGTCCTTGTCTCAACCACATAAGACAGACACTCCCAGAGCGGCCATTTATAGACCTCCCCCCAGGAATGCATTCCTTTCCCAGGGTCTTAATTATTAATATTCCTTGTTAGGAAAAGAATTTAGCAATATCTTCCCTACTTGCACATCCATTTATAGGTTCTCTGCAACAAGAAAAATATGGCTCTATTCTGCCCAACCCTGCAGGCAGTCAGACCTTATGGTTGTCTTCCCTTGTTCCATGAAAATTGCTGTTATTCTTTTCTTTCTCAAGGTGCACTGATTTCATATTGTTCAAACACACGTTTTACAATCAGTTTGTACAGTTAACACAATAGTGGTCCTGAGGTGATGTATACTCTCAGCTTACAAAGATAACAGGATTAAGAGATTAAAGTAAAGACAGGCATAAGAAATTATAAAAGTATTAATTTTGGGAACTGATAAATGTCCATATTAAAATGAAATCTTCACAATTTACATTCAGAGATTGAAGTAAAGACAGGCGTAAGAAATTATAAAAGTATTATTTGGGAACTGATATATGTCCATATTAAAATGAAATCTTCACAATTTATGCTCCTCTGCCACAGCTCCAGCTGGTCCCTCCATTCAGTGTCCCTGACTTCCCACAACAGTGCTGCATTTCTCATGAGTTGATATGTGTAAAGTGTTCAGAACAGAATTGAGCACATTGTAGGTCTCAGCTCTTGGAGTGATGAAATCGCATAAGAGAAGATGATCAAAGACTATGATTGTCTTGAAGAATCTCCTAGACCAGGGATCAGCAAACTATAGCCTACAGGCCAAATACAGCTCTTTGCTTGTTTTGTAAATAAAGTTTTGTTGGAACACAGCCACACCCATTCATGTACACATTGTGTATGGCTATGTTCATGCTACATCAATAGAGCTGAATATCTGTGATACAGATCACATGACACACAAAGGGGGAAATATTTACCATCTGTCCCTTTACAGAAAAAGTTTGCCAACTTTTGTTCTAGATGGTAACCACTGTGAGGGGTCTGAGAGCCTAGCAATCCATCCATGCTAGAGAAGCAGGAAAGCTTTGGAAATTGTTCTCCCAGTCTACATTTTTTCAGCCCCTGGCATGGGCCTGGCCCACCGACAGGAACTGGTACAGAGGCAGTGAGGCCTGACCCCTGCCCTCCAGGAGTTCATGGTGTAGTGGAGGAATAAGTAAACAGACCCATCACAGTCCAGCAGGTAAGTGCTAAAACAGACGAGAGGAAGGGGCTGAGCAGGGGCTGCTCCCCTTGTCAAGGTTAGTCAGAGAGAACTGAGACAAGTCAGGCTCACAGATGAGAAGAAATATTCTAGGGCAGTGACAGGGAGCAGGAAGAGCCTGCGTAAGTCAGGGTCATGAATAGGCTGCCCTGGTGTGAATGCCCAGGACTTCAAGTGGCCACACAGGCTGTGCAGTGGAGGGCAGTCAGCAGGGAGCAGGTGCAGAGATGCCCTTCTTATGTTTCATGCTAGGAAATGAGACTCCAGGAAATGTTCTGTAAAGCAGGAGTGTGGAGTGTGAGAGATGGGTGGGAGATCCCAGCCTGAGGAAATGATCCCATGATGATGCCATTAGCCAACAGGGAACATTCTGGATAGGAAACCCAGAAGGGCCAAGGAATCCCCACTCACTATTGACAAATCCCATCTCCTCTTTAATAACTCGCTCCAAACACTGATTGCTACAGGCTCACACCCCGCCTCACCTAGACGTTGCTGCAGGCCCACATCCTACTTCACCTAGACCTTGCTACAGGTCCACATCCCACCTCACCTAGACCTTGCTACAGGCTTACATCCCGCCTCACCTTGACCTTGCTACAGGTCCACATCCCGCCTCACCTAGACCTTGCTATAGGTCCATACCCTGCCTCACCTAGACATTGCTACAGGCCCACATCCCACTTCATCTAGACCTTGCTACAGGTCCACATCCCGCCTCACCTAGACCTTGCTACAGGCTCACATCCTACCTCACCTAGACCTTGCTACAGGCCCACATCCCACCTCACCTAGACCTTGCTACAGGCCCACATCCTACCTCACCTAGATCTTGCTACGGGCCCACAACCCACTTCACCTAGACCTTGCTACAGGTCCACACCCTGCCTCATCTAGAACTTGCTACAGGCTCACATCCCACCTCACCTAGACCTTGCTGCGAATTGGACTCCGAGCTTTCAACTCTCCCTCAATGCTCCTGCTCCTAGAACAAAAATCTCATGTCATGCCTTTACTGCCAACCCTTCCATAACTCCCCGTTGACTTTAGGACAAAGCCCAAAATTCTTAGCATTACCGGCAGCCTCTCATAATCTGACTGCTCCTATTTCTCTCCTATCGCCACCCTCCACCACCTCCTTGCTTAAACAACTACTCAGTAGTTAGACCTCTCTGGATAAGTCATCCTGTTCCACACCGCTGCCTTTCCCTCTGCCTGGGTTGCTTTCCCTTCCATATCCATTGGTTGAACTCCAGTTCATCTTCCAAACTCAGCCTGAGTTTCCTTTCCTCCAAGAAGCCTCCTTTAACCTTTCTCCCAGTCAAAAGCAATCACTTCCTTCCTCTTCTGTGTCTATCTGTAGACCCACTGACGTGCTCACAGATACTATTATCCAGAGATGCATCTTTCTGTGACTCTCAGGCCACTGCAGAGGGGCCCTGCATAGACACTACCCAGGCTTATGAATGAGGGCAGTGTCAGTTTGCCTCTGGGATACCTGAGAAAGCACCTTGGGGTAAGGCTCTGCAGGGTCCCTGGCAGGATGTGGGTGCTGAACGGTTTGATTTGGATGGAGGAAACCTGCAGAAGGCGTCAGCCACAACTAGGAAAAAATATCCACAGAAATTATATACTCCTTGAGTTGTAGAACAGAAAGCAAAGGAGCAACTTCAGTCTCCCTGTTGGGGGAATGAGGATCATCATCAGATTGAAACCAGACTGAAACAGACAAAAAGAGATACAGATTAGACATCAGGAGTGAGTGCCTGTGTGTGTCCTGTCCTTATGAATGGCACCATCCCCCACCCAAACAATTGCACAAGCCAGAAACCTGCAACTTATCCTGGATCTTTCCCTCCCCTCAGCACCACATGCATCCTGTCTCAAAGCCCTAAATATCACTAGGACCCTCCCTCTTCTCCGTCCACACTGCTACTCTTCCATCGTTCACCTGCACTACCAAAAAAGCCTGCAACCATCCTCACTCCTGCCAATGAGTTCCACACATACTGCCACACTGACATTTTCTCAAACACCTATGCGTCCCTGTCACCCACTATTTAAAACTCTACTGCTCCTCCCCTGGCATAAATTCTAATTTTGGAGGGTAGAGGTATGAGACCTTTTGAACCAAACTCCAGGAAAACTTTTCAAATTCCAGACCTTCCCAAGTCACCTTCTTGCACTGAAGGCCCAGTCACATTATCCCCGAGAGCCAGGCAGCTAGCAGGTATGTTCAGTTTGTAGATCTGCTAGCAACAGACACTGAATAATTTCTTCTGGAATGTTCCATCTCTGCCATAGCTCAGGCCCTGTGCACCTGACTCCTTCCCAGAGCATCCCCCTCCCTCCCTCTCCAAGCATCCCCCTTTGGCCTGATGGGGTCATCAGTAGCCTTCAGAATTTCCTCAGACACCCCCATCTCCAGTAGCACCTGCCCCTGACTCCAGCTGGGTGAGCCATAGGCTCCTCTTCGCTCCCACAGCCCCCTGTAGCATCCATCCCACCCCAGTGCTGTGGTTATCAGTTTGCATTTCTATCTCCCCTTCTTAGCGAGGGCAGATACCATGTCATGCTCACTGTGGAAACCCACCGCCCAGCCTGGCATATGGGGAGTGCTTAGTAAATATTTGTGGAAGGCAGGATTAAAACAAGAGGGGGGAATCTTGTTGAAATCTCTTTCTGAGAACATTCATTTATTCAACAAATAAACAAAAAGGATGGAGAAAAGCAGTCAGAGGAGAAGACGAGAGAAACTTCTGCAGGTCCCTGGGGGCAAGAGAGCTGAGATTCCACATGTGGCCTGAAAAGTTGCCAACAAGCCCATGGGGATTTCTGTGCATTAAGGCGTGAAGAAAGAGTCTAATCATCTCGCTGTTGGCCAGATGTGCCCGGTTGCTGTGACAGCCACCAGAATTGGCCAGATGTGCTATGAACATCTTCAGAAACATCAGGGGGCCCTGGAGACTGCATGGCCTGGAGAGAAATAGTTCACACTCATTAAAGTGGGACAGAAATGGTCAGTTTGTTTAGGATGGTGTCACCAGTGACTCTGAGCATTGGGACATAACACAGAAAATCCTTCCTCCCCTCAAGGCTTTGGAAGGCTTCCTCACAGCCCCTGCCTGCTCCTAACCCTGTGTTCCCTCCCTAGGTGATCAAGCTCGCCTTTGAGGAGTTTGATTTGGAGAGGGGCTATGACACCCTGACGGTCGGTGATGGTGGTCAGGATGGGGACCAGAAGACAGTTCTCTACATGTAAGTGCAGTGGGGCATGTTGTTTGGAAGGTGGGACGGTGGCTGGGGTTGGTGGGGTGGGGTTTGTGGAGTCCTGCCTGGTCCCTAGACCATACTACAGCAAAGACAGTATCCTGCAATGTTCCTAGTTTCAGCAATAATCCTTCTACCTCTCTCTACTCTGACCAAGGGGAAAAGAGCACTGGGCACCTTCTCACTGAATTCATATGAAATGTGAATAGAATGAGCAGTCTGTTAGGGGGCAGGGGAGATCGAGGTTTTGTGGATGAACCTGGAGCCTTCCACTGGCTGGCTGCTTCCATGCAGACCTTGATTCTGCCACCCTGACAGTTTTTACTCCAGGCCACATCCAGCCGTGGCAGCCTGACCTCAGACAGAGATAATGGAAATGAGTTGCTAACCTTTCTGCATGCTCAGAGCTCCCTGGGAAATGGATGGTTTCAGAGAATCAGGACCATATAGACATAGTGGCCACACTTCCTGAGCCAAAAAAGACCAGTATGACATGTTCCAGACAAGGGAGAGGAGAATATCAAGCTGTCATGGGATTCTGCTATGTTGAGTCTGTGCTCTTGGGGACCATTTAGCTTCTCTTTTGCCCACCACCAATAGCCTGACTTGAAAACCAGGAAAAAGGCCAAGCGTGGTGGTGTATTGATGTAATCCCAGCACTTTGGCAGGCCAAGGCAGACGGATTGCTTGAGCTCAGGAGGTCAAAACCAGCCTGGGCAACATGTTGAAAACCCATCTCTACAAAAAATTCAAAAATTAGCTGGATGTGGTGGTGCACGCCTGTATAGTCCCAGCTACTCAGGAGGCTGAGGCAGGAGGATAGCTTGAGCCTGGGAGGTTGAGGCTGCAGTGAGCTGAGAGCATGCCACTACACTCTAGCCTGGGTGACAGAGTGAGATCCTGTCTAAAAAAAGAAAAAAAAAGTCAGGAAATGCTTCTGCTCAGGACATGTGGCTTAGCTTCAGAGACAAACACCCTGACCACATCCATCTCCCTTCCAGGAAGGAGGTGGAGTGTCACCAACATTAAACACCTACCATGCTCCCAGGCACTGGGATGGAAACTTTTGCATCAATTATCTCGCTTAAGCCCTGGTGTTATTATTCTCTTTTAACAGATGGGGAGACTGAGGCCCAAAGGTTTCAGAGAAGGTTGATAGCAGAACCAGCACTCAAGTTCATGTCTTTTGATTTCAGCCAAGGACAATGTCCCATGCCACACTCCTTCCCAACAAGGCTAGCTCCAGGATATCTCCTTCTGGTTCTAATGCTGAATGAAAAATGGCCATTTAGTAACAGCTGGCTTGTCCTGAGGCTGTTCTTTTCTGGGTGTTTTTCACAACTTCCCTACACCTACCTGGAGATGATGCTATACAGGCAGTTACATGACTCATCTTATCCAATGGTACCCACTGAATCAGGTGACATGGCTGGGACTTGGGATTTCTCCAGACAAAGGAATGGAATGTGAGCCCACAGGGCATTCTCCCCCATGCCTAATTCACTGTATTAGTGAGGGTTCTCCAGAGAAACAGAACAATAGGAGATAGAGATAGATAGATAGATGATAGATAGATAGATAGATAGATAGATAGATAGATAGATAGATATTAGAGAGATGATAGACGATTGATTGATAGATGATAGATGATACACAGATAGATGATAAATAGATGATAGATGATTGATAGATGATAGACAGATAGATGATAGATAGATAGATAGATAGATAGATAGATAGATAGATAGACAGACAAACAGCAAATAGATAGATAATTTGTTGTAAAGAATTGTCTCATGTGATTTTGGGAGACTGACAGGTCCCAAGATCTTCCAGGTGAGTTAAGAAGCTAGAAACCCAGGATAGTCAATAATGGAGTTGCAGTCCAAATGCCAGTAGGTTCAAGATCCAGGAAGAGCTGATGTTACAGTTCAAGTTCAAAAGCCAGAAGTGAGCTGATGTCTCAGTTTAAAGCCAATTGGACAGGAGGAATTCTCTTATTCAGGGGAGGGTCCATCTTTTTGTTCTGTTTGGCCCTTCAACTGATTGGATGAGGTCCACCCACCTTGGAGAGGGCAATCTGCTTTACTCAGTCTGTCGATTTCAGTGTTCATCTCATTCAAACACACTCTCACAGAAACACCCAGAATAATGTTTGACCAAGTAGCTGGGTACCCTGTGGCCTAGTCAAGTTGACACATAAAATTCACCATCACACTTACCTCTCCCCCTCACTTGGTGCATCCCCATCACTCATTTTCTGCCCTAGTTTACTGACCCATATGGTGCCTCAGCTCTTTGTGCCCAAGAGACTAGGATCCCAGCTCTCTTTCCTCCCACAATCCCAATGTGCTTTGACATAGAGAGAACCTTAGAATAGCAGAACTTTTGAAAAGGCTATTGAGGATCATACCATACAATCCCCTCATTTAACATAGAGTGAAAAAGCCCAGAGAGGCTCAACCACTTGCCCAAGGTCCCACAGCAAATGAATGGTGGACTCAGAGCCTGGTGCTGTAATTGGGTCAAACAGAGGAAAAGCAGGGGTCCCAGCCTTTTCCCTTGCTCATCAGCACCCCAGAGTCAGGAGCCAGCACTGGCCTGGCCACAATCCTTACTCAGCTTGTCAGAGCCCAGGCTCAGGGATGTCACACAGGCCAGGCTGTTGGATCCCATGTGCTCTATCCGAGCTCCACTTCCATATCCCCCATGGTGTGATGACCTCTCTGCAGCTGACTCAACAGCCTCCCAAGCTCTGAGACCCTGGGTGAAGCAGAGATTAGGACTCATTAGTTCAGTTGCCCACTCCACAACCCCCTGCCTCCATCTGTGCTGGTAATTTGTCTGATCTCAACAAAAGAATGAGGTTGGATTTCTTCTGGAAATCCCAGCCTGCACAGGGGACCCCTGGCTCTGCCACTGTATCAGGTTGACCTTGGAGAAGCCACTGCCCATTCTGCACTTCCATATTCTCATTGTACTATGGGCTGACAACCCCTACCTTCCTGGCAACAGGGCCATTAAATGAGATAATGGGTAGGAAATTGATAAGTGCAGTATCTTACATGGGTAGGTGCTTGGGGTTGGGATTGTGAATTGAATCCCCCCCTCCCCGCCCCCACACCCATGCTTAAACCCTCTTCTTCAATAAGAATGTGGCCCTCAGATAATGACTACACTCTAAGCCTTGTTCCTTATCCTGGAATGGAAGGAGATGTCTCATTGAAAGAATGGCTTGGGTTCCAACTGGAGAAATGGGTTTCTGTGAGGGGAAACCCACATAAAGACAGCAAGGAGGTGGGGGTGGCGGTGGTCTTTTCTGCAATACAGGTCACACAAGAGATCAAAAGTTGCAAGAATGTAGACACCCTCTTGATTGGATTTGGCTCCAACTATCCCTGTCCCCTGAGCAAGTAAGGACACAGATCTCCCTTGTGAGCCCAAGGGTCAGGGCTAGAGAGTCAAAGTTGTGATTCAACCCATGAGATTCTACCCACAGCCAAGGGGAAGACAGGATGAGTCTTCCCAGCACAGGGAGAGCATGCTGCTGGGCTCCAGAGTCAGAAACACAGTGGGGCCCAGAATTTGCCCGAGCGGGCCTGGATCCTGGATAGTCCTTTAAATGTCATCGGTCAGGCAATCATTCTATTCGGGTGTCATGGTGGAGAGCACACCTCTAAATATCTCTCTCCTGCCAGCCTGACAGGTACATCGGTCCCGGATCTCATTGTCAGCACCAATCATCAAATGTGGCTCCTCTTCCAGACTGATGGCAGTGGCAGTTCCCTGGGATTCAAGGCTTCTTATGAAGGTAACTGCTTTTGGCAAGCCAGATGAACTGTGTCCTGGGAGTCAGAGACGGGGTCTGGATTTGCAGTCAGAATTTTTTTTTTTTTTTTTTTTGAGACGGAGTCTCACTCTGTTGCCCAGGCTGGAGTGCCGTGGCACGATCTTAGCTCACTACAGCCTCCGCCTCCCAGGTTCAAGTGATTCTCCTGCCTCAGCCTCCCGAGTAGCTGGGACTACAGGCGCACACCAACATGCCTGGCTAATTTTTGTATTTTTAGTAGAGACGGGGTCTCACCATGTTGGCCAAGCTGATCTCGAACTCCTGACCTCAAATGACCCACCTGCCTCAGCCTCCCAACGTGCTGGGGTTACAGGCGTGAGCCACCATGCCCGGCCACGGGATCCTGGTTCTCCCCTGCACTAGCTTCCTCCCCCTTAGGCATGTTATTCCACTTCTCTGAGCCCCAGCCACCTCTTTGTTCTGAGGGCCTTCTGGTTGTTTTGAGGATTATCTGGGATAAAACACTTAAAATGCTAGGCACCCAGCATCAGATGCACACCTCAGTTCCATCCCCAATTCATACCTGGTTCATGGAGACTTTTAAGAGGCCTCACTTATTTTTAAAATCTTTAGAGAGGACAATAGCTTCCCAAGATACCCTATTGGGTTGCATGTGATGAATGAGTGACTCTGTGCATAGGGCTAGGAACAGATAAACACCACTGTTGGTGGCCTGAGAAAGATGCAGACAAGAGTCTTCATCTCTTGCTTAGAATAGGCATTAAGGGAACTGCAAACCCTGGGGCCCAGGAGATACCCTCAACATCACCCTTCTGACCACTTCCAAACCCCCTTTGGCCAATAACAGCTAACGCCAGTCCCTACAAAGGTGGAAGGAGAAGCCATCCACAAGTTACTGTTAAGCCCCTCTTAGGTACTAGACGCTAGACCAGCACAAGGGGGACAGACACATCAAGTCTAGGCATCGTCTCAACTGACTTGTGCTCTAGTGGCGAGATGGAGGGGAAAGCAAACGAAGTGGCATGCAAAAGAGCTGCCTGGACAGTGCCAGTGGGAGCACAGAGAAGGGAGCAGACATCTTTTCAGGAACATCTGAAAGGGGATCAGGAAAGCGCTTTGTCACAAAAGTGAGCCTAAAGTCCTCAGAATGACTAGGTGGCTACTAGGGAGACAGGCCCAGGGAGCGGGGAGAAGGTGTCCCTTCAGTGTGGCTCACACAGCATACCCCCAGTGTACCATAGGTTCCTCCTGCTCCAGGACCTGTACTCTGTTTCGAAACTGGGTACAGGTACACAGGAGGTGTATTCGTGTTCTTGGGCTGGCTGGCTTCACACAACGGACATTTATTCTCTCACATTCTGGAGCCTGGAAGTCTGACGCCAAGGCTCAGCAGGGCCATGCCCCCACTATGGGTAGAATCCTCCCCTGCTTCTCCCTAGCTTCTGGTGGTGGCTGTGAGTCCTTGCTGTTCCTTGGCTGTAGCTGCATCACTCCAGTCTCTGCCTTTGTCATCACACAACCTTCCTGTGTGTCTCTCTGTCCTCTTCTTATAAGGACACCAGCATATTAGACTAAGGGCCCTCCCTACTCCAGCATGGCTCCATCTTAACTTGATTACATTTGCAGCAACTCTGTTTCCAAATAAGATCACATTTATAAGTACCAGAAGTCAGAACTTCAGCACGTCTTTTTGGGGAACACAGTTCACCCCATAACAGGAGGCTAGCCCATACTACACTAACAATGTCATACAATGATGTCTCCTGGGGTAAAGATGACAGCTATACTGAGATTTTTTAAGAATAGGAGGCCATGTGTCTAGGGAAGACAGAACAACAGACAGAAAATACTTATGGGGTGACAGACTCTGAGTGCAGATCCTGGTTCTGTCACTTTCTAGCTCCATGGCAGGTCATGGAACCTTTCTCAGGATCTGTTTCTTCATCTGTGAAACAGAGATAATAATACAACCTAGGTCTCAAGGGTCCTGTGAAGATGGTTAGATTAAGAAATGTGAACATAAGAAATGTTGCAAATTGCAAAGCAATTAGTGAGTAACTAATGAGCCAGTACACAGGTAGTTCAATGAGCGGGCTGTTCCGGTGCATAAAGTTACACATAAGCAGCTGTGGGGCTATGAGAGGAGCAGCAGACAAAACTATCAGGAGACCTTGATTCAGGTCCAAGCCCTGTCACTCACTACTTTGAAAAGGGGAATGGAGATGGATGCAAAGTTGCTAAGTTTTCACCCATTTCAGAAATTCTATGGATGTTCAGCAGTGAATGTTCCCAAAAGCAGGGAGAAATGATTCCATGTCATCCTCATGCCCTTAATCTGTCCATATTTTGCCAACGGTTTGAATAAGAAGTAAATAGCGTGAACTTGAAAGGGATGACAATACTAGTCAGCAAACAGAGTGCAGAAAGATCTGGGTGGGGTAGAGCCATTGACTAAATTAGTAGGAAAAGATAAAGTGGGAATAAATATCAAGTCATGATTTAAGACTTAAAAAGAAATTAGCTACTGGAATTTATCCCAGGAAGTTAGTTGTGCTTTATCCTGCCCTGAGCAGGCACCAGAGAATTGAGCTTAGATGTGGGACCTCAGCTTGGGATAGATAAGGAGAGGATTTAAGGCAATTCCTGTAAGAAATGTTGATGGCCCCCGAATGTTTATGCAGGAGAAGAAGTGGACTTGGGAGATTTGAGAGCTGTGTCCAGATATCTGAAGGGCTTTCATGTGGGAAAGAGGAATTAGATGCATTTGGTGTGATCTTGTTGGAAAAGAAAGGGACATACCACTTGTTGAAAGCCTGCTATGTGCCATAGCTTTATGTTCATTATCTCAGGGTTTTCACAGTGTCTTGCAAAGACCTGCGGTACCCTCCAGGGACCTCCATGGTAGGATAGGGCATGCCCAGGATGGAGGGTTCTGACCACCCTGCCTCTGTTTCTTCTCCTTTCTTCTCTTTTGCTCTTTGTAAGCCTTCTTTTAAGAGAGGATTCATAGCTAACCACTGGCTTGAAAGACATTACTTCATCTCATTCATTGCTTACAATGATAAAATGGCTGCTATTTTATGGATGAAGAATCTGAGACTCAGAGGGGTGAAGTAATCTGCCTGAGGTCACACACAAGTGTGGAAAGTAGCAGAGCTGGGATTTGAACCCATGTCTCCCTGGCTTCAGAAGCCCATGGATTTTCCCCTTGCACCAGAAGCCTCCCAAGGTTACATAATTTCAATTCCTTATAAAATCTTTAATAGAAGCCAAAGCTTTGCCCCAGTCAAATAGACCAAGTATCATGAGCCTGGATTCCATGTCACCAGAGGTTGGGGAGTTAGTTCACAAGTTCATTTGTCCATTTCACTCAGCCAGTATTGGCTAAGCTTTTGTTATGTGACCAACATTTTGCTGGGTGCTGTGATTATAATAGCTAGCAGCTTGGATGTGGTATAAAGCATATGCTATGTGAATGCTGCTCATGGACTAGGTGTCAGCAGGACTTCTCCTTGGAGCCGTGACAAATTAGGAAGGACAGTCTGGGTGTTTAGAGACATGGCAAACCCACAGGGACTACGTCAGGTTCTGTGCACAGAGGCAGTGGATTCTAGAAAATAGCACAGACTCTGAAATTGCACCAGACCTAGTAAATCCCAGTGTGGTCCCAGCTGTGTAAGCTTGAGTCTTGTGGTCTCTCTGAGCCTCAGTTCCCCGACTTGTACAATGGAAATAATGATGCCAATCTGAGAGCGTTGTTAGGAGAGTGAAATGAGATCTCAAAGCTCCTTGCACATTGCCTGGCATAGAGATGGTGCCTTCCCTGGGGGTGTCACCAAAGTTTCTCTCCAGCCAAACCTTCCACATTTCTTGTCCTCCAGGCCAGGCACCTGGATCTGCCTCCAGGTGCTCTGATAGGCCCTGGGTTTAGGTCCCTGCCTTACACCAGCACTCCCCACCTAGGGCCCTCCCTCCCCATACTGGCAGAGAAATGAGGTGGCTCTGTAAGGCCTCAGTGCAGGGCGTGGAGCCAGAAGTGGCAGGAGGCAGAATCAGGCTCGCAGGAGCCTGGAGGCCTCACAGTGCGTTGGAACCTGGCTCAGTGAAAATTCAAGGGGCTAAGTTGGGTGGGCCACTTTTTTGTTTTTGTCCCTTCCACCTTTGACTTTTTATATGAGGGGCAAAGCCCATCATTCTCACACCCTCCTGGTGAGGAGCCCCCTCTACTATAAAAAGGTGGGTGGGTTGAGTCCCCGGCACCCCGATGTGACTCCCTGTCCTTGCCCATCCTGCTCCTTGGGCTCCTATCACCTCCACCTCCTGGTTTTCTTTTACCTCTCTGGCTGCTCCTTCACAGCTCCTCCATGGCTCCCCACTGCCCCTCAGAGTCTATCCTCAGCCTTCAGTCCTCTTATTCTAGAACCTTCTGCAGTTGATCACGTGTACTTCCATGGTTTCAGCCTCAACCCAAACTCTGGTGACTTCCACATCTGTTCTCCACTTGCATTTCAGTCTTCCTGTTACACATTTTGATATGGCTTCCCTCTCAGCTGTCTCAAACCCACCCACCTGTATAGTCTGCTGACAACAAAATGCCCTGGGATAGGGAGTCACATGGTGGGGGCCGGGGACTCAACCCACCCACCTTTTTATAGTATAGGGAGCTCCTCACCAGGAGGGTGTGAGAATGATGGGCTTCGCCCCTCAAATAAAAAGTCAAAGGCGGAAGGGACAAAAACAAAAAAGACTGGGTGGTTTACATTTGCAACAACTCTGTTTTCAAATAAGATCACATTTATAGGTACCGGAGTCAGAACTTCAACACGTCTTTTTGGGGGGCACAGAGCACCCCATAACAGAAGGCCGGCCCATCTTTCCTACACTAACACTGTCATACCACAATGTCCCCTGGGGTAAAGATAACGGTTGTACTGTTTTAATAGGAGGCCATGTGTCTAGAGAAGGCAGAACAGCACCCCGTTTTCTCCCAGTTCTAGAGGCTGGAAATCCAAGGTTAAGGATTTGGCCAATTTGGTTTCTGATGAGGGCTTTCTTCGTGGCTTGTAGACAGCTACCTTCTCACCATGGCCTTGCATGGGCTTTCCTGGGTGCATGCACACACAGGAGAGAGAGAGAGAGAGAGAGAGAGAGAGAGAGAGAGAGAGAGAATGAGAGAATGAGCATGGTGTTGTTTCTTCTTAGACATCCATCCTCTCAGATCGGGGCCCTGCCCTTATGACCTCATTTAACCTTAATTACTTCCTTAGAGGCCCCATCTTCAAATACAGTCACACTGGGGGCTAAGAGCCTCAATACAGGAATTTGGGGGAGTTGGGGGAACACACAAGTTCAGTCCGTAATACCATCCAAAACCAAGCTCGCCATCTCTGCCCCCACACCTGTGACCTGCACCTGTGTACCCCATCTTCACGAACAGCACCACCATCCATGCCATCCCTAGGCCTCATCTCCGCCTCCTCCTTTTCCCTCTCCCCACCTCTGACTCCATTCCCAGATTCTGTCAGTTTTCCGCATCCCACTTCTGTTTCACTGCTGAGCTGAGTCCCTCCCTCATCACCTCTCACTTGAATAGTGGCAGAGTCTTCCCAACCAGCATCGCTGGCTCTAGTCCTCTCACTCCCATCTACCCATCTGCCACATGGAGCAGTGATCTTCCCAGAATCCAAATCTGGCACAATTCCCCCCTAGTTAAAAAAAAAATGACAACTTCCCATTGATTTTAGGATAAAGTATAACGTTTTCTACATGACATCCGAAGTTCTCCATAATAATAATTCCACCAAGTTCTGGTTTCTACGAATCCATTCAAGACAAAAATCTCTGCAGTCCTGTAGAGCCTAATTCAGTGCCTGGCACAGGACACATGCTCAGAAAAGCATGTAGAATTAAATTGTAATGAGGATCTACTCAGTCATAATCAGGTACCCTCCTCAGCACCCTCTCAATTCCCTTTTGGTCCACTTTACCACCTTCCTAGTGCACAGATGCCAACAGCCCATGCATTCTCTATTGTCCCTGTAGGATTTGGGGTTGGGCAAACCCAGCTTATAATCAGGATCTTCCTTTGACTCCCTGTGTGCCAGTCTCTCCCCATCAATGAGCCTGAATTTCCTAACCTGTGAAGAGGGGCTGATGAATGGTTATCTTTCCAGGGTCTCATGAGGACTCAGTATAGTCAAGCACCCAGCATAGGGCCTGACATTTAGTAAATGCTCAGTTGGAAGCTTACTCCCTTCTCTGCTCTCCAAGGCCTACAGCTCTTCTTCCAACCTACATCATTACCTGAAGCTTCAGAATTACCTCTGCCTCCATTTTAGCCCCTGTTATTCCAGCTCCTGGGGAGTTCCACACAGGATAGACATCTCGACTCAGGAACGAGCAGGGGTTGGGGGGCGGGTAGCTGTGATGCAGGTTTCTCGTAGGATGGCATAAGGCATCCAAGGGCAGAGACCTCCCATATCCATCATTTCCACTCATCCCTTAGGCACATCTGGCTGCATCATCATCATCAATACCCACTCTGTCCCAATTTGAGCAGAGAGATACAACCTTAGGGGCAGGCAGGTGGCACTCCAGTATCATCCTTTCTTCCTCATTGAAAGCATGAACCTGGTGGGAAAATTGGGGCATTTGCTTCCCAGAAATCCCTCCAGTTCTGCTTGTCACAATCCCAGGTCAGGGGGCGGGGGAGGGGACTCCTGATCTGTCAATATCTGAGCACTCTGAGCCAGTCTCCCTCCATGGGGGCGACCAGCTGTGGGAAATGCAGTCATAGTTGCAATTTCTTTGCTTCCCAGTAGAACAAGAAATATTTAAGGAACAGGCAATTAGCACTTACCAGAAACATTATAAAATTACATACAACTTGCTAACAAGTTTTAGCATCAATCTGGAAGTCTCCTTGCTTCCTTACTGGAGTCTGGAATCTGGCAGCTTAATGCTGAGTCTGGGAGGCTGGCCCAGGGGAGGAAGAAGCTGGGACCTGGACCCTACAGACATGAAGGAGCAGGACAGTA
Source organism: Homo sapiens (assembly GCF_000001405.40). Lineage (NCBI taxonomy): Eukaryota > Metazoa > Chordata > Mammalia > Primates > Hominidae > Homo > Homo sapiens. The sequence goes on along the minus strand of NC_000001.11, from coordinate 33,781,562 downwards.
GAGATTATGCAGAGGGGCTGCCCAACAGTCCAGGGCACTCATGTTAGAAATGAGCTCATCTGTTTGTTCAACATTTTCTAAGGCCCTGTGATGTGTTGCAGACAATGTTCAGGACACTGAGGCTACAAGGACAGCAAGACAATCTCTGCCTTCACCTAATTCATAGTCCATTTTCAGTAGCATAGAACAAGTGCTAGAAGACAGGGAAATACAAAGGAGGGGCAGCAAATCTTGCTCAAGGGCATCAGGGGAGTCTCCCTGGAGGAGGTGATGTCTGAAACTGAGACTTGCTTGAAGGATGAAAAAGAGTTTGTCAGACTCCCTTGAGAGAGGGAACAGGTGGGCTTAGAAAGCTGACATGCAGATAAGATTGAGGCTAAAACCTCAGTAAAAATAAAGTCTGAGAGCAAGTTGGGGAGAAGAGGGCCAAGACTTGCTCTCTGCAGGCAGTGCCACATCCCCTTCTTCAGAACTTCACTCCAGTGGTGGGCACTGCTGAGCCCCCAGAAGAGGTGGTTTTAGAAGCAGACTTCAAAGGAGGCCAAGGGCAGCCGACCAGCATCACTCACCACTCCCTCTAGGACACCGCCTTTCCTCTTGTCAGATGCCAAGCACATGGCTATTTTCAGCCTCTCTTCTGTTATTTTCAGTACACCTCTATTTCTTGTCTTTTCCCCATAAACTGGAAGGCCCAAACATTCCAACTTTGGCCAAGAATGTCACTAACATGTTCCTAAGATGCCCGCTGAGTTTCCATGATACCTCTAAAGGTTTTTCAGGCACTGGGAGCCAAAGTTGAGCTAGATACAAGCAGCAGCTGCCTCTTCTCAAAAAGTCCCAGTGGGATCCAGCCTGTTCTAGCCCCTGGAGGCTGGGCTGGCAAACAGCAGAGGATGCTGCCGCATTAAAATTTGGTAGAAAGTAATTTGTCAGTGAGATGTGCTCTCTAAATACATAGCTTTTGCAAACGGTAAGCTTTAGTTTGGGGCTAATGCAGACAGCTTGGAGGCTACCTCCATGTCCTTTGTTTCCAGCCTCCTTTGGCTGGTGACAAACCCATGACAGTGTTATAGAGGAAGGAGATGGGGAGGGAAGAATGTCACCCACTTCATCCAGCCATACCTCCATTCCACTTGTGGCAATCGTGTGCAGAAAAACACATCAGTCCCCATAGGTGCACATACAGATGTGGGGTCTCTCACCTCCTGGTGCCCTTCGCATAATCAGAAGTAGAAAAGCAGAGTGGGGTGTGGTTCTGAGGCAATCCAGGTGGTCTGGGCATGCCCACAGGGTGTTCCTAATGCACCGAAGATGTCCTGGTCACTCACTAGGAGTTTGTGCTGATTCAACAACAGGTCTGAGCACTTAGTATGCATAAGGCACTGGGCTTGGTTCTGGAGATACAAAGAGTGGAAGGGATGCGACCCCTGGCTCTGAGGGAGCTGACAACCCACAGGATGGAGCTTAAATGACTTATTACTCATCGAACCAAGCCCTTCAGGGTCTCCCTCCAACCATCTCTCCGGCCTCTTCTCTCTTCATCACTTGAGCTTCCCACTACACTGAGCTTCTAGCTCTTCTCTAGACTCTACGCTGTTGTCCTCCATTTCTCCTTTCCTGCTGCTTTCCTTCCATCCTCTCCTCCATCCTCCCCCATCATGCCTCAAAAGTTTATTGAATCCCCTCTCTGTGCCTTGCACTTCACTAGAAAAGCTGGGATATAGACATTTCAAAAAACATTGGCTCGGTCCTCAAGGAACTTACCAATTAACAGTGGGAAACACACGCCCAAAATTGCAGCACCCGTTGCTATAACAACAGAAATGTCCAAGGGGGCTGGGAGCGAGAGAGAAAGAGCTCCTAAGTCTGCCTGGGCGATTCGAAAGAAGGTCCCACATGGGAATGCACTTGCACCAACACTGAAAGATGATTCTTTGTCTGGTAGACAAAGCAAAGGGTGTTCATTTCGGGAAGAGAGGATGGCAGGTGCCACGTTACAGCCATCTGAGGGGCGGCTGGGCTCTGCAAACAGCAGCGACAATAACACTGAGGAAATATGGTTAGTCACTGGTTACACACTGCATACTGGACATTTTGACAATTATCTTGTGTACAGAAGCTCATTTAATCCTCACAACAACCTTGTTATTACCATTTCCATTTTACAGATGACAAAACTAAGGCTCAGAGAAAATAAGTCACATGCCCAAGGTCTGTTCCTTAGTATCAGAGCCAGGATTTAGATCCTGGACTTTGTGATCCCAGAGCTCTTGCCACTGCACTATTCTACCTCCCTACAGATCACTCATTGCTGTGCCGTGTAAATCTCAAGGTCGCTGATGGCCAAAGAGCAGGCTGGGGTGGGAGGGGTAGGCAAGGGTCCTGCCATGCTGAGGAGTTAGGATTTTAGTCTGTGGATTTCAGGAAGCTGTAAAAGGATCAATGAGCAGGGGATGGTAATCATCATATTTTTATTTCTGAGTGATCTTGTGCTCCTTTGTAGAGTATGAAATAGAAGGAAGAGCCAGGGGAACCATAGGCTGCTACTGGCACCCAGATGAGGAGTTGCAAGGGCTGAACTCAGGCAGGGAGAGACGGGGTGGATAGCAGAGGGTTCTGGGTATGTGGGAGGAGGAGTCAACAGGAGGAGACTAAGGAGAGCTGAGGGAGAAGGACAGGGCAATCCAGGCTGACTCCCAGATTTGAACAACCTGTAAGAAACCTGTCCAGCGCTCCCAGCCAGAGGCTTGAGCTGCCCCTTCTGCTATCACCCAAGTCATGTGGTCAGGTCTACATCCTCTCCATTGCCCTGGTCATTTGTATTGGAATTATCTCCATACCCACCTGACCCTGAGTTCTCCAGGGGCAGGGGCCGTGGGGCAGGCAATGCTATACCTTTAGTGCTTAGTGTGGCATTTGGCACGGTTTCCATGCAAAATATTTGCTAAGCTCAGAGTATTCTGTGTGTTCCAGGGACTGTGCTAAGTGCCGGGTACACAGTGATCAAAAATACATAATGGATGCCTGCCTTCATGGGGCTTACATTCTAGGGGGTGGGAGTGAGGGGGGCTGGGTGGTGAATCATCTTGTGCCCAATGCCCAACCAGAGCTCCAGAAGAACAAATTTTCATCCTTTTATTCGCTGTTATACCCCCAATGTCTAGAACAGTAACCAGTAAAATACTTGTTGAATGAACAGATGGGTAGTTACAAGGGGCATCATTGCTATAAAGGGAAAGAATGTGGTGCCAAAATGGGAGGATTGCTCGAGCCCAGGAGTTCGAGGCTGCAGTAAGCTGTGATAGCACCACTGCACTCCAGTTTGGGCAACAGAGCAAGACCCTGTCTCAAAAGAAAAAATAAAAAGAATGGGGTGCAAAGAAAGAAAAGTAAAAGGGAAATGTCTAAGATCTAAGGTGTGTGGTCAAGGAAAATGTCTTGGAGGAGGTAACATTGTAAACCAAAGTCTGTTAATGCAAGGCGTTAGTCATGCCAAAGGAAGAGGAGAGGAAGCTCAAGCCAGGGGAATAATGAGTTAGTGAAGGAGCCAGTGAAGCCTCCCAGCCTCATGTGAAAGGCAGCAAATCCTCGTCTTCCTCCAAGCAGTGCCTCCCCTCTTGGAGCACATCAAATATTCAGTGAATTTACAGAACCACATGATACAGTCCCTTCTGTACAGACATTTTCATAAAAGACGATTCCAATTTGGTATTAGAAATGGAAAAACCTGGGGAGAAGAGTGAGATTGATCACAGATGATGGGGATAAAACAGCTGAGAAAGGGGAAGCAAATATGCTGAGTGGCAGAGCTCAGTCATGATGGACTTCTGAGGCATCTTAGAAGCAATCATCTCATGTTTTCCAGTTTGCTTTTGGTAGGCAAAAGGAGAGAGACAGGAGAAACACTCATAAAACGGAATTATATTAAACCAGATAACAGGAAATTGCATGTGTGATTTTTCTGCAAGTCAAAATCCATTTGTCTATTTGCAATTCTGGGTCCTGACGTCAGACTTGGTCAGCACCTGACCAGAAGTGCCAAGATCAAACACCTTTCAGGCAGGGCAGTGGAGCACAGGGAGCCCTTTGCAGGAAGGCAGCGGCCGTGGTCTCTGTGTTTCCAGCAGGAGTTGACTCTGAGCTTGGAGAGAAGGCTTAGGCCAGGACAGGAGGTGTCAAAGGGACAGAAGCCAGCCAGCAGCCCCCTCTGCCTTCCTGGAAGGAGCTCCCAAACTCTCACCCCACCCTGCTCTGTTCTTCCTCTTCCTTCCACCCAATCTTGATTCTCTGAGCAACACATCCCCCAATGCCTTAGAACTCTTTGCCAAATGCTTCCTTGAATCTGAGTTCCCGTGAAGTCACCACGACCCTGTAGCCCTCTGCAGTGCTAGCAGCTCACTTCCCCACACCCAATGAACTTCACCTTGAGAGGGGCTCGTATGCTTGCTCGCCGATGCCATTCCACCCACGTGTAAACCCCTTCCCCTTTGACCTTATGCTGTCTTCAGCTCTGACACTTTCTACCCCTCCTCATCACTGTCACTGATCTCCTCCTCCCTACTTGCCATCACCTTGCCTCTCAGGCCTTGACCTTCTCACTTCCTTTCAGTGTACTTCACCCTGGCTGCAGCTGGACCTCATCATCAAGCACCTCTGAAATCTCAATTCCACATACTTCAGCTTTTTCACATGACACTCCCTTTACTCCTGCCCATCATCCCTTCCCATCCTCTATTTCCCCCATCGCCCCCTGCTCCTTTCACCTCTTTCCTTCTTCATTCTAAGCCTCTTGGATAACACTTTGGCCATTCTTTTTAACAACATGTTCAGCTCCTTTGCCCCGTTGTCTTCCATTTCTCCAAGCCCAATCCCCCCTCACTCAGTCAATCCTCCTACCCCTTTCTCTACTTCTACAGGAACTGAGTGGCCAAGGGCTGCTGGGACAAGTCATATAGCCCTGCTGGATGGTATCCCTACAAATGAGTCATCTGCACCCTCGGCGGGCCCCAGAGGTGCATGGCAATCCATCTAGGCATGATTTCCTCTTCTCCAGAGTGACAGCTTCAGACATTCTCTTCAAGTCGTTTTCCCATGACTTGTCCCTCACCTTCAGCAAAGACTGTGACCTCCTCCACTTAGAAAATAGAGCCTGTGTCATCACAGGATCTCCCTCGGTCTCCTGCCATCCTACCTGAAAACTCACTGCCACCACTTCTTCCCTCTTTACTGCAGTCTTGAGGGAAGGACATCCCTCACGGTCTCTAAGGCTGGGCCTCTAGTGTGCTCTCAGTCCCATGCCTCTCTCCTTCTCTGGAGCCCCTGTAGGGGGCCCCTTTCTCCTCCACATCTTCAGCTAACCATTCAATACATCTTTCCTCCCACCCCTTCATTCTTCTCTAGCATTTCAATATGGTCAAGTTTCTCCTGTACTAAACTACTTTAACCACTCCCACCCAGGCCATATGCCTCATGAGCTGCTACCTAATTTCTCTAGAGAGAGTGATATCACCTTCTCTTCTCCTGTTTGGTATTGGCCCCATCAGTACACACAATCCTGGCAGTATCAATGTGACCTCTTTTTGCTAACCTGTTTTTCAATCCTATGTAAACTTCCCTGCAGCATTCAAGGCTGTTGATCTCCTTCTTGAAACTCATTCTTCTTTAAGCTCCTGTGACCCCACTCTCCCAGTCTAGCATTCTGCTGGTCCCTACATTGTTCCTAACTGTCCTGTCCTAGACCAACATCCCTTCTCACTCTCCTTGGGTAATTTCATCCTTGTCATGGCTTCTTTTACAATCTATGAGCTGAATTTCTAGACCAGGCTTCTCTCTTGAACTTAAGACCCATATAGCCACTTCCTGCTAGATATTTCCACTTGGAGGTCCCACTAGTACCTTAAAACTCAGCATCCCCTACTGATGACCCTCCATTCAGACCTATACCTCTTTCTGCATTCTTGTCTCAGTGAGGGTACACCCAAGTGCTCAGGCCAGGCACTTAGTTATGTAACTAAAGTTAGCTGTGACAATAACTATTGGGTTATTGGAGGACCACATCCTCCAAGAAGCCTTTCCTGACCCAGGTCTGGGACTAGGGTCAGGTGAGCAGGGCACTCATGGGCACGAAATTTAAGTGATGGGGAAAAAAAAACTCAGCAATTAAGATAAATAACACTTAATGCAAATTTTTTTTAAAAATTAATATTAGTGCAAAATATCCGTGTTAAAACACATCAACATTTGAATCAAAGACAGGCTCTGACAGTGCTGGGACTATGGTGAAGACCAGTGAGGTGAGTGATCTGAGCATAGGGTTGGATCCAGGCTTTATTTTAAATGTTGGTATTTTTCTTCATTGTGAATTGGATTTATGGCATTAATTGTAATTTTCTAGAAAAAAATATCGCACTAAGATATTATTTGTCATGATAACTGAGATTTTGGCGCCCCTTGAAATTTTGTAGATGAGGTTAGTACTTCCATTCTCCACACCCTATTTCCAGACTGATCCTCCACATTTGAGTTAGGTGCTTCTCCTATGTGCATCCACAGCACGAATCCCCTGTATCATAAACACCTATTTCCTTGTCTGTTCATTTCTTGAGGGCAGAGACCATATCCAGATGTCAAGGGTCTAGCACAGCAACTGGCACATAGTAGGTGCTCATTGCATTGTTCGTAAGTGGGTGCCTGTGATTGCATGATGGTAGGAGGAAGTGATGGGTGGGTGGATGTGGGCATGTGCGCAGGGCTGTGCCTACACGATGGGAAGGCTGGGCAGATTCCTTCATCCCCCTTAGGATCCCCTTTTTCTTAAGCCAATCACAGCCTCAGACTAGCTGCTGTGGGCAGGAACACAGGCACATGTACCCCACGTGCATATCTCCTGCAGCAATGGTGGGGCCTCACTAGGAAACCTTATATCTGGGTTCTGCCCCTGGCAGCAGGAAGGATCCAGCTCTGTCTTGAAATGCTGTGTAACTTTCACCAGGTCTCAAAATGCCTGCAGTGACAGCCCTCACACCCCAGGCTCTCGCATCCCAGAGAGCATGTCTGGGGACATCTGGAGGCAGGTGGGTCCTGCTGCTTGCTTCTCCACGTTGACTTATCACAGGAGCCCCTTCTTTCCTTCAGATTCCCTGGAGCTCTGGGACCTGTAGCAAAGGGACCATGTTCCTGGAATGCCTCAGTGTATCCCCTCCCCCATCCCTGAGCCTGAGCAAAGCCAGCTTCAGAGGGGTTTCAGCTATGTTTTCAGCAGATGTACTTGTAGAGGGTGAGGCCAGGGGGACATGTGAGGTGAGAGGCAAGTGGGCTGACTTACATTTGATTTGAGATGCCTCACACCTGGCACATGGTCACACAGACTCCCCTGCACAAAGGGGAGGACCCTTGTTGTTCAACTTAGATGATCACACACACACACACACACACACACACACACACACACACACAATCCCAGCCATAGAATGCCTTGTCCTGCCTGCTCTCAGCACAAAGCTGGCAGCCTTCGTTTTGGGTTAACATGAATGCAACAGTCAAGAGCCCGCCCATAAAAGGCAGTGCCTGGAGCTGCCCAGCCCACAGAAGCCCCCAGTGTGGTAGGAAAGCCTTTGCAGAATCATCCCTGTCAGGATCACACACACCAACTTCAGGGACTGTGGCTCTGACAGCCCATGATGGTGTCTACCGAACAGGCAGGGTCCCTTTTTCCTGAGAATCCTAGGTAGTGTCCAAAAAACTCCCCTGATGACTCTGGGCCCCTCTCTCCCAAATCTCGGGACTCATACAGTCCTCACCTCACCGTCTGGCACTGGCTTCATGACCTCCTGTCTATCCTGCAGGACGCCCTTCTCCCCGGAAACAGAGCTCCCCTCCTTCCCTCTTCTTCCTCCTCCCCTCCACCACCCCCTCCTCCTCGTCCATCTCTCACAGCATTAAGCACAGCATGAGTGGGAGTGGAGGTGACTCCAGAGGAAGCTCCAGAGGCTTGGCCAGGACATACTCCTTTCCAGAAGCATCTGGATCCTGACTGCCTCTCCGGTGAGGTAGCCAGCCCATCATGCCCACTGGGTTCAGGGCCCCCAGAGCTGTCTCAGGGAACCCACTCCATGTCTGTCTCACCACTGTTGACTCAAGTGAACTTTCAAAGCATACTCAATGAGTCATTTGTTTCATTTTACCTGCTACCATTGCAAATTGAATTAAGGAAACATCTCCATGAAGGTTCTTCCACATCAGCAGGCAGTGAACATTTATTCTCAATTAATCTCTGGTTTGGGAAAAAGACAGGGAGCAAAGCCTCAACTGCTGTGTCATCTTGACTTGCCTTTGCTGCTCAGAAATGGACTGTACTTGAGATCTGTCGTGACATTAGCAGTTCAGATGCAAGGTCAGGTTCAGTGAGGAAGTCTCCAAAGACTTCTAATGCTGTGGAACTTGTTGCTCCTGGGACAGGTAACCTGTGAAGAATGTAGACCCACCTTCTCCCTAAAATTGCTTCATCTCATATTGGATTTAGGGAGGGGTAAGGGATCAAAACATCCAAGCATCTAGAACACTTTATGTGGACACAGAGTCTCAGGCACTTGATAGCTGGAAGCCCATTCATCCTAGGATGCTGCGATGAAACAGGACATTGCAGGATTTCTCACAAACCTCATTCCTTATAAGAACGTTGAATCCTACCTGTGTCACTCTGAGCACTGACTTATGGCAGAAGAGCAGTAGAGCTTGTCATGTGGACCTTCAGCTCCAAAAGAGGTATAAAGTCACCTTTTGTCTCTGTTTTCTCATCTTCCTGTCTTTCAGAGATCGAGCAGGGCAGTTGCGGTGACCCTGGCATACCTGCATATGGCCGGAGGGAAGGCTCCCGGTTTCACCACGGTGACACACTCAAGTTTGAGTGCCAGCCCGCCTTTGAGCTGGTGGGACAGAAGGCAATCACATGCCAAAAGAATAACCAATGGTCGGCTAAGAAGCCAGGCTGCGTGTGTAAGTGAGCAGGGAGGAGGCCACGCCAGGGTCTTCACTGAGAGGCAGGGGCCCGTTTCCTAGCTAATCCAGGGGCCCCGTCCCTGGGAACCTTGCAGGTTGTAACAACAGCTGCACTCTGGTTGGTTTATTCTACTCCTCGGAACGTTGCTGGTGGGGTCCTTATTTCTGGCAGGAATGTCGACTGTAGCACTGAGAACAAGTGCTCCTGACATTTGGGGATGCTCTTCAACACCGTCTTACCCTTCTTGGTGATCCTTAAGAGCAAGGAGACACCACTGGGACAAAGCCCACCAGGCTCAGACCCAGACATTTCCTGCTCACCGTCATTGCCACCCCTGACACCATCTAATCCAGCAGGGTGGAAGGGACTGTCAAGTTTGTAAGGCTGTAGACACCACCAGCCTCCAGTAACTGTGGGAAACTGGCCTTGCCAGGATATAAACAGTTTCCTAAAATTGCTTTATCTCATATTGGATTTAGGGAGGGAAAAGGGATCAAGCTATCTTTGGACTGTTGATCTTTTGGGGAAGGGGTTGGAGTTGAGTGCTCTGTTCTGTGGAGATAACAAAGAAGCCCTTCTTCCTTCCTCTTGGATGACCTGACCATACTTTGCAGCACAAATGATATCTTAAATCTTCAGTCGCGTTGGGATTGGCAAGGATGAGGGGCTGTGTGTAGCCAAGGGAGGCCCAGACATGGTCTCTGTGGGAAATCAAAATTTCCAGCTTCTCTGGGCTGTTACGTCTTCTCCCATCCCTTGTCACTCCACCTTCTCCATCTCTTTCCATGTGCTTCTCTCAGGGAAAGGCAGGCAGCCTGACCCTCAGATCCTTCACCCGGCTCAGTGGGTTACTTGGGGCCTCGAGTTCTGCACACTAGAGATCGGTGATCCCTCAGGGCTGGGAGAGGAATAGCCTGGGAGACTGTCAGGGTCTCTGTGATGACTGAGAGTTTGGTGTATGAGTTGATGAGTTGGGATGAACCATGGTGATGATACTTTTTAAATGAAAAAAAAAAATCACGTTGTCCAACAAAGCATTTTGATGACTTTTGAGTTTATTTATGTAAAAAGTCTTGAGAGGTTTAAAGATCAAGTCACCCTTAAATACACATTGAACAACTCACCCTTATTGAAAAAAAAATAAATTGCATGATATCTGCCCATCCCTGCTCCCCACTGTGGTTAGAATATAGAGCCCAACAGCATTAGCCACGTAGCATGCTGGGAGCCACAAGGACCTGGAGGAGCAGGGAGCAGCTCGGGGCAGGCAAACACAAAGGCTTTGCCCATTGCAGAGACCAAGCCCAGGGACAGGTGCACGGGGCAGGGCTCTGCAGAAGCAGGGCCTGAGAAGATAAAGGTACACACAGTGGGAGCCCCAGGTGCCATGGGGGCTTAATCTCTGAAATCCATCTAGATAAAACAAGGCAGGGAGAAATGGAGGAGGGTCTAGCTTCTGCGACAAAGAGCTGGGAGGATTCACATGGGAAGCAAAACCAGCCAGCCTCTTAGGACCAGGATAAGATTCACTGTCCCCCAAGCTGAAAGAGGCAGGTAGCAGAATGCCAGCTGAGGGACTGTTGCTTGACCCCTCCAAGAGTTTACTTGGCCCTTTGGCTCTTAGGAGCAGGTTTATAACATCCCTGTAAAACCTTCACCAAGGGCAGAAGACCTTGAAGTGCTGCCCAGCAGGCCCTTGGTGTCCACAAGCAGGGCCGGCAGCCTCCAGTGAGCTGGGCACTGCTTGCAAACAGCTGAGAAGGAAAGAAGATAGGTCTGTCCCAACAAGTATGTGTCAGTGCTCCCTGTGGTTTGAAACAAGGATGAGGGGTCTGAGGCTTATGGATGAAAGCTAAGCAGGTACTCTGGGGAGCTGACATGGCATTTCTTCTTCTAGACAATTCTGGGATAGAGCAGGATGACATCCCCAGGCCCTTCCATCACTCAAGTGTGTCTGGACATTGGAGAGTAAGAGGACACAGCTTGAATCTCAGGGATGCTGGCTTCCATGGAGGAAGCCAGAGGGAGCCAACCGGCCCCATGCCTTTGCAGCATATAGCCAGGTCACCCTTGCATTTCAACAAAGTGAGGGACTTCCATCTGCCCACTCCCTACTGAGTACCCAGCAGGTAAGCTGATGCTTTTATAGGTCCTGGGCATTGCCCTCAGGGAGCTCATAGTCCAATTGGTGATAAGAAAGTATGGTGATAAGAAAGGCCTGGTACACTGAGATGACTTTGGTTTCAAAATCTGAAGACCAGGTTCTTAGTTCTAGCTCAGCTTTGTGGCTAAAGCCAAGCATCTTCTCTCTGGATTTTCATGTACTGACCTATCCAATAGGGTAGCACTCCATTGTGGCTCCAAATATTCTAAGCCTCTATGATCATATTTGTAGAAAAAGATGACTATGACATGAATAGTCCTCACATTTCCCACAATAAATACCTGGAAGCTACTTTGAAAGTGGATCATTACAGAGCAGGTCATACTTCGATTGAGAGACAATGTTAAACTTTGGAGTTCTGCTCTTAACTCTAGATCAAATATAATGTTATCAATAGAAAAGGGACAATACCTATAAACATCTATAAAAATATAAAATATAAGGTTGGTCTCTGTGTTTTACAAAGCGCTCATAAATGTACATACAAAAGCTCCTCTAGCAAAAGTCAGCATAAGTGCCCTAAATTTTCCAATACATTAGTCACAATAAATATTAATACAATACTTGGCAAATAACATTGCCCTTTCCTTATTGAGAGCTATAAGGGGATTGGGGATATTATTTCAATGGCTCAAATTTATTTGAGAAGTTGTCTGAAGAGGTGCAAAGTATTGTATTGTTCTTCTCTTGAAACATTTTCTTCAAAACAACTCTTTACTAGGGAATTACCCTGCCAAGAATACACAAATACACTCTTCCTTCATGTTCCAAAACATTTTCTGTAGCAAGCAGAGACTTCAGAATCATTTTGTTGGCTTTTGAGCTGCCCTCACAGTAGTAGATGCTCAATAGATAGTCTTTTTTTAATTTAGGTTTTTAAGAAGATGATTTATCTCACAGTGAAAAACGTTTTGAAAGAAAAGGTGGAGCTAGCTTCTTTGCTCTTACTCTCTGGTCCTCAGTTAATTCACATCTCCCGGGACCCCTGCTCAAAATCAATGGGAAGTAATACCACTTTCCATCCATTCAAGCTATTGACTGCCTGTCTTCCCTGTGCTGAGCACCATGCATTGGATTCAGAGTTGTTCAGTCTCTGCCTAGGAAATTGCTCATCCTGGCTGTCATGGTGGGAAAGCTTTGGCCAGGCTGCATATATTCTTTACCTTCCAGAAGCTTTGCCATTTTACTTCCTTCCTTACAAAAGAATAGAGAGCATTTCCCATACAATCTTGTCCAGCTATTCTTCCACCACAAGAGATACAATGGCAAGGAAGATACAAATAACTCTGATGGTGGTTTGCACAATACTTGATGCTTTGACGACAGGCTGGCAGAATGCTTCACACTTCTTAAGGAAGCCAGGAAACCAATTATCAATCCATTAGCAGCCACTTTCAAAAGAAGCTTCAAAACAGCCTTCACCAGAGATATGCCAAGAATGCATGAATGCACACTTTCCTTTGCCATTTTGTAAACCACCTTAAGAAGATGTGAATCCTAATTGCTCAGTTCTTAATGTGTATAGTATATGTGTGAAATGTGAAGGCAGGAACTTCTTGGATGTATACGATTTAAGTTACAAATCAGCAATCTAATCTTGAGAGGTCAAGGGAGGGAAAATTGGATCCTTGGGTGCTCAGGGAAAATGTCCCAGAAGATACAAGACTTGAGCTGGGCTTTTGGAGAGTTGGAAGGGAAAGAGATGCTGTGGGAAATGGCCCACAGAGATGCTGTGGGAAATGGCCCTACTGGCCCTCTGCTAGTATCTTCCTGTCCTTTACTCTGACTTCCTCCTTACTTATCCCACCTTCTGTTCTGGTGACACACACACACACACACACACACACACACACACACACACACATGCACGCACACATTCCGGGATGAATTGGGTAATGGGATCTGCAAGAATCTGGTCTCTCCCATGGACCATTACTCCAGAGTAGAGTTTCTCAAACTTAGCACTATTGATATTTTGGCCTAGATAATTCTTTTTGTGTGGGGCAGTATTGTGTATTATAGGATATTTAACACATCTCTGTCATCTACCAGTAGCACCCGCCCCACACACCAGCTGTGACAGCCAAAAATATCTCTAGACATTGCCAAATATTCCCTGGGGGAAAAAAATCACAGATTAAGAACGACTAGTCTAGGATAACTTAGTTTTGTCAAATTCCAAATATGAAGAATCCTATGGATTTGTGTTTTAAGTGAGGCTATGATTAAAGTCTGTAGCATTATGACAGTGGGAAGGCATGGGTTAGAGGAGAATGCCAATTTTATTAAATGTTCTACATTATTGGGAATATATGAGTCCTCCCTACTGTGTTATAGGGTATTTATTCTCTCAATTTATAGATTAAAACAAGGTTCAAAGAAATATAACTAACACGATGGTCATAGAACCACTAAATAATAGGCTGGAATTTGAGCTGTTAATTAACAGAGCAGCAATTTGCACCCAGGTTCTTGCTGCAAGTCTTGCCCTGTCTCCATTGCACTAGATTTCTAGAAGTTTAGGGATCATCTGCAAATGTAAGGACAAGGAAGCCTTAGGATAAAAATACTAGGCCAGAGTATAGAAGCAAACTGCTGGCCGAGTTACCTGTATGAAGCAACAAAGGTTGACAGGAGTTAGACAAATCCAAGAAAGGTAGATTTGTGACCCTTACTGGAAATCTATCAATATTGTATACCCCCAACATACAATATACTGGGGTTGAAACCTCTTCCTAATCTTTACATTTTCTCTGTTCCTTCTACCCGTTCATTTATTTATCCATCTTGATTTATTGAGTACCTGCTATGTACAAAGTTAGCTGCATAAGAGGGTATGGCTGTTCCTGGTCAAATTCTAAACTGAAGGGCCTTTGGGGATGATCCTGCTAAGGTTAAAGGGACAATCTCATGGTGTCATGCCCTATATAATGTGCTGTAACTCTATCTCTAGACGTATCTGGAGCTCAAGGGCCAATACTTGACAGAGACTTTTGGTATGTTCTCATATTTTTCAAGTTTAAGCTAATTTAATGGTTTAAATAAATCTACAAGTTTAAATAAAGAAAATATTCATATTCTCTCTCCCTTAAACCAAACTGATTTCAAATTCGACCAGTCTTTTTTTATTCTTACCCATCTATACACATATGTTATGTGGTCTTCATCAGAGTGAGCATACCATTTTGCATTCTATGTTTTAAAGCCCATATTCTGCTGTGAATCTTACCATGTTGCTACATAGTTATCATTCTTAAAAATCTGTGGGTTCTTCTGTCAAGTGAATAAACCATGACTTATTCAACCAATTATATTTAATTATTTTATATAAGGCTATAATGAGCATCTTCAGCCTATGGCTTTTTCTTCTCTTGAATTATTTCCTTAGAATAAATTTCTAGAATTGACATTATCCGATCAGGACATGAGTATTTTTATGACTCTTGATGCATACTGTTGCATGGTTTCCCCAAAATATGGTGTCGGTTCATAATGCCAGTAGCAAAAGCTGTAAGATTAAGAACAAGACTCAAAACGTATGGTCTTTCCATCCAGAAACATGGCATGCCTCTATTTCATGTTTATCTACTTTCACTTTTCTAAAGATAACAACTTTGTGGTTTTCTCGTTTAGGTCACATATATATTGCTTGTAAACTTTGTTAGCTTCACTAAACTTCAAATATTTGTGTGGCCATTTAAAAGTTGCTAATTTAATAGCTGTAAGTTGAATCTATTTCTGTAGCACACCTTTGTGGACTACTGTGAAGTGCCCAAGGTTAAGTGCCACGAATTCAGAGATGAATTGGGCACGGTCCGTGTCCTCAAGGAGCTCTTCTCATGTGGAGATAGACACCATTATATAAATGAAGTGGGCCCTTGTGGCTTATAATTTAGTTTTTCAATGAGAAAACATTGATGCTATGAATATTAGGTTCATTCTTTTATTTAACACATATTTATTGAGTGCCTGCAATGTGGTGGGCATCATAGTGGGTGCTGAACAGAAGAGCAACAGCCCCTCTTCTCATGGGGCATAGACTTGACATCTTCTCTGTTAGAATGGTTGGGCCCGAAAGATGAGAGGCCCTGCTGGAAAAGGAGACATCCAAGAGGCAGCAGTGGGTTCTGGGAGAAGCCACTGGGTTTGGGCCTATGCAAAAGGGACATGTTCCGTAGATACATTGACGCACACATAAACACCCACACACACACGCGCGCCCACACTGCAGGACTGGGTACTTGGGTTTGTAATGGTTCCTATAGGGGTTGGCTGTTGCCTAATGGATATGAATGAAGAAGGGAGGTGGGTTTATGGGAGCACAGTCTGGAGACAGACTGCTGGGTAGCCATGGGCCAGAGACATGTCCCTGTTGGGGTAAGAGGTATAAAAGAGGTGTCTGGAGGACTGCCAAGATTGCCATCACAGGGCACTGGATAGAGACTTCAGTCTTGGCCTTTCTTCAGCCGACCTGGTTCCAGCCCTGTCTAGGAGGGACATGGGGCATTTGCTGTTTCCAATCCCTGTATAGTGACTACTGGTACTGACATGTGGCTACTGAGGTGTTGGTATTCTTTCCCAATTTGAAGGCATTCTTTCTACATTGTGTATAGAAATTCTTTGTGGTATTTGATATATGTATTTTCCCAACCTCATTTTCCCTATTTATTTTCTATTTTTCATTGTATAGTTGTCTTACATTTCTATATAAACAAGTCTCTCAGTATTTGTGATTTATTTTCAAAGCTGACAAAGTTATTCTGCCATGGATCTGAGAAACAGTTCGTTCTATTTTTGGTTATTTGTCAGTAATTTGATTTTTTAAAATATAATTTGTTACTCCATCTGGAGTTTACTTAGATGAATGTATAATATTGTCCAAACTATTATGCAGTTTTCCAACACAATTTATTAAGTAATTCATTTCCCTTTTGATTTGAGGGAAATGAATTGTTTTATTACATACTGAATCCTCAAATGTAGTTAAGTCTATTTCTTGAGTCACCACTTTGTTCTGCTGCTCTATTTCTATCTTAGCACTGGTATTGAATAATTTTAATTGTTGTTTTATAATGTGTTCTAATATCTGGCAGAGCTAGAAACAACTCCTTCCTCCCTGAATTATTTTCTCTTTCAGAATATTCATTGTTATTCTCATCTGTTTGTTGTTCAAGATTAATTTTAGAATCATTTTGTCAGAGTAAAAAAAACATCCTATTGGGATTTTTGTATGTGC
Organism: Homo sapiens; assembly: GCF_000001405.40. Taxonomy (NCBI): domain Eukaryota; kingdom Metazoa; phylum Chordata; class Mammalia; order Primates; family Hominidae; genus Homo; species Homo sapiens. The sequence goes on along the minus strand of NC_000001.11, from coordinate 33,765,164 downwards.
ACTCCTGTTAAAATATAAATTAACTTGAAGAAAATAGGCATTTTTATAATACACAGCCCTCATATCCAGACACATGTTTTTGTTCGCCTACTTCCGTCTTTCTAAATATAACAGCTCCATGGTTTTCTTCATATAGGTCACATGCATTGCTTCGCATACATTGCTTGTCACCTTTATTCTTAAATAGGCAGGTACTTTTTTCATTTCTCCTCCCACCCTGACCTCAATGCCACATGCACAGGTGAAGCATGCTCTATTTTCCCTCCCCTCTATGGCTGAAACCTAGTGTTCCCTGTAAACATACAATCCCAGATTTTCCAGGACAAATGCAATTTCAAACATCATTTCCCTTGGCCCAGAAAATATGATCACAATAGCTAGAGTCCTTGGAAATTGCCTTTTTCAAATGATCAGAGCCAGAGTTGGGATCAGCAAAGATTTAAATGCATCAGCCTCAGCATGAGGGATAATATTCCTGGGAACTGTTTGTGATTAGGCCAGGGACCGTGATCGGTGTGAGCTTCCTCTGCTTAATGTAACATTCCCCTCATTTCTCTAGACTTCTTTCAAGGTTTCATTGACCTACAGATAGCCCCAGAAAATAAACAGGGAACTTAGGAAGTCCCAGGTCTCCCTCCCTCTGTTATCCAGTCCTCAAGAACCTGAACACTGAAGACCTGTGGTTTCCCTTTGCTAGTGGCAGGCAGAGCAGGGGGTGCCCGCTCTGCAGAATTCTCCCAGTGATCTGAAGGGGACGTCGCCTTGAGTGGAAAGTCAGGGGTGGTAGCAGGATGGGGGAGGGTCTGTATCTGCTACTGTACTGGAGAATGGGCACTAGTCATAGCTATGAAGCGTCCCAGGGCCATGGGGCAGCCTGGGAAGTGTATGCCAGAGTTGAGGGAGTCCAGGGCTGAAAGAGCTGACCCTGGATGAAGGAATGGGTCACAAAGGAGGCTGCTGGTGTTGCCTCTCAGAATGTACAAGGAGGTGGAGTCAATTCTTGTCCTACCAGGCCAGTATGGGTCATATCATTGCCTGTTACCTTTGTTTTCAAATAGGCAGATACTTTATGGGGGAAGGAAGATTCTGGATTGACTCATGTCCTCACCCAAGGGAATAGGGTGTATCCCGGCAAAGTATATCCTTGACCCATCCAAAGGCTTCAGTCTCCAAAAAGAGACTTCAGTCTCACAGCAGAGACTAGAGAGGAAACCATGAACCAGAATAGAAGCCCAGTCCTTGGACTGGGGCATACATATTGAAGAAGGGTTAGCAGGAGAGGGAGATCCTAAAACTGAGTGGGCCTATATGTATGCTGGGCTTCTCACAAGCCCACCAGTTACTGGCTCTGTGCAGCCACACACATCTCACCCCAACAGTTTGTAGGACTAGAACTTCCCAAAGTACCATCATGCTTAGCTGGGCTTGGCTTAGAATCTGGCTGTAAGAACCAAGCCCGTGGGATCCAGCTCTTCAGTGTACCTGGCCAGGGTGAAATCAGGCAGACTGAAGGGATGGCTCACGAAGGAGGCTCCCAGCATTTCCTATCAGGATGTCCAAGGAATTAGTCAACACTTTCCCTGCCAGGCCAGTGTGAGTCACATACATCACTTGTTTCCTTTATGCCTAAACAGTCAGGTACTTTATAGGAGAAGGAAGTGTCTTTGGTGGCCCTGCGTGGTCTAAAGTAGACCCAAACCCAGCTAACCATTAGAATCACTCATAGGCCTTTTAAAATACAAAATTCTTGGCCTTGTCCCCCAAAATTCCAATTCAGTAGGTCCAAAATGGGGCCTAGGAATTGTAGTTCTAAAAAACTCCTAGATGATCTAGACATTAGGTCATATTTCTGAACAACTAGTATGGAACACATACTGTATGCCAGTTGCTTGGGGAAAGTTTTGTGTCAGTTCTGTGAGGTTTGGTCCCTTGAATTTGTCTCTTGAATTCCTTTCTTGAATTCCTCTGGGCTAATGGGAAGGCTTGAGCTCTTGGATTACATCATGCCAAGAGACTTTTTTCCTAGCTAATACTTGTGTCATGCCAAGATACATGGGGTTGTGATACATGTGGTGATACGTTGTGTTCATATGCTGTTGCTATTAAGTTGGCCAGGCTGAGCTGCCATAACTCAGTTATTAGGATGATTGTAGTCTCCCAGGGTCCGTGGGATGTTGACCTCCATGTTGGTATCCCATCAAGGAGTGAGATGCATGGTCCAGTACTCCCACATTACAACTTGATGTTTTTCATTTAATTTAAATGCAGCAAAATGTGGAAGGGAGTGGGTACTATGTACTGGCCATTACACTCAGCACCGGGCAAGTGATGAAGATGATTCAAACATGGTTCTTGCCCTCCAAGAGCTCATAGTCTAGTGAGTAAGATAAGCATGTGCTTTTATTTTAAAGCAGTCTCTGAATTATTGCACATAGATGTGGTCACAAAGTGCTACCAGAATGTAGAGGAAGAAAAATTCATTCCAACTGGCAGATTTTCAGAAGTCTTCTTGGAAGATTGTAGCACAGGCAAAAATTTCAGTCCAATCCAACCCAGGAATCTGTCCAAAACCAAACTGTGAACACAGTTTAATCCAAGGCCCAGTTCAAAGGCCTTATTCCAGCTAAGAGTCCTGGTCCAAGGTATATTAGGACCACAGCTACCTGCGTGGAAGAGGAACTGGGAAAACTGGTCAAGCTTTAGGAGTCTAATCCTGGGCTGTGACCTCTACTTATAGGGGAATGAGGTATCTCTGTCATTCTCATTTCAGCTTTCACCTTTGGGATCAAGCCAACAGGCTCTGTTTTCTCTGTAAAATATCCAAAGTTGTGTGTATGCATTCTCCACTGTGCTCTGCCATGCCTGACTCAGAGAGCTGTGGAGGCCAACAGAGTTTCCCCAGCCAGGGTCTGTTTTCACAGCTGCTGGCTCAAAAGCTGGAGCTTGAAGTTCTATCAATACCCCAACCCTGTTCTTTGAGCCTCTTGGTGAATTTGTCATCTTACTTGAACATATGTGCATTACTATCAGCCCTCAGTGATGTGGGTGTCCTCAGACTCTGTGGTCCTCGGGGAAGGCACTACATACCTTTTCTAGGGCTTGGCTTTCTAAGAGGGCCTTGGGTTACCCCCTCTTGTGTTGATTGGCCCTTCCTCTAGGCCTTATGTACAAGAGCAATCTTTTGGGTGACTCAGGGGAGGTGGGTTCAGAGAAAAGGCTCCTGGCCCTAGGCTACCTGATCAACTCTCATCTTGCTCTGGGACTTAGATCAGACTCCCCCATGGTCTTGCAGGGAGCTCCCCCAGGCTACCTGTAAACTCCCTTGGATTATCGTGTTTCCCCTGGAAGAAAATCCAAATGTACTTCCTTGTGTCATGGAGAACAATCAGCATGTATTGTTTTCCAGTCTTCAGTGGGTGGTGGTCTGAGGCATGAATGGACCATGGCAGTTCTAGACTCCTTGAGTGAGGATGCTCTGACGAACAGGCTTAGAATGCATGATGGAGCTCTCTAACAGAGCTCAGGGGCTCAAGTGAAGAGGACAGGCCCTGAGTGCCTCAAAGACCCAGGGACCTGGGCCTACAGTCCTGAGAACATCCCCTGAGTTGTTGAAGATGTGATCCACACCCTTCCTTGAATTCCTCTGGGCTAATGGGAAGGCTTGAGCTCTTGGATTACATCATGCCAAGATACTTTTTTCCTAGCTAATACCTGTGTCTGGCTGACCAGATTAATAAGAGCAGCTGAAGCTAACCTTAGCTGGGCATAGAGACCATCTGGGATCTGCCCATGTAGGAAGAATAGGACGCTACGAGTATCACTCATAGGATCCTGGGGGCTGGGTGCAGGCAGCTGTGGGATCTCACAGGAGAGAAGCACTTTTGAGTAGCCTTTGCTTGGGACATGGAAAGACTGGGTCATCAGGACTTCCATCTGTTCCCCAACATGTCACAGTTCCTCAGAATCTCACAGTGAGACTCAAGACTGACAGAATATCCAACACTCAAGTGAAGGGCTGTTCAGTACCAGGTACCCCCATGCAGCTGACAGTGCCTCTCCTTTCTAAGGTTATCTGCCCACAGATCTGCTCACAGAAGGTGCCTCACCAGGTCACAGTTGGCAGTCGAGCAGTCAGTCATTCCTGCAAATGGGGAGTTTTGTCAGAATCTTCTGGACTTGGAGTTACCTGTTCATTCCTTGAGGAGAGGAGGGACTGAGGATCAAAGAGCAAACCTTTTGGCCTGGGGTCTTGCTGGATTGAGGGTGTGGTAAGGGAGAAGTGGGGAGACACCACTTTTGCTGCCTTAGTAGGCTGATTAAGACTAGGAGATACACCAAGCAGAAGCATGCGTGGAGACAGCCATCAGCAGCAGAGTGGGGATGTCCCTCTTGTTTCAAATTCAGCCAAAATTGAATGTATACCTTCCCTGAGCCCAGCACAGTGCTGTGTTCCATGCCTTCACAAACTTCATTGCGTTGAGTCTTCACAACAAAGCTGTAATTTAGAAGTTATTAATCCCATTTTTATATATGAGGGGAAAGACTCAATGATGTAAAGTACCTGCCCTCTTCCTTCCTCCCAAATGCGTACAGCTAATAAGTGAAAAATACATGCAAACCCCCAATTTTTAGAAGGATTCATATTTGCTCCAACTTTGGCATGGTGGCTTGGTCTGGCTACGTATATTTTCCAAAGAACTTATGGTCTGTTTTCAAGGTAAAAGCTGAGCCCCAAGAGTGTGGACTCAGCTACTTCCCAGTAGCATAGGGCAGGAGGCCTTTTTTGTGCTTTGTTCCATAAGGTATCAGAATCTTTCCTGTGAGCTGGGGATATGAGTTCCTCAGCCAGCCACTGAGGAATGCATGAAAATCCCAGTGCAGAGCCTGGCCTTGGGAAAGACCTCTAAACATCTCAATGAAGAGGGCCTAAAGGCCGGGGTAAGCACCTGGAATGGTTTGGTGGGGACAATGCATTATTCCAGAGGTGTGGCAAGAATCAGTCATGGCCACAGGGTAATTCCAGGCAGTGGGTAATTTCCAAAGGTTATGCTGATGAACAGTCATGTAATTTATACCAAGAACCTAGCCAACCTCTATGGGATACAGGTAACAGGGTCCAGCCATAGAGGGCAAGAACTTAGCAATCATCAGACCCCTACCAATGAGCTTCAGTTTAGGATTCCAGTTCCAGAGGGGATTGAGTTGTGAATGAGGAACTTGAAGCAAAAGCTAGTTTCATGAATAGCTGCTACCATGAGTAGGGTGACAATATATCCCTATTTGCTTGGGACAATCCCAGTTTACATCTTTTGTTCTAGGTAATTATCCATAGTGCCATCTTTCATTCTCAAAACCAGTTTGGGCAATATGTTACGTGGGTACCCTAACATGCCAAAGACCTCATGCCAAGAAAGGAATTGGGCCTCAGTGATTGATTTGAATGCCATGCCAAGAGGGATCTGAGTCAGAGGTCTATGAGGCTATATATAGTGGTTTATCTTTTTTTTCTTACTTGTCACTGACTTGAAACTCAAGCTCTGGGCTGGGCACAGTCGCTCATGCCTGTAATCCCAGCACTTTGGGAGGCCAAGGCAGGCAGATCACGAGGTCAGGAGATCGAGACCATCCTGGCTAACACCGTGAAACCCCATCTCTACTAAAAATACAAAAAATTAGCCGGGCATGGTGGCGGGCGCCTGTAGTCCCAGGTACTCAGGAGGCTGAGGCAGGAGAATGGCGTGAACCCGGGAGGCAGAGCTTGCAGTGAGCAGAGATTGCGCCACTGCACTCTAGCCTGGGTGACAGAGAGAAACTCTGTCTCAAAAAAAAAAAAAAAAAAAGAAAAAAAAAGAAAAGAAACTCAAGCTCTGTATGATTAACCCCTTCCTACCTCTCTCCCCCTCATCCCATGCCGCTCTTCCATCAAAACTCTTGCCTACCTCAATGCCTTTCCACTTACAGTTCACCATGTTGGAGTGTCCCTCACAAGACTGGCTCCATCTCATCATTCCTTAACTGTCACATTCCCAGAGAGACCATCTCTAACCACCTTATCCAGAAGAGCGATGTCACTTTTTATTTCCTTCATACCCTTTTTTATAAGTGTATTAGTCAACTTTTGCTGTGGCATCAACAGCCCGAAACTCTCAATGACTTGAAACAATAAATATTTATTTATTACTCATATCTCAAGAGGGTTGTAAGTCAGCTGCAGCTCTGCAGGGCTCTCCTGGGCTCCACATAACATCTCGTTCTGGGACACAGGCTGAAGGACCACGTTGTGCCTAGAGCATGTTGTTCTCATGCCAGAAGGCAGAAGCTTCAGGGAACAGAGCCAAACTACTCAAGTACATTTATAGCCTCTGCTTGGAAATGCCTACGTCATGTCCACTCACAATTCCGTGGGCTAAAGTAAATTGCAAGACTAAGCCCAAAGTCAATGGGGATAGGGAAGAGAGCACCACCTCAAGAGATGTATAGCAAGGGCAAGGAGAGAACAAATGATTGTGAACAATTAGTATGATCTACCATAATAAGTGATGCTTATTTTATTTGTTGATTATCTGGCACCCTCACTAAACTATAAACTCCCTGAGGGCAGACCTGTATATGTCTAGTTCATTGTTGTACCAATCATACAGCAAATTCTTTGTAGTATTTTCCTATTTTTGTTACAATTATTATTAGTAGTGTTATATTGCTGCTATTATATAAACAAAGCCAACACAGCTGGAGTGAGAGAGCATTTGGTTTGGAAGATGCTTGGCCACCCAGGGTCTACTGGCAGCAGGATTTTATTCCACAGCCCTCAAGCTAGTGTAGTTATAGCCAAGAGTGGCTGAGGCCCTGAGTGCAATGAGCCTGTCATACAGACTCTATCACTGCAGCTAGGAAGGGTAAGTGGGGGAGGAGCGAACATTCTAGAAAAAGAAAATCACTGGGGCAAAAATACAAACATGGATTAGCCTTGCACATTTGGAGAGCTGCAAGTAGTTTAATCTGACTGGAGTGTAGGGTGCAATAGGGGAGGGTGGGGAGAGTGGAAAAATAAAAAAGATTGGCAAGGGCCTTAGGTCACTGAGAGTCTTTTGTGCCCCTACGAGGAGTCTAGACTTTATCTTCTGTGCAGCAGGGAGTCTTTAAGAAGTCCCAAGCACGGATGTAACAGCAAAAGAATTTGTGAGTTTCAAAATTGACCCTGGAGCCGATATGGAGGATGGATTCAAAATGAGTGAAATTTAAAATAGGACACCAGGTAGACTCTGGCAGTAGAAAGAGGGCCTCCACTTAATAGGGATGTGATGAGGATGTGACAAGTACAAGAGATACTGAAGAGATAGAATCAACAGAAGTTAGTTACTGATTGAATATGAGAGCGAGGGAGAAGGAGTTGACATATTTTGCTTAGGCAACTGGGTGTTGTCATTCATGGAGATAAGGAATGAAGGAGGCTTAGGAAAATAGATAAAGAGTTCAATTTTGGACATGCATTTGAGGTGCCGGTGGGATCTCCAGGAGGGATGTACATCAGACAGTTTTGCCTCAAGTCTGGAGTGTGGTAGGAGGGTTTGGGTTACTAGAATTTATTTTGGAGGCAGTGGCATAAAGGAAGCAAGAGTGGGGAGTGAGAAGAGCGCCTAGGGCAAACCTATACCTGGGTGATGGAAGGGCTGAGTCATTTGTTAATGCCAGGGAACATTCCAGGTCCCAGAGAACCTTGGTTCCCTTGAGAACCAAGTTTGGGGAACCTTAGCCCCTGAGAATCAAGTTTGGGGAAGAAGACAAAAAGTTCAATTGTGGACATGTTTTAAGTTGCTGTGACAAAATCCAAACTGACTCTCATGATTTTTTTTTATTATTATACTTTAAGTTTTAGGGTACATGTGCACAATGTGCAGGTTAGTTACATATGTATACATGTGCCATGCTGGTGTGCTGCACCCATTAACTCGTCATTTAGCTTTAGGTATATCTCCTAATGCTATCCCTCCCCACTCCCCCCACCCCACAACAGTCCCCAGATTGTGATGTTCCCCTTCCTGTGTCCACGTGTTCTCATTGTTCAATTCCCACCTATGAGTGAGAACATGTGTTGTTTGGTTTTTTGTCCTTGTGATAGTTTACTGAGAATGATGATTTCCAGTTTCATCCATGTCCCTACAAAGGACATGAACTCATCACTTTTTATGGCTGCATAGTATTCCATGGTGTATATGTGCCACATTTTCTTAATCCAGTCTATCATTGTTGGACATTTGGGTTGGTTCCAAGTCTTTGCTATTGTGAATAATGCCGCAATAAACATACGTGTGCATGTGTCTTTATAGCAGCATGATTTATAATCCTTTGGGTATATACCCAGTAATGGGATGGCTGGGTCAAATGGTATTTCTAGTTCTAGATCCCTGGACTCTCATGATTTTTAAAAGACCTTGCCATCCAACTCTCATAATTTTTAGAAGACCTTGTCATCCTCTTTAGTTTGTCTTGTGTTCCTTGCTCCATCTGTCACCCTGCTTCTACCTACCATGCTGGCCTCCCTTCTGTCCCTCACATGCACCAAGCTCATTCCCACCCCAGGGCCTTTGCCCTTGTAATTCTTTCCCCCTGCAGTGAACCTTCCTTAGAATGATTGGTTCCTTATCATCAGACCACAGTCCAAAGGCCACCTCCTCAGACAGGCCATTCCTGCTGCCTTATTAAAAGCAGCCCACCTCTATGCCATTCATTCCTTTTTTCGTCACCTCTTAGAATGTAAACTTCAGAGGGGCTAAGGACTTGCTTATCCATCTTGGTGGCTGCTGATCCCATACCTAGAATAGGGACAGACACATAGCAGGTGCTCCGTCACTCCATCAATACTTGAGCTAGGTGGAGACATTTCAAAGACCACTGGATACACAGGTCTGGCGTTCAGAAGAAATGTCTTTCCTGCAGGCATACACTTAGGAGTTACGTGAGGATGAGGTGCCCTAAAGAGGACAAGCAAGTGAGAAGATGACCCTGAAATGGATCTGTTCATATTTCAAAAGGTAAAAGCCAGGTAGAGAGGAAAGCTTTCAAATGACTGCCAAGGGACGGTCAGAGCTAGAGATGGAAAACCTGGAGAAGGTATTATGGAAGAACCAAAGTGTCTTAGGAATGAGAGAGGGCTAGCTCTGTTGAATGCCCTTCTAATTTGTCTCAGAACACCGATGCTCAAGTTCTACCTGTCCAAGAGGTGGAAACTGGGCAGAAAAAAAAGAAACACAAAAACTTGTGTACAAGCCAGGTGTCTAAGACCAGAGTGAGCAACATAGTGAGACCCCCCTCCCCCCGCACACACACATCTCTTAAAAAAAAATAAAAATAATTAGTCAGACATAGTGGCACACACCTATAGTCCCAGCTACTTGGGAAGCTGAGGTGGGAGGATCACTTTTAGCCCAGGAGTTCAGGACTACAGTGAGCTAGGATTGCACCACTGCACTGCAGCCTAGAGACAGTGAGACCCCTTTCTCTAAAAAATTGTTTAAAGAAAAAATAACTTGGGCACAATTTATGGTTTTTGGACTGGATTATATCAAATATGAATCTAGGAGGACATACATGTGCTCAGGAAATGTGCAGCCAGTATTGCCCATTTATCCTTCATACTCCTTTTGGAATGTGTGTGAGTTTCTAGACTGCATCCTCAGTATTCTCCTTAGAAAGAAAGGAGCCTAAAGTTAACTTAATCTTGTTTATGATAAGGATAAGCCCTGCCCAGTAACTAGCTTTGCCCTGATGCAGGTGACCTTGAGAAACTCACACAGTGTCTTTGGGACTAACATAGTTAAATGATAACTTTCACCAGGCTCTAGTGCCAGAGATGACATTAAGATAACTGAGACACAACTTTACATACACTGAGCTTCTGAGCAGAAAGAGGTGAAAGAAATTTAAGGTTGGGTTTGTGAAGCCTCTGCCTCCAGCTCAACAATAGCTGAATCAGCAGAGCTGCCTCAGTTTACTTACCTAGATTCATACACTGAAGCAAGAACAATCTGATTGGGCCACTTCTGCTTGGGTGAGCATTGCTGGATAAAATCACCCAACCAGACAAATTGGCACTGCTATAAATTCATGAACACCAATCTCAGTCAGGCTTACAACAGTGCCTAGCAATCCATCTGTGTTTCTCAAGTCATTCTCTTCTCCATTTCTCCATGGAAACTACCCCAAACATTCACTACCCTGCTCGAACCCATGAACAGCCCCTTCTCCTCACCTTACTCCTACCTCACAGGCAACACTCTCAATTTTCAAATACTAAAGACACCAAGCCTACAGACCAACACCCATCCTCGCCCTTCCTCTATTCTTCCCACCTTTTATAAGAGATGATCAATCCTTTCTCCCATCAAAAAACAATTTCCCTATAAATTACCCATCAAAAAATTTTTAGCATAACTCCATTTATGCTTTAGATAAGGAACCTTTAAAAACTTTTAACATAACAGTGAGAAATGTATTTTTACCTTGTAACTTTGTACACACTTGCACATAATTGAAACATACATTTCACAAGCAGTACTTACCTTTACTACTTACATTGAACTCAGATATTTCCTATGCTCTTCCTTTATTAGCCCATTCTTGCATTGTTATAAAGAAATTTCTGAGGCTGGGTAATTTATAAAGAAAAGAGTTTGAATTTGGCTCACAGTTCTGCAGGCTGTACAGGCATGGCACCAAGATCTGTTCAGCTCCTGATGAGGGCCTCAGGAAGCTTACAATTATGGCAGAAGGCAAAGGAGAGCCAGTGTATCACATGGCAAGAGTGGGAGCAAGATGGGGGTGGGGTAGGTGATAGGTACCACATTCTTTTAAACAACCAGATCTTGCATGAACTAGCAGAGCAAGGATTCACTTGTAGCCAAGGGGATGATGCTAAGCCACTCATGAAGAATCTAACCCCATTATCCAAATACCTCCCCCCAGGCCCCATGTCCAACATTAAGGATTACATTTCAATGTGCTATTCGGAGGAGACAAATATCCAAACCATATCATTCTGTCCCTGGCTCCCCAAATCTCATGTCCTTTTCACATTGTAAAATACAATTATCCCTTCCCAATAGTCCCCCAAAGTCTTAACTTATTCCAGCATGAACCCAAAAGTCCTAAGTCTAAAGGCTCATCTGAAGATGAATTCCTTCCACCTATGAGCTGGTGAGATCAAAAGCAAATTATTTACTTCCCAGATACAATGGTGTGCAGACATTTGGCAAACATTCTCATTCCAAAAGGGAGAAACTGGCCAAAAGAAAGGGGTAACAGGCCCCACACAGTTCTAAAACCCAGCAAGGCAGAGATTAAATCTTAAAGATCCAACATAACCCTCGACTCCATATCCCACATCCTGGGCACATTGGTGCATGGGGTGAACTCCCAAGGCCTTGGACAGCTGTGCCTCTGTAGCTTTGCAGAGTGCAGTCCTTGTGGCTGCTCTCATGAGTTGGACTTGAACACCTGTTGCTTTTCCAGGCTCAGGATGCAAGCTTGCCATGACTCTACCATTTTGGAGTCTGGAGGGTGGCAGCCCCCTTCCCACAGCTCCACCAGGCACTTCACTGGTGGGACTCTGTGTGGGGGTTCCAACCCCACATTGCCACTCCACATCATCCTCTGAAATCTATGGAGAAATTGCCAAGCCTTCTTCATACTTGCATGCTGTGCACCCACAGGCTTAATATCGCATGAAAGCTGCTAAGGCTTATGGCAGCTTACACTCTCCAGAGCAGCAGCCCAAGCTGTATCTGGAGCCCTTTGAGCTGTGGTTGCAGCTGGAGCAGCCAGGATGCAGGGAGCGATGTTCTGAGGCTGCACAGGACTGCAGTGCCCCAGGCCTGGTCCCTGAAATCATTCTTTCCTCCTGGGCCTCTGGGCCTATGATGCGAGAGGCTGCTGCAAAGATTGCTGAAATGCCGTCAAGGCCTTTTTTCCATTGTCTTGGATGTTAGCACTTGGCTCCCTTTCAGTAATGCTAATCTCTCTAGCAAGTGGTTGCTCTACAGACTGCTTAGATTCTTTCTTTACCACAGGGTCAGGTTGCAAATTTTCCAAACTTTTGTGCTTTTCTTCTCTTTCAAATGTAAGTCCCAACTTTAAGTCATCTCTTTGCTCCTGTTCTGATCATGAGCTGTTAGAAGCAGCCATGCTAATTCTTGAATGCTTTGCTGCTTAGAAATTTTTTCCATCAGATACCCTAGGTCGTCACTCTTAAGTTCAAACTTGCAAAAAGCCCTAGGATATGGACTTAATGCAGCCAAGTTATTTGCTAGGGAGTAGCAAGGGTGACCTCTACACCAATTCCCCATAAGTTCCTCATTTCCATCTAAGACCTGTTAGCCTGGCCTTCACTGTCCCTATTTCTATCAGCATTTTGGTGACAACCTTTTAAACAGTCTCTAAGAAATTACAAACTCTCCCTCATTTTCTTATCTTCTGAGACCTTCAAACTCTTCCAACCTATCCCTGTTACCCAGTTCCAAAGCTGCTTCCACATCATCAGGTATCTTATAGTAACATCCCACACCCCTGGTACCAATTTTCTGTGTTAGCCCATTCTTGTATTTCTATAAATACTTGAAGCTGGGTAATTTATAAAGAAAAGAGGTTTGATTTGGCTCGTGGTTCTGCAGGCTGTACAGGCATGGCACCAACATCTGCTCAGCTCCTGGTGAGGGTCTCAGGAGGCTTACAATCATGGCAGAAGGCAAAACGGAGCCAGCGTATCATATGGTAAAAGTAGGAGCAAGGTAGGGTGGGGGCACCACACTCTTAAGAAACCAGATTTCATGTGAACTACCAGAACAAAAATTCACTCATCACCAAGGGGATGGCGCTAAGCCATTCAAGAGGGATCTGCCCCCATGAGTCCCACCAGGCCCAACCTCAAACATTGGGGATTACATTTCAACCTGAGATTTGGAGGAGACAAAAAACCAAACTATATATTTTTTTGTTTGTTGTTTGTTTTGTTTCTTAACATGAAATTTATGACCAGCTAATAACGGGTTGCAATCCACTGTTTAATACATTTAGCTATAAATTCTTCCTCACCTTTCACCTTTTCATGAATCTTATGCTTCAAATAATTCTTCCTCCTTCTGCTAACTCTTCAGCCACTTCCCTTCTGCCAGTTGCATTCCATCAACATTGAAATTTTCTCAGGCTGCTCTCATCAAAACAAAACAAAACAAAAAACACCCAACTTGGCTGGGCACAGTGGCTCATGCCTGTAATCCCAGCACTTTGGGAGGCCAAGGCAGGCAGATCATGAGGTCGAAAGATCAAGACCATCCTGGCCAACATGGTGAAACCCTATCTCTACTAAAAATACAAAAAAAAAAAAATTAGCTGGGCGTGGTGGCACACACCTGTATTCCCAGCTACTCAGGAGGCTGACACAGGAGTGCATGAACCCAGGAGGCAGAGGTTACGGTGAGCCAAGATTGCGCCACTGCACTCCAGCCTGGCAACAAAGTGAGACTCCGTCTCAATAATAATAATTTTAAAAAGTATCTTTCTTCACACTCTCATCTCCTTGCAGGTTCTCTAAGTCTCTTTCATACCCAAACTTCTGTAGCAGGATGTCTATGTACCCTTGCTGTGTTCATTTCTCACCTCCCAGTACCCTGTTACCCCACTCCATTCTGATTTCTGAGTCCACCACGTCTCTGAAATTGCTCTCACAAAACTCACCAATGAGTCTCATGTTGCTGAAACCCAGTGGATCATTTTCAGCCTAGATGATACATGGCGCTCAGCAGTCTTTCAAAACAGATGTCCCTTCCTCCTTCTGGAAACCCTCTTTCCTTGTCTGTATGACACCACTCTCCTGTGTTTTCTCCTACCTCTTGACTGCTTGGTCCCTGTCTGCCCTGCCAGTCCCCTTTCTCTCAAAAAGTTCAATGCCATCTTTTTTTTTTTTCCCAACTCAATAGCTCTGTTGTTTTAAGTTTTTGTTTTCTAATAATATTATATGTTTTTTCACCTCTTTATTAACCAACTTTATTTATTCTTTGTTGGTTGCCTCTTAATTTCCTTGGCCAATATTTCTATGTTGAGTGTACATCTTTCTGTCAAATTCCAATTCTTCATAGATGAAGGATAGTAAATATTTAAATGTAGTAACTTGCACATATTTTCTCTCCATTTGTCTCTCATTATTCAGCTTTTGTTTATGGTGATTTTTGAAATCTAAAATCTTCCATTTCTGTAGTTTAAAATTTCCCTTATGATTTCTAATTTTGGTGTAATACTAATAAAGTCCTTCCTTGCCTCCAACATTATACAAATATTCCTTATATTTTCTTCTAGGACTTCTCTGGTACATGGAATGAAGTGTGGACCTAATTTTGTCATTAACTGGCTAGCCATTTGTTCTAGCATCAGGTATTGATCAATCAACCCTCTCTCTGCTAATTTCAAAAGCCCCCTTTATCATATATTTTTGGTTCCTTTTCTGGACTTTCTTTTCCAGCTCTGTTGATCTCTCTTTTGAAGTCAATATAGTATAAATTATATTATTACAGCTTTATAATATGTTTTAGTATTTAATATCTGGGTTGTCAAGCCCTTCCTCCTCTGGGAGGAAGTAGGTGTCGTGGTCAAGAGCTTGAGCTCTGGTACTGGCCTGACTGGTTCATCTTCCCAGCTCTATCATCTACAGTGACTGTATGACCATGGGCAGATTAATTTAACATTTGGACTCAGCGTCTGTCTCTGTAAAGTAGGTTAATAATAGTACCTATCTCAGAGGGTTGCTGTGAGAGTTAATGAGTTGAGATACAGGAAGCTCTCAGAATGCCAACTAGCACCTTATATGCTATTATTCCTTATCTGTCTCAAGGAGAGCTCGGCTGTTTTCACCTGTTTACCAACAGATGGATCTTGCAATGGTTTTAAGTTCCAGAAAAAAAAAAGATCTGGCCTGGAATTGTGTTAAATTTGTACCATGATTTAGGACACTTTTCATCTTAGTAATATGAATTATTTTCAACCAGGAACATAGTTTGCCTCTCCATTAAAAATTTTTTTTCTTCCTATCAGTACAGTTTTGTTGTTTTTGTTGTGTAGGTCATGTTGGCTTATTGTTGTAGGGCTGAATTTGATTTTCTAGCACTTTGCATGAAGGATTTTCTATACTGTAGGTGTGTCATTGTGTTGGTGGATATGATTGTGTGTGTATCATACATATCATTGTTATGGGAGTATTGTATCAAAATCAATTTAAATAGCATGGCTATTACAAGTTTGTTTATAGTTTTGAAGCACTGGCCATGAAACCACCTACCCACTAAGTATTTTCCAGTTTCCTCAGGTTTTTCCCTTCATGCTAATTTTGGTAATTCAAATTTCTCTAGGAAATGCTCCATCTTATCCATATTTCATATGTTATGTATACTATTCTTTTATAGTTGGATTATCACCTTAGTGTTATTATAGCCTCCTATCCCTATGTATATTTATCTTTTCTATTTCTACTTATTGAGCAAACCAATCAGAAATTTTTATTGATCTCTTCAGAAGCCAATTTTTTTTTCTGTTTTTGTCTTTTCTAAGTTTATTCTCTCTTCTCTCCTTAATCATGTTCAGTTATTCTTTTGGTAACTTTTTAAGTATAAACACTAATTGCACTTATTTTATTTCTTTATTGTTTAATCATGAATAAAGCTATGAATTTTCTCCTTACTACAGCTTTGGTCTAGTATCATCATCATTATAAGAAGTCTGTATTGGCTGGGCGCAGTGGCTCACGCCTGTAATCCCAGCACTTTGGGAGGCCGAGGCGGGTGGATCATGAGGTCAGGAGATCGAGACCATCCTGGCTAACACGGCGAAACCCTGTCTCTACTAAAAATACAAAAAAATTAGCCGGGCGAGGTGGCAGGTGCCTGTAGTCCCAGCTACTCGGGATGCTGAGGCAAGAGAATGGCGTGAACCTGGGGGGGTGGAGCCTGCAGTGAGCCGAGATCAGGCCACTGCACTCCAGCCTGGGTGACAGCGAGACTCCGTCTCAAAAAAAAAAAAAAAAAAAAAAAAAGAAGTCTGTATTGATAGCTTTGTTTTCCTCATTGAGCTCAGGAACTTATTTGGAAAGAGTTTTATGAATTTTTAAGTGATTATGGATTTTTCTTTGTTCTTTTCTTATTGATGTCTAGTTTATTTGTACTGTGAACAGAAAATGTGGCCCAACAGTTTTTGCATTGTGATAGAATTTATGGGGATTTTCTTATAGCCTAATGTAAGGTCAATTTTGTAATAGTCCATGGGCACCTGTAAAGAAGTTTGCATTCCTTGTTTGAAGACTACAGAGTTTCATATAATATACACACTCATAATATTTTCAGATCCTTTTTATCTTGATCTTGATTTCAGGGTAGTATATTTTATTTTGTCTCTTTCATGCTTTTGGACATAAAGTATTATAACTGTCATATCTTTATTTTGTAATGGGCTCATTATCCATGTTTTAAATATGATATTTGGATTTTGTATTAGGTCTCTATAAAGGACTACTGAAAACTCTCTTTGTTTGGTGACAACACCAAAAGAAAAACATAATAAAAGAGGGGTCTTCAACAAGCCCCTTTTATTTTCTACTCAAGCTCATGTTAAATAATAACCTAATATAATGCACAGTAATTACACATCTACCTGTTAATAAGTTTCCCACCTTTATTATTTGTCAACAGTCTGACGCTTCTGACTTAAAAGTTTAGTCGACATCAAGATCCATGAGCACAGTCTGGTCACTACTCTGAAGGAGGAAGGTGCCTGATCTCCTTCTTTTAACCTGGGTGATTGAGGGTGATGAGATCCAATTACAACTTTTTAAAAATCCCTCATTTGCGACACTGAGAAGTAGGCTCTTCCTATTCTCTTACAGAAATATTACAATACAACATGCATACATAATTTTCCAGAGCAAGAAAGATTAGATCTTTGTAAGACAACGCACACTTCCTCTTCCTGCCCTTGTTGCAACAAGTCTGAGTACTCTTTTGAGATGGAAGACAGAGCTTTATAAGGCCACATTCTTGTTCTAAGAGTGTCAGTTTATCAGCCCTGTCTCCTTCCAGGTATAATAAGAAATGCCTCTTGGTAGCTGTCCAGAAAACTCTTGGCATAAGAAAAGGATCATCCAAGAGTCAGGTGTAATATAATATCCAAGGATCAGATATTAATATTAAAATTCCTTTTTTGTTGTTCACATTTGCCTCCACCAGTAGTTCTCAAACCCTGGCTGCAATTTGGGATCACCTGGGGAACTTTTTAAAATCGGTGATGCCCTGAGCCCAGTCCACCAATTAAATAGGAATATTTGAGACTTATATTGATAAATTACAGCACTCTTCTAATGTAAAGCCTGAGCTATCTTGGCCCATTCCTTTACTTTTGAGTATTCAGAGTCACTTTGTCTTAGCTGTGTGTTTTGTCCCAAAGAGAGGGTTGTATATTACTGGGAGATTAACCTGTATACATTTATTGTCATAACTGATGTTTTATCTTTTTTAAAGCATCTTACGTTACAACCCCCCTACCCCATGCTTCCTTGTTGTTTCCTTTGAATTTCTTTTTTCCTCCCTGAACTACTTTGCTTTTTCCCCTTTGGTAATTTTGAAGACAAGCTATTTCATATTCTATTACTAATTACACTTAACATCTTTAAAAGCATGCTCCAACCTATATTTCTCTAATTAACCACAGAAACTACAAAACAGGATTTCTTGCAAGATGAGCAAATTAGCATATCTCCTTGCTCCAACTTTACTCTTTGTGTCAGTAGAATCTGGAATATTCTACCCTAGAGTTTGGGCAGGAATAACGTCTTATATTTTCTGTTCCAAGGAATATTTGTTACGCTTGCATTTCATTTTATAACTATGTTTACATAAATTATTTAAATTCATTACCATATTGGTTTATTTGCTCATTGTCAATCTTTTTTTATGCTTTTTGTTAACCTCAACTTTATCCTACTTGAGTTTGTTGTTTAAATTCATCTCTTGGTTGGATAGGAGACATCTTTGAGTGGATGTGAGTAGGACATGTTTTGAGGCCTTTGATATTTAAGAGCAGCTTTCTGTTGCCTTTGCTGTTTAACAACTTGGCTCATTCATACCCTTTTCCACTGTAAATTATCTAGGGACACATCTGTACTATGTCTAAGATAAATACATGCAGGGTTACAGCACAGTATGTTTCTCTGTTTTCCAGAGTTGACACAGGTATCCATCTATTAATATTTGTACAGACTTTGGTCAATCTGTTGGTCGAGGTTTGGAGTGGGATGGGGTTATGAGACCCACATGTTCATGTCACCTTCTTTCAGAATGGTTTCAACCATTAGGTACTCATTGATTCATTCAGCAAATATTGGTTGAGCACCTACAATGTGTCAGGCATTGTGGGAGCCACTAGGGATTCAGCAGAATCAGATGAGATTTCTGCTGTCATGGAAGATCTGTGTATGTGTTGGGGAGAGGGAAGGACTGACCATCAACAGCTAAACATGTAAACAAGATAATTTTAGAGAATGATAAGCAGAGCTATCATATATAGCTGCTCAAATTCCAAAATGGTGCCCCTGGAGCTTTGCAACATGACAATCCTGGTTAAAGGTTCTAGAGAAAAAATAATACACTGATAGAGTGATGGAGGTGGGGAGAGGGTCTCAGGCCTTATTAATTAAATAGTCCTCTGCAGCAAATTTATTTGCTCACATACTCACAGTGCCCCTGACCATCTTCCCTCTGAAACTTTAGCACCTTTCTTTGTCTTCATCTGCCTTGGACTTGCTCAGCAGGCCCTGTGACTTGCCCCCTCTGCCTTCAAGGTCTTTGCCTTTGGGTTTTGATTCCTCATTATTTGCATTATGTTCCCAACTGAACTCCCACAAAGCTGGAGACAAGATGGCTGTGTGGGGGCATCCATGTCCAGCCTAGAGACTCCCAATTCAGTGCTAATGTAATATTTCAAGTCGACAGATGAATCTTCAGCAGATTTGAGGAACGCCTTCTAAGACTCCACGGTCACATAGGCCCAGGGGGAAGTGTTATTCTCATACTGAGAGACATGGTGGGGGGTTAGTAAGAGCTTGGTCTCTAGAATCAGGCTGCATTGATTTGGCTTTGGCGCTACCATTTACTGGCCCTGCATTACTTAACCTCTGTGTGCCTCAGTGTCTTCATCTTTAAATGGGGTTAATAACAATACCTACCTCGTAGCATTATAGTGACAGTTAAATTGAGCAAGTGATGGAAGTGCTTAGAATGGTGTCTACTCTTAGTTAAACCCTCAATAATATATAATAATAATTGCCATTAACTATATATTACATTACCTAAAAGCCTTTTCATGTCCTTCTCTCCCCTTGGCTCGAATTCTTTCTATACTTAAAATATACATGGATTACAGGGATGAGACTGAATGTGTCTTAAGAACCAGGCTTACTTTGCTGAATTGCATGGGAGGGCTTTTACAGCTGCAGACTGGAAAAGAAATACTTAATGCAGAAAATGGGGAGCTGGGCAGAGTCAGGGAGAATCAAGACTAAACTCATCACAAGGAGTCACCAATTTTTTTGTTTTAATGTTTTCCCCCCTTTGGCAAACATGATTTTATTATTTTTCATCTTAGCATCATTACCTTTAGTAAGTCAAATATTTTACTCACTTAAATATCAATTTAATTAACACCAAACATCTATATAAATGTTATAAATGGACTTAAATGTTTATCCATATTTGGAACTACCTTTTTTATGCTTGTATATATTAAAAGATGTTTAGAATGAACCTACAGCATTTTTGCAATCAGAAAAATTAAATGTTGTTTCATTTTGAACGCCTACGACCCTGATATAGTTTTTATTTGGGGGCTTATGTCCAGTCTTTATCCATTTATAAACAAATATTTAATAGCTATAATCAAAAGCATGCATATAATTTTATGATCTACTGCTTTATTTAAAATTATGTTTAACATTCTTTCTACAGGGTCATATTTATCACTTTAATGATTGCAGTCAAACTGTATCACATTAAAGGCTATAATTTACCTCACATTATTGGGCTGACATATAGTTTGTTCACATTTTTCCTCTATAATAAAATTATGTCATTGTAAACATCTTTGGCTAGGTGGCTCTTTTTCTTTTGAATTAATTCCTAGAGATTACTGAGTCAGTCTTTGAGTAGTTCTGTGGCTCTGGATGCGAACTTACATACTCCCTTCAAAAAGGATCATATCAGTTTTGCTCTGCAATTGGCAATAAATGCATGTATGAGATTCCATGAAGCCTCAACAATATTGGATTCTATATTTTTTCTTTATTTTTTCTATTGAAATGGACTGTGTTGTCATATTAATTCTATTTTCTTTCATATGAATCCTCTAAGCACTCTCTTTACTCATCTTAGTGATGTTCTTAGATAATTATAAAGGTTCTAATTCAATATTGATATTTTTCCTGTGTCATAAGCGTTGTGATTATTTTTTTCATTTTATTATTTTCTTTTATAATTTTGTTTTAGTATTTATTTGTTTTCTCATTTACAGCACTTTCTTTGCCTATTCTTATTCCAGGGTCTGCTACTAGTTGGCATGAAAATAGCTTAAAATAAGGGTTTTTGGAAGGGTGGATCCTTAGGGTGAAATAGGGGAGAGAGAACAGGACGTGGACAGGGATCACAATGGATGCTGTCACCTCCCTCCCCCAGTTTCTTCAGAAGCTTTGGTCTCTGAAAGATGGTGCTCCTGGCACCTCTTTAGCATAGTGTGGCATCTTGGGGTTGTCAGAATCCCATGGCACACCTATCATTTTTCCATCAAAAATGTTTGAAGGAGACAAATGGTCCTGGGCTGTCTCCACCCGGTTACCGCCTGGGGAATTAGCACTGCTGTGTCATTAAGCAATGTCCTTTCCTACTGCTGTAAACCCAGCTGAGAGGGGTCAGGGACTGTGACTCTACACTTAGGCTTGAGTTGTGGCTTTGCCCCACCCAAGGGACCCAAAGCACGAAGACGCAGTGTTTCACATCCAGACACATCCAATCTGTAAATACTCAAAAAATGGGAGAGGTCAAAGGAGAGATGTTAACCACTACCCAAAATCCCCCAGCCAGAAATGATCCTTGCCAACAATTGGTGGACACTATTACAGATATCACATAGTTTTCTATGCATTTATACAAATAGACAGTTGGATGGATTGATAGAAATAATTTTTAAAAATCTGGGCCGCATCCTAGGTGGGCGTGCTGACCAGGGGAGAGGGGCCAAGAGAAGACCAGTTCTGCCATGTCTGCCTTTTGCCAAAGGGGCCCTACCCATTGCTAAGTCCAGCATGGAGCCCAGCATGTCTCCCCACCTGGAGCTCAGAGCCCAGCCAGTCCAGCCCAACCCTTGTGCCACTCTTTCTTTCTGTTGCTTTTTAGACTAAGAAGATGTTCCCCCTGCCAGCCCTCAGTGGTGCAGGCAGAATGTTGGGGATGCTTACTGACCTCCACTGCTCTTCTCTTGCAGTCTCCTGCTTCTTCAACTTCACCAGCCCGTCTGGGGTTGTCCTGTCTCCCAACTACCCAGAGGACTATGGCAACCACCTCCACTGTGTCTGGCTCATCCTGGCCAGGCCTGAGAGCCGCATCCACCTGGCCTTCAACGACATTGACGTGGAGCCTCAGTTTGATTTCCTGGTCATCAAGGATGGGGCCACCGCCGAGGCGCCCGTCCTGGGCACCTTCTCAGGAAACCAGCTTCCCTCCTCCATCACAAGCAGTGGCCACGTGGCCCGTCTCGAGTTCCAGACTGACCACTCCACAGGGAAGAGGGGCTTCAACATCACTTTTACCAGTGAGTCCTCCCTCTGTCACCAGCTGGCCCTCCATCTGAGTGTCTGCCTCTGAGGATGATCGAAGGTGCTCCCATGGAGGGAGGAGGAGGTGTGGATGGGGCAGTTCCCAGGGCATTGCAGGGCTGCAGTGCCCAGTCATGGAGCTCCCAGCATGACCAAGAAAGGGCATAAAGCACTGGCTGCCAGGCAGGGTGCTCTTTTCTGGAAGTCCCTCTCTGAAGGGCATTTATCTCCCATAGTTGTGATATATAATGTAAAAGGAACCTGGAACCTCATTTTTGCCCCAACCTTCCCCATCCTACAAGACCCAACCAGAACTAGGGAGGGCCCAAGAGAAAGAAAGCCTCTATCATTCTCATTGGTTTCTGATGCCCTCTCTGAGGTGCTCTCCGAAATCCCTGAATGCCTGCCTGCTGCTGACCTCTGAGTTCGTGCCGGGGCTGCTCACTTTGCTTTGCCCAGTTCCCATTCCCATAGTCACATCAGAATCAAAGCTTTGGAGCAACACTTCTGTTGGGCTCCCAGACTTACTGGGGACAACTCTTAGGGAATTTCCTCATAGCCCCTCTGAGGGCCACCATCTGAAAGTTGCCACCTCCAGTTTCAATCCTGGGCCCCTTCTCTAGAAGCAGCCTAAACTCAGCAGTGATTATTTTTATTTCTGTATCTCGTGGTTACAGAGGGGGTTGGGGGGGGGGGGGCAGAAGCTTGGTGACTAGAAATAGCAAGCCACCAAAGATAGCAAGAAGTGGTTATCAGGTCGTAAGAAGCTATAAATCCAGTGGACTTGGCTGATGACAAACAGTCAAGTGAGGCTGGAGGTGGGTCCATCTGAGCAATTAACTAGATCCTTTCCCAGAGGCTGCTTGTGAAGGGCGAGTCCCCAGTGCAAGCTCTGCTCCATGCCCACAAACACTGATCTCCCAACCCCCATTCCCACCGTTGGCATAAAGGCCTTGCCTCCGTTTTCCACCTATCTCTGGAGTCCAGTTGGACTGAAGACATTAGATGCTACCTGGTGGGCCATTTGGGTCCCCCGATTCCAAGAGACCAGCCAGGTAAAGCCCATTCCATTCCCCTCACCACTCTTGTTTAGGACACAATCAACCTTCTCAGGGCATGTCTCCTCCAGGGGATTCCTGTTTCATCTGCTGTGGGCAGGAAGAAGCAGGGGGAGATCCTAGTTCTGTCTTTCCTAACCCTAGTCTAGCACTGACCATGCTGCTTCACACTAGAAAGGAGCGAGTATGCTTTCCTTATCTTTATATCCCTTGGCCCCGCACAGGGCCTGGTGTGTGCTAAGGATCAGCAAATGTTTACGGAATGGAAGGATCCATGAATGAGTAAATGCTTTCTCTTGCCCTGGCGGAGTAGGAAGAACAAGGATAAAAGGTATCCTGGGGAGCACACTTATCCAGGATGGTGAGGGCCAAGAAGTCATGTGGGTTTGCAGCATGTGTGGACACTGAGTGGGAACTTGGGAGGAGGAGGCAGCTGATGGCCCAGGGGCTGAGCTTCATCATGACGGCAGCAGACTAACCTGAGGATAGCTCTTACTTGTATTTCTTTCCAAGGTTTCTCTACCATTGTAAAAATGATACACATCCAATCTGTAAATACTCAAAAAATGGGAGAGGTCAAAGGAGAGATGTTAACCACTACCCAAAATCCCCCAGCCAGAAATGATTCTTGCCAACAATTGGTGGACACTATTACAGATATCACATAGTTTTCTATGCATTTATACAAATAGACAGTTGGATGGATTGATAGAAATAATTTTTAAAAATCTGGGCCGCATCCTAGACCTGCTGAATTAGAATCACTAAAGGGATGGGGCCCCAGAATCTACATTTTTGGTAGGCTTCTGAGGCGATCGGATGCAGTCAGTGAAACAATCCTCCATGGCCAAGTGTCAGGGAATTAGTGTAGTCTCTCCCATAGGATTTTAATCTCCTCCTACATCCCAACTGATGATCACTGAGGCTGAGCTTGAATTTGCCCAGTGTCAGGGAGCTTGCCTCCCCAGACAGCTCTCTCCATAGCTAGCAGGCACTCTAGATTTCAAGTCAACTTATGTTGACTTGAAATCTGTGTCCCTGTAACAAGGATCAGTGGTCCCACTTCCACCCCTAGAACTCCCGGTAACAAGGCTAATTCCTCTTCCACATGGAACATAATGAACAACAATGACAGTAGCTGCCATCCATTAAGCACCTCCTGTGGGCTGAACCTGGTGCTGAGCACTCAACAGTCATCACTGGAAGCCTCACAACAAAAACTCCATAAAGCAAGATCTACCCCTTTCACATGCCAGAAAACTGAGGTTTGGAAAGGTACACAGGGAGAAGTGGGTCCTTGACTCAGAGCTTTTGCTCCCAGATGTTGGAAATAACTCCATATTCCTGCTATGTGCATTTGCGCTTGTGTGTGTGCGCATGCACGCGCGCGCGTGTATGTGTGTGTTCATATGTGGGTGTATGTATCTGTGCCTACATGTGTATGACTGATGCATTTGAAAGAAAAATGCCTGGACTTCTGGGCCCCAAGCATCATTTTTTTTCCCACACCATATTTCTAAATGTCAGGGTGACTTCGTGGTCATAGTTTCCAACGAAGAAAGGTTGGGAGACTCAAGTCTGGGCTGACCTAAGCGTTCAAATGGAAGGGTGTTGGGCACTCAACTGAAGCCCTGCATGGGATCATCACAGTCATCTCCACATCAGAGGCTCCCTTACCTCATCTGCAATGGGAAGGGTCAGGTTTGCAGGCCTCTTGCCTCTAGCAAGATCCAGCAGCCCCTAGGGCCACTGCTGTTTCTGAATGTGCAAATGTTTCTATCACTAGGGAATTTCAGAGGCCAAGAAATTTTTTTTTCAAGTGGCCCATACCCATGCAGCCATGGATCCTGGTCTCCACTGGAAAGCTGCCATCCTCAGAACAACAGGGGTGAAAATAGAGCCTGGCTTCGGGGTGAAAATAGAGCCTGGCTTCGGAGACATTTAGTAAGAGAACTGTGATGCCCCTGCTGGAGGAAGGCAGGGAACATGCTTGGTAGAGACTGAGCAGGAAAGAGTATCTTCCCATGCAGAGGAGGGAAGAAGGAAGGGAACTCATCTTCAGTGAGCACTTACCATCTGTCACGTGCCGCACCGAACAATTGCCACTCTCATATTCACATCAACTTTCATTTTATTTCTATCTCAGAATGACCCTGCAAGTGAAGGATGATCTCCATATTATCAGTCAGGAAACTAAGGCTCATCAGAATTGCATAAGTTGTCCAGGACCATGTAACGAATAAAAGGCAAAGCATGATTAAATCTACAGCGTTCTGACTCTGTCCTCTCCCCACTCTGCATTATCAATTGCCTGGGTAGAGTGAGAGGCAGCCCTGACAATAGGCAAGGAAATAAAGGAAATAGCTTCAGACAGGGTTAATTCTAGGGCACCTCCTTTATGATGCTTAGAGTCTATTAGCGTCACAGAATTTAGAGTCCAGCTCACCTCAAGCAGAAATGATCCCATAACTGTCTGAAGTTAGGGAATCTTGGAATGGATTTGACATTGAGGAGACAGATCAGCTCATTAACCACACTGAGCCTCAGTTTCCTCATTTGTAAAGTAGGGTAACAAGAGCTACTTCATAGAATCATTATGTGGTGTAAATGAGCTAACAGCAGAAACACTTAGCTTATTGCCTGATCTATAAATGTCCATTAGAATGCAGTGGGATTAGGTGCTCGGGAAGGCAGGAAATCAAGTTTAATGAGCACCTGCTTAATGCCGAGGTCCTAGAATGCCTAGCTCTCCCGCCAACATGGCAAGTTCTTGGGGAGGTGGTGGAGTTCTAGGGTTTCCCATCCCAAGGAAGCTAATTTTCTTTAGGGATTCTTCTCTACTCCAGCAATGTCTGATCATGTCCTTGAACTCCATCTACACAGCCTTCCGACACAACGAGTGCCCGGATCCTGGCGTTCCAGTAAATGGCAAACGGTTTGGGGACAGCCTCCAGCTGGGCAGCTCCATCTCCTTCCTCTGTGATGAAGGCTTCCTTGGGACTCAGGGCTCAGAGACCATCACCTGCGTCCTGAAGGAGGGCAGCGTGGTCTGGAACAGCGCTGTGCTGCGGTGTGAAGGTACGAGCCTGCAGGCTGGGAGCAGTGGCCATTGTCAGCCAGAGAGGCTGGGGAGGGGGAGCAAGCAGCCCAGGCCATGGTGGTTCCTTTCTGCGTTGGTCCTTCCTCTTCTCCCAGAACGAAGGGCCACTCTCTCACCCTCATGCTGGAATAGCAGGGGCTTCATAAGGCCACTGTGCGTAGGAATTTAAATTATAACCAGAGATTAAAGTAGAGAAACGGCTCTGGATTGTCAGGCATCAAAAGCACCTCTTCTTTCAAATGAGAACTCTCTTCGGTATCACAGCCATTAAGATCCCTGTTTCCAGCTCCTGCCCAGGGGAGCTCCGGCAGCCCAAAGTAGCATTGGCAGCGCTGCGAGTTTTCGGGTCTTTCAAGCTGCCTGTCACTCTTTCCTTCTCCACATGTTTATTTTCCCCAATTCCCTGGGATGTCTCCCAGTCTCGGCCTTTGTGCCCTGTTAAATGCTGACTTTATATCCTTGTGGTCAGTCTCCAGGAGACTCAGGGCCAACCAGCCAGAAGAAACACAGCTTGCAGCAGGCACACGGCTGATGATGGCAGTTCTTCAGTCCTGCCTCGCCACACAAGACAGTTTTTGACTCAATTTTCAAGACCAGCCATCTGTTCCACCAAACTACAGACATTTAAAATACAGATAAAGCTTCTTGAGGCAGGAGTCAGGTTAAATTTGTGTACCAAGCATGGTGTACCAAGCATTTGTGCACCAGGCAAATTTGTGTACCAAGCATTGTGTACCAACCGTGGTACCTGGCACGGAATAGGTGCTTAATAAATATTTGTGAATAATGGATGAATAGTGAGTATCCCAAGGGCCCCTTGGGGAAACTGACAGTATCCAAGGAGACGAAGGCTGTGATTCTCTCCTTTTAGGAGGCAGAAACCTTCTTCTCACATTTCATGTGATAGAAAGAGGATAGAGACTTAAGAGACCTCTTGACTTAACCCAATTCCTAAACTCAAATCTGGGCATAGTGGCCATGAACAGGAAGGACAGGAGAATGAAGAAGGGAGCATGCCTGAGAGAGAGTATTACCCAGAGCTTACAAATGGCTCGATGGGAGACAAGGGACCACTGAGAACACTGGAGGTGGCAAGCAGTCCAGGTGGGCATTTGAGTGAGAGGGGCCCAAGCTGGGATCCTGGCAATTCACTTTTCCCCTTGAGCCTTTGTATTTTCCAGCTGGAAAAAAAAGGAGGGATAATGATAATTATCAGATGTGTATGGAGTAGGCAGTCCTGGTATAAAGTAAGTCCTCATAAGCTGCGCCTTCACTGTCACGTAAACTCCATGAGGTTAGGGAATCTTCCTTGGCCTCATATTCCCACAGCTGGTGTGTTGTTTGATACTTGGTAGATGCTCAATCAATACTGGTTGATGAGTCACCGAATAAATGAATGAATGAATGGCCTTTTAACTAGGCTAGAGCCTCCCTAATGAGACGCATATCAATGAAAGGCCTCCAGAGCCCCGACTCTCACCAGACTGCCTGCTGTCTCCACCCTGCAACTTATCATCCAAGCCACCCTGGGGAAGTAACTTGACCTCTCTGTGCCTCAGTTGCCCCACTGTAAAATGCAGGTTGATAATGGGAACCCGCTTGAAGAGTTGTCTTGAGCATGCACAGTTCTTGGAGCAGTGCCTGGTGAGAGGTAACACTCAATAAGTGTTGGCCATTAGCGTTAACTTGATTTTAACTATTTCTTCATTGGACCAACCAGATCAATATTTGCTCCACTTTGGGGGATCAAGTGGTGCGTTTCCATCCTTCCAGGAACTTGCCCCAACCGTGACATGAATAGACATTTTTTTCTGACTTCCAAACTTCCCGCAGTGTGGTCTGTACAACCTCATCTGCCATTCTTCCTCAGTGCAATCAGCACTTTTGGAAAGAACAGAAGCTTTGGAGTTAGAGAAACAACACGAAACTCAGTCTCCATGCTTCCCAGCTGTAGAATTAATGGGCTTAGGTTAAGTAACTAGACCTAGACCTCAGGTCCCTCACTGGCAACAGGGGAATAAGTATGCATATCTGATGGAGTTATTTGCTGGTGAAACAGGTCACCGTACAAAGCATCCATGCAGAACCCAGTCTGGAGGGTTGTGAATCGGTGGTCTTTCACCTTCCTACAGACCAGCCCCCTCATTTTCCCTTGCACTCATTGACCACTTCTAATTTCTTTAGTTTTCGTTGTGTTGGTTCATATCTCTGAGATCTTCCCTGCTGTCTCTAGCTCACCTGATCTCTTCCTTCTCCTAATTTCTATTATTTTTCATGGGCCACCACCACTGGACCACTTTCTTGGATACTGGTTCTTACCATTATTACATTTACCAGTTCCACAGGCCTTGGTCCTGTCTGCCCAACAAGACTGTGAGTGGTCTCAGGGCAGAAGGCCAGATTCCCATTGCCCCTGAGCCTGCAGGGGCTTAGTCCCAAATTAGTTGACTGCTCTGAGGAACCCTCAGGAATTAGTAACTGCACAATCCTCCTCTCCACCTGCCACCCTCCTGAATCAAGTGCTCTTAGACTTTAGCTCTGCGATGCATTGAAACCTTCAAGGCCATGTATGAACACATGAGATAATTTGACCTTTGTTAATGGATCTTCAAGTGGCTCACTATTTTTTTTTTTTCTTTGAGACGGAGTCTTGCTGTCGCCCAGGCTGGAGTGCAGTGGCGTGATCTTGGCTCACTGCAAGCTCCACCTCCCAGGTTCACGCCATTCTCCTGCCTCAGCCTCCCAAGTAGCTGGGACTACAGGCGCCCACCACCACACCCAGCTAATTTTTTGTATTTTCAGTAGAGACAGGGTTTCACCGTGTTAGCCAGGATGGTCTTGATCTCCTGACCTCGTGATCCACCCACCTCAGCCTCCCGCGGCTCACTATTTCATAAGCAAGGTCTTCATTTTAAAGTTAAAAAGGTCTTTTTCATTCTGTCCCTGGAGGGGGAAATGCTGTAGGGTTGGGGCAGTAGGCACTAGAAGTAAGGGACAGTCTATTGGAGACCCTGACCCCAGGGAGAGCCCGCTCGGTTTTCTCAGAGCGATGGGCATTTGATGCCAGCCTGGTTTTCAGGGATCTGGGAAGTTGCATGCCAGGCAGAGTGTGAGAGCCTGATGCCACTTAGGGTGGCTGAATCCCAGCCTTAAAACCTTAGACAGAGCTGGCTAAAGAAGCCCCTGGGAACCTGTCCCTTCTTGGCTCCTCTCCCTCCTTTTGTCTGAGCCTTGGTAGAGCTCTGCTTTGCAATCAGCATCTTTGTCTTTTCCGTTTTTTTTCTAGTTTTGTTTTTGATTAAGTGTCCCCACCTTGTGGACAATTAAATGCAGAAGCTAATGGTCTTTTAGAAAATCTTTTAATATATGCTAAGAGCCACTTAGCTTTTGAGAGGCTATAATAGGACAAGAGAGACGATGGCTTCTCCTAAATTTAGAAAGAAGGATGATTATCTGGAGGATCTAAAGCAGGGGTCGGCAAACTTTTTCTTAAAGGGCCAGAGAGGAAGTATTTTCGACTGTGTGGGCTATAACTCTGCTGTCCTAATGCAACAGCAGCCTTAGACAATACGGAAGTGAATGGGCTAGATTGACCAAGTCTGTGATCTTGAGTTCACAGGACACAGGAGTCCCTTAGGTGTAAAATCAGAAATTTCCCAAGAAAGACTTCCGGGTAGTGAAGGCAGCTACACCGGCGTACCTGCCTGACTTTCTCTCCCCTACACTTACCTCTTCCTTGTCTCTTTAAAGGAAAAATAATCATACCCCACTAGGATAAGTGTCTTACAGTGTCACCTCATTTCAACCTTGCACCAGTCCTAGGAAATAGATGTCGTTATTGTCCCTGCTAGGACACAGACAGGTTAAGTCACCTGCGTAGGATCTTCCCAGCTTGTAAATGATGGAGCCAGAATTCAAATCCAGACTCTTGGCTACCCTGTTACTGTATTTTTCTTGAATTATATCACTGAAGAGAATATAGTTTCCAACACCTCTATGAAAGACTTAAAAGCATCTCCAAATAGAACGAAAAGCAGGATTTCTACTTTCGACATCCCCGTAGAAAATTAAAAGGAAATACATTGCCTAATGCATAAGACAAAGAAGACAGGACATCACATGGAGACATCGGAAATTGACAGCATGAAACAAAATGACAGCAGAAGACAAACATATCAGTTATGATAATAAAAGTAATTAAACTCCCTATTAAAAGACAAAGAGCTGAGCTTTAAGAATATTCTGCTTACAAGAAATACACACAAAAAAAGATAAATTATCTACAGTGAGTGTGTATTTTCTTTTTTCTTTTTCTTTTTTCTTTTTTTTTTTTGAGATGGAATCTTGCTCTGTCATCCAGGCTGGAGTGCAGTGGTGTGATCTCAGCTCACTGCAGCCTCTGCCTCCCAAGTTCAAGCGATTCTCCTGCCTCAGCCTCCCGAGTAGCTGGGACTACAGGTGTATGCAACCATGCCTGGCTAATTTTTGTATTCTTAGTAGAGACGGGGTTTCACTATGTTGGCCAGACTGGTCTCAAACTCCTGACCTCATGATCTTCCAGCCTCGGCCTCCCAAAATGCGGGGATTACAGGCTTGAGCCACCACACCTGGCCCCTGTATTTTCATTTTTTAAATTTTAAAGAAATACTCGGAGGGTTGCTTGAGCCTGGGAATTAGAGGCTGCAGTGAGCTATGATTGTACTACTGCTCTCCAGCCTGGGCGACAGAGCTAGACTCTGTCAAATAAACAAATAAAGGAATACTTGGTGGTTGTAAAAATTTCAAATGATGCACAAGTGCAATACAGCTCAAAGTGGAAATGCTCATTTCCCAGTCCCACTCCCCAGAGGAAAATGGTTTAACAGTTTGGTATAAACACATCCACATTTATTCTCTATCTACACCAAATGTGTTACTTTTAAAATCAGGAAAAAAGCAAGTACTGTAATAAAGAAAGAAGGTCAGTTCTCCTCATGACCACAAAGAAATCTAAGTGGTGGTGGTAGCTCATTTTGGCATTAAGGAAGAACTATAAGGGTAGTTACTGCATTTCTAGCAATCTCTCATTTAATCTTCTTGCCACTCTTGCAAGAAAGATGTAATTGTGCTTTATCCATGAGAATCCGCAAAAACAGTGAGGTGAGTTGACGTTCCCAAAATCACCCAGCTGGTAATCATTGAGCACATACTATGTGCTAAATACCAGGCCAATTGCTTTACATCTGTATTAGTCCATTCTCACATTGCTATGAAGAAATGCCCAAGACTGGGTAATTTATAAAGGAAAGGTTTAATTGACTCACAGTTTCACATTGCTGGGGAGGCCTCAGGAAACTTACACTCATGGTGAAAGGCAAAAGAGAAGCAGGCACCTTCTTCACAGGGCGTCAGGACAGAGTGAGTGCAAGCAAGGGAAATGCCAGATGCAAACCATCAAATCTCCTGCGACTCACTATCATGACAGCAGCATGGGGGAAACTGCCCCCATGATCCGATTACCTCCACCTGGTCCTGCCCTTGACACGCAGGGATTATGGGGATTATAACTCGAGGTGAGATTTGGGTGGGGACACAGAGCCCAACCATATCAACATCCACTGCCCCATTGACTCTTCATGAGGAGGTATTGTTATCCTCACTTCACAGATGAAGAAACTGAAGCTCAAAATGGTTATGTAACTTGCTTAAGACCATAGCTAAGTGAATGAGAGAGTCAAGGTTCAAATCCAGATATTCTGATTCCAGAATCATCACTTTTAACCTCCAAGTGAGGTCTGAGTCCCAAGTTCATTCTGCTTATATTCTACCACAAAACAGTGGAAGACAGGTGGTAAGGGGCACAGGTGGGTAGTGGGGAGGCAGAGCTAGAGAGTAGGAGGCAACACTTCCAGCCGCAGGGCTGAGTAACTCCAGAGGCACTCTGGTCAGAGGAAAGGACTTCCACTACTTCTGGTCACTCACACTGGACAGCTAGTCAACAAAACCCCTTAGCAGCAGCCTACATCCCGTTACAGAAGCAGTGGTTGAGGTGGGCATTCCCACGTCCACCCAGAGTGGTTAAAAATGCAGGCTCTGGAGCTGGACTGCCCAGGTTTAAATCCTGACCCTGCGACTTCCTAGTGTGTGTTCCTGGCCAGTCGCCTAAGCTCTTTGTACCTCAAGTATGTTCCCTCAGCTATGAAATGAGGTTAATGTCTGTGCCCGCCTTATAGGTGGCTGTGAAGACTAACACACAGGGGAAGCAAAAGCATACATGAAGGTCAGAGCCTGGCATGTTGTAGAGCTCAGTGCTCAATGAGTATTTGTTCTCTGTATTCTATTCTGTCACCATTCCCTATTCCTCTTTGCCTTGCACAACTTTAGCATCAGGGTCAGGAGAAGTGGCTCATCCCTCACAGGGGACAGCAACCCCTCATCAGAAGCTCAGTGTATCAGTCAGCCTGGGCTGCCGTAACACAGTGCCACAGACTTGGTGCCTTAAACAACATAAATTTATTTTCTCACAGGTCTGAAAGCTGGAAGTTCAAGATCAAGGTACTGGCAGGGCTGGTTTCTCCTGAAGCATCTCTCCTTGGCTTGCAGATGCCCACTTCCTCTCTGTGTTCTCACGTGGCCTGTTTTCCTGTGCACATGCACCCCTGGTGTCTTCCTCTTATAATGAGGACACCAGTCCTACTGGACTAGGGCTCTATCCTCATGACCTCATTTAACCTTATTTACCTCCTGAAAGGCTCTCTCTCCAAATGCAGTCACATTGGTGGCTAGGGTTTCAACCTCTACATTTTGGGAGGACACAATTCCATCCATAACACCCAGTATCCCTGCCTATCAACCAGTATTTCATTCCTTCAACAAATATTGAACATCTAGTGAGTACCAGGTGCTGGGACAGTCACAGGGTCCCTCTTTTGTCTTATTGCTGAGCTCTTCTCCCTGTTCAAGAGAGGATCCTTCCTTCTTTTTCCTTCTTTTCTTTGTGTGTGTGTGTGTGTGCATGTGCACGCACACAGACATGTGTGTGCTTCCCTGTTTTTGCCTTCACCTTGTTTAAATGAAAAATTTCAAACATATACCAAAACAGAGAGAATAGTATAATGAACCCACATGTACCTATCAGTCAACCTCAACAATTATAAACTCATGGCCTATTTTGTTTTCATTTATATCCCCACCCATTCCCCCACAACCACCCTGCTGGTTCTGGGATTATTTCGCAGCAAATTTCAGTCATCACACTTCATCTATGACATTTTAGTAATGTGTCTCCAACAGATAAAACTAGCTCTTTAAAACATAACCACATTGCTATCATTTTAAAAAATTAAAAACAATTAATATAATCAAATTTCCATGATTGGCTAATACGTTCTTTGATAGTATTTTTAAGTCAGTATCCTTGTTAGCTTCATACATTATAATTGGCTGATATGTCTCAAGTCTTTTCTAATCTATAGGTGTCTACTCCCCACCCCCTTGAGATTTTTTTGTTGTTGCAGAAGTCGGGTCATTTATCTGGAGATAAATGAGAATTATTCAGAATGAGGAGTCTCCTGCATTCGGAATTTTGCCAGTTGCTTCCCTGGGAGGTTGTTTAACACAATTGTCTCTCTTTTATGTTCCCTTTAATTGGCAGTAAGATCTAGAAACTTAATCAGATTGAACTTCCATTTTTTTAGCGAGAATATCTTGTAGGCAATGTCTTCAACAGAATCATATGATATTTGGGTATCTCTCTTTTGGGGTCATTAGGAACCATTAATGATCATACCCTAGGAATTACAAAATGGTAACATGCTATAATTTATTTTTTCATAAGCTGAAATGCTACACTTAAAGAAAACTTGTCCTCATCAACTATTTGGTTACTCCGAGATACAGTTTGTAAAGGAAAAGCAAGGAAATAATTATTTGTATTTGCCGGTTTTTGTATTAATGAGTTGATTCCCTAACACCTTCCAAAGTTGCACATTTTTAAATATCATTACAATCCAAACATACTTTATGTATTTAAATCTACTGCAGTTTGTTCTAATTAATGCTCAAATTGTGTCATTGGCTAGTGGGAGCCTTTTGAAGTTGGCCTAACATCATCTTGTACATTTTCTGTCTCTGACCCAGAATCAGTTATTTCTCCTAGAAACCCTGGTTCCTTTTAGTGGAAACTGATATTTAAAATTTGGGCACTAGGGGTACTTTTTATTATTGACTTCGTTCCTGTTTCTAAGCCTTTTCAATGAACACAGCTAGGAAACAGTTTTTAAAAGAAAATTCGTCATGGGTTTATTTCATTTCCAATGTAAAAACACTTTTTCTTTTTTACTTAACTTCTTTAATATCATATCCATATCTCCTTTCACTCTTGCTGAAAATCCCAGTTCCCAACACCATTAATATAATTTCCCAATTCATAGGACATGCCTAAGAGTCCCAAAGTAGTAATACCAATGGCTACCAACAATAATATAATTACAGAGAATAGTTTAAGGGTTTTTTTTTTTTTCATTTCTTTTTGTATCCTATTAAGGTAGGCTATCAAATTATTGTGTTTTAAAATCTCTTTTACTAGTTTCTTCATGTGGGATTATGCTACCAACTAATCTAGCATTGCATTCATTTATTTCACTCTGCTTCTGAGTTTCTAGAAATTGCTTATCAGTTTATTGATTTGCTTAATCTTTCATTTTAATTATTTAAAATATTTACATAGTTCCAAAGCTAAATATATAAAAAAGGTATATTCTGAGAAAGCCTAGCTTCTATCCCTATCTTCTCTACCCTGTTCCCTCCGTCCTTCTGTGAATAATCTTTTAGTTTTTGGTTTATCCTTTCAGTGATTGTTAATATGAGTGAATATGTGTGTATGCCTCTGCCCCTTTCTTAGATAAAGAGAATCATACCATACCTACTAATCTCTACCATGCTTTTATTCACTTAACAACATAGTCTGGGAACCACTCCATGATATTATATAGAATATCCCTCATTCTTGTTTTATAGCTGCATAAATAGTCCATTTTGTTGATTACCCTAGTTTATTCAGTTAGATCTCTACCACTGAACATTTGGGCTGTTTCCATACATTTGCTATCACAAATAGTGCTACCTTGCATAACCTTGTACATATATGTCATTTCATATTTTTGCCAGTGTATCTTTGGGAGAGTTCTAGAAATAGAATTGCTGGGTCAGAGAGTAAATGCATATGCATTTTGTTGGATATTACCAAATTCCTCTGCACAGCAGTTGTACCATATTGCACGTTCACCAGCAAGGTCCTAGAATCCTTGGTTTCTCACGGCCTCATGTGTCATTAAACTTTGGATTTTGCCTATCTGATGGATGAGAAACAATATTTCACTGTGCTTTTAATATGTATTTTTATGTTTAAGAGTGAGGTCAATCATCTTTTCAAATGTGAAAGAGACATTGCATTTAAGAATCCTCCCCTCCAACATCACACTCTGGGGACTGTTGTGGGGTGGGGGGAGGGGGGAGGGATAGCTTTAGGAGATATACCTAATGCTAAATGACGAGTTAATGGGTGCAGCACACCAGCATGGCACATGTATACATATGTAACTAACCTGCACATTGTGCACATGTACTCTAAAACTTAAAGTATAATAATAATAAAATTTTAAAAAATTAAAAAAAAAAAAAAAAAGAATCCTCCCCTCCAAATCCCTGCCGGGCAACTACCACTCTGCAATATGAAGATGAACAACAGAGAAAGTGAAGGACAGAATGATTAAATAGGTCACTGGACAATCACAGGTGCACAGGAAGAGATTAACTAGCCAAACTAATGAAGCAACACAGCAGAGAAAGAAAGCAAAGTGGTGACCGCCAAAGGAAGGGATTGAATTTCCCTCTCTGGAGATTGTAGATGGGGTTTCGTTGATATGTATGCACTGAGTGGAGAGTGGCCTAGACAGGCAATGGAGACTGCATGATCTGTAGCTCCCCGGGCAGTAAATGGGGAAATCACAGTCCAACAACCAGAGATGCTGGGCCTGTGCTGAGATGGAGCCAAGAAAGAGTCCCTCCTCACTGCTGAGATGCAAACCTGTATTGTAACAATGGGATGTAGCAATAGGCACGCCCCTCCCCACCTCTAAGGTCTCATGTGTCCACCTGAGAAATGGAGGAAAGCATTAGTAGTTGCAGTGAGATGGATGGATGGGTTTTGAAAACTGGGGTTACCCAGGAAGTGACAATACACATACACAATTTACTCTCCCAATGTTTGATATAGCTCTATGTAATTATTTAGTTTCTCTAAGCCTCAATTTACTGAAAATGGGGTAATAATCCCCGCCTATAAAACGAGGATGATAATAGTACGTGCCATTTAGTGTTGCCATTGTCACAAGGATAATCCACATTAAGCCCTGACACATAGTAAGTTATCGATACACATGAGCTTATTACTGTTGGCTGTGGTTGTAGCACTATTATGTGTCACGGGGGATTTAGAGACAGAAGTCTTGAGATTCAATCTCAGCTCTAATTTCATTAGCTCTGTATCCTTGATCTAGTCTCTTAACCTACTTGGCCTTAGTTTTCTTCTCTATAAAATAGGGATAATAACTTCATAAATGCATGCATTTAAATGAGATAACACATGTGTAGCAATTAGCATAGTAAGTCATCAGTAAGAGTTGACGACTACTACCCTTATTATAATCTTCTTTGTTAATTAAACTTCCTAATATAAGTTTCTATTAAGAATACTTGACAACTATTTTAGATAATTCTTGAAGGTTATAGCATTAAAAAAAAAAGAGGATTGGGTATATTAGACTATCTTTTATGAAACTGATTACCTCGAGAAATCTACAAAACTTTGCAGAGAGAGAAGTGCTATGTAGCTCTTTATTCCTCCCCAGTCTTGTTCAGGGAATTTTTGGCATCTGATAGCTCCATAGTAAGGGAGTACAAAGGAGCAGAGGTTCCTTTGACATGGGAGGCGGCTTAGCTTAAAATCTCTGGATTTACGCTGTCTTGCCTAGGTCTGAATCCAAGCTCTGCAACTTGCTAACCCAAGGCTAGTTACTCAACCTCCGTAAGCCTCAGCTTTCCTAGGAGGTAATAATAGCACCAACCTCACAGGGGATTTTGTTTTGCAAAGAGTGAACATGATTACGTATGTAAGCTCAGTGCCTGACTGAGGTGGAGTCAACCCCCAGTCAATGGCAGTGGTGATGGCAGTGACAGAAGCAGTAATAGTGGATGTCATCATCATCCTCATCATCAGCCTTGGGGAGGTGTGCTAGTCTGGGTGGGCTAGGCTACACGGTGTTAACTTACAACCTCCAAATCCCAGCGGCTTAAAAATCAGGAGCTTATATCTCACACAGACCACTGAAGCTACATATTTAACATGGGTCATCAGGGATGTCTGCTCCTTAGAGTCACTTAGGGGCCCAGATTGATGAGACTTCCCTCTTGACACTTGCTTCCACAATTACCGAGGCCGGAAAAGGAAACTGTGTGCAGATCACACACAGGCTTATAAAGTTTCCACAGAGACATGATGTACAGCACTTCTGCTCTCATTTTATTGGTCACAGCAGTCACGTGACCTTGCATAACTTCAAAAGGGGTGGGCAGTGAAATCCAATCATGTGCCCTTGAAAGAGGAATAGCTCTAATGACTACCTTAGGGGCTGAGGGTCTGGTTGCAGGAAGAGACAGTGGTGGTGGGAAAGAGGCAGCTGAGAATGGGGAAGCCCAGGATGGGACATGTGGACAGAGGCATAAATAACAGACTTTGCAAGACCAGAGACAGCCAGCAGCTGTGCCTAGGCCTCCCAGTGTCCTGTGGAGTTCCCTGCCTTGGACTGTATTCATTCATCCTGTCATTAACTCATTGATTCATCCAACCAGCAATCATTGAGAAACAACTGTGTGCCAAGCACCATGCTCAATACTGGGGATACCCAGTTGTGTAACACAATTAACACATCCCATGCCCTCCTGGAGTTTACAGTGAAGCAGGGAGTACCGGCACCCTGAGCTGAACGTCTGAGTTGTAGGGTCCTGGGGTTCTGACCTTCTCCAGGGCCAGATGTGAGGAGGTTGGCTGGGTCTATGCCCCTGCCTCAGGCCTGACAATTGAGTGAGGAACGAAGGAAAAACACCATGTGGCCCAAATATTAGTTGTACTTCAGCCCTTCTAGAATGACAAAGGGACTTTGCTTAAAGGATTCTTTTCATTTCTCCCATCTGGCCTTTAATAACACTCCACATGATATAACTGGACCTACCCATAAAGGTCCCAGTAGACAAAACTCACAGTTTATAGTTTATGTAATTTTCCATAAAAACAAAAACTATACTTATTGCCTGACACATTTTATAGAGAGATTTTCTGTTTGTTTACTCATTTGTCCCTGAAGAAAGCTGCCTCTCTTCCTTCTGTCCCCCCAGCTCCCTGTGGTGGTCACCTGACTTCGCCCAGCGGCACCATCCTCTCTCCGGGCTGGCCTGGCTTCTACAAGGATGCCTTGAGCTGTGCCTGGGTGATTGAGGCCCAGCCAGGCTACCCCATCAAAATCACCTTCGACAGGTGCTTGTGACCACAGCCTTGGGGGAGAGGGCAAGGGGGAGATTTTTACAGAGCCACGTGGGAGGGAATGCAGGGTGGATAGGGGACCAGTACCAACGCTGAAATGTCAGCAAGGTTGGAGAACACTGGACCAAATTGCCCTGGGTGGGGCAGACCTCACTGGCTCTGCCCTTGGGCTTGGTTTGTGCTGTTTAGGGGACTATGGCAGGAGGGGTGAAGAGAAGGCTTGGGTACCATTTGGGATGTTAGAGCTCCCCCCTCCCCAGCCCCCAAGGAGGGGGAGTGGGCAGATAGACACCATCAGATGTTAAAGCATGACTCTGGTATCTGACGAGCATTCTCCTGGAAATGTCCAACGTGGGAAGGCAGCCCCCCACCTCTGCCCCAAATCCTGCTCATGTGCCCCACTTCTAGCTCCCACCCTGGCTATGCCCCTTGGGTGGAGAACGTAGCCACCTAAATGTGAAAACAAACTTCTTCCGGACAAAGTGTTCCTGGCCTGGAATAGCAGTCTGCAAACTTTTGTGTGAAGAGCCAGATGGTAAATATTTTAGGCTTTGTGGGCCACTTGCCTACTTGCATATCTCTGATGCATGCTCTGCTTTGCCTTTTTTTTTTTTTAAGATCTCTTTACAAATGTAAAAAGCATCCTTAGCTCTCCAGGCTATAGACCAGATCTGGCCCTGAGGCTTTAGTGTGCTGACCCCTAGCCTAGAATGTTCTGACCTCCATGAGGCTAGTCATTGTGCCTCTAGGTCTTAAGCTGGCTCACAGATCAGGCCACAGAGAGGATGAGAGCAGTTTCCAACCATGGAAGGAGGAGGAGGGATGTTAAATAGAGTGGAGAAGGTCCTTCTGCATCGCTAGTGAATGTGTGCAAATTATATTAAAAGATCCCAGCCTGCCAAAATCTGGTTATTCGGAAGCCCTGGGTCAGGCAGGGCTTTATGTCATTTGCAAATTAATAAGCTTGGATTTCTCAAGAAGGCTTCATTTCTGTCATTTGGCAGATTCAAAACCGAGGTCAACTATGACACCCTGGAAGTACGCGATGGGCGGACTTACTCAGCGCCCTTGATCGGGGTTTACCACGGGACCCAGGTTCCCCAGTTCCTCATCAGCACCAGCAACTACCTCTACCTCCTCTTCTCTACCGACAAGAGTCACTCGGACATCGGCTTCCAGCTCCGCTATGAGAGTGAGTCTCAGTGGGCTCAGGAAAAGGGATGACAAGGTCAGCCCAGGTGGGTCAAAGGCCTCAGGACTGTGCTCCACCACAGGCCCCTGCTTGGCCCCATCCCCATGGTGTTCTTGGCTAGGCTGTGCCCTTCAGAAGGCCCTGGGGAAGGCACTCTGTTGCTCTCAGCATCCCTCAGGTCATGGGAGCTTAGAGTTGTTCACAACCTTCACGCTAGGCCCTTGCGTGCAGACCTCCTGGCAGGTGATTGGGTGCCGCCACGCTGGGCACTCTGGGATCAGAACATTTGACTGACCATGAAGTTAACCCAAGATGGCATCTCACACCCACACTTGTCCTTCCTCATCACCTCCCACATTCATCCCCTCGATTTAAAGGATCATTGTCACTTCAGTTCTCTGTAGACCAACATAGAAAGCTGGAGCTGCGAGCACCATGAGGACAAGGTCATTTTCTTACTCCTAAGCCTTAGCATAGCACCTAAGCCACTCTCAGCAAATT
Source organism: Homo sapiens (assembly GCF_000001405.40). Taxonomy (NCBI): domain Eukaryota; kingdom Metazoa; phylum Chordata; class Mammalia; order Primates; family Hominidae; genus Homo; species Homo sapiens. The sequence goes on along the minus strand of NC_000001.11, from coordinate 33,724,847 downwards.
CTGACGGCCACATTTCATGAGTCAGTAATTGGCAACTTCTGCCTTTAATAAACCAGGGCTCTCTTCTTACTCTTTGGAGTCAACTGGGGTCCCTCTGTAGTGACAGTAAGCTGTCTGTCCCAGCTGTGGCCTCTCTCTTTCAGCTATAACACTGCAGTCAGACCACTGTCTGGATCCAGGAATCCCAGTAAATGGACAGCGTCATGGGAATGACTTCTACGTGGGCGCGCTGGTGACCTTCAGCTGTGACTCGGGCTACACATTAAGTGACGGGGAGCCTCTGGAGTGTGAGCCCAACTTCCAGTGGAGCCGGGCCCTGCCCAGTTGTGAAGGTGAGGGACACCATGAGGGGGCGCTAAAGTAGCAGACTCCTCTCCTGCCACAGAAACACAGGTGCTCAAAAGACCACTGACTCCCTCACCCCATCAGCGAAGGTTGGGCTTTCGAGAGATGGGGGATGGGGTCCCAGGAGGATGACGGGGGTGCTCCCTGAGGCCCTCTGGTCTTTCACTGCCCTCTTCACTCCTTCTGTAGCTCTCTGTGGTGGCTTCATTCAAGGCTCCAGTGGGACCATCTTGTCGCCAGGGTTCCCTGACTTCTACCCCAACAACTTGAACTGCACCTGGATTATCGAAACATCTCATGGCAAGGGTGAGTGTTTCAGCCCATAGCAGGCATTGGGATGTGACGAGGTCAGGGACCCAAGTTCCTCAGGTCAAGTTGACCTCAATGGGGATCTCCCTAGATAGTGACCTCTGGGCTTCGTCTGAACTTTTCTCACCAACAAGAAAACTTCCAGAGTCTTCTCATCCCTTTGAATGGTAGAACTTGTTCAATAAGTATTGTTGAGATTCTAAAATCTCCCTGCTGGAAGAGCTCTTAGAGGTTACCAGCTGTCCAATCTCACTCAGTACAGGAACCTTCTCTAAATCACTCCCTGCAAGATGGCAACACGCCAGCTCAGCTCACCCTCTGCCTAAACATGCCTGATGTGGGGAGGCCACCAACCCGTTCAACAGATGGGCACCTACTATCATTTTTGCACAGATGCTTTCTTCTAATAGTCTATTAGGTGTCTCTGAAAATGTTTTTCTTGTATTGCATCCTGGAGGAGCATCAGATACACCTGCTCCCTCTTCTTCACATTCACCCTTCAGATACTGAACACAGCGATCCCCTTCTTGCATAACTCAGCTCCTCCCCTGATGCCATCTTTCATATGGGTCACCAGCCTGCACTGCTGCCTCAGCTCCCCTAACGTGAGTGACCTTTGGGAGTCCAAGTTCAAAGTAAAAGTGCTGGTTATAAATAAATGTTAATTAATATATTAATACTCTTTTCTCAACAAATATGTATTCGGTGCCACCCATGTGGCTGACACTGGGGCTGGGCATCAGCAGTAACCAGGCAGATTTGGCTTCTAGCCTCAGAAGCTTATTGCCAAGTTCATCCAGAGTCATGGTTCTTGCAGTTTGGCAAATACACTAATGCTTAGGCCCAAGGCTAGAGGTTTTGATTTTCTACGTTGGCGGTGGAAACCAGGCATCTATGTTTTCAGAACACTTTGCCAGTAATTTTGATGCATGCTTTTAATTAAGAACCTCTGATCTAGAAGAATTAACATGCAGAAGAGCCAAAAAACTAATTTTAAAGGAAGATTAATCCTTCCGGATATTAAAATGTTGTTATGGGCTAAATTAATGTTAACAATGTGGTATGAGTACAAGAGTGGACATACAAATAAGACGTGGAGAATAATTGTCCAGAAATAGATCCCTCCGTGTGTGCACACACATGCCTGTGTACGTGTGAGAAAGAGACAGACTTTAGTATATAAGTAAAGTGTCATTTCAGATCCATTGAAGAAAGGATGGATTATGTAATAAATGGTGTTAAAACAGTGGGTTGAACCATTGGAACAAAAGAAAAAAAAACCGTCTATACCTCAAGCATTCTCAAGCATTTAATCACATAAACTCCAGCACTAGAGGAACATGAATCTCTAACCTCAGGTGGGCACGTACTTTAAAGAGTAACAACAAAGGTAGAATCCATAAAGGCAAAGACTGCTAGATTCAATTAAAAAAAACTTTGAAAGGATTTAGGTTAAAAAAAAAAAGTTCCATAAAAATTTAAAGTCAAATACTAAATAGAAAAAAAAAAATCGCAACATGTGATCGACTAAGGATTAGCAACCAGACACACAAAGAGTTCTTTAAAATTTTTAGGAGACATATGCCTAGCCAAACCAGCCCGCAAAATGAGCAAAGCTATAAAGTAACACTTTGTAACAGAGGAAATACAAATGGAAAATCATGGACCTCATTAATAATGAAACAAGTGTAATTTTAAAAGAGAAATACCATTTCCCTTTTTAAGTCATCAAAGAAAATTGTAACAGTCTGGGGGATAATGTGGACACTTGCATGCTATTGACTGCTGACATTGTGCGAAATGGTTCAGGCATTCCAGAGGGTGACTTGGTGATGTGAATCAAAAGTCTCGAAAATATATTGTAAGGGACTTAGGAATCTGCAGATTTTGGTATCCAAGGGTGGTCCTGGAACAAATCCCCTGCAGATACAGAGGGACAACTGTACCTGCCTTTGCATCTAGCAATTCCACTTACTGGAATTTATCTGAAGAAAATAAGTAAAACTCTACATCAAGATTTAGCTTCAAAGATTTCCCCTAAGATATTATGTATTATACTGAAAAATTAAGAACTATTAAAATGTCCATCAATAAGGAAATGTTAAATAAACATAGGGTATGGCCATAGAATAAAATACTAGGCAGCTCCTAAAAGGAATAACATGAAAGAATATTTAAAGACCTACAGGGGTGGTTGCAATACTTTGTTAAGTAAAAAAAATAAGTTTGCCAAAAGAATATATTTAGTTTAAAAGACATCCTTGTTTGCATAGAAAACAGCCTGGAAAAAATATACCCCAAGATGTTGTCTCTTATTTTCATCTTTTGGCTTTTTTCTAATTTTGAGCAGTAAACACATTACATCTAAAATATACTATTTGTATAACAAAGAAGATTTGAAAGAAAAGTCATTTATAGTCCCACCACATGTACTTAAGTGTGTCACTTGGCCTTTACTAGGCCTGCCCTACCCAGGGCTAGGGTGGCCTGGAGCTTACTGCATCAAGGCAAGACTAGCCAGGTGGTCAGGGTGAGGCCCAGGATTGTCCGCTTCCCACAACATTGTTCCTAAGGAGGGGAGGGCTGGAACAGTGTCCTTGTTCATCCTGCAGAGCTGTTTCCACCAAGCCTGGTCAGAGGAGACCATTGGAAAGAAAAGCAGCCCCTCACGATCCCTAGAGAAACAACCCCTGTCATTGTGGTTTTCTCTGTGTCTGGGCATCTGTGATTACAGGAGGTGTATGTTTTTCTGTGAGTTTCTATGTGTGTGTTTTTTCCTGGAAGTCAATCAAGCTCACCAACTATTTTACAAATGTTTATTTGATACTTGCACTACCCAAATTGCTAGGAAAACAGCTGAACAAGCCACTCTGCCAGTGCCTGCCTTCAGGAAGTTTATGCTTTAGTGGTAGTAGACAGCCTAAACCAAGATCTCAGTATATAGCATGACCAATATGTGATAGAGCAGACAGAGATGTGAAAACATCCCAAGCCCAGCCCAGGGCTTAGGAAGGTGTCCTGGAGTTGAGACTTCAGCTGGTCTTCAAAGATGAACAGGACATAGCCCGGTTGAAAGGTGCTCAGCAGAGAATCAACAAGAAATCATGGATGAATGACCAGATCACTTCTTCCTTAGAACCACTTAAAGGCATCACCTAATTCTTAGCATAGATCCCCAAATTATAAAATCGCTAGGCCAGGCACGGTGGCTCATGCCTGTAATCCCAGCACTTTGGGTGTCAAGGCAGGCAGATCACCTGAGGTTGGGAGTTCGAGGCCAGCCTGACCAACATGGAGAAACCCCGTGTCTACTAAAAATACAAAAAAAATTATTTGGCGGGGGTGGCACATGCCTGTAATCCCAGCTACTCAGGAGGCTGAGGCAGGAGAATTGCTTAAACCCAGGAGGCAGAGGTTGCGGTGAGCCGAGATCGTGCCATTGCACTCCAGCCTGGGCAACAAGAGCAAAACTTCATCTCAAAAAATAAGAAATAAAATAAAATAAAATAGCTGGCACAGCCTCATAGTCCTTACCTGTCTCAGCCTCATTCTGAGCCCTCTAAACTAAGTTCTAGCTACACAAAACTTCCTTCAGTTTCTGGAACTTGCCAGGCTTCCCTTCTCCTCTAGAGCTTTACACATTTGTACAATGTTCTTCTCTCTGGAACACTTCGTCTCCCCAAGCAAGGGGAATGGGAATCTCTGCCGTTGCCCTTGCCTGGCCAGCCCTTCATCCTTCTGAATCCCCTTCCTCTAATGAGCCTTCCCTGACCCCCTCTCCCCAGCTCTGCATCTAGGTTGGGCTCTTCTCCCCTGGGCTCCCATAGCATGCATTCTATACCTCCATGATTTCAGACTTTACTCCACTGTAGAGAACTTGCATTTTCATCATCAGTCTCCCTGACAGACTAGGAGCTCTGTGAGAGATAGGTCTGTCTTGTTTCCTGTAGTTTTCTTGGCTTCTGGCTCTATGCCCGGCACATAAGGAACTCAAGAAGCATTTGGTGATATGAATCAAATTGAACTGAGCCCAGGCCCTTCTCCAGAGGGCATTCTTCGTTCTCTGTTTCTAAGAGTATCTCGGGTTAACAGACCTATTAAGCTGCTGTCTGTGATTGCTCCCTAAGAGGCAGCAGTATGGCTCAGGAAACTCAAAACTCTGTGAAATTTGAAATAGTTCAACTTGCCACCTGCCCAGTCCAAGGGAGCAGCCAATTCAGGAGTCCTGAGAATGTGCCCTTGCTGAGACCCCAGAGCTGACACCTTTTAACCCGTGAGGCTTTCCGGGAGTTAGATGAGTTGAGCAAAGGGAATGCCTTCTGTTGCACCCCTACTGTGTGCCAGCCACTATGCTGTGTGCTTTGCATATACTTTCCCAGTTATGACTCACTTCGGGGGTAAATGTCACCTGTAAGAGAGATATTATTGCCTACATATTACAGTTGAAGAACCTGGAACCTGAGGTGTTAAGCAACCTTAGCCAAGACCTTTGAGCAGGTAAATGGGCTTTTGATCCAGGTGTTTCTTACCCCCAAGTCCATGCCTTTTCCACTGCCCTGCTCTTTCTGCTCCTATGTGGTATTGATGTCATTGGTACGATTTTGCTTGGTTCAGTCAAGTGAAGTATTTGTGTGTGCATCTGTCACATCAAATCTGGATTCAAACTCCAACATGGGGCCTCTCTATTTCTGCAACAATGTCTTCATTTTCACACAATGGCCCAAAAAGCCCCAAGCAGTCAGCGCAGCTGGGAAACCCAGAGGTTTCAGCTCAGATGTTTGCTCATCCTTAGAATCCCAGCCAAATGTTTACCCCTTTGGAAGGGCTCTATTTGCATGCTAGAAGAATAGAGTGCAAAGCGCGATGCTTAATCAACTTGTTTCCACCTGTGACTGGGTCTCACCCGCTCTCCACCCAACTCCATGTCCTAGGTAGGAGGGAAAGGACGTATATTTCCTAAGCTGTATAGACTGAGAACAGTTTTCTCATTTGCAGACATGTTTGTATGTCAGGAGTAGAGCATGCACGTGGGCACATGCACCCACAAGCCTTTTCACATCAAGGATTTTGACCCCCGTGAAGCCTTCCCAACCAGTGAGGCATAGTTCCCATTCTTCCTCCATGCCCCACTCTGAATTCTCACTAGTAGTGATGTGTCTGTCTTCTCCACTAAACTGGGAGATCTTTCTCAGTGCTTAGCACAAGGCCTGGCACTTGGTAGGTGCTTAGGCCTTGATGCTTCTCAGTTGCCTGGGAACAGGGTATTTACAAGCTGCATCTTTGGTCCCATCGCTTCTGTTGGGTTCTGTCTCCTCCACCTCTATCTATAGAAGCCCAAATCCTCCAGGATCACCAGCCTCTATCAACAGAGATGCAAGGATATAAAAACCTTTAAAATGCTTTAGCATTAGAGGCTTATCTCCAACCATCATTTATAAAAAATGTAGCAGTAATTATCTAGAGAAGTACTTCTCAAATTGTAAGTGTGTATAAATCATTTGGGATCTGAAGAGCATGCAGATTCTGATTCAGTAGGTCTTCAGTGGAGGCCAAAGATTCTGCAATTCTAGTAAGTCCCCCAGTGCTGACCACACTGCTGGTTCATGGACCATACTTTGAGTAGAAAGTGGGATCACACTTGGAGTAGCAGGTGGGTCCTAGTCTAACATGAGTTCCTGTCCTGGCACCATCCACAACACATAGTCCCAATAGGATACTCACTTGGTGTGATTCTGCATGGTTCATTCAAGTTAAGTATTTGTGTGTGCATCTGTCACATCAAATCTGGATTCAAGCTCCGACATGGGGCATGGCCCATGTGCATGGCCACGCACTTACACACATGCCCACCAAACACAACTGCCATCTGGACAAGTTCTAGAATTGCTTTGGGTGTTAAGACCATGCTGCTCTATAACTTCCCTCACTACCTGATCTCTTACCCTACCTGGCTGTTCTTAACTACCTGCTCTCTTTCTGTAGCCTGAGAGGCCGCACCCTGGAGTAGCTGAGAGCACAGCCTCTGCAATCGGATTGCCTTAGTTCAGATCCTAGCTCTACCACATACTAGCTGGGCGACCTTGGACAGATGACTTCATCTCTTTGTGCCTCCGTTTCCTTGGATGTAAACTGGAGATGATAATAACATACCCACGCCACAGGGTTCCTGGCAGAATTAAATGAGTTTTTCTGTCTCCCTTCCAAGGGACAGGGGCTGACTATAGTGCAAGTAAAAGCAGTTAGGACAGTAAATATTTAGTGCTTGAAATGTTAATGAATATCATTACTTTGATTTTATTTTATGCTCTTAACCTTCCCCCTTACTGGAGCTCCCTCCTCCCTCTTTCCAGCTCTCTGATTGCTCTTTGACCATCTCCCCCATCGCTCCAACTTCACCTGGTCTCCTACTCCCTGTCACTTCTGCCCATGCTTCCAATCACCCCTTCTCTGATTCTCACTCTGCCCTCTTCTCTCCTAGCCCTCTTCTCCTTGCTTGTGGCTTCAGATATCAACTATTTGCTGGTGACTCAAATCTACCTCTGTAGTCCCCCTTTAATCCTGAACTTCCAAATCTGTCCTTCCAGTGGCCCACTAGCTCTCACTGCTTGCATGCAGAAAAGGCTAAGTCCATTACTCTTCTACAACCCACACCTTCCTCCTGCGTGCCCTTCCCTAGGTAACAGAAGACATCACCATCCTTCAGGTGGACGTGCCACTGGATGTCATGTTATTTCTCCTTTGCATTAAGTGCCTGCTGTCTTGGCTACCCTACCCTGACCCCTGAAGGCTCATGGCCATCTCCTGCTCTTGCTCCTTCTGCCAAGCCCCATCCTCTCCCAGTGCAGAGCAGCCACCAATATAACTGATCTCCCTCCCTGCTCTCCCTCCACTTCATCCTCCTTACAGCCACCAACATCTTGCTAAAACTGAGATCTGGTCCACTCTGGATAGGATGGCTTCTCATTGCCTCCAGAAAAATATTGGGTCTGGCCCCCGTCTACCTATCCAGCTTCAATTCCAGGAGTAGCCACACCCAGCTGCTGCTCAACAAACCTGGAATTGACAGTCCCTTTACACATATGGGTCTCCTGCCTGGGACACTCTTCCTTCCCTTACCTGGTTAATTCCTGTGCATCCTTTTAAGATCCATGTCAATTGTTTACTCCTTGGTGAAGCCATCCTCCACCTGCCTCTTCCTGCTGTCAACTGCTTTCTGTTCCGGCCCCCATGGCATGCTGTCTACATTCATTCCAGCACTCAGCACTCTGTATTGCAGCTATTCGTTTAATGTCTGGTATATCCTCTTGCACCTAACCCTGGATCCTAGCCCATAGTAAAGACTCAACAAATACACAAATGCTTGTTGGATGAATTAATGAATGTCTCTAAAGCATTCTCATAGGTCAAGCCATAAATCTCTCTTTTAAATTTTGAGAACTGTAAAATTCTCCCTGTAATTTTAGAACTGTAAAAGAAGAACTGTAAAATTCTTCTCCCTGACTGAATCTCTGGGCACTTGTGTGTTCAGGTTCCTTCATTCAGATTCACCTGTATGATTTGTCAATGCATGCTTGTAGTCATACACACAGATAGACATTTGCAAACTGGAAATGTTTGTGTAGATCCTGTCTTGCAGCTGAGGTTCTCCAGCCATCTCGCCATCAACAACCTGACCCTCTGGTCTCTTGGCAGGTGTGTTCTTCACTTTCCACACCTTCCACCTGGAAAGTGGCCATGACTACCTCCTCATCACTGAGAACGGCAGCTTCACCCAGCCCCTGAGGCAGCTAACTGGATCTCGGCTGCCAGCTCCCATCAGCGCTGGGCTCTATGGCAACTTCACTGCCCAGGTCCGCTTCATCTCTGATTTCTCCATGTCATATGAAGGATTCAACATCACCTTCTCAGGTAAAGAGTATGAGGGTCCCTGAGGGGAAGAGACCATGGTGCTATTTGCTCTCTCCTTCTGCTACCAGTCTCTGGTTTTCCTAGCAGATAGATATTAATCCACTCTCCAGTCCCTGGGAAGTTGACCTTAGTGCTTCAGCAAAAGATGCTTGGGTTAGACCCAAGTAAGAACTTACCTATAATGGTCTTGGAAGGAGTTAGCATAATCACTGAGGATTCTTATTCTATGAAGGTGTTTAGGATTTGCTCTGAACATGGCCCACCTAGCTGGATGAACTAGAGGACTTCACAAAAGTCCCTTCCTACCTTAGTTATTCGAGATTTTTCTTCTGATTCCACTTCCACATTGCCAACCCCAGCAATATGAAAAAAAAAAAAGGTTTGAAATTAACATATTGGAGTGGTTTAGTCTCATTTGGGATCTTTTTCATCAATGCTAATTTTGTAGTAATAGATATTTATCTCTCTGTTTAGGGATTTGGAAAAGAAAGTGCTTTTATTTGGCATTCAGGGAGAAAAGAGGACCCTTGGCTCCTCTCATACCGAGCCCTTCACCATTCTTGTCCCGTAGCACCCCAGAGTACCTCCCTCCACCTTTCTCAGCCACGGCCAGGAGTATCAGATGGATTCCTCCTGGGATGGACAAGAGGTATCCAGCTTCTAGGAACTGGGGTGTGGCCCAGCTTAGTCCCCTGCCAGGCCTCCAATGCAGAAGTCACCTGTCACATCCCTGGATTCACTTGGCCAATGGGACATATCCAGCCAGTGAGACTCAACCCTTATGAGAGAGACCCTCTTTCTCATCACACATCCCTGGAGGACTGCATCCTGAAGGGAGAAGCCCTTGCAGACGAGGGACTAGTCACTTCTATGCTGTCACTAGAGGCCCCAGGCAGGGCTTTGGCCCATAAATGCCCCTGGTCATGCTTGCCGTCTGCCTCAAGTGCCAACGTAGCTGAGACATGGCTTCTCGTCAGGCATTTGGAGTGTCTTCACCAGTGGGAGTTGCCTGAGGCTAAGTCATGTATTCTGACCTTCTAGAACCTGCTGGTTGAATGTATCTAGTTTGTTGCCCAGAGACAAGGAAGCAGGAGAGCCTGTGAGCCCCAAGGCACAGGTTTAAAATGGAGATAAAAGGATAGCACAGAGAAGAGCTGAGTCCTGAGGATCCTCAGAAATCCTCCTGGGAAGCCTGTCTAGGAAAGGCTGTGCCCTTTCACTGCTCACAGGAGTGGGTGCAGACCGCCCGTCCTGGCCTCCCCGTGCTTCTCTCTGCCTCTGCCTCCCCGTGCTTCCCCATGTTTCTCTCTGCCTCTGCTCCCCTCGGGCTCTCACTTCTTCTCTTTTTGGGCCAGTGTCACCTTTTGTGGGCCAGTGTGCGCATGCCCTCTTCTCTGTCTTTCGTTGTCCCTGGCCCTTTCCCCCTGGTGTTTTGCCTGTGCGTTCCCATCTTTTTGCTTTGTGTCTCCCCGCAATGTCTCTGAGCCCGGATCTCCTGCTACCTTTCCAGAGTACGACTTGGAGCCCTGTGAGGAGCCCGAGGTCCCAGCCTACAGCATCCGGAAGGGCTTGCAGTTTGGCGTGGGCGACACCTTGACCTTCTCCTGCTTCCCCGGGTACCGTCTGGAGGGCACCGCCCGCATCACGTGCCTGGGGGGCAGACGGCGCCTGTGGAGCTCGCCTCTGCCAAGGTGTGTTGGTAGGTGGTCACGTGCTTTCATTTTGCTTCACTAATGGGGTGGGACAGATTATAGTCAATTGATGTGAGGTGGTGGACGGCACACAGGCCAAGAGGCTGACTTAGCCCACACTTACCACACTTACCTGCAGTGGGACCCGGGGCAGGTAACCTAACCTCCTTCTGCTCCATCCTCCTTATCTGCAAAATAGGGATGGCAATCCCTGCTTCATCAGGCAGTTCTGTATAAACTACAGTGACCTTTACAAATTAGGTCCACAGTGGGCACTCACATGAAGTCGATTTCAGTACTCTTACCTCCCCACCCTCAGCACACAGACCCATGGCTTAAGGATGCCTCTTACCGAGGAATCTGGATGGGCACTAGGTGGGCCTGTAGGAGGGGTATATGACCTTTGCCCAGGGGGAGTCCCCATCTGGAGGAGTAGATGGGTGCTTTTACTAATCCAATGGCGGTGCTCACTCTTAGAGACGCCTTAGGAAGGCTTCATCCATTCAGCAGGGGAGGACAAAAGGAACAGGGGCGGGGTCATTTATAGATGACCCACTACATCTCAGGCATCTGCTAGGTTCTGAAGGTACAAAGGTGAACAAAACAGAGAAATTCTTCACTCGTGGTCCACATTCTGGTGGTGGGGACACAAGCTGTGAATATTTAGATATGTGATGTGTCAGGCAGTGTTGAGGCATACAGAGAAAAATTAAGTCAGCTTAGAAAGTGCTGGAGCTAGGGTTGCTCTTTTATCATGGTCAGAAAAGGCCTCTCTGATGAGTTGACGTTTGGCCAGAGATAGATATCTGGGAGAAGAGGGAACAGAGGACCAAGACCCAAACCATGAGCATGCTCAGCATTTGAGGAACAGCTCAGAGGCCAAGCTGGAGCAAGCGGCAGGGAGAACAGGAGATGTGGAGGTTAGAGGCAGCTGTTGGAAGTTGGAAGTGGGCCCTGCCAGCCTCCTTGCAAGAGCTTTAAAGAAGTCTGTTCAGAGCGCTGTGCCCAGGTAGTAGGGGAAGCAAGTATTTTCCCCAGGGCGGAGTGATTGCTGTCTGTCCCTAATGTATGAGGCTCCTGGGTGCCTGTTTGCTCAATCCTTATAATGTAGGGCTGGATAAAACACTAGCTGCATTCATGGAGTATTTTCCATGCTCACTGTTAGCCATGGACCTCACGTAAAGTGAAATAGTATATAAAACCCCATAAAAATATACAAAACAGATCAAAGCAGCACTGCACTGACTGAAACAGGGACCAGCATCTCAAATGCCAGTGAGGTCAGCTGTGCCCGAGACAAGTCCATGGAGCCCTCAGGCTATGCCGAGGACAGCTTAGACAGGCTGGCAAGATGAGCCGGGCCCAGGCTGTGCACTCATGCAGGCCAAGGTGGGGTCACTGCTCTGCCACTTACCAACGCCTAGATCTCAGGCAGGCCAGCAAACCCCCTTAACCTCAGCTTCCTTGTTTATAAAACAGAGATAACAGCATCCAATTCACAGGCTTTACTCTACCTTAGATGACATCATTTACATAAACCAAGAGGTGGCATATAATTATCAGCATTTTGCCAATAACATTTTTATCTGTATTTATCAATAACCAATTATTGTTATTTTGCCAATAACCTTTTACAATCTCAGAAAGGAAACATTAAAACAAAGAGCTACAGAATTCCATTTCTGAACAATTAAATAACCCCAGGGTTTACTCCGTCTCCTATAACCATCCCCAAAGGCATCCACCCACCCTGATCTGGCCACACACACTCAGAAACACATAGAACCCCGCCACCCACCCCAGGAAGGTTCAGTTCATGTCTGGCTGCTAGCAGCTCCTTTAGTCTCTGGGAAAGCATCCTCAGCTAAATGGTTCTGGGGGAAATTCTCCTTGAATGGAATTAACCAGGACCACAGATGCACACAGCCCTTAAGCTCTTGCCTCATTGATCTCATTACATAAACTCATTCTTTAACTTATTATTCCAATTACTGTTTGTTCATGACACCTCACAATATTTTCATTATTACATTTGTCTTCTGTTTCACATGTTATTAATAATGCACAGTAGTTATAGTCACCTCTAATTACCACCAGCCCTGCTGCCGAGGCTCAGGCTGGAGGCATCTCAGGAATGCCCACCGGGGGCTGCTCCCAGTCGCCATGCAAATTGGATGATTTAGTCCACATAGTGCTACCAGGAACATTTCCAGCCGAGAAGGAGATGAACAGCCCTGGGCTTTAATGCATGGTGTGACGTGGGTGGCGGGGAGGGAGGTGACATAGCCCCTGACATCAGGGGCCCCTGAATTTGATGTAGAAGAGACAGCCCTGACCCCAGGGGACCCCAGTCTGCAGCAAGAGACATGGCCCTGTCCTTGGGAATCCTGGTGTGATGGAGAAGACCTAACCCTCTGCCTCAGAAGCCCCAGGCTGATGGATAAGGTACAACCTCTGCCCTTAACGAGACCCCTTCTGATGGGGGCGACAGAAGTCACAGATGCCAGAATCAGCCACAGCACTTACCTGTGGTTGTGACTGTTTGTTTCTCTGGAACATTTATTTGTTTCCATTTGTGCCTGTGTTTGGCTTCTAAGTTCATCTGTTCACCTCCCCTGTTACTTTGGAGACTCTCCCGGAAGCAAGTGCCCCGTCCCTCTATCCCTCCTGTCCCCTCCCTGGTGCCCAGGACAAAGGCCTGACAGGGAGTCAGGACCTGGGGATTGGCCAAGGACTGGCCACATCTAAAGCTATCAGCCCCTCCTCGTAAAGGTATCAGGCGTGTGGGAAGGAGGAGAGGCTCGTGCTGGGGCAGAGGTGGGGCACATAGCTCTTATGCAGGAAGCAGGGCCAGGAAGGAGGTCCAAAAACACACCCAAGCCCATGTTTAAGGGAAGCCAGCTGTCGAGAATTAGGCAGAGGGCAAGAGGCATCAGGAACCATGAGGGTGCTGTGAGCCTCGGGCAGCTAATGCACGCTTCCCATATGCTTCTCAGGCTTTCTGCCAGTCCCAGAATCCAGGCAGTTAGGGTTCCAAATGGAAGCAGGTAATCCATGTAGATTCACCTGGGACATTGGTGGAGAGGCTACTATGTGCTAACCATTCCCCTATGTTTACCTATCTTATATATAAAATCTCATGCGTTGATTCTACAGTCTTATGAGAATGCTATTATTGTCCAGATGAAGGCAGATGAAGAGATTAAATTTCAGTGAGTTGACACAATGTATCTAACTCCAAAGTCCATGATCATCCCACTGCACCACAGGCCTCTGCCTAGATGGAGGGGAAAGGTAGTAATCTCAGAGAAAATGGAGAGATGCTTCAGAAGGCTGCCCATGTGATATGACTGAGTAATAAGTGTTTACATATGCATGGCCCTAAGCAACTCCCCCTCCCCCCGACAAATCCTCACCCTCACCCTCATCTGAGATCATCAAAGAAATGTACACATGCTGGAAACGTCTATGTAAATTATCAGCAGCCACTGCCCCCAGGGAGCCTGCCCACCACTGTCCCTTGAGTTTTATGAGCCATCTCAGCACATTCATCATGATATTTGGAAGTTTTGCAAACAGACTAAGTTTAAAAGTACTGTAAAGTTAGATTTCTCCTCCAAGAGAAATAAATGAGGCCATATATAAAGTCTTAGGAAACTGAAGCTGGTCCTGAATTGAGCAGGACACAGGGAGGAGGGTCCATTCAGAAAAGTAGGGACTTGGTGGTGGGACATGTGGCCCCCATCTTCAAAGGACTAATGAGGAGCCTTAGGACAAGATAAAACACAAGATGTATAACTAAGCCCATGAGCAGCTTATGTTTCCATGTTCTGAAGGTTTCCATGTTCTCCATCTATGCTGCCTCAGCCTAGTACGCTCCTGGCTTAGGGTAATTAGGGTTAACTATAAGGCCCAAGCAATGGCCCTTTGGTCAACCCCAGGGCTTTTCTAGCCACAGACTGTGCCTGGACTGAAGGATACTGAGGGATGGTTTAGAGAAAGCAGATTTGCTACCAGCCGCCTGAAAGATTCAAGGCATGCTCCAAATTCCCCATATGTCCACACGAATAACAGGCCTGCCATCTGGACTTGTATTTACATCCTTCCGGAACCTAATTATTATTTTTAGGACTGTACATCTTCTGAGGTCAGTGTACTCCATATCCATTCATTCATTCATTCATTCATTCATTCAGTAAATATTTATTTTACAGACAATCCAGGCTAAGCCTTGGAAATTCATAGATTCATCCAGCATGACCCTAGCCCTCAAGTTACTGACAGTTTAGGTGGGGGACACAGGACAGGCAGCAAGCAATCAAGGTGCAATATGGGAGGTGCTCAGATACAGGAAGGAACAGGGAGGGGCCCCCCAATTATTAAAGATCCCATTCCTCTGTGCATGCCCTAAGCCTGCCCTGCCTACGCACTGTGTGGGTGTTAAGGAGACAGTAACACGACCAAGCCCCAAAGGATCCACAGTGCAGTAGAGGACATAGAAATGTTAACAAATAAGTGAAGTAAAATGGGATGACTACTATAAATAAAGGTATGAGAACAATGGGGAAAGAATGACTAATTCTGGAGGAGGAGAAGCAGTTTCCAGAGGAGGGTGTGATTTCATTAGCTGTTGAATGAAACAGGCTGCAATGAGACTATGCTAAAAACTTTCCCCAGGACCCAGGAGGTTGAGTTCTCAGCCCCCTCCTCCTCGTGAATCCACAGAGAGGCTTGGTCTCAGTGGTTGAGTACCTGGTTCCTTATCTTTAAACCAGAAATGATCATTGTGCCTACATTATGGGGCTGGCTGTTGCGACTAATGACTGAAATGGTCCTTGTAAAGTGTCAATCGTGCTGTTTTGCACATAAGGGTTAGCGATTATGATGTGATCTTGCCCCCTCTTAGTTTCTATTCTGTGATACTGAAAGGCTTCATCTCTCCTCACTTAACTGCCCCCCTCTTCCCCTGACCTCCTCCTCGGTCATTTCTGTTGCTACGCTACTATATGAATAGGTATGTGGCACGGCTGCTTTATAGCACTGAGAAATTGTAAAGGATGCCTGGTGGGTTAGCGTCTGTTTCTGTAGGAGAGAGACAGACAAACAGCACAAGAGACAGAAACAAAGCAGGCAGCACCATAGGTAGGGAAGTATTTTTTTTTTAAGTTTGAGAGGCATTTCTGTAGACAGTCCAACAACTGGACAGACACGCAGGCACCTTGGCAGGTAGACAGGCAAACGACTTGTCATCTTTGTCAGGTTCTTCAGAGCTGTGAGTTGCTTTCTGGATGCAGCTGATGGGGGTTAATCTATGGTTATTGTGATTCTCTTTCCAGCTGAGTGTGGGAATTCAGTCACAGGCACTCAGGGTACTTTGCTGTCCCCCAACTTTCCTGTGAACTACAATAACAATCATGAATGCATCTACTCCATCCAGACCCAGCCAGGGAAGGGAATTCAGCTGAAAGCCAGGGCATTCGAACTCTCCGAAGGAGATGTCCTCAAGGTAAAATTGATCGATTTCAGAGTATGTGTGTTATAGTATGCAATAGTCTAGTCAATACTCACTCCTTTGTCTCTGTGTGAATGATCCAAACTTTCTCCTTCCTTCCTGAGTCCCAAAATACTGTCCTCACTCATCTGGGAGAAAGAGAGGACCAAAAGAGAGGGGTATATGGGTATCTAAGAATATGGTTTTAGAGTTTGTTTAGAAGCTGCCTGCTATCAAATGCATGTGTAATTGAGTATGGGTTGACTGCATAATAAAAGACAATAATTTAGCTTAGGGAACATGGCAAAGCCCCATCTCTACAAAAAATACAAAAATTAGCTGGGTGTGGTGGTGCATGCCTGTAGTCCCAGCTACTGGGTAGGCTGAGGTGGGAGGGTCACTTGAGCCAGGGAGGTTGAGGTTACAGTGAGCCATGATCATGCCACTGCACTCCAGACTGGGTGACAGAGTCAGACCCTGTCTCAAAATAATAATAATAATAATAATAATAAGTTCGGTTGGAGCAGCCAATGGATCCAGTTTTCCATTTTGAGCCCTGACCGTCAACATGGATGATGAAGAGCTCATAGAACATGTATATATATGCATGTGTGTGTTCATTTGTGTAGCTATGTATTTATGGATATAGATGCTTTTTTAAATATGTTTCCACCTGTGTGTGAATCGGTGTCCATGTATTTATTTGGTTTTGGGGATCTGTGTCTGTGCATACCTGTGTCAGCATATTGTGTGTATGTGCACTTGTGCATTGTGTATGTTTTGGTTGAATAACAGGCTATTGCAGTAGCTTCAGTGTACTACGATGATGGCCTGGTGTGGCAGTGGGGTTAAAGAAAGTGAGTTTGAGACATATGTAAGGGAAGGAAATGATAGGACTTGGATTACAGAGAAGGTCATAGAGAGGGATTTGTTAAGACACTGAGCATATATGTCTTATGTTTCTTTGCATAAATACAAAGAATATGTGATTGAGTACCTCCAATAATGTGTGGTGTATGTCTGTGTAATCACAGAGTTGAGCGTGGAGAATTTATTAAAGAGCTGCCTTAATAAAATGAATGATAAGGAAAGCCTCATACAAAGCATGTTCATTTTCATTCTAGGCCAAGGAATTTTTTTAGCTTTTTCTAATATAGTTTTATTCCTTGTAGCCAGAGAAGTCCTTACATTGGAAAAAGTTGAACCAGAGCCCACTACTCTGGAAAATCCAAAGATAAACCATTAAATTTCCATGCTTTCAGATTATCTCCAGATGTGATAAATGTGCTGTCCTTTTTATGTACAGATGATGGATACTCTTGGCCAACCCCCTGGGGCATATGTCCTCTGGGGTGTATGGTGTGTGTGTGTGTGTGTGTGTGTGTGTGTGTGTGTGTGTGTGTGTGTGCGCGCGCGCGCGTGTGCACGCGTGCGTGTTTGAAATGCATTTCTCACTCTTACCTAATCCTTTTTGAACCCAAGAAGATTCACTCATGAGATCACTGGCTGGGACTGGATGTGCCTGAAATGGGATAGAACAATCTCATTGGCTTCTTAAGCTCTGCTTTCCAACCCCACATAAAAACAGTGTGTGTCTCCCAACAAGAGAATACAAGACAAGGGTTTTATGCCCTTCCAATAACCATGTCTTTAGGCATCACCCTTGACCTTCACTTCCCTCCATCCATTTGAGTCTCAGAGGGTGCAATCAGTACAGCAGCACCAGAGGGACCTCCTCTCTGTAGAGGTACAGATGGAGTAACGCAAGCTGGGCAATGCAGAGGCTTTCTTGGATGAAGGCCATTAGCACAAAAAGCCAGCTTTGAGGCATAGTTTACAATTTTCAGGTTTTGAAGGGAGTATAAGCAGTGGTTCTGTGCAAGTGACCTGATAGAGCCAGCAGAAATGGCTCCCAGGTTGCTGGAGGTCATATGGAGTATGGCCAGTGCCCATGCTTCCTCACTAAGGGGGTCTAGATTCAGAATAGCACCTAAGACATAGTCAGCAGGTGTGCACACTCAACGGCACCGTCAGGGTTCTGGCTTCAGGGTCAGGTGGGCAGCTCAGTAGATAAGCAGAGAGAGTCTTTCTGAGGTGGTCAGGGTAAGAAAGGAGGAGGGACATGGGGCATAAAACCTAGGTCAGAGTTCAGGGAGGACTAACAGAGGATGCAGGAGCCCAGGTAGTGCACACACATACGTGCACACACACACGCATACACAAACACATGCACACACATGCACACGCACACAATGCACACACGCACACACACATACACACGCACGCACAAACACATGCACGCGCACACACACACACGTACATGCACACACACACACACTCTTTAGCACCAGGGTAGGAAATGCTCCTGCTACGGCCTCTTTGAGTTTAGCTCCTCTGCTCTCCCTTAGAGACTGCTGAGTGTTTCCATTCCCAATTTCCATTTTCCCTCTGTTGTGGTGTGCCAACAAGAAAATTAACTGGATATGTGTAAATATTCAGTAGATCAGAAGAAGAAGACATGTCTTCGGAATCAGAGCTAATTGCCCCTCTGTAGGCAACGAAGAACAGAGACATACTTTAAAAGCTCCTAATTTGTATTCTTAAGAGAATTTGAGAGAATATTATATTTATGACACAAAAATAGGCAATAATGAAAACAGAGCAATCTGAGATGAGGAGAGATTGAATAGAGATGAAAAACATGATCACCCAATTAAAAAATGGAATGGAGGCAATGAACGGAAGATGGTAAACCACAGAAAAATGAAATCAGTTTATTAAAAGATAAATTTGAGAATTTCTCCCACATCTCATAAGGAAATGAAAAAGAGGATTATTTTATATTAATAAAATGGATAATCAATCCACAGTAAAACTTTATGTGCCAAATAACATAGCACGAATAAATTAAATAAAAACCGCTGGAAATGTAAAACAATTTAATAAAGTTACAGCCATCATGGAAGATTTTAATATACCTCTGTAAGTCTGTGACATATCACCTAACTTAACGATAAATAAAGATTTGGGTAGCTTGAATAATGTAACATAATAAATCAGAAGAAAGTAGGAGAAAGATACTTTTAAAGATAAAGGCAGAAATGACTAGAGAAACAAAACTAAAAAGCAATAGCAATTGTCAACCAAACCAACTGTTTTTTTTTTTTTTAAATAATAAAGTAGACAATACTAGCAGAACTGATCAAGGAATAAAGAAGCCACAAATATGTAATATTAGGAATTGAAAAGGGACATAATCAAAGATATAGGAGAGATTATGGAAATAAGAAAATGTTTAGGGATCACGCCACTGCACTCCAGCCTGGGCGACAAAGTGAGACCCTTTTTCAAAAAAGAGAAGGAATGTTTAGGAACAACTGTAAGCCAAGAAATCTGAAAGCTCAGATGAAATGGAAATTTTTATAGATAAAAAGTACTAATATTAAAAAAAATCTGAAAAAAAAACAATGACCATTAAAAAATTATGATTCCCCCGTATCCTCTCTCAAAAGCCCCAGGCCTTAACTATTTTACAGGTAAGCTTAACAAAACTTCAAGAAGCAATTAATCCCTGCAATAAACTCTTCAGAAGAGAGAAAAATAAAGAACCATCTCCCAACTCATTTTTTCTTAATGAGGCAAGTAGAAACTTTGGTATCAACGAGTAAAATTATGGTTACCAGGGGATTGAGGGAATGGGGAGATAATGGTCAAAGTATAGAAAGCATCAATTAGACAGAAGAATTAAGGGTTTCTTTTTCCTTTGAGATGTATTGCACGTTACAGTGAATATAGCAAATAATAATGTATCATACATTTCAAAATCACTAAAAGAGTAAATTTCAAATGTTCTCACCACAGAAAAAGATAAGTATTTGAGGTGATGGTTATGTTAGTTTGATTTACTAATTCCACATCGTATTCATAAATCATAACATACTTTCTACTGCATGAATATATTCAGCTATAATTTATCAATTTATAATTTAAAATAAAAATTTTAAAAAGAACAGAAATCAGAAACTATTAGGGCAGTCTCACTTTTGATCACAGATCTAAAAATTTTGAGTATAAATCTGATTGAATTTGGCTATGTATTAAAACAAAGATGAGACCATCCTGGTTAATACAGTGAAACCCTGTCTCTAGTAAAAATACAAAAAAAAAAAAAAAATTAGCGGGACGTGATGGCGGGTGCCTGTAGTCCCAGCTACTTGGGAAGCTAGGGCAGGAGAATGGCGTGAACCTGGAAGGTGGAGCTTGCAGTGAGCCAAGATTGCAGCCACTGCACTCCAGCCTGGGTGACAGAGAGAGACTCCGTCTCAAAAAACAAACAAGCAAACAAAGACGACCAAGTAGGTTTGATTCCAGGAATGTGAGGATGTGTCAAAATTAGAAAAGCTCATAATGTTATTTGTTAGACAAACCATATGAAATTGCTATTTTTGTAGGTCAAAACTGTTAAAATATTGGCAATTTCATGGCTCAACCTAATAGCCTATAAACAGATTAGCAAAGAAAAAGACATTATCCTGCTAATACACCCCAAAACATCATGTGATTAAGTTCAACACCCACTCATGATTTTTGAAAACATCTCATAAAACTACAAATAGAACTTTCCTAACTTGATAAAAATATTTCTACCAAATGCCTATAGCAAACATTATACTTAATGGCAAAACTTCCTAAAGATTTTCAGTAAAGTCAAGAACAAGATCAATAGTTCTACTATCACCAATAGAACGCAGCATTGTACTGAAGAGACAAACCATTACATTTATACCAGAAAAAGAAAAAAAGGAACTATAAAAATTAGAAAGGAATATAGAAAATTGTGACTTTTGTTTCAAAAATACAAAACAATCAACTAATAAACTCAAAATCAATAAGAAAATTCACAAAGCTTCTGGTGTTTCTATAACCAAATAAAACTTGCAATCAGGAGGGAAAGTCTCATTTATAATAGAAACAAAAACTGTAAGACACCTAGAAATAAGCCCTCCAAAATGTGCATGATCTTAACTGAGAGAAGATAAAATTTTATTTTGATATTGATGTAACTAAAATAAATGCAGGGAGATTTCATTCTCATGGATGCACAGAGGGTATGAAAAGGCAGGCAATTCACAGAAAAGGAAGTAAGAACTGTTGATAAACATAAAAAGATGCTCAACTTCAATGGCGATCAAGGATTTACATATTAAAGTGAGATACCACTTTACACTCATCAAATTGGAAAACATCATAATGCCCTAAAATACCAAGTATCAGCAAGGATATAAAGCAATGAAAGCTGTCAGACGTTGCTGGTGAGAGAGCAAATTGCTATTCCTTTTCAAAGAGCAATCTGGTAATATCTAACCAAATTGAAGATGTGTCATCCCCACAACCAGCTTTTCCATGCTAGATGTATGCTCTAGAGAAACTCAAGCACACGTGTGCAAGCGGACATGCAGGAATATTCATAGAAATTATGCTTACATTGTTTGTAATTGTGTATAGAAAGCTTTCTGCTTAGCATATTCATTTTGAAACCAGCCATCTTGCTGACCTGCTTTATTGGATGTAATGGATGTGCATAGATTCTCTTGGATTTCTCAATCACCTGCACATAATGATGAATTGGACCATCAAGCAATATTCTGTTAGGAAATAAATGTATACAAAGGCCCAATTCCCAATAGCAATCAAAAATATAAAAATACCCAGGAATAAGAACAGAATGGTAGTGAGAGACATAAAAGACATTTTGATTAAATGGAGCTAGACACCATGTATATGGATTGGAAGACTCAATATCACATAGATAGATTTTTCTCAAATCCGTCTATACATTTAATGTAGCTCAGTCAGAATTACACAAGTTTTGTTGGGGAGTTTTTTGTTTTACTTTTTATAATTCAGGAAAATTCTTGAGTTTAGAAGAGTACATCTGGGAGAATTTTGTTTAAGTTAAAAGAAGACAAATGAGGACTTTTCCTACTAATTATTTAAATATATTGTAAAGCTACAGTAGCTAAAACAGTGTGGGTCATGCACAGGAATAGACAAATAGACAAATGCAATAGAATAGAAAGTTGACAAACAAAACCAAATGTATATAATTATATGTTAATTATATATGTGATAAAGACTGATTTGAAATTAGTAGTGTGTGGAATATTTACAAACAGAGTTTGGTTAAATGACTAATCTATCAGGGAGTTAAGGTAGAATTGTATATCATATCCCAAAATAAATTCCAGGTAGATTTAACGACATGAATTCTAGAGGAAAATATTGGTTTATTTATCATACATTTACTGAGTGAGCCTTATGTGCCAGAGCATATATTTTGGGCGCTGATATGTAAATAATTATCTTGCAGATTGGGTTAATTTTTATTATAGAAATTCCTGCCACCATTTAAATGCTGTTATGGAAAAAATATTTAATGACTTTAAAAATATACACATTATATTAAGTGAAAGAGCAGTTTGCCCTATAGTATCTATAATTCGATCTTATTGTTATAAAAAATTATAAAAACATAAATTTATGCAAGGAAATAAATGCATAGAATAAAGGCTAGAAGGACACTTACCAACATGTTGTAAGTTCTGAAAGTTATTTGCACATTTCTGTTTTATAAGTTTTTCTGCAATTAATATTGTAATGATGCAAGTAACATTTTTGTTCTTGATGAATTAGGATGAATTATGCTTGGAAATTAAGGAAAATATCCTGTTCCCATCATACTTTTTATTAATTAACCATAATTTCTTAATAGCATCATATATCCAGTGAGGGTTTAAATTTCCAATTATCTCATAGATGTCATAATATTTTTTAAATTTATAGTTTATTTGAATCAGGATTCAATAAGGTCCACACATTAGATTCATTGTCTGATGTGTTTTTTAATCTGTAGGTTTCTCCCTCCATCTCTTTTCTTTTCCCCCTTGTAACTTACTTGTTGAGGAAATCAGATCATTTGTTCAGTGGAACTTTCCACTCTGGATTTTGCTGAATGCACTCACAGGGTATCATTTCGTATGTTCCTCTGTCCTCGGTATTTATTGCCTGTAAGTTGGAAATTGGATCCAGTGGCTTGATCTGATCAGGTCTGATTTTTTGGGCAAGATAACTCCATGGGTGATGGTATATCTTTTATTAAAGAAACACATGGTGTCTGATTGTCTTTCTTACTGCAATTGATGATTATTATTTCTTATTGCAATTGATGATTCCTAGTCCATTGATGATAAATGCCTTGGTCCATTGATTTCCATATGTTTCGGTGATTAAAAATATTTTTGTAACAATTTAAGCTAAACTCTTTGAACTTGTATTATCTTGATGTCTGTTGGAACCCCAGAATTCACTCAGTCTATCAGTGATACACAGCAATTACACAAGGATCTGGAAACAGACTTCAGGCTCCCAGGAGCCTAAACAAATCTCTGTAATATACAACACTGTTAGTTTGAAGGATGGCTTCTTTTAGAAAGCTTTGCTTCATAAATAGTACAATGGAAATATTGTGCCAATTTGCTGGCAGCTGGCATCACATTGTGTGCCATGCACAAATATTCATCACCCACTCAGAGATCCCATCTTTGATATTTACAAAAGCACCAGGGGGTCTTTCACTCAATCACAACTTCTGTTGTTATTTGTACAATTATCTGGAAAGGAGCAGCAACCTTGAAACCTGGGGAGCCAGTTCATTATTCTGATGATTGTTGTCTTTGCTGGTACTAAGAAGTTCAGGGGACAGATGGGAGTGAGGGAAGCCAGATGCCTGTACGATTCCACCCTTGGCAAGCCCAGCAGGCCCTAGCTGGAGCCCTCATTTTAGGAGGGAAGGGGCAGAGGCTGAGCTTGGGGAAGAAAAAGTCACCATGACATGCTGGTGTCTGGATCCCAGGGATGATGTCCAGCAGAGTGCTCAAGACAGGCTACTGCCACAGTGGGGTGGGATCAGGTGAGAGGATGGCTGTCTCATCTACTGGAAGGACAGGATTGAGGGTTTAGCAATGTAGAGATGAATGCTTTCAGCCTGTCTCTCTGAAGAAACAGATGGTTTGACAAGCAGGCAACCCAAACCTGGCCTCCCCAGGCTGCTAAAGAGTAAGCTGGTGCTATATGGGCATTGCGGGAACAAGAACAAATCTCCACTGGAAAGATTAGAATAGCAATGAGTTCCCAAAGACTAGATTCACACTAAAGATGGGCTGAGCATAGAACTGACATCAAGGGAAAACGAGATAACTTGCTCAGTTGATAGCTTCCCTCTGCCATCTTCCTTGCATCTGATAACTCACTGTGCCTCTGATAGTTGTTACCAGTGCTAAACTCCAGGAGTGTGGGTTGTGGGGTAAGGAGGTGTTGTTCAACATAAGGCCATGCTGACGACATTGGGTTGGGGGTCTCTCCTGTGTCCAGGTTTATGATGGCAACAACAACTCCGCCCGTTTGCTGGGAGTTTTTAGCCATTCTGAGATGATGGGGGTGACTTTGAACAGCACATCCAGCAGTCTGTGGCTTGATTTCATCACTGATGCTGAAAACACCAGCAAGGGCTTTGAACTGCACTTTTCCAGTAAGTCTTTCTTGCATCTGTGTGGACAAGGAAGTCAGGGTTTCCCATTTTATTCATTTATTTGAGCTTCTGCTTGCTCACGAGATACAAAGAATGTGCTCTTAAGACTGTTTTAAAATCCAATATGTATCCATCAGTGGATGCATGGGTAAACAAAATGTGATATGTTCATACAATGGAATAGCATTTGTCCATAAAAAGGAGTGAAGTGGCCGGGCACAGTGGTTCATGCCTATAATCCCAGCACTTTGGGAGGCCAAGGCGGGTGGATCACGAGGTCAGGAGTTCAAGACCAGCCTGGCCAAGATGGTGAAACCCCATCTCTACTAAAACTACAAAAATTAGCTGGGCGTGGTGGCGGGTGCCTGTAATCCCAGCTACTTGGGAGGCTGAGGCAGGAGAATTGCTTGAACCCGGAAGGCAGAGGTTGCAGTGAGCCGAGATTGCGCCACTGCACTCTAGCCTGGGTGACAGAGCAAGACTGTCTAAAAAAAGAAAAAAAAAAATGGAGTAAAGTATACATGCTTTGACATGGATGACCCTTGAAAAGATTGCAGTAAGTGAAAGAATCCAGTCTCAAAGGCCACATATTGTTTGAGCTCCATCATATGAACTGTCCAGAACAGGCAAATCCATAGAGCCAGAAAGTAAAGGGCAGTTGCCTAGGGCTGAGGGAGTTGGGGGAAAAATGTGTATGGAACTTCTTTTTGAGGTGATAAAAATGTTCTAGAACTGATTATGGCAATAGCTGTACAACTCTGAATCTACTAAAAGACATTGGATTGTACACATTAGGTGGGAGAATGTATGGTATGTGAATTGTATCTCAATAAAGAAAGCTATTGGGGAAAATCATGCACGGAGTATAGTCAGGTTTCCCCTCGTCTGGGCTCAAGGCTGCCTGGCAGAGGATCCTTGCCTGTTACAGCAAGAGGTTCAGTGGAAGAGGATTAGAGACACCTTTGAATTCCACTTCTATCATGTGAAAATTGTGTAAGTTTGGAACAATTTATTTAACCTTCCCAAATCAATGCTCTCCGTTGTAAAATGCAGATAATTATACCCACCTGTAAGACTCCTGTGAATAACAAATGAGAGAGAACACATGTATAGCGCCGTAGAGTGGGAGCTCTGCATAAATCTGTTTCCTTTTCCAGCCCATTTCAACAGCGTATGTTTAAGCAGGTCATAACTCAGCTTTTAAACATACATTTAAAGTGACTTCTCCATATTACACCATCTTATCAGAATGTCTCAATAAGCAAAATGAAAAGAACGCTCCTGCTAGCAAAAATGCTACGGGGTCAAACAAAAGAAATAGAAAATGCAGACCTTAGGCCTGAAAACTATTAAAAGCAGAAATCATTTACATATAGCAACAGAGAAATGGATGTTCCTTAATATACCCTCAACTGAGCATAGAAATGAGGAAATCCTGACTGGTGAATCCATCAGAACCCAGGGTCCGTGGCTGAGACAGCTTCCTTGAGGACGTGGGCTTTGAGGGAAGAGAGGAAGCATGGTTTCTGCCACAATAGGTCTTACTCACTCTACCTCTTCTCTCCTCACCAGGCTTTGAACTCATCAAATGTGAGGACCCAGGAACCCCCAAGTTTGGCTACAAGGTTCATGATGAAGGTCATTTTGCAGGGAGCTCCGTGTCCTTCAGCTGTGACCCTGGATACAGCCTGCGGGGTAGTGAGGAGCTGCTGTGTCTGAGTGGAGAGCGCCGGACCTGGGACCGGCCTCTGCCCACCTGTGTCGGTAGGAGGGCTCTTCCTCTGCAGGGAACCCTTGGGTCTCCCATAATACCAAGCTCTAGTCCTGGTCTCATTCCAGTTAGACCCCATGCTCCAGGGCCTGGGGGCCATCAACTTGGACTGAATCCTCTTGTTAACAGGCATCATGGTTCACCTGCACCCCTTCTCCACTTCCTCACTTTCACACCTCATTACACCCATGCAGCAGTGCAGTCAGGCGGGTGGCTTGCCTTTGTCGCACATTTAGCAAGTGGGACCACAGCCAAGTCATGCCCTCAAAATTGTAACGCGGGTGATAGCGATGAGGTGGGAGAGTCCATTAGAAAGGGAGAGATGGGGCTTTTGCCTGAGTTCCAGGGCTTATCGTAACGCCAAGACTCAAATGAGTCTCCCACCCACTTTAGGTCTCAGTTTCCCTATAGGTAAAATGGGGCTCATTCTCCCTTTACTGGAGGAATGTCAAAAGACATAGTAAGATAAAGAACACCCATTGCTCTCACTGATAAAGAATGCAATAATGAACTTGCATCTTCTTAAACCTGTGATTCTTCCAGAATGTCATCAGAGGTTCTCTAGAATCTTTACACATGTGTCACAGGACAAGAGACAGTGATCTGAGGCAGAAGTGCAAAATAGGCAAAATTGGTTGTTCTGTTTGGCCTTTTCATCTCTTACCACCCATCTCCCTGCTAATGTGAGTTCCCCCATACTGCTTCGTCCTGCCTCCTACCTTTCCAAAACCAGATCTGTCTCTCTCTCCACCCCCTTCCCCATGTCCCACAACCTCAACGTGTCTGTGCCAGCACTGGCTAATCTTGTAAGAACAAAACCTCCACTGGAAAAACACATACATGCCTACCAAGCCCCACATGCCAAAATTGGTGCACATGTATGTCTGGGTATTTGTGGAGGCAGAGAAATAAATGAAGAATAAAACCTGTTCACTGCCCTTGTCAGGGCCCATACTCCAGCATGGAGAATAGACACATAAACAGATAAGTATAATGTAAGAGAAGCACTGTAAAAAGAGTTAAGTGCAAAATGTTGGGAGGATATGAGAATGTTTTGCATGGGAGGTGATATTTCAATTGAGACTTGGAAGAATGGATTAGAATTCACCAACAGGAGGGAGAGGAAGGGAGGTTGACATTCTAGACTGAGCACGTGCAAGGGTGAAAGTGTGAACCAGCATGGTGGGAAGTGTTAAAGGCCACAGATGCTTTTCCCCTAGACGACTACATTTTCACAGGATCTTTAACACTGTTATACAATGGAGGGTCTAAGTGGACCCTCTGCAAGTGGACAGACCGAAACAGTAGCCTTTATGGAACCTCTAGGGTCTTCCTCTCCCTTTGCCTTTGACCTGGTCTTCAGGCATATCTCCCCTTTCGCCCTCCATCTCTTTTTATATCTCCCCTCATTCATGTGCCAGGAACTATGCTAGGCACTAGGAATACAGAGAAGAGCAGATCTCAGGCCAGGAAGGGTGATGCTTGCATAAACACACAACCGTATAATGCCACAGACAAGCAAGCCAGAGCACACAAAATGAAAAGGAGGGATGATGACTCGTATTACAAGATAATTATTTGCTTTGCAGAAAAGATTCACTGTAAGATTACTTTGAATATCAAATATGCCAGTTGGACTGGACTTATTGGGTTCACTCAAGCAGTATAAGAGCATTTAAACTTAGACTTACACTAGAACCTTGGAGGCCTTCCCCATTGAGACTGCCTCTAGCCTGCTAGGGGATTGAGGCTGTGTATTTGAGATTATGTGCATATTTTTGTATATGTCATGTTGTGGTCGACTTCATCATGGTCTACCACAAATGACTGCTATAGCTTAAAACATCCAAATGTTTTATTCTTCGGTGAGTGGACTCTGCAGCCCAAACAAAGCAGCCAAGACTCAAGGGTGGGAAGAAGGGAGAAGACCAGAAAGAGTAGACTTACATGTTCTCAATGTTGTTGAATCTGCTACATGCTGGCCCACTCAGCCCCCTCCTGCCCACCTGCCAGGCCCCAGGTAAGGTATCTAGTTGTCCATGATGACATGTTCCCAGTGCTGCTGCCTCCAAATCCTCACTTCCCAGGAAGCAGGAGGTCCTTCTCTGTCTGGAATATGGAAGGAAGCTCTAACCAAGGACATGGATAATGCCCTCCCACCTTTCTAGCTACTTCCTCTATTTGTGGAACCAGTCAAGCCTCCTCCCCACAATTGTAGTCCATCCTCTCACCAGCACCCTACTCCCTGCCATGGGTCCATTCAGCCTGGCATCTTTCAATCAGGTTGGCACCTCCCACCCCAACAGCACCTTGGAGAGAAGAGTGAAGCTTGAGCAGAGGGTCTTGTAGAGGGCCTCTCCTGCAACCCTTCCTTAGTGGTCCTGTGTGAAACCAACGGGTCCATGAAATGTTTGATGTGTCCTTTATAGCAACAGGTAGGGGTCAGTCTTCCATCTGTGACCCTGATCCCTTCTTCTCCTATTTCTAGCATCTTGCCTAATCAACTATTCCTTTTCCTAAATAGCTCTGCAATGAACATCCTCCTCTTCATTTGTACTCATTCTCCCTTGATTCAGACGCTTATAGTAATTTGCATGGAAAGCAATAATCTGCTTCCATTCATTTGATTGTCCAGCCATCCATTAATTCAATAAACGTTAAGCATCTATAATGTGCCAAACAGTATACTAGGTACTTGATGTGCAGATATAAGACAAGGTCCCTGCTGCCAAGGAGCTCTTAGTCTTGTGGAGGAAATAGACATGATTTTAATAACATGTTACACATGCTATAGTAGAAATCTATTCACATTGTAATGCAGACACAAAGGAGGGCAGTGTCAGTTCTACCTGGGGAGGGGAGGTATGTCACAAAAGATGTCACAGCGAGGATGTTTATTCAGGTCCTCCATCCAAATAGAGCTTGTGGACTTCATCAGCCTAGACCAAAGAGTTCACGGAGGCCAAAGGGAGCCACTCTGGTGGGCTCAGTGGGCTCTACTGAAAAGTTTAGACTTCATTTGGGGAGTGAATGCAAGCAGTGACTTGTTTGCATTTGATAAAGATCCGTTGATGGCACTGCCTAGAGCGTGGGCAACTCTGCCAGCCTAGAGATTGTGAGGGCCTGAGTCAAGACTCCAGCAATGTGGGCAAAGTAGAGTCAAACATGAATAATACCACACAGGTTTAGCGACTGGGTCTCAGAGGCAGATTAGATGTCGGGGAGGAAGGAGGAGAACACCAGCAGGAACCCCCAGCTTCTGACTTCAGTGACTGCTCCAATGGGGAATGTAGACCTCTTCACCTGCCTCCCTGCCTCCAGTTTCACCCCTGCTGTACCCCATCATACTGCCACCACAGTGACTCCTCCTAACATGCAAAGTTCACTGATGTGTCATGCAGTCAATTAACTCACATGTATAATCACTGCAATTCTTTCCTGGAACAGTGAATATATGACAGCCTGGTATCCAAGGTCCTTCAACCTGTGATGCTTCCTCACCTTTCCAGTCCCATCTCCCCCATCTCCCTATCTCATACCCCAGCCTCCAGCCTGCCATGCTGTTCCTCACCTCCAGGAACTTTGCAGTTACTCTTCTGTCTCTCTCTGCAGTGCCCTCCTTCCCATCCTACCCTTGCCACCCAACCGACCTGGTCAACTCTTGCTTCTCCTTCAAGGTTCATTTAAGACCAGCACCCTCCCTGACCCTCGCTGTCCTTTGCTCAGGGAGATTGGTCACTTCTGCTGCTACTTGTTGTTAGGATACCTAGCACACAGTGTGGCTGTCTTCTCTACTAGACAGTAAACTCTTCCAGGGGAGGGCAGTATCCTGTTGATCTCTGCTGTCCTGGCAGCCAGCAGAGGTCCTGTTGCTATCAAGAAGCAGGTTGAAGTACTTGCATGTTCCTCCCTAGGAGGCTTTGAGGAGGTTGGTCACAGAACAGGCAATCAGCCCTACACTCAGGGACCATTTTTATTTACCAGTGTACAATTCAGTTGTTTGTAGTTATATTAGTCTGTTCTCACACTGCTGTAAAGATACTACCTGAGACTAGGTAATTTGTAAAGAAAAGAGGCTTAATTGACTCACAGTTCCTCATGGCTGGGGAAGCCTCAGGAAACATACAATCATGGCGGAAGGGGAAGCAGGCACCTTCTTTACAAGGCAGCAGGAGAGAGAAAAGTGAGAGAAGGAGGAACTTCATAAGTTCTGATGGAACTTATAAAACCATCAGATCTCGTGAGAGCTCACTCACTATCATGAGAACAGTATGGGGAAAACTGGCCCCATGATCCAGTCACCTCCCACCAGGTTCCTCCCTCAATATCTGGGGATTACAATTCAAGACGAAATTTGGGTAGGGACACAAAGCCTAACCATGTGAGTAGTATACTCACAGGCTTGTACAGCCATCACCACAATCTAATTTTTGAACATTTTGTCCCCCACAAGAGAAAACCCATGCCCATTAACAGCCACTCCCCGTTGTCCCCTTCCCCAGGCCCTGGCAACCACTAACGTACCTTCTGTCTCCAAGATTTGCCTATTCTAGGTATTTCACATAAGTGGAATCGCACAATGTGTCTGACTTCCTTCACTTAACTAATGTTTTCAGCGTTCATCTATATTGTAGCATGTAGCAAGCCTTGATTCCTTGTTGTTGTTGTTGTTGTTGTTATTGTTTTGAGATGGAGTTTCGCATTTGTTGCCCAGGCTGGAGTGCAATGGTGCGATCTCGGTTCACCACAACCTCCACCTCCTGGGTTCAAGTGATTCTCCTACCTCAGCCTCCTGAGTAGCTGGGATTACAGGCATGTACCACCACGCCTGGCTAATTTTTTGTATTTTTAGTAGAGATGGGGTTTCTCCATGTTGGTCAGGCTGATCTGAAACTCCCGACCGCAGGTAAGCCACCCACCTCAGCCCCACAAAATGCTGAGATTACAGGGATGAGCCACCATGCCCGGCCGCCTTGATTCCTTTTTATGGTTGAATACTATTCCATTGTATGGCTATGCCACATTTTGTTTATTCATTCATCAGTTGATAGACATTTGGGTTGTTTCCACTTTTTGATAACTATGAATAACGTTGCTATGAACATTCATGTTCAAGTTTTTATGTGAACATGTTTTCATTTATCTTGGGTATATGCCTAAGAGCAGAATTGCTAGGTCATATGGTGACTATGTTTAACATTTTGAGGAACCACCAACTTGTTTTTGAAAGCAGCTGCACCATTTTACATTTCCATCAATAATGATGAGAGTTCCAGTTTCTCCACTCCCCACCTACGCTTGTATAGTCTTTTTGACTATAGACATCCCAGTGGGTGTGAAGTGATATCTCATTGTGAGTTTGATTTGTATTTCCCTAATGACTAACAATGTTAAACATCTTTTCATGTATGTATTGGCTATTTATATATCCTCTTTGGAGAAATGTTTATTCGAATCCTTTGCCTTTTATAAATTGGGTTACTTGTCTTTTTATTGTTGATTTGTAGGGGTTCTTTATAGGTTCTGGATATAAGTCTCATCCAGAGACCTTTTAATATGCTGTGCTCAATCACTTGAAATGAATGGGAGAGGGAAGGGACTCAAGAGCAAACAGGCAAAAGGAGCCACTGAGTGACTGCTGGCAGCTCAGGCCACCCCATGAAGCTCACTCTTTTGGGATTTCTTTCAGCCGAGTGTGGAGGGACAGTGAGAGGAGAGGTGTCGGGGCAGGTGCTGTCACCCGGGTATCCAGCTCCCTATGAACACAATCTCAACTGCATCTGGACCATCGAAGCAGAGGCCGGCTGCACCATTGGGTAAGTGTCAGGGCTGACAAAGTAACTATCGCCAGTTGTTCAGGGGAGCCATCATCAGCATCATCACCAGGCCATCCAGCTAGTGCCTGGCCTGCCTGCCTCACCTGGAGAACCTTGTGATCAATAGTGGTTGCTATACTGGATGCCTTAGAAAATCTAGAAAGGTCAGTCTCAGCCTCTCAGGGCTTCATGCCAAGTCCATACACCTCACTGGCCCAGATAGCACAGTTACAGCAGAGTAGCCGAGGGCATGGATTGAAGGCATGCAGACCCCCATTTGAATCCAACCCTTCCATGTACTGTTTGCAGGACTTTGGGAAAGTTCCTTATCCTCTCTGCATCTCATTGTCCTCTTCTGTAGAGTGTGGATCTCAGGATAAAGCACTTGAATGAGATATTGCATGTAATATGCTCAGTATAGTATTTGGAACATAGTGAAATATTTAATAACAGTTGCTGTGGTTATTTCTGACAGTTAGCAAGCACTAACTCAGCTTTAGCTGTATGGCCCCTGGCAGATTGCTTCCCTTTTTTAGGCTGTTTCCTCATCTTTAAAATGAGGACAGAAATGCTTGTATTTTAGAGTTGTGGAGGAAGTAAATAGCAAAAGACCAGCAGTGGTATGTACTTCTTCAAAAGATAAATTCCTTCAAAATAGGTATGCCATCAAAATGTAACTTCCTTCCAGGCATTCCTTATTGGAATTTCAAGGAGTCAGAGGAGAAAGAACCATCACCATTTACTGAACACAGAGCCTACCTTATTAACTCCCTGCAATAGCCCTATTGATAATAATAGTAAGCCCTAATAACAAATAGGCATTATTGTAATTCCCATTTTATAGATGAGAAAACTCAGATTCCAAGAGGATGCATAGCATTTCTAAGTTTGCACAGGGAATCAAAACTCTGAGATCCGAACCCAGGTCTTTCTGAATCTTCACACTATTGCACTGCTGGCAAAACGGGGCCTTGAGCCATGGCTCAGGTGAGTTAGGAGGAAAAGAGCAGGTTGGGGTAGCAGTATGAGCGGAGGTATGAAAGGAGGATAGAACAAGGGAATTGGGGGGGAAACAGTCTGGCTGGAGTAGGGGAAACACATGGGTAAGGAATGGGAGATAGATAGGGGTAAAGTATAGCCTGGTTATGGACCATCTTAAATGCCAGTAACTAAGAGGGAGCCATGGAAGGTTCTTGAGCAGCGTCGGTCCACCAGGGTTATTTGCAGTGTAGAGAGCTCATGGGGAGACACCATCAGGAGTCTGTTACAATGATCCAGGAAGTAAGTGCTAAGGATTTGGAATAGTGAGGAGCCAAGAAAAGGAATAGAAGTATAGCTAGGAGAAGATTCCTGCATGTAAGAGTTTCCAATTAAGAAGAACTGGCTGAATGGGTGTTTTGCTGCAAGAAATATAGATATTCACTTATGTACACAGTTCAATTAATGTTAAGGAAATGTATTAAGTATTTAATATGTACAAATTTTTTAGCTAAACTCTGAGGAAAATAAGGTCAGCAGTGTACATAGGGACTTTGCATTGTTAGGGAACAAGTTAAATATGCACATTCATCCTGCACGGCACTGCTGGGATAACCTTCTGAAAGCATACCTGATCAATTCACCCTCTGATCAGAAACCGGATTCCATGGCCACCCCACGCTCACAGAATAAAAGCTAAACATTTTATTCTGGCCTTTGAGGCTACAGCGACTTCAGCCTCCCTCCCCAACCTTATTTTCCACTTCTCTTCAATGACATTCCGGCAAAGCAAAATTATTGGTGACCCCTGTACATGGCCTAGCTCAGGGCCTAGCTCAGGGCCTTTGTTTCTACTCTGCCCTTCCTCTGGAACGCCCTCCTCCCTCCAAAGGCTTACATCTAAAATTATCCATCCCTCAAAGTCAAGTGCAAATGTCAGCTCACCCGGGAGGTCATCCCTCACCCCCTCTCTTGCGGGGCTCCTAGGAGTCCTTTCTGCCTCTTTTGAACTTCCATTACCTGTTGCATATATTTTCCTGATGACACTGACCACTTTTCTCCTTTATTTATGCTCATGCCTTACCTCCCCTCCTGGAGCTGTGGTCTCTGCCTGATTCATCTTTGCAAGTCTCCCAGCTCTTAGCACAGTGCCCCCGGCTCAACAAGTGTCAAGTGTTTGATGAATGAAAGAATGAATGAAGCAAGACCCAAGTATAAAGGTAGTTATATGCCTAGTGGATCTATGATAGTTCCTCGGTGACTAGTGGTTGAACAATGAGTGGATCGAGAACATAATGACTATTTCACTTTAGTATACACATGTGCAAATCAAGAGGTTTTCCCACTTTCTTCACTTGGAGCATCATTCATTGATGCATTCATTCCCTCATATTCACAAATATCTGTTTGTTTACTACCTGGTTGTGCCTGTGCCAGATGCTGGCATTATATAAATGAATGAGATGTGGCCATGGTTCACAAAGAGCAGACGCACATGTCTGTCCAGAACAAGGTGGTGGCACAATGAGGAAGGGGAATGAAAAAGCAGGACAGGAGGAGATGGGAGAAGTTATTCTGGAAAAGGTGACCCTAGAGCTGAGTCCTGAAGGAAGGAGAGGAGGTTGCCAGGTAGCCAAGGAGGAAGGTGGGTGGGAGGGTAATGGGCCTCTAGGCAGAGTGAAGCAGTGTGGTCAGCCTCAAGGAGCTGGAAATGGTTCCCGCAGCTGGATGATCACCTGCGATTTGGTGGGTGGCGGCATTCATGGGAGATGAAGCTGGTGGTGGAGGCTGTGGGGAGCACAGAGGGCGTTGGGGCTATGAGGCTGCGTTTTGACAGCTCCTGGCAGTTTGGAGGAGAATGGGCGGAGTGGGACGGGCTGGGCCGGTAAGCGCAGTGAGGAAGCTGCCTCCAGAGTGTGGCTGGGGACGAGGAGGCCAGAAGTCAGGCAGTGGCAGTGGAGATGGAGAAGAAGAGAAAATTCAGGGGACATTCAAGTGATCACACCAACTTTTCTCAACTACTGTTTGTGACAACAATACACCAAGTACCCGCGTACCTACCGCCTACACCCAAATGGCGTTACTATTTTGCCATATATGCTTATGTGCTTTCTTTGTTCTTCTCTTTCCATCCTTTTGTTTTCCTTTTTGCTGAGCTGCTGGAAAGTACACTGTCAACATCATGATACTTCATTTCTAGATGCTTTGGCACACATCGTCTAAAGAGAAGGATGTGTTCATCCATGGCATAGCGGCCGTAATGTACCTAAAAGGCACAGCATTAATTCTCTGGGAATTAAGGAGAGCAGAGCAGATCTAGGTGTGGCTGGCACAAGGAAATTACAATAAACTGATGAATGGATTTCTGGGCAGTAGTGAGGACCATTTTCACTGATGAGAATGGTGGCTATGGGGGTGGAGGGGAGACAGGAGGCGCCTTTCTAGCCCTCAGGAAGACAAGATCAAAACCAATACAGGAAACGTCCTCTCCAGAGTAACATAGCAAGAAATATGAAGTCATGGGGGGCATGCTGAGGATCCCAAAATGGGAAGAAGAAAGTAAAGGTCCAAAGAAGGTAAAGATAACATCAGTCCTTAGTCTGGATGGCTTCTTGGAGCCACAGCAACCTCAAAGGAGCTAATGTGAAGTAAGAAGATGTCTTCCCAGTTTCACTGAGAGCTGCAGAAAGATGGAGATAGAGTGGCAAGACACTGTCCCTTCCTCATTCTCCCACCCCAGTCTGCCATCCCAGCCAGTATGCATAGCATGCACACGTACAGCTGTATTTATGTGTGCTCACTCCGTCCTCCCCCTTTCTCTCCCCTTCCCTTCTTCTTTCCCACTCCCTCTCTCCCTCTCCTCCTCTCCTTCCCTCCTTCTTTCCCACTCCCTCTCTTCCTCTCCTTCCCTCCCTCTCTCTCTTTTTCTCCTCTCCCTCCGCCTCAACCCCCAACACACACACACACCTGTCTTGAATAACCAGCAGCAAAGTTAGGATAACTCACACTCATAATTAGACAAACACAAAAAGCCCCTTTGTGTTTGAGTCCTTATTTAGTTATTATCTTTTTTATTAGAAATATCTTTATAGAATTTTTCTATATACAAATTAGGTACTCTTTTTTTTGGAGGAGGGTTGGACAGTCTTGTTCTATTGCCCAGACTGGAATACAGTGGCACTGTCTCAGCTCACTGCAACCCCTACCTTCCAGGTTCAAGCAGTTCTCATGCCTCAGCCTCCCAAGTAGCTGGGATTACAGGCAAGCGCCATCACGCCTGGCTAATTTTTGTAGAGACAGGGTTTCACCATGTTAGCCAGGCTGGTCTCGAACTCCTGGCCTCAAGTGATTCTCCTGCCTCAGCCTCCCAAAGTGCTGGGATTACAGGTGTGAGCCACTGTGCCCAGCCAGATAATCATTTTTTTAAAATTCAAAATTTAAACAAATTTATAAACTCGAAATGAAACGTTTCCACAATCTTACTCTGTAATCTTACTCCTCCTCACACCCCACATAAAATAACTATTAATGTCTGTCTGCTCTACTTATTCTTTTGGATATTTTGTGTGCCAATATGTACATAAAGCAAATGTAATGCACATGTTTCTAAACCAAGTTCATCCACATGCATGGCTTAGTAGCTTGTTTTCTGTTTTACCTCTTAATCATATGTCACCATCTCATCATGTCAATGTCTATAGACCTACCTCATCCTGTTTGATGGGTACAGAGAATTCTATTGTATGTACCACCATAATTTATTTAACTATTCCCCTGTTGAATAAGTGAATCTTTTCAGCTTTTCACTCCAACATTCTTATTCCTGAATCTTCGAACAGTTGTCCATTTATTTCCTTAGGATATATTTTTAGGAGGTAAATTTTGATACATGACCTCAAATTTTCTTCTAGATATTATAGCAATTTACAAGTCTACCAGAAGTCTATGGGAAGGCCTGCTACCCCACGCAGTATCACTAGACATTGTCAATACTTTCAGTCTTCACCGCTTAGATGGACAATAGGATATTTAATTGTCTTTGCTGTTTCTGGTTCTTTGTGTGTTTTCTGTTTGGACAATTTGTCTTTTTCATATAGAGTGTTCAACTGGGCTCATTTCTAGTCTATAACTCATTTAGGTTTCTCTTAAATCCAATAATATTTAAGAATTTTTTCAGTTACTAAGTGGTTTATAGATCTTGTATGCTTTTCATTATTTTTATTTTGACTGCATTGTGCCTTTTTTTACTTTTCAAACTTTTTGTTTTATTTATGTTCCATGGGCATTGAAGAATATGAAATGAGTACAAGGGGCTATATTTCTTTTACATAAAATGTATTATGCTTTCTTTCAAACAGAATACATTATGCTTCTATATTGCTTTTTTTTATTGTTAACTCTTCCTGTTGTTAGCTGATCTGCTTTAATTGGCTTTTTGTTCTAGTGATTTCAGAGTTCTATATCCTGTTTTTATTTTGCCAGTGATCTTGTGTTTTCATTAATTCAGTTCTCAACAGTAATTATCCTGTTCTTTACCCTCTTTTTGTTTTGGAAATCTTGCTTTTGTTTTTATTTCAAGGAAACTAATTTTCTGTTTCTAGACTGCTCTTGACAGCCTACTTTTGTTTTTATCAATATGTTATCATCTTGTATCCCTGAGAATACTATTTGTGTTTTGTTTTACAATGGTTGTCAGTTTTTCCCTGTGTCAACTGCATTTTGCACTTGAGCCATTTGGTTTGATTATTCAGCTGGATTCTTTATGTCCCATGAGTTTTATTGTTTATTCACTATCAAGTCATAGCTAAGCGCTGGACTCTGGTACCAGCCTACCTGAACTCTTATTTGCTGTGTTGCTCAGGGAACTCTTTAAGCCCTCTGTGCCTCAGTTCTCTTATGTTTAAGATGGTAATTAAAGAGGGTACCCTCCTTAAGGTTGCTATGAAGATTGAGTGAACATATATAAAGCACCTAGAATGTGGCTGGCTTGTAATTCCCAAATGATGAGAACTCCCACCTGGAGCTAGGTGGATAGTTGTTCATTTTACCCAAACAGAGTATTCCTAAGCACAGCAGGCTGTAAGTCACCCCTAAAGGATCTCAGGTGGTGGGTGCTGTACTGTGGGTGGGAGCATGTGTGCTAGGTGGGAAGGGACATGGGCTAGGCAGCAGGCTAGCCGATGAGGCTATTTCCAGGGGCACAGACAGGAGAAGGCTTGCAGATGCATCTCCCTACCCTGCTTCAGCCCTGATCCAGCACTGAGGGTGACCAGAGGGATCTGTAGCCAGGTTTGCTCCAGCAAGCTGGGCAAGGATGGTCCCTTCCCAGGAGTGCCCAAGAGGCAAAGTAGTTGGCTGCAGGAATCTACAGTCAGGCTTACCCTTGGGTGTGGTCCAAGCTGGAAAATGGGTCCTGCCTGGATGTGTGTGACAAGAGTGGAATGGAAGGCAGCCCCTTTCCTTGAACCCTGGTAATACCTACAGCATCTGGCAAGTGCTTCTTCCTAAGTGCCAAGAATGGGGTGGATGAGCCAATGCACTCCATCCAGGCCTGGCAGCTGACAGCAGGAGGGCAGACCCATGAGCTGCTCCCTCCCTGTCACCCTTGCCTGTGTCATCAGTACATAGAACACAGAAGTTTCATCCTATAGGAGTGGAAACTCTTCTCAGCTTCTGGTGTTGAGCTGGAGGGTTTTGTTTTGTTTTGTTTTTAATAATCAGTGGGCGAGCTCAGATGAAAACTGGAAAAGAAAGGGAGGGAAAGCCCTTTGCTCTTGGTTCTGCCCCTCTAAAACATTCATCAAATACCTATAGCACACCAGGTTCTGAATCAGTTATTACTGTCCCCATTTTATAGATGAGATCATCGAGGCCCAGAAAGAATGAATGACCTTCCTTGAGATCTGACAATTACCCAGTAATGTGGGATTGGAACATGTTCCGTCTAATGTCAGTCTTTGCTCTTTCCCATCTGCCATTCAGGCTGTGGTCTGATTCCATCTAACAAAATATGCAATGATTACCTGCTCTGTGCCAGAGACTGTGTGATGCTGTGCAGTCGGAAACACAAAGTCCAGACCAAGGCCAGGCCTTGTCTGCCAAGAGTTCACATTCTAGTGGGGAAATAGTCAAACAGACAGGTACCTCCAAGATAAAATAGATGCTATAAGTGCAAGCCAAGTGACGGAGTTCAGTAACAGAGAAGAGAGAGAGGAGTTCTGCCTGGGACTGTAGAGGCAATCTTTCCAGCTAGGGGTAAGAGAGCAAAGGTATGAACATAGGGGAAAATACAGGATCTGGCCACGAAAGGGCACTCACTTGACGTGGCTGGAGCTGCGTGCATGTGGGCAAATAAGGCTGTGTGGGTAAGGAGGAGTCTTTACACACTGAAGGCCAAGACAAGAACTCTGAATGGATTTCTCAGTATAATAAGGAGCTGTTGGAACACTTTAAAGACAGTAACAACATTCAGTTCAATTTAAAAACTTGGAGCATTTACTCAGTGCTGGGCATTCTGCCAGGCACGGGGGTATAAATATAAATAAGAAACAGCTTTTCCCCTTGAAGGTCTCAGTATTATAGACAGAAATTATATCAGTTAGGAATGAAAATAGAAAAACGGACTAAAGCTGGCTTCAACAGATGGGGGTTCATTTTTCTCCTGGAACAAGAATCTGAAGGTCCCATCCAGACTTGGTACCGCTGCTCAGGAAGCCATAACCTTCCTTCTTGGTCTGCCATCCTGAGGCTTTCATCCTCGTGGCTACCTAGTTGGCTGCCGCAGCTCCAGACATTATGTCTGTGTTCCAGTCTAAAAGAAGAGGGAAGAGGAAAGGGCACGGAGCTCTCTCCTGATGAAAGTTTGCTTGTGTATTTGGGAAGAACCACTATCCTTAGAGATACTGTCCTACATCTCATTAGTCAGAACTTGCCATGCCTGGCAGGGAAAAAGTGGGAAATCAATTTTGCTTTGCTTTTAGAGCCTCAATAGTAGAGAGATGAGAGGTTTGGAAATGAAGCACAGATCATCCAACCCACAGTTTCTGCTATAGATTCTAAGATAATGTGATGAATGCTATAGTGGAAGTATGCACGAAACACAATAGAAAAGTGTCTGCGAGGACAGATCATAATTCTGTATGGCAGTTGGGGGTGGACTACAGGGAGGAAGCACCTTTCCAGCTGCACTTTAAAGAACAGTAGGAGCTCACCATGCAGGGTGGAGGTGAGGCCCTCCCAGGCATGTGAAAGGGAGGAAGATATGAATGTACACAGCTGCTTCTGGAAGAGCTCATTGTCTAGGGGGGATATGAGGACTTCAGGAAGATCTGTGGCAGCAGTGCAGAGGATAAATTGGCTGGGAAGCCAGGGAGGAGCCTAGGAGCACTGTTGAGGGATCCTGGTTATATTCAAAAGAACTGAGTCATTTCTTATGCGCAAATGTGGTTCGGGTTGAAGCTACGGTTGTCTGGCTTCGTGGAGGGGGAAGGAAGAAGGGAGAGGAGACAGTCCTCTGCCGATGTGCTTTCCCTGCAGAGATCTGGGACCCATGGAAGGTGGAGAACTTCTCACTCTGGACACTCGGATTTCTGCTATGCCCATAAAGCTCATATTTGGCTAATAGTCCTTGTTTTTTAACTTCAGGGATACTTCTTAATGATTAACACACAGGGAAAACTGAAAACTCCATTCTTGGATTTTGGTCACCATGCAGCAGGCATTGGCGGGCATGGTTTTGATTAACCAGGACCCCTGCCCAGTGGAGCTTATCTTCCTGGGAGGATGCTGGGCTAGAAAAACATCTGGTTGTGCCTGAAGCCTGGATTCCCTTGCTGTCGTTTCAGATCAGTCACAGGGCAGCAACTCCCCACAGTGGTCAGTGTTGCCTCCCTCCAGCCAGCAAGTGGGCAGCTGGCCCAGAGGAGGCAGAAGGCACCAGAAGTGAAGCTTGCATTCACAGCTCTTGCCAGGAATCATGGCCACAGGTTCAGCAGCTTCCAGAGGGTTTATTTCTGAGCAATTATAGCAAGTTAAACCTTAAACAGAGAAGGTTCGTGTACTTACACTGCAAGAGCTGATCTCCTAAAGGAACTGAACAGAGAAGCACACACACAGTGGGGTATTCCTTTGTCAGATTTAAGTCTTCAACAAATTGGAGAATAGCCAAAAGGAATGTACACATTTTTTGAAGGAGAGGATGTGGATAGCCTGGAAGGTATAAATGAAGCTTTGAGAATGGTGGCACTCTCCGGCCATTCAGTTTTTCATAGAACACCTCTAGAGAAAGAAACACAAACTACTTCAAATTATCCTCATACGATAATCTAACCGAGCTACACTGAGTAGTTGAATTGGCCAGAATGCATCAACTTGACTGCCAGTTTAAGATCCCAAAACTGAATTCCAACATCTCTTAGGAGGAAAATAAACTATTCAACCAAAGAAATGCACGTTCCCTGTGGGTTGACCACACTGAACCAGTATAGATCTCTCCCTTTCCAAAAATAAGTAAAGAAATAAGCAAAAAGTACATAAAATAAACTTGTATGATGCCACTTAAAACATACCACTCATTAAAAGAGAACCATCTCCCTAAAAAAATACAAAATTTTTTTCTAAACATGTTTTACTATAATAGACATGAAAATTTAAATGGATATAGACATAATAATCTCATTTAAATATAAGAAATATGCATGATCAATAGAAGATGGATGATGAAATGCAGGAGGAGAGATTCTGAAATAGACAGACAGTGATTAAGGTAAGAAAGGAATGCGAAGAAATTAAACACACAGCAACAACTAAAATCCACAATAGCAGCATTTGCCTTGTAAGAAATAAAAGCATTGAAGTAGTAGACAAGCTAGACTCTAAGTAATGAAAAGTAGACAAACATGGAAGACAAAGTGCCAATCCAGGAAGCACAAATGCAGAAGAGCAATGAAACTGAGCAGAAGGAATAATAATATACAAAAGGCCATCACCTCCCCTGGGGAAAAGGTGGGGAGTGGGTTGACCAAGGCTAAAATGTGCTCAGTGAAGTGAAAGGAGTCGTTGAATTTCCAGGGAAAAAATAAATTAGATACAACGTGATGAAAAATGAAATCGTTCCAAGGGGTGGGAGTGCTTACTCCACAAAGTAATTCGGGGCTCTAGACCTTGGGTGAGGTAGAAGGGAAAGGGGGAGGCAGAGGCAACCTCTAGAGCAGACCAAGGGTATAGGAGCTCAGGATGAATTATAAAAAATCCCTACAAGCATTTGGCAAAACCGACTCACACAGGCAAGTACATAGTCATCCCTCATTCTATAAAATATTCATTTACAAAACCACCACAACTAATCCAACCCTCCTAAGACTCCTTTTCTTTTCCATAATACCAAAGTCCAAAGTCAGTGGTGCTATTGGCCTCAAGAATTGTTGATTCAGCCAGGAAATATGATTCACTTACAAAGGTAACATATTATCCTCAGATATGCACAAAAGCCACATAAAATTGGCTCTCATCGGCTTCCTGAGGAACTTACAAAAACATTGTAGTAGGTTGAATGGTGGCCCCCAAAAATGTGAGGTTCCAATGCGTGGAACCTGTAAATATTGCCTTATTTGGATAAAGGGTCTCTGCAGGTGTGATTAAATTAAGGATTTTGAA
Source organism: Homo sapiens (assembly GCF_000001405.40). Lineage (NCBI taxonomy): Eukaryota > Metazoa > Chordata > Mammalia > Primates > Hominidae > Homo > Homo sapiens. Next base: position 33,682,297 of record NC_000001.11, on the reverse strand, counting down.
ATGAAGGGGTTATCCTGGATTATCTGGGTGAACCCTAGATGCCACCACATGCAACTTTGTAAGAAGAAGACAGAGGGAGATTTTATACACGTAGAGGAGAAGGTGATTCAAAGACAGAGGTAGAGGTTAGAGTGATATAGCCATAAGCCAACGAATGCCAGCAGCATCAGAAATTGGAAGAGGCAGGAACAGAGTCTATTCTGGAGCTTCCAGAGGGAGCATGGCCCTACTGACACATTGATTGAAGCGCAGCAATACTGATTTCAGACATCTGGCCTCCAGAACTATGAAAGAATAAATTTCTGGTTTTGTTTATGTTTGTTTGTTTGTTTGATTTGGAGTCTCGCTCTGTTGCCCAGGCTGGAGTGCAGTGGTGCGATTTCAGCTCACTGCAAACTCCACCTCCCGGGTTCAAGTGATTCTCCGACCTCAGCCTCCCAAGTACCTGGGGTTAAAGGCACCTGCCACCACACCTGGCTAATTTTTGTACTTTTAGTAGAGACAGGGTTTCATCATGTTTGCCAGGCTGGTCTAGAACTCCTGACCTCAGGTGATCTACCTGCCTCGGCCTCCCAAAGTGCTGGGATTACAGGCATGAGCCATCATGCCTGGCCAAATTTCTAGTGTTTTAAGCCACCAAGTTTGTTGTAATATGTTACAGCATCCACAGGAAGCTAATACAGACATACAATTTTTAGCCAACTGAGATGTTTAGAAAAACTACACGGTACTAAGAATTGGTGACTATGAAAGATTGTGTGTAACTTGGGCCTCTAGTCCCTACTTATATTGTCAATGGTTTGATGGTTGGGAGAGGGCATAGGGAAAGGTGAAACCTTTTTAAGATTTACTGTCTTACATAAGAAGAAGTAAAATGGTATAATATATTATTTTTCTTAAATTTGATGATTAGAGAAAATACAAGTTTAGGAGTACTTTTGAAAATGCTTAAAGAAAACCACCCATAGAATTTAAAATAAAATGTGTACTTTGCAAATCACTAAAGAAAACTTACAAACTAAGGAATATTACCCAAAAAAGCAAGAAAATATAATAAACAAAAGCATAAAACACAGCCAGGCGTGGTGTCTCATGCCTGTAATCCCAGCACTTTGGGAGGCTGAGGGAGGTGAATCACTTGAGGCCAGGAGTTCGAGACCAGCATGGTCAACCCAGCTAAACCCCATCTTACTAAAAATAGAAAAATTAGCCAGGCATGGTGGCATGCACCTGTAGTCCCAGCTATTCAGGAGGCTGAGGCATGAGAATCACTTGAACACAGGAGGCGGAGCTTATAGTGGGCTTAGATCATGCCACTGTACTCCAGCCTGGGTGCCAGAGTGAGATTCTGTCTCAAAAAAAAAAAAAAAAAAAAAAAAGCATAAAACAGGATGATGGAAATAAGCTTGTATTATTAGTCAACAGTAATGGCTAACTGATATAACAGATAACCCCCAAATCTCAGTGGTTTAACACAATAAAGGTTAATTTTTCACACACTTCACAGTCCAGTGCTAGTCTGCAGTGGGGAACAGGGTCCTGGGTGGGGCTGGAGGTGTCTGTTCCACAAAGTAATTCAAGGCTCCAGGCCTCATGTAGGGAAAAGAGAATGGGGGGAGAGGAGGCAGCCTCTGGAGCAGATCAAGGTTACAGGAGCTCAGGATGGGCAGGAGACTGAGAGGCTGACCGGATATAAGGCCCAGAGCACAGAAGTGCTACCGTCTGAGGCTTCTCTGAAGGATCAGCAAAGAGCTAAAGTCAGGTGCCTGGGCGGAGTGCAAGACTCAGATGCTGAGCAAAGGGTCTGCAAAGGGAGCAAACACAGGATCCCAGAGAGAGGCCCCAAGACGACGGTGCACAGGGAAAGGAAGCCTCTACCGTGATGTGTAGAGTAACTACTGACTGACCTGTGGCAGGGAAAGCAGGAGCCGTAAAGAGCTATGAGCTGGTGCCCACATGGGAAACATTCATATTGCAAGGCAAAGATTCTTGGGTTGGATAAAATTTAAAAGAATGCTGCTAAACAGAAGAACAACAAAATATTAAAAATAAAAGGTTGGGACAAAAGAATAGCATGAGAACACATGGAAGTAAAAAGCAGGGATCACAATATTGCTTTTCTGTTAAAAAAAAAAAAAAAAAAAAAAAAGGCGAGGCCATCCTGGCTAACACGGTGAAACCCCGTCTCTACTAAAAATAAAAATAAAAAATTAGCCAGGCGTGGTGGCGGGCACCTGTAGCCCCAGCTACTCGGGAGGCTGAGACAGGAGAATGGCTTGAACCCGGGAGGCAGAGCTTGCAGTGAGCTGAGATTGTGCCACTGCACTCCAGCCTGGGTGACAGAGCAAGACTCCATCTCAAAAAGAAAAAAAAAAAAAGTAAAATTCAAGGTTAAATAACATTAAAAGAGACACAGGGAATGCTTTCATATGATAAAATGCATAGTCCACAATAATGCTAACAGTCATGAATCTGCACTAAGTAACCTAATGAGAAAACATAAAGCAAAATCTGTCAGAAATATGAGGAGAAATTGACAATCCTTATAGGAGACTTTAGCACATCTCTCTTAGTCAAGTAAAAAATAAAATAAATTGAACAAAAATGGAATTATTTTAGGTGATTTTACCATTTGATGATTATTTAATACTATGTGCTAGATGCTTTCTATGTGATTTCATTTATGATAATACTCTTAGCAACGCTGCTTGATAGATTGAAATTACAGCCATTTTACACGGGGGTAAATTGAGGCTCTGCAAGGTCACCAAGTTAGCTCTCTCAGAACTAGTATTTGAGGCTGGGCGCAGTGGCTCACGCCTGTAATCCCAACACTTTGGGAGACCGAGGTGGGTGGATCACGAGGTCAGGAGATTGAGACCATCCTGGCCAACATGGTGAAACCCCATCTCTACTATAAATACAAAAATTAGCTGGATGTGGTGGCATGAGCCTGTAATCCCAGCTACTTGAAAGGCTGAGGCAGGAGAATCGCTTGAACCCAGGGGGCGGAGATTGCAGTGAGCCAAGATGGCACCACTGCACTCCAACCTGGTGACAGAGCAAGACTCTATCTCAAAAAAAAAAAAAAAAAAAAACAACTGCAATTTGAACCCAGGTCTTTGGTTCCACAGCCAGTGTTTTGACTTTATGGAAACATTTCTTCCAAGGACAAAGATACATTGGCCCCTCACAGAATCCCTGACACCTACAGGGCAGACTCTGGACTCTGTCTAGTGATAGGCAGTCTCAGAGCCTCCAGTGACAGGGTGATGAGGAAGAGAGGGCAGCTGGCCGGAGGTCACCCAGCACGTTAGAGGGAAGCACAAGGTCACAGCTTAAGTCCAAGACAGCAGTCACTACCCTGGAACATTCTGCAACGTTTTCAGTGACCTGAAGCCCAGTTTTATTTTTCCACTTTAGAAAATAACCAAAGAATCTTTTATTTCTTTTGCATGCCAGCTGGTCCCTGAAGAGAAGAGCCTTTTATTTTGCTATAGACACCAATGCTGGATTTGGGCTTTGGTCTGTCTTCTCAGTTTTTGCTCTTTGGATAGCGTGATACTTAATTATTATTGTCTGCTATTATGATCATGGTTTAATTGTTGGTTTGCAGCTCGGTCAGCTTAGAGGGGGGCATTTGATAAAACAAGTATTATTTTCTTATTGCCCTTTCCGATGTCACCAAGGATAATTGCAGCTGCATTCTCATGTGGGGACAGGAGTGATTTCTGACCCCCTTCCCCCTGCAGCAGCTGTTCATTCACATGCCATTTTCCCCTAATGTAAAGATCCACCATCATGACTCACATCAGCGATGGGTTTATTGTGTTCCTGCAGTGGTGACTGTTGGTTGGGAACATCCAAAGCCCTTTCATATTCTGGGGCCCAGTCAGAAGGCAAGTGAAATCAACAGGTCAAGGTGCCATGAATTTTTTTTATTTTCTCATTTTTGCATGTCTTTCTTTCTTTTTTTTTTTTTTTAATTTATAAAGAAAAGAGGTTTATTTGGCTCATGGTTCTACAAGCTGTACAAGAAGCATGGTGCCAGCATCTCCTTTTGGTGAGGGCCTCAGTAAGCTTCTACTCATGGTGGATAGAGAAGGGGGAGCGAGCATGTCACATGGCAAGAGAATGAGCAAGAGAAGTCGGGGAGGAGCCACGCTCTTTTTTTTTTAATTTTATTATTATTATACTTTAAGTTTTAGGGTATATGTGCAGAACGTGCAGGTTTGTTACATATGTATACATGTGCCATGTTGGTGTGCTGCACGCATTAACTCATCATTTAGCATTAGGTATATCTCCTAATGCTATCCCTCCCCCCTCCCCCCACCCCACAATAGTCCCCAGTGTGTGATGTTCCCCTTCCTGTGTCCACGTGTTCTCATTGTTCAATTCCCACCTGTGAGTGAGAACATGCGGTGTTTGGTTTTTTGTCCTTGTGATAGTTTGCTGAGAATGATGGTTCCCAGCTTCATCCATGTCCCTACAAAGGACATGAACTCACCATTTTTTATGGCTGCATAGTATTCCATGGTGTATATGTGCCACATTTTCTTAATCCAGTCTATCATTGTTGGACATCTGGGTTGGTTCCAAGTCTTTGCTATTGTGAATAGTGCCGCCATAAACATACATGTGCATGTGTCTTTATAGCTGCATGATTTATAATCCTTTGGGCATATACCCAGTAATGGAATGGCTGAATCAAATGGTATTTCTAGTTCTAGATCCCTGAGGAATCGCCACACTGACTTCCACAATGGTTGAACTAGTTTACAGTCCCACCAACAGTGTAAAAGTGTTCCTATTTCTCCACATCCTCTCCAGCACCTGTTGTTTCCTGACTTAATGATTGCCATTCTAACTGGTGTGAGATGGTATCTCATTGTGGTTTTGATTTGCATTTCTCTGATGGCCAGTGATGATGAGCATTTTTTCATGTGTTTTTTGACTGCATAAATGTCTTCTTTTGAGAAGTATCTGTTCATATCCGTTGCCCACTTTTTGATGGGGTTGTTTGTTTTTTTCTTGTAAATTTGTTTGAGTTCACTGTAGATTCTGGATGTTAGCCCTTTGTCAGATGAGTAGGTTGCCAAAATTTTCTCCCATTCTGTAGGTTGCCTGTTCACTCTGATGTTCGTTTCTTTTGCTGTGCAGAAGCTCTTTAGTTTAATTAGATCCCATTTGTCAATTTTGGCTTTTGTTCCCATTGCTTTTGGTGTTTTAGAGATGAAGTCCTTGCCCATGCCTATGTCCTGCATGGTATTGCCTAGGTTTTCTTCTAGGGTTTTTATGGTTTTAGGTCTAACATGTAAGTCTTTAATCCATCTTGAATTAATTTTTGTATAAGGTGTAAGGAAGTGATCCAGTTTCAGCTTTCTACATATGGCTAGCCAGTTTTCCCAGCACCATTTATTAAATAGGGAATCCTTTCCCCATTGCTTGTTTTTCTCAGGTTTGTCAAAGATCAGGTGGTTGTAAATATGTGGCATTATTTCTGAGGGCTCTGTTCTGTTCTATTGGTCTATATCTCTGTTTTGGTACCAGTACCATGCTGTTTTGGTTACTGTAGCCTTGTAGTATAGTTTGAAGTCAGGTAGTGTGATGCCTCCAGCTTTGTTCTTTTGGCTTAGGATTGACTTGGTGATGCGGGCTCTTTTTTGATGCCATATGAACTTTAAAGTAGTTTTTTCCAATTCTGTGAAGAAAGTCATTGGTAGCTTAATGGGGATGGCATTGAATCTATAAATTACGTTGGGCAGTATGGCCATTTTCACAATATTGATTCTTCCTACCCATGAGCATGGAATGTTCTTTCTTTTCTTTGTATCCTCTTTTATTTCCTTGAGCAGTGGTTTGTAGTTCTCCTTGAAGAGGTCCTTCACATCCCTTGTAAGTTGGATTCCTAGCTATTTTACTCACTTTGAAGCAATTGTGAATGGGAGTTCACTCATGATTTGGCTCTCTGTTTGTCTGTTATTGGTGTATAGGAATGCTTGTGATTTTTGCACATTGATTTTGTATCCTGAGACTTTGCTGAAGTTGCTTATCAGCTTAAGGAGATTTTGGGCTGAGATGATGGGGTTTTCTAGATATACAATCATGTCATCTGCAAACAGGGACAATTTTATTTCCTCTTTTCCTAATTGAATACCCTTTATTTCCTTCTCCTGCCTGATTGCCCAGGCCAGAACTTCCAACACTATGTTGAATAGGAGTGGTGAGAGAGGGCATCCCTGTCTTGTGCCAGTTTTCAAAGGGAATGCTTCCAGTTTTTATCCATTCAGTATGACATTGGCTTTGGGTTTGTCATAAATAGCTCTTATTATTTTGAGATACGTCCCATCAATACCTAATTTATTGAGAGTTTTTAGCATGAAGAGTTGTTGAATTTTGTCAAAGGCCTTTTCTGCATCTATTGAGATAATCATCTGGTTTTTGTCTTTGGTTCTGTTTATATGCTGGATTATGTTTATTGATTTGCGTATGTTGAACCAGTCTTGCATCCCAGGGATGAAGCCCACTTGATCATGGTGCATAAGCTTTTTGATGTGCTGCTGGATTCGGTTTGCCAGTATTTTATTGTGGATTTTTGCATCAATGTTCATCAAGGATATTGGTCTAAAATTCTCTTTTTTTGTTGTGTCTCTGCCAGGCTTTGGTATCAGAATGATGCTGGCCTCATAAAATGAGTTAGGGAGGATTCCCTCTTTTTCTGTTGATTGGAATAGTTTCAGAAGTAATGGTACCAGCTTCTCCTTGTACCTCTGGTAGAATTCGGCTGTGAATCCATCTGGTCCTGGACTTTTTTGGTTGGTAAGCTATTAATTATTGCCTCAATTTCAGAGCCTGTTATTGGTCTATTCAGAGATTCAACTTCTTCCTGGTTTAGTCTTGGGAGGGTGTATGTTTGTAGGAATTTATCCATTTTTTCTAGATTTTCTAGTTTATTTGCATAGAGGTGTTTGTAGTATTCTCTGATGGTAGTTTGTATTTCTGTGGGATCGGTGGTGATATCCCCTTTATCATTTTTTATTGCATCTATTTGATTCTTCTCTCTTTTCTTCTTTATTAGTCTTGCTAGCAGTCTATCAATTTTGTTGATCTTTTCAAAAAACTAGCTCCTGGATTCATTGATTTTTTGAAGGGTTTTTTGTGTCTCTATTTCCTTCAGTTCTGCCCTGATCTTAGTTATTTCTTGCCTTCTGCTAGCTTTTGAATGTGTTTGCTCTTCCTTCTCTAGTTCTTTTAATTGTGATGTTAGGATGTCAATTTTGGATCTTTCCTGCTTTCTCTTGTGGGCATTTAGTGCTATAAATTTCCCTCTACACACTGCTTTGAATGTGTCCCAGAGATTCTGGTATGTTGTGTCTTTGTTCTCATTGGTTTCAAAGAACATCTTTTTTTCTGCCTTCATTTCGTTATGTACCCAGTAGTCATTCAGGAGCAGATTGTTCAGTTTCCATGTAGTTGAGCGGTTTTGAGTGAGTTTCTTAACCCTGAGTTCTAGTTTGATTGCACTGTGGTCTGAGAGATAGTTTGTTATAATTTCTGTTCTTTTACATTTGCTGAGGAGTTCTTTACTTCCAACTATGTGATCCATTTTGGAATAGGTGTGGTGTGGTGCTGAAAAGAATGTATATTCTGTTGATTTGGGGTGGAGAGTTCTGAAGATGTCTATTAGGTCTGCTTGGTGCAGAGCTGAGTTCAATTCCTGGATATCCTTGTTAACTTTCTGTCTTGTTGATCTGTCTAATGTTGACAGTGGGGTGTTAAAGTCTCCCATTATTATTGTGTGAGAGTCTAAGTCTCTTTGTAGGTCACTCAGGACTTGCTTTATGAATCTGGGTGCTCCTGTATTGGGTGCATATATATTTAGGATAGTTAGCTCCTCTTGTTGAATTGATCCCTTTACCATTATGTAATGGCCTTCTTTGTCTCTTTTGTTCTTTGTTGGTTCAAAGTCTGTTTTATCAGAGACTAGGATTGCAACCCCTGCCTTTTTTTGTTTTCCATTTGCTTGGTAGATCTTCCTTCATCCCTTTATTTTGAGCTTATGTGTGTCTCTGCACGTGAGATAGGTTTCCTGAATACAGCACACTGATAGGTCTTGACTCTATCCAATTTGCCAGTCTGTGTCTTTTAATTGGAGCATTTAGCCCATATACATTTAAGGTTAATATTGTTATGTGTGAATTTGATCCTGTCATGATGATGTTAGCTGGTTATTTTGCTCGTTAGTTGATGCAGTTTCTTCCTAGCCTTGATGGTCTTTACAATTTGGCATGTTTTGCAGCGGCTGTTACCAGTTGTTCCTTTCCATGTTTAGTGCTTCCTTCAGGAGCTCTTTTAGGGCAGGCCTGGTGGTGACAAAATCTCTCAGCATTTGCTTGTCTGTAAAGGATTTCATTTCTCCTTCACTTATGAAGCTAGTTTGGCTGGATATGAAATTCTGGGTTGAAAATTCTTTTCTTTAAGAATGTTGAATATTGGTCCCCACTCTCTTCTGGCTTGCAGAGTTTCTGCCGAGAGGTCAGCTGTTAGTCTGATGGGCTTCCCTTTGTGGGTAACCCGACCTTTCTCTCTGGCTGCCCTTAACATTTTTTCCTTCATTTCAACTTTGGTGAATCTGACAATTATGTGTCTTGGAGTTGCTCTTCTCGAGGAGTATCTTTGTGGTGCTCTCTGTATTTCCTGAATTTGAATGTTGGCCTGCCTTGCTAGATTGGGGAAGTTCTCCTGGATCATATCCTGCAGAGTGTTTTCCAACTTGGTTCCATTCTCCCCGTCACTTTCAGGTACACCGATCAGACGTAGATTTGGTCTTTTCACATAGTCCCATATTTCTTGGAAGCTTTGTTCATTTCTTTTTATTCTTTTTTCTCTAAACTTCTCTTCTCGCTTCATTTCATTCATTTCGTCTTCCATCGCTGATACCCTTTCTTACAGTTGAACGCATCAGCTACTGAGGCTTGTGCATTCGTCACGTAGTTCTCGTGCCGTGGTTTTCAGCACCATCAGGTCCTTTAAGGACTTCTCTGAATTGGTTATTCTAGTTAGCCATTCGTCTAATTTTTTTCAAGGTTTTTAACTTCTTTGCCATTGGTTCAACCTTCCTCCTTTAGCTTGGAGTAGTTTGATCTTCTGAAGCCTTCTTCTCTCAACTCGTCAAAGTCATTCTCCGTCCAGCTTTGTTCCATTGCTGGTGAGGAGCTGCGTTCCTTTGGAGGAGGAGAGGCACTCTGATTTTTAGAGCTTCTGGTTTTTCTGCTCTGTTTTTTCCCCATCTTTGTGGTTTTATCTACCTTTGGTCTTTGATGATGGTGACGTACAGATGGGGTTTTGGTGTGGATGTCCTTTCTGTTTGTTAGTTTTCCTTCTAACAGTCAGGACCCTCAGCTGCAGGTCTGTTGGAGTTTGCTGGAGGTCCACTCCAGACCCTGTTTGCCTGGGTATCAGCAGCGGTGGCTGCAGAACAGCAGATATTGGTGAACTGCAAATGCTGCTGCCTGATCGTTCCTCTGGAAGTTTTATCTCAGAGGAGTACCCAGCCGTGTGAGGTGTCAGTCCGCCCCTACTGGGGGTTGCCTCCCAGTTAGGCTACTCGGGGGTCAGGGACCCACTTGAGGCGGCAGTCTGCCCATTCTCAGATCTCAAGCTGCGTGCTGGGAGAACCACTACTCTCTTCATAGCTGTCAGACAGGGACATTTAAGTCTGCAGAGGTTACTGCCGCCTTTTGATTGTCTGTGCCCTGCCCCCAGGGGTGGAGCCTATAGAGGCAGGCAGGGCTCCTTGAGCTGTGGTGGGCTCCATCCAGTTCGAGCTTCCCAGCTGCTTTGTTTACCTACTCAAGCCTGGGCAATGGCAGGCGCCCCTCCCCCAGCCTTGCTGCCGCCTTGCAGTTTGATCTCAGACTGCTGTGCTAGCAAGGCTCCGTGGGCGTAGGACCCTCCGAGCCAGGTGCGGAATATAATCTCCTGGTGTGCCGTTTGTTAAGCCCATTGGAAAAGCGCAGTATTAGGGTGGGAGTGACCCGATTTTCCAGGTGCCGTCTGTCACCCCTTTCTTTGACTAGGAAAGGGAATTTCCTGACCCCTTGTGCTTCCCAGGTGAGGCGATGCCTCGCCCTGCTTCGGCTCACACACGGTGCACTGCACCCACTGTCCGGCACTCCCCAGTGAGATGAACCCGGTACCTCAGTTGGAAATGCAGAAATCACCCGTCTTCTGCATCACTCATGCTGGGAGCTGTAGACTGGGGCTGTTCCTATTTGGCCATCTTGGCTCCACCCCCCTTTGCATGTCTTTCCAATTTGCAATGGGATAGAGATAAACTGCCTATAAGCAGGGAGGTGGGAATCATTTGTTTGTTTGTTTTTGTTTTTGTTTTTAAAAAATACCTAGTGTGTCCAAGTTTCCTTCAGAGTAAAAGAACTGAGGACCGTGATCTCAGAAGCAAGTTTTGCCTGTGGGCAGCACTTGAGAGGGACGGGCCCCTGCAGTGAAAATCCACTGTCCTCCCAGCTTCTTAGATTTAGGCTCTGGTAGAAAATCTCCTGTTGCTGAAGCTGAGTGTTGTGAACCTTACACTAGCCTCAGCAAAGCACAGTGGAGTCTCAGAGGGGGCTGGTGGGAAGAGGTACGGGAGTGAGGGCCAGGTGGGTCCACCCTTAGCTAGGGCCTGCTATTGGTTGGTGGGGGCGTGGGTGTGGCAGTGGGAGGTGGAACTCTGAAAACACTTTGAGGAAAGGCATGTGGAGATCTCAGACTTGAACAGGGTTATCTGCACATCCCAGGGTGTCCCTGCAGCCAGCAATGAAGTCAAGATCCAGCCCCCGCAGAGCAAGCAGAATTTCAGGGCAGCCCCACCAAGGAATGGGAGGGAGAACCAGGGGCCCAGTGAGACCCAGTTACCTGAGCTGGCATACTTGCTGGAGTTAGACTGCAGATTATCATGAGTGCCCAAGATGCAACCTAGGCAAACCAGATACCAGACTTAGGATGATGAGACCAACTCAAAAGCCCTCCTTTGGTGGAACCCCTCCCTCACTGCCCTCAGCCCTGCCCCAGCACCAAGGAAACTGCTCTCACTAGGAGAATGGGGACCATGAATTCCTCACTCCTCTGCAGCTTGGACATTATCACCATTCCCTGAGCCACGGCTTCAGGTCTCAGCCACCCGCATTTCATGCTTTGTCTTCCTGAAGAGCTTGTCATTTCCTGGGTGGGCCAGCCTCTACATCCCCTCTGTGTCTTTGCATACCCTATTTTCTCTGCCTGCATTCTGTCCCCTTCTCACCCTCCTCACCCACCCCCTTCATCTGGACTCATCCTGTTAATCTCTCATCTCTCTTTTCTCTTATAAAGATATCAAGACTCAGCTCAGTAGTTACCTCTCCCAGGAGGCCTGGTCTCATACCCTTGGCCTAAGTTAGGGGGCTTCTCCGTACATACCTTTACTGTAGACTGTACCACATGCAGGGGTGGAAGCATGCCATATTCTTATCTGAATCACCAGTGCCTAGTATGCTATCTGAACCTAGTACTTACTATTTATAGATTTAAAGTATGACTATCAGTATCACTGTAGGCTCAGGGAACCTACAGGGCTGGATTTTAAAAGTGTGAGACCATGGTTGCAGTATCCCAGTTTCTCCCAGATTTAGATTCAGCAGTGAGCTCTGGCCCAGGTTCTGTGTGGCTAGATTCTATGTCTTTGGTAGTGTAGAGCACCAAAGATACAGCTGTAAGATCCGAGGGGCTAGATGTGGATGGTAAAGGAAGAGCTCAGAACTTCCAGAGAAATAGGAAGTATCCTCCTTAGTATATAGGATTTGTTTAAGTTGCCTCTTGTAGAGTGACAGATGCTTGGCAAGGACAGTGGGTGAGTTTGGATGAACCACAGGGGTCCCTGAAAGCTGGTGAGCCATTCGTTCATTCATCAATTCAGTCAGACAACATTCACCAAGGGGCTAGTACAGGTCAGGCCTCATGCTGGGTACCAGAGATATAGAAGTGAATGAGACACTGGCACAAGAGTTAAGGGATTCAGCAAGACAGGGAAGTCAATGGATGACTCTGATAGAGCAGGAGCCTGTAGAGGGAGCATCTCACTAGACTGAGGGGATGGGGAGGACAAGGAGAAGCCTGTGGAAAAGCTCCCCACTGGATGTGAGGCACCTACCAGTACACATCAGTCAGGGGGTAGAAGAATTTACTAGGGCTGCTGTAACAAACTGAATAGCTTAAAATAACAGAAATGTGTTTTGTTCACAGTTCTAGAGGCTAGAAGTCCAAAATCATGTTCTCAATGGGCCAAGATCCCTCTGGAAATACTGGGGAAGAATCTGTCTCATGTGTCTCATAGCTTCTGGTGGTTGCCAGGAACCCTTCGCATTCCTTGTGTTGCAGACACATTACTTCTATCTGTGCCTCCATCACATGGTCTCCTTCCCTGTGTCTCTCCTGTGTCTCTGTATCCAAATCTCCCTCTCTTTTCTCTTACGATATCAGTCATTGGATTTACGGCCCACCCTAATCCAGTATGCCCTTCTTGTCATAACTTGATTACATCTGATTCTATTTCCAAATAAGGTCACAGTCACACAGGTACCAGGGGTAAGGACTTGAGCATATCCTTTTGGGGGACACAAGTCAACCCGCTACAAGTGGCATGGGGCCATTTGCAGGGGGAACTTCCAGGCAGAGAGAAGGCTCTGAAGCAAGAGAATAAGAAGGAAATCAGTAAAGGGTTAGAAGAATGGGAGAAGGCAACTGGGGAAGCCCAGGGGGGACTTGGTGTGTCCCCTCGGAAGTCTGACTTTATCCTGTAGAGAAGGAGGAGAGACTGGGTCAGAGGAGTGGTTCAGAAAGATAGACGTGGTCCTGATGGAAAAGGTGGATTGAAAGGATGGGAGGGGAACTGGATCCAGGAAGGCCAGTTACTCTTTCGATTCCTCTTAATTTGCTTTTCCCTCTTTTGCCATCTTTCTCTCCCTCAATTTCTCCACACTTTCCTTTCTTCAAAACTGTTTCAAAGACACTGCCTCCTTGAAGCTTTCCTTGCCTCTTCAAATTAAAAGAAAAAGAAGATGGTGTAAAAGAAAGGCCTTTGGTACCAGACAGACATGGTTTGAATACCGTCTCTGACCCTTGCTAGTTGCCTCTGTTAATCCCTTGGAACTTCAGTTCCTCCACAGCAAAATAGTGAGAATACACTCTCAACTGCAGGGCTTTATGAGGATATTCAGCAATGTACATAAAGCAGTTGGCACATGGGAGATTTTCTACAAACGTTTAGCTCTTTTTGTCCTCCGGTTATTTTGATAGCATCTTATTTATTCCACTCTTTAGCACCTATTGCACATATTATTATGTTTTGGGTGTCTCCTTCAGTAAGTTTCCTCCAGGGCAAGCACAGAGCCTTGCACATTTCTGCAGCTCTCAACACAGAGCTTGACATGCAACATGCTTCATTTCTCTTCCCTGGAAATGGCCTGTTTTGTGTTTGTGGTCCAAAGAAACGCACACACAGACAAGCAAGTCATCAATAGGAAGGAAGATCTTTTCACCTCTTTCCTCCACTTCAGTTTCTCCTACCTAGGGGCACAGTACAATGGGGAGGGGAGCTGCAAACTGTTCTCAGGATATCAAAAGCCAGAAGAAGACCCAGTGTTCACCTACAGGGGAGCTGCTCACACAAACCACAATGGCTGTTTTGGCCTGGAATTATCTCTGTCGATCAGAACTGCTCATTAGCATTTATAGACTCTGATTTCTATAAGATAAGTATTCAATAAGAGTCTTAATAAATGTGGTTGGGTTGGCAAACCAAGTCTTTACTGGCCATCATCAAAGGTTTATAATAAAAGGGGTCACTGGCCCCCTGTGGCAGCCCCTAGCTAATTTCCCTGCATCCACTCTTGCCCTTGTCAATCTTTTCTTACCCAGGCACCAAGAGTGATCGCAAAATGTAAATCGGAACCTGTCAGAGCTCAGCTTAAAATATACCAATGACTTCCCTCAGCTCCTATAGTACACACCAAACATCTCCCCCCATCCACGGAGTCCCGCCAGCCCTGCCCCTGCCTACCTCTCCTGGCCCAGTGTCGCCTCCATGGCCTTTCCATTGTGACCTTTGCACATGCTCTCCTTTATTCACTGCAGGCTTCCTCCCACCTCTCACCCCTCCTGCTCTCCATGTGGCTTGGCATCTTGCTTAAATGCCACTTCCTTAGAAGGTCTTCTCCGGCCACTCTGTCTAAAGTGGATGCTCTGCCTCAGCACTCTGCCATGTCCTGCCCTGTGCTAGACACAGCTGATAATTTTTTAGTGAGTTTGTGTCTGGGGGGTTATTGCCCATCTCCAGAAGCTCCCGGAGAATGGCACCCTGTCTGTCATCTTCACTGTTATACAGCAGCACCCCGCATATGGGAGGCGCTTAAGTGAATGAGTGCCGAAAGGGGCTTGAACTTTAGCCTCTGTCCTTTCCGTTGCCAACTTGTATTGTTCGTGCACACAGAGAACCCCGCCTTCTCCTCCCTTCTTCTGCACTCCTCTCCGCAACATCAATGCCAAGCCTTTGACTTTGTCTGTTTATCAGATCAGCTAAGCCGAATGCAATCAACTGGCATTTTTAATTCATATCAGCTTACGTATGACTCACATATAAACTGTTGATGATTGATAGAGCCTCTCCAGCCCCTGCCTAGCTCTCAACCACAGCCTCTTCCTCCCAGAGATGTGGGCAGCATTGTTAGGAGAGAGTAGAAGCACTAAGGTCTGACCTGGATTAGTATTAAATAATAGCAATTCCAGCTTACTGTCTAACCAGCCCATGACCTTGTGCAAGTTACCTACCCTCTCAGAGCCTCAGTATTCTCATTGTTAAAGATGAGACTAGTCCTAGCTACAAAATAAAGATGCTTGCATGGACTCCATGGGCTAATGTGAAAGTGCCTTATACACAGTGGTTGTTATGGAAACACGTTTTCCTTCATGTCTATTTAGTCCCCATATTCTTGCTTTTCTCAGCTTCGTGTCAGACTGGGGTTTCATTCGTTCATTCATTGATTCACTCACTCATTCATTCAGTTGTTCACCCTCAGGATTTCACATGGCCTCTAGAGTCAGTCTCTAACTAGAATACAATAAAGCCCAAACTCCCATAGCTAATTTTGAGACTCATTCTCTTCCCTCTCTCAATCAGCTGTATTCTCTATGGCATCCTAATACCACCTGAACTCAAGTATGGAGTTGCCTTTCTTCCCGGACAGCTTCACCTCCTCTCTGCCTCCAGGTCTTATCTCATGTTATTAAATCCAAAGAAAGCACTCTCCTTTCACGCCACCTAAACTTCAGGTCTCATTTCCTTTTGCCTTCCCTGATGAGTGTGGCCCACACCGATGTCTTTTCTGAGAGCACGTACAGCCACACCACACGGCTGGCACTCGGTCTCCTCTTGGCTGCTGATTTCACAGTGCATTGATCACCACAGAGAAAGCAGAGAAGGCAGGGGGCAGCCTGGCACAGCAGTGAGTATGTGTGTTTGTGCTCTGTCCTAGGGATCTCCTTCTCCTCTTTTCAAATCAAATGTGGGGCCCCAGCCTTACACAGGTCCTGGTTTTAAGGAATCCCCTCCTATATCTATAAAAGATTCTACCTAGGAAATCCAAGAGATTCTGTTGGTTTCTAATAGTACTAACTAGTGACCGAAAGTAAGAAACACACACACACACACACACACACACATATATATATCTGACAATAAATAACTAGAAAATGTAACTAAACATTAAATCTCATTCACAATAGAACCAAAACCATAAACTTGTGGACTGCCAAAGAGGAAATTTAACAAGAGGTGTGCAAAGAAGAAAACCATAACAAAGATGAAAAACATAAAACTTTGCAAAGTACATAAACTAAGTTATCTACAATGTTCCTGGCTGGGGAAAATTAGTAACATAAAGATATCAATTATCTCCAAATTAATCAATGTGTATATAATCCCAATCAAAATCTCAATCACATTTTTTTGGGACTTGGTAACCATAAAGTTTATCTAAAAGAGTAAATTTGGGAAATTAGTAAGTTTTAGGGAAAAAATCAAAATTTGAGAATATGGAAACCCAAGTAAGGTGAGTAGCTACGTTCCTGGTACCACAAGTAGATTCTAGTATAGGGAAAGGAGAGATCACTGGACTTGAGAGAAGAGTCCAGAAACAGCCCGCAACTAAGGGGATATTTCAAATCAGTAGGGAGAATCAGGATTCTTCAGCTATGAGCGTGTCATCATCCATGGGTATCATGAGCACCATCCAAAATGTCAGATACATCTTAGGCAAACAAGGCCTGGTTCCACACTCATGAAAATTATGATCTAGTTAGGGAGAAGCATAGTCTACAAATAGGTACACTAAAGATAGACTGGTAGATGCTACGGAGGGAGTAAACAGATGTTTTGGTAGGCAAAGTGTGGAAGAGGCTACTTTAGATAGGTGTTGGGAGAATTGAGTGTCAATTTGGAAGAGTAATGAACTTGTTAGCCTCAAAAAATGAAACTAGCCAGGTGCAGTGGCTCACACCTGTAATCCCAGGAATTTTGGAGGCTGAGGCAGGAGGATTGCTTGAATCCCAGCATTCAAGACCAGCCTGAGCAACACAGAAAAACCCCATCCCTACAAAAAATAAAATTAGTCAAACATGGTGGCATGTTAACTGTGGTCCCAGCTACTCAGGAGGTTGTAGTGAGTTACGATTGCACCACTGAACTCCAACCTGGGCAACCAGATAGGCCCTGTCGCAAAAAAAAAAAAAAAAAAAAAAAAAAGAGAGAAGAAAGAAACTATACAAGTCCCAGGAAAGTATTAAAGTTTTGATTAAAGTTTTGTTTTGTTTTTGAATCGTTGGGTCGGGGAGAGGTCTGCCCAAGCATAACATGACATCCAGTATCCTTAAAGGAAAATATTAACGTATTTGGTTACATAAAATTAATCACTTCTTACCAAAATGGATACCACAAACCAAAGTTAAATGAGAAAAAGTCACCAGACACTAGGAGAAAAGATTAGCAACAAATATATCATATAAAAGAGAAATCAAAAATATAAGGTAAATAAAAGTCATAATATATAAGTAGAATTTCAAAAGTTTGCATCCATCAATTAAGATGGATAAAGAATTTGAAAGCTACAAATGCCCAGTAAATATGTGCAGAGATACCCAACCTTACTAAATCATCTAAACTCAAAACTGCCAGAGAGATTCCACTGTGGTCTAGCAGATGGGGGAGTATTTTCGTAAAGAATATATTTACAACATTATAATATCTAATGCTGATGAGGTGAACTTTAGAGAGAATAGTAACATCAATACTGATTAGTGCGAATATAAATTGAAACAATCACTTGAGAGGATAATTTAGCAAGATTTATTTTAAAATTTTTATTTATTTTATTTTCTTTTTATTTATTTATTTATTTATTTTTGAGACGGAGTCTCGCTGTGTCGCCCAGGCTGGAGTGCAGTGGTGCAATCTTGGCTCACTGCAAGCTCCACCTCCCGGGTTCATTACATTCTCCTGCCTCAGCCTCCCAAGTAGCTGGGACTACAGGCGCCCGCCACCTCGCCCGGCTAATTTTTTGTATTTTTAGTAAAGACGGGGTTTCACTGTGTTAGGATGATCTTGATCTCCTGACCTCGTGATCCTGACCTCCTGACCTCAGCCTCCCAAAGTGCTGGGATTACAGGCATGAGCCACCGCTCCTGGCCTAAAATTTTTAAATAGATGCCCTTCTTCCCCTAGAATTACTTTGGCAAGTCAACTGAAATATTAGCAGAAATGCACAAAGCTACATAAAGATGCAAATGTTCCTTGCAATTTCATGTGAAATTGTGTTATATAACAATGTCCATTTCTGCAGAAAAATGAGGGTGATGTTTTTGTCCATGATATAGTATTAAATGAAGAAAGAAAGTTATAGAAAACTACATAAAATATGTCTCATTTTGAGGGAACAATATATTTGCGTGCTCATTGAAAAAAACTCTGGAAGCATATGTACCAAACCTACTATTAATTGAATAGCTCTGGAGAACAGGTTGGCTGTGTGAAAGAGAGACTTTTTTAAAATTCAGTACATCTGTATATTGTTTGCCTTTTCTCTGCCTTGAGTATGTCTTATTTTTAAAATTTAAAAAGATATTTTTAAAAAGAGATAGTGATAAATGGATTGGATCCTGGAACACAAAAAAAGACATCAGTGGAGAAACTGGTGAAATTCAAATAAAGTCTGGAGTGTAGTTCATAGTAAGTATGCCAACATTGCTTTCTTAGTCGTGACAAATGCACCGTGGAAATGTAAGATGTTAGCAATAGAAGAAATGGTGAAAGGTCTATGGGAACACCGTATTGTCTTTGCAACTTTTCTGTAAGTCTAAAATTATTCCACAATAATAAAAAAAATTAATTAACAGAGAGAGTCACACAGGCTTGTAGCCAAGGTATCTTTGGCTGTTGGAATCTTTGGTTCCAGAAAAATTCAGGTTACTACTTGAGCTCCCTTGCTCTGAGAGCTCTATCTCTGTCCTGCAGACCCCCACACAGGGAGACTCCCACCTGGCCTCCTGAGGTCTGCAGAGATTATCTAAGCCAGGCCTACATATAGCTAATATCCCCAGAATTCTGCTCTGGGAAAGCAAGGTATGAGGTCACCCCTACCTGCACCATGGCTGGGCCAGCTTCTCAGAGACTCCACAGTTCCCCCTGCCCTCTAGCCCCAATTATTTTTTTTTTTTTACCTATATCCTTTGTCCAAGCCAGATCCTGCCTTCTCAGTATTCCCCTTCCAACCTAGAATGGTAACAATATGGGCTCAGGGAGAGGTCTGCGGGCTATGTAAGGTTGAGGAGAGGGATGCAGTCTGACAATGGCAACATGGAGCTCATAATAAGAAAAGGATGCACAAAACCTACACCTCGCACCCTTGTCCCCATTGCTGGAGGCCCCAGTGGGAGGAGCTGGCCTGGTGAAATGAGGATGCTGCCAGACGCTGCCTTCTCTCCCCTCCTGCTGGGCTTCGGAGGTTTAGGGCTTTGTAGGTTTAGGGCCAGTCTTCGTAGGTTTAGGACCTTCTGACCAGAAGCCCCTGGAAAGAAGGGCTGAGTCCAGATGACCACTGCCTCTTCTCTCCGTGCAGGCTACACTTCCTGGTGTTTGACACAGAGGAGGTTCACGACGTGCTGCGCATCTGGGATGGGCCTGTGGAGAGCGGGGTTCTGCTGAAGGAGCTGAGTGGCCCGGCCCTGCCCAAGGACCTGCATAGCACCTTCAACTCGGTCGTCCTGCAGTTCAGCACTGACTTCTTCACCAGCAAGCAGGGCTTTGCCATTCAATTTTCAGGTCTGTGCGTGCCCTCTGCCAGCCCCACTCCACATGTCCTGACACATGGCACCCACCTTCCTCTGGCCCTCACTTTCCTTCATCCCTCAGTCCATGTAAAGATAGTTATTGAACATCTGCTATGTGCCTGGTACATGGTTAGCACCTGTTCAAATGTCTGTGCTGAGCTCACTCTGGTAGGGAAGACAGGTGGGTTAATAGACACATACAAATAGGTAAGCATCTGGATGGAGACATACGGTCCATAATGGTCACCTTGGAGCATCAAGGAAGATGTTCCAGAAAAGATGATGTCCAAGCTCAGACCCAACGGACAAGTAGAAGTTACTCAAGAAAAGAAAGTGTTTCAAGGAGCAAGTAGTCATCTATGACAAGGAAAGGTGCCACTGAAATGGACTTTGGAGGACTTGTGCACCCCTATTAGATGGAAAAGAGAGAAAAGGGCATCCTAGGTGCAAAGAACACATGAACAAGTGTAGATGCAGGAATGTGGGCTTTGGAAGTGGAGGGCTACCCCATGTGGCTGAAGCACAGGGAGCAAGGAGGGATGTGGGAGGTACAAGTAGACGGTGGCTTGGGGCATGGTTATGAATAAGCTGATGGGACATGCTGCACGCTCAGGTTCTTAGTTGAGTGCAGATCTCAGCAAAGACTGGAAGTGAACATGAGTCATCTAAATTTAATTAATTAGGCACTGCAATAGCCAATTATGGAGGAGCATGACAAAGAGCTACCCAAAATGGCCAATGCTCAAACATCCAAATCCCAGTATGAGATAATTTATATGATTGGTCCTGCCTCTCCCTGGAATGCATCATCTCATCTCCTCTGAAGTGCCTCTTCCATCATTCCTCCCCCTGATCAAGTGACTCTGCTTCGGTTTCTGCTCGTGTTTATTATACAGCAGCTGTCTTCATTACCATCTCCTTACTCCACTGTGTGTGTGGTGGGAGGGAGGGGGGGAGTTTCCATGGTGATTCCAGAGCAATTTCTTGTGGCACCTGTGCCGTGGCTTTGCCCCCGAGCTCTTTCCCAGTTGGTGTATCAGCTAAGGGTGGTTGGGGTATATCCCTGGCACCACTGAGATTGTTACAGAGTTGCAAATCCTGCTTCTAGCTCTTTTCTGCTACGTCTGTCATCTCTGTGGAAATAAGCATTTAGCAGCGTGGGGAGCAGATGAGAGTCTCCAGGATCACATTGCTTTATACTTATAAATTTGTCCATTTAACACTCATGCATGCTTCTAGTCTAGCATTTTCCATCTATTCCTAAGAGTTCCATGGAATACTAATTGATATTGCAAGAAAAAAGAAGTTTGCATGATCAAGTGATGCTGGGGAGGTGCTCAGGCTGATGCAGACCCAAGGAAATGATCTGCAATATGGGGCCTCTGAGAACGTTTGCTATGCTAATGCCCTTAAATTCAAAAGATGTCTGGTAGGCCACAATTTCCAAACATATTCCATCATGGATGACTTTTTTCAAGGCCATCTCAAGAGACTAACATTTCGTGGAACAAACTTGGGAAGTTGCTGGAATAAGCAATGGAAGGATCTCCCAGCAGTAAGGAGGGTAGAATGCTAAAGAGACGGCTCGATCCACTCTCTGGGGAAAGAAGTATTATGAATAATTAAAGCCAGACATATTTTCTCCAACTGCGCCCAAGCTGATGGGTGCGGCTTAAAAGAAAAGAAAAAGCCCATAATTATGCTGACAAATTCACCCACAGATTTGCATTATCTGACCTCGACTGCATACTCAGTGTAGCCACGCGGGACAGAGTCCCTGGGTGCTCTCCTATGCTGTATGCAGGCTGCTTTCTCATGCATTGCCCAGCTCATGGAAGTCCTATTCATCCTTCAAGGTTCATCTCAGATGCCACTGCCTCCTAATCTCCCCATTCAGAGTAAAACTGCTATAGCCCACGGCACCCTGGCACTTTACTTCTATTTATTCAATACCAGGCATTCTGTCTCGTCTTGAAGCTGGGCACCTACTTGACATCCCACTAAAAGCTCTTAGAAGACAGGGTCATGCCATGCCTCCCGACTCTCTCATAGTGTATGTATGCAGCAGGTGCTCACTCACAGCTTAGTGAGCAAATGGGCACATGAAGATATGAACACATGAATGGATGGTTTTCTCTAACAGAAGGGTTTCCTTGGGCAAGCTGCCCTTAGCATTGCTTAGGCAGAGTAGCATGGTCAAAGCTACCTAGCCTGGGCTCCAGAAAGGTCATGACAGCCTGGCCCAGTGTTATGGGCATAACCAAGGTTTGGGAAAGGTCACCTTCCCTGTTGCTGTCATCAGTTAGCAAATACCAGGACTACTCTAGGGAAGAGAGAACGGCTCACCCCATGTTAACTTTATAGTGTGTATTTGACAGGGGATTGTACAGAAATGCCAGGGACGATTAGTGCAGGCTTGGCTTTATTAAGTAAACATGACTGTGTAACATCTAACATCCTGTCTGTACCACGTGGATCCAGCCTTTCCCCGGGTGCTTTGCCAAGCAGCTCCAATTCAGGAGCATTAAAGAGAGAAAGTGAGAACAAAAAAAAAGGTGAGCGGGAAGCATAATCACAGCCATTCCTATTGAGTGGCTGCCACACTAAGCTCTCCACTACATCAGCTCTTACAATTTTCACAAAACCCTTACAGTATGGGCACCATTATTACTCCATGTTGCAGATGTGGGCTCCGAGGCTTCTCATACAAGGTCATCTAGTTAATAGCAAAAACCATGTGTCTGTTTCTTAAACCTAAGCTGCTAATCATTGTACTCTATTGCCTCCCATATAAATAATCCTTCCAAGTATGGCCAGAACAATGAGCTATTTTTCTTCTAGGGGAACATTTACATGTGTACAGTGCCCTATAAAGCTAGAGATGAAAGCTAAGTCTGATTTTAACTGGGAAGGAAAAAGATTGATGCATATTTGACTTTACAAATAAGTTCAGTAGCTGTCAAATGTTGATATGTAAACAAATGAGTGTGCCTGTGTTCCAGTAAAACTTTATTTACAAAAATAGGCATAGGCCCAGATATGGCCGTGGGCCATAGTTTGCTGTATGCTTCCTTAGGTGTTATTGAGTAGAAGGTATCAGATTGTGTAACTCAAGACTCGTATACAATCCCAGAGGTTATAATTAGTGACATCAGTGTATACAGTTGCCCTAGGCTGCCGCTTCTCAAACTTTTCCGCTGATGTCCTCCTGATAGCAGAAGAGAATGGGTGTGCATCCTCAGGATGTCTGGTGGCTGTAGCAAGCACAAAATATCTTTAAGGCTTCACATTTTTGCTTAAAAACTAATATGAATTTTACCTTGTAATCCAGAATAAATTCTTTTGTTTTAGTATAAAAGTAGTTTTTCCTTAAATTGTTGAGAAAACTGATATTCCAATCAAATCAGTATTATTTATCCTGTGGTTTCAAGAACCTCCTTGCCCTAGAGTGCCCTGAGCACAGGCTATGAGGGATGACATAGCTGGGGACTGGGACCGGGCCCCGCTGTCAGCTCTGGGCTGTGGAGGCAGCCAGGGTTGTTCCAGCTCTTGAGATTCCTTTCTCTGGACTAACTCTTGCACCCATTCCTCCGGTGTGTTTTCTCATGCCACATTTGTTCATTTATTCACCCACTCATTCTCCTATTTATGTATTCCTTCCATCTAGCATTCATTCAGTATTCGCTTATAAAACACCTGCTCTATGTTAAACTAGGTTAGGTAATAGACACGAAGACGTCGCAAATTCCTGAGTATTTTGAATTTTTAATATATCTCAGCTATTTTTGAATTCTTCTCTGCCCACTTGCTACAAATATCTGACTTTTCTTCAAATATGGTTTCAGTCTAATGGATCCTTGGTTGTCTGCCATTGCAAGAGAGAGCATGATCTTGACCTAACTTCAGTAACTCCCGGTAACCTCACAACCACTGCTTAGCATTTAGGCAGGCCAACTCGCAAAGTCCTTTGCAAACCCTTCCAATTGAATACATGGAGTTTATTTGTTTGTTTGTTTTAGAGATGAGCTCTTACTCTGTCACCCACACTCGAGTGCAGTGACATGATCATGGCTCACTGCAGCCTTAACCTCCTGGGCTTAAAGGATCCTCCCACCTCAGCCTCCAGAGTAGCTAGAATAACAGGCAACTATCACCACACCCAGCTAATCTTTTTTATTTTTTTGTAGGGTCAGGGTCTTGCTGTGTTGCTCAGGCTGGTCTCGAGCTCCTGACCTCAAGTGACCTTCCTGCCTTGACCTCCCAAAGTGCTGGAATTATAGGCGTGAGCCACCATACCTGGCAGCATGGAGTTTAGACTTAATTATCTTGTCACTTCCTCCTTCTGATCATGTTAGTTACATTATACAAAATTGCAATGC
Source organism: Homo sapiens (assembly GCF_000001405.40). NCBI lineage: Eukaryota > Metazoa > Chordata > Mammalia > Primates > Hominidae > Homo > Homo sapiens. The sequence goes on along the minus strand of NC_000001.11, from coordinate 33,658,502 downwards.
TTTGTTTATGTAACAATGCTTGTATTCTTAAGCTGAATTCAATTCTATAATTATAACAGTATAATCATGCTTAACTCATAGCATCTCATGACAGGCAGATGACAGTAATGGTGAAGGTACTGGAAGAATGGTAGTGGTGATATCAGTGAGAGTGACAAGTGTGATCACAATTGGTGGTGGAGGCAGTGATAGTAATGGGAGTGAGAATAGTGGCACTGTGGCTACAGCTGATGATGATGATGGGGAGGTTCTGGTGGTTGTGGCAATGCACGGATGATGGCAATCAGTGAGGGTGATGAGCTGGGAGCCTCCTGAGTGGCAGACACCCAGGCGACCTTACCCTCTCTTCTATTTCCTTGCCCCAGTGTCCACAGCAACGTCCTGCAATGACCCTGGGATCCCGCAGAATGGGAGTCGGAGTGGTGACAGTTGGGAAGCCGGCGACTCCACAGTGTTCCAGTGTGACCCTGGCTACGCGCTGCAGGGAAGTGCAGAGATCAGCTGTGTGAAGATCGAGAACAGGTTCTTCTGGCAGCCCAGCCCGCCAACATGCATCGGTACAAAGCAGCTGCAGGGTGCACTCTGCTCTTGGGGCTCACAGTTGTGTGCTCCAGAACCTTCCATGCACAGCAGCTGCATCTTGGGCCTGGGGCCAAGAGAATTGAAACAGACAAAAGTTGCAGAAAACCCATTGTTTACCCTGCTTTGCATGCATGTGTCCCCACACGCACTCACTCACGTTCACACTCTATACACAGAGCACTACAAATTCCTCACTTGCTAAAATTGTCCCAGAGATTTCCAAGTCAGACAGGTCTGTCCCTTTCTCTCTGGCCCAGGCTGTACAGGTCAGAAGGAGGACAGTGGGTCATCTTGGGTAATAAAGGCTAACAGATTCCGAAATGACCCTTCTATTACCTGAAGCAATAGAAGGGCACCCACAGCCTCAGAATGTAAAGAAAAGAACCTTGCTTTTGCTGTTCTCAAGGAAATTATTGGTTACCTGGGTTTTGGTTCTTTTAGGTTTTAGAGATAGAGTCTCACTCTGTCGCCCAGACTGGAGTGCAGTGGCACCATCACAACTCACTGCAGCCTTGACCTCCTGAGCTCAAGTGATACTCCTACCTCAGCCTCCCAAGTAGCTGGGCTTGCAGGCCTGTGCCACCACACCCAGCAAATTTTTGTATTTTTGTTGTTGTTGTTGAGATGGAGTCTCACTATGTTGCTCAGGCTGGTCTGGAACTCCTGGGCTCAAGTGATCCTCCTGCCTTAACCTCCCAAAATGCTGGGATTACAGGTTTTGTTTCTTTAGATCTGTCCTCAGTCTTAAAACCTTCCTGTATGAGAGATGAAGACATGAAGGACCTGAGACTTGTCTAAGGTCCCATCACTTAAAAAGGGTGGGGCCTGAAAAATCCTGCCTCTAACTACTTGAGACTGAGAGGAGGAGGGAACTTGAAGGGAGGCTGGGATGGGAAAGAAAGGTAAATAGATAGAGACAAACCCTCCAGGTGCCCACTTCCACATGTCTATTTTGCTCAGGTGAAATAATGAGTGTTTATCTCCCCTGTCAATGCTGGCTGTTAGAAGAGAAGAGAACCCATGGTCACTGAGTCCTTACTGTGTACTTGCCCCATACTGGACATTTACTTAGATAACCTCATTTAACTTTCCCAACAGCTCTCTGAAATTAGCACCATTTCCTCATTTACACTTGAAACTGAAACTTAGACAAATTTGGATATCTTGTCCCAAATCACAGAGCTAGGATATGGCAGAGCCAAGATTTACACCCACGCCAGTCTGAATGCAAAGCCTCTCATTTTCCTACCTCCCACACTGCCTCCCCTGCTGGAGATGGGTGTAAGGGGCTTCCTGAGACAGCTCCTGCAGGAGCGTCTGCCCTGGCCTGCACCTCTCTCACTCAGGCTTAATGGGAGGCAGTACGCTGCCCAGGCCTCTGAGGACTGGCCTATGACAGTCATGGCTCTGAGGCCTGGCCCTGAAGTTGACACACTAAATCCTGCTCCTCAGTGGGAATTAGGAGCCGCATAGGTATGTGGGGCAGGAGGTTGAGACCTGGGTTTCAGATCCAGCTGAGTTCTTCACTACGTATTCTGCTGTGTAGGGAACAGTATGGGATACTGAAGTAGACACATCCAGATTTACTTTCTAGCTCTGCCATTTACTACTTTGGTGACCTTGGGAAATTACTTCAACTCTCTGAGCCTGAGTTTCCTTATCTCTGAGGGTAAATACACTTCCCTTATGGCATTGTGGGGTGAGGACACGCCTAACCCCAATCTCAAGAAATACTAATTTCCTTCCTTTCTATCTTCCTTCCTTCCTTCTTTTCATCCTTCCCTTCTTCGATTCCTTCTTTCAAGTCTTCAGACTCCCTTCCCCTTCCCTAAGCCAGAATTCCATCTGCTCAAGGGAATTCTGTTGAGGCCCAGGAGAGAATCTGGGAACCTCTGAGGCTCCTTCCAAATTCAGCCTTCTGCAAGGCTGTGATTCCTTAGACTTATTTTACAGAAAAGCAGGTCCTGAGATGAGATTGTCCCAAGTGGAGAAGGAGGATTGTGCTAAGCTGAGGAGAGCAATAAATGTGCAGTGGGTAGGGTGGAGAGGTTAATTCAGTTTTCATCACCCGTTCTTCTACACTCGGCTTTGGGAAATGTTCCTCAGGCAACAGAATAAATGCCTTTGCCTCTTCTCTCAAATGAACTGGAAATCCCAGTGACATGCTTCTGATTTCCAGCTCCCTGGGCGTTCTGCCATGAGCGGGTCTAGCTGGCCCTGATAACCCTTCATTACAGGGAGGAAGCAAAGGAAGAAAACAAATACTCATTGGATGCTGTCCCCGTGATAGGCACCGGGCTAAACATTTTAGCTACATTATTGCAGCTGAAATCACTCTGTGGTGAGGTTAGAGCTCGGGATTCCACTCCCTGGCTCAGGTCTGCCTTCACCACAGCAAGCTGTGTGGCCTTAGACAAATTGCCCAACTTCCCTGTGCCTTAATTTCCTCACCAGTAAAATAGTGAAAATGGTAGTACTTACCATCTAGCATTGTTTTGAGGATTAAAAAAGAAAATACTATAAAGCAATAAGAACTGTGCCTGGCTCATAGTTAGCACTGTGTATGTTAGAAGCCATTATCATCATTATTCTTTTACTTTCGAGATGAGGAAATAGAGGCTCAGAGGGGTGGACAGCTGGCCCAAACTCACACAGCCAATGAGTGGCATTGTCAGAATTTGTGCTCAGGATTGTATGACTTCCAAATCAATGCCCTTTCCACAACTCTCACCCTCAGTCCAACCTGCCCACTTCTTGGCTGTCTAGAAGGATCTGCAGCTTGCACCCACTCCCATCTGGGCAACCATGGTTTAGTAAGCTCAAAAGGACCCCTCGACTAACCCTGAGCAGTAGGAGCCTTCCTGTTGGCGAGGCAGCCCAGGGATCCAAGCAAGGCCTTGGGGCACAACTGGCAGCAGCCAGGGAAGCCCATGCCCGATGCCATGGAACTATCTAGAAGAGATCTGTGCCCAGACAGCAGCCTAGAACCCAGAGACACTGATAGTACTTTGGGGGTTGGTGGGAGAGTAACAGGGGCAGTTTCAGAAACACAGAGACTCACCCCATCTGTGGCAAACTTAAGGGAAGAAGCCCCTGAGCTGGCAAAGGGACGTGGAGGCTGGGAACCAGAATGGAGGCCTCGTTGTGCCCCCTTGGGAAGATTTCCCCAGAGTTGGGACTTCTGATATGACACTGGCTTTCCACTCTCACTGGCCACATCAGACTCTGTTTCTAGGCTGGCCTGGGCAAGGCCACGCTCCATGGACTGGACATTACAGTCTTGCTTTGTTAAGCTCAAGGGTCTAGACTGATTGTACTGGCCTCTGCTTGGCCCCACTTATCTAGCCCTCTGCTCCTGAAGGATTCAGTGGTGGAGACACAAGTGAGACATAAGCAGACCCAACTTAAGGCACCACCTCGCTCAGAAGCTCCTGCAACAACTGTGCTCTCCCTGCTGGCCAGCGGGGAGAAGCACGCCTCCTCTACTCTGGCTACTGCTACCGACTGTATGGAAGTAGAAAGGGGGAAAACAACAGACTTTGGAGCCAGTCCCATGTGAGTTTGAGTCTCAGAGTGACTCTGGGCAAGTTACTTAGGCTTTCTGAGACTCACTTTCCTCCTTTATAAATCAGGAAGAATAATCCATTGCTCATTGAGTTGTTAATGAGACATAAATGAGATAGTGTATCTAAAATGTGATTTGTTAAGTCTAATACGTAATAGATGCCTATTTGAGTGTTTCTGATACTCAGGATGGTTCTTGGGATATATTTTCCCATGGAACAAAAAGCAGACTACTCATGACCACTCGGATTTTATGTTCAGCCACATTAGGGCTCTTATGGCCTGACCTGAAGACCTACCATTTGTTTGAGACCCTGTTAGGGATTGACCCAGCCCTTTAAGCCTCACCCTGAGTAAAAGCCACAGCCAGAGGTGGCTCCATGACACAGCTAAAGTACCAGTGCTCAGCTCTATGACAAGCCAAAGGCTGCTCCTAACTTTGGAGTCAGGTATACCCTTTTGCTCCCCCCACAAAGACTCATCTTGGATTTTCTAGCCAGCCCTTAAATGGCTCTCTGTGTTCCTGTGGGCTCAGTGTTGACAACCTCTGATGGTGCCCTGTGGTTTCCAGACCAAACCATACCTATAGTCTTGGCCATCCTGCTAACGACCCCACACGCTTCCCAGCTCTTACTCTATCCAGTCCTCATGCCACGGTACAGCAGCCCCAGCCATGGAGGAAGAGACCTGATCCAGGCTCTGGGGAAGCTGCCCCAGAAGGTCCCTAGGTAAATAGGTTGCTGTGTCACCTGGCCACTTTCTCCCTCCCCACCTGCTTGAGAGACCTGTCATCTCAGGGGAGGGCGACCACGTAGACTGATTGGGGATTAATAATAGCTCCATACAACTGAGGTACACACATACTCTTGGACAAGGCCTTTTGGAAAGTTGGAAAGTATCTGCAGCCGCGAGCAGATGCCAGGAGCACTGGCAGCGTAGGAGACCAGCTGCGCTTGGCAGGCGAATGTGAGCCTGTTTCCCACTCCTCCTGACATTGAGTGCACGGGAACTCACAGTCAGTACCCACAAAGCTTGCCGGGAAGCCGATGTGAGGCAGTGAAGGAAGGCCATGTACTTCATAGGTGTACAGACAGTGCCGGCTCCGTCTATCAACCATTCACTCTCTACCAAATACTTCAGCAGACATCTCCAATAATCTTTACAACCACCCCACAGAGAAGATATTGTCTCTTTTTATGATACGGGAGAGACATCGAGGGCTAGAGAGGCTAGATGAGTTCCCTGAGTTCACACAGCTAGGAAGTAGCAGGGTCAGGTATTTTTAAAGAATAATTTATTAGGCCGGGCGCGGTGGCTCACGCCTGAAATCCTGTGACTTTGGAAGGCTGAGATGGGTGGATCACAAGGTCAGGAGATCAAGACCATCCTGGCTAATACAGTGAAACCCTGTATCTACTAAAAATACAAAAAAAAATTAGGTGGGCATGGTGGCGGGCGCCTGTAGTCCCAGCTGCTTGGGAGGCTGAGGCAGGAGAATGGTGTGAACCTGGGAGGCGGAGCTTGCAGTGAGCCGAGATCGCGCTACTGCAATCCAGCCTGGGGCTGGGGGACAGAGCGAGACTCCGTCTCAAAAAATAATAATAATAATTTATTGAGGTGAAATGCACCTAACATAAAATTACCTGTTTTTCAATGAACAGTTCAGTGGCATCTGGTACTTTCGAAATGTTGCGCAACCACCACCACTATCTCTGAAATATTCCCACCCTCCAAAGTAGAAGTCCATCATTTCACCTTCTCCTGAGTCCCTAAGCCAGGTTCAACTTCAGCCTGTCAGCCTCAGCCTCTCCTCTCTCAATAGTGCATTAGCAACACCCATGAAAATGAGCCCAGGGTGAAGAGGCAGCCTCACCCTCGTCTTCTTCTCTCCTCAGCTCCCTGCGGGGGAGACCTGACAGGACCATCTGGAGTCATCCTCTCACCAAATTACCCAGAACCCTACCCGCCAGGCAAGGAGTGTGACTGGAAAGTGACCGTCTCACCAGACTACGTCATCGCCCTGGTATTTAACATGTATGTACCTTTCCCCCGGGTGGGAGACGAAGGGTTCAGAGTGGCTAGGGGCTCTGGGACCTGGGTCTCCAGGTGAGTATTCACAGGTCTGTAGCAGAGTTCTCAGCTCCAGGGAGGTGAAGAAGCCGAGAGAGAGAGAAACTAGCATTTATTGAACATCTACGTGCCAAGCACTGTGCTCAGTGGTCTCATGCATATCATCACATCTAATCCTTGTAGTAATTTGTGAGGAAGCAATTATTATTTCCTCTCTACCTCTGAAGATACTGGGACCTGGAAAGGAGGCCTTTGTTGGATGCCCTTGCCCTGCCCTCTGCATTCCCAGTCTGCTTCCCCGGCCCCTTCCACCCCACTCCAGAGGTATAAACAGGCGGGCTTGGGTCCCAGGCACCCCCCCCAATCTAGCTCCTGCACTTGCTTTTCCATTCCTGCTACAGAAAAGCTCTTCAAAAGAACTGCCTCTGCCTTTCTCTACTTCCTCACCTCCCGTTCACTCTCAACCCCCTGGAACCTGGTTTCTGCCTCCATGGTTCTACTGGAAACTCCTCTGATAAAAGCCACCCACGAACTCCTGGTTCCAAACAAAATGGGCCTTTCTGTGTTTTATCCACTCCACCTCTTGATCACCCTTTCCATCCTTAGACTGCTTTTTCCCTTGGTTTGTGTGAAGTTACTCTTCCCAGTTCTCCAAGCTCTTCTGTGACTTCACGTGGACCTCTTGTTAAACCATCTTCTTTTGCCGGGCTTTGTCAAAACCTCCTCTTCTTCCCCTACACCCCTTTCCTGGACAAGTTCGGTCATTCCTGTCTCCACTCTCCTCTTATAAGTGGAAGACTCCATTCTGCTGCCCACCCTGGCTTTATTCTGAGCGTCAGCATCGCTATCCAGATGTTGGGCATCTCTGTCTGGGGCCTGCAGACACTGCAAATGAGCATGTACAAAATCAAGCATATTTTTTCTCCCCCAGAAGAGCTCTGTTCTGAGCCTTGGGGCTGGCATTGACACCTGCTCTCACGGCTTCTTCCACTAGCAGCAACCAAGGCATGCAGCCTCTATCGCCTTCACTCTCCTCATGTATTTCCTCTTCTCCATCCTCCTAGCTCCTGTCCTGGTTTAAGTCCTATCATTTCCCATCTAAATTACTGCCCTCATCTCCTAGCTGGTTCCTCTGCCCCATCTTGCCTCCCATGCCGATCTCTCCCTTAGCTAGCTGTCAGAGTGATCGTGTCACTCAAAAATGCTGAAATAACCACCCTACTTTCCATTTTAACATCCTCTAATGACAGTGCTCAGCAATAAAAAAGAATGAACTACTGATACATGCAACAACGTGGATGAGTCCCAAAAATATTATGCTGAGTGAAAGAAGACAGACATAAAAAAGTACATAATGTATGATTCAACTCCTATAAAATTGTAGGATCAGCAAAACTAATCCCTGGTGAAGAATTCTAATCAGTGTTGGCATCTGAGGGTAGGGAAGGTTGAATGGGAAGGGGCATTTGGAACTCTCTGGGGTGGTGGGACAGTTCTGGGTCTTGATATGCATGTGTCAAAACTGATAGAGTGGCACACCTTAGGGCTGATCATTTCACACGGTGTAAATCATACCTCAATTCAAAAACAAAGAAACAAACAAATAGATCCTTTATTTTTAAATCCTATCATGGCCCTCTATTGCTTATAATAAAGGCCCAAACTTTGGAGTTTCATTCCAAACAATCTGGTGCTTGCCTACCTCTCCAGTCAGCCCCCCACCCCATCCTAAGCCCACCCCATCCTAAGCCCTAAGCTCCAGCCAGATGGAACTCCTTGCAGTTTCAGGGCCTCACGGATTCTTTCATGCCCTTATGACTTTGCCTCTGTTTCTGCCTTCACAGCAACTTCCTGTTCCCTCCTTGTCCTATCTGTAAGGGTCTTCTCATCTCCCAAGACTCAGTTCAGGCTTGATTTCCTCCATAAATGTTTGATTTTTCATCCTCCCCAAGGAACCTTGCTTTGTGTTTCTGCTCTGCCTCGGGCTGACTTCATACATTATTTTGTTGTTGATATATCTGTCACTTCCTACAGCACCATCAATTTTTGAAGGCAGAAGTGGTGTCTTACATGTCCCCATGTCCTTGGCACCTTGCACAGTGCCTGGAATATCGAGGGTGCTCAAAATTTGATGATGGAAGGGAGAGACAGAAAGAAGGCAGTTAGTTAGGAAGTGGTGATGCCATCATTTGTGACCAAGACTCACTCCCTCCGAAACCCTTCGCCGGTGACTTTCAAAAGAGCAGATGTCAAGAAGCTGAATTACAGGGGCAAGAAGACCGTGTCACCCAGCCATGGTGTGTTGACCCCGCAACTGACACCAGTGTGACAAGGTGCCAGGTGGGAAGGAGGCCAGTGCGCATCTGGCTCTGTGCCCCGTGCCTCCCAGTCCCCCATCCTGTCTCTTAGCCAGCCTTATCTCCTTTGTCCTAGAGATGTATGACCTCCTCCCCCTGCTATATATCTTAGCCAAAAGGTAGAACAGTCATTTTACTCTCAATCTCAAATAGAGTACAGTAAGTCCTCAGTATCATCAACAGGTTCTTGGAAACTGTTGACTTTAAGTAAAACAAAGTATAGCAGGTCTTCAAATGTTTCCTTCAATGTCATTTCATTATATTGTTTTTGTTTTGTTTTGTTTCTGAGACAAAGTTTCATTCTGTCACCCAGGCTGGAGTACAGTGGCACAATCTTGGCTCACTGCAACCCTTCCTTCCTGAGTTTAAGCAATTCTCATGCCTCAGCCTCCCGAGTAGCTGGGATTACAGGTGCATGCCACCACACCCAGCTAATTTTTGTATTTTTAGTAGAGACAGGGTTTCGCCATTTTGGCCAGGCTGGTCTCAAACTCCTGGCCTCAAGTGACCTGCCCACCTTGGCCTCCCAAAGTGCTGAGATTACAGACATGAGCCACTGTGCCCAGCCTGTATGTTGATGAGAAATAAACAATTGGTTTTGTTATATGTCATTTCACTTAAAGTCATGGTTTCTGAGAGCCTGTGGACAATGCTGAGGACTTGCTGTATCTGAGTATCCCAGACCATGGCTGGGCAGGAGCAAATTTGCATCTGAAATCTATTCTCTGCAAGCTCATTTACTTTTCTATTGTTTTCATCTTTGCACACTTGATTGGTATCAATTGCCTTTGTTAGATATATACTTAAGAGTGGAATTGCTGCACCAGAGCACAGGCATACAGGGGGGACTTCAAAAAGTTTGTGGAAAAATTGAATTTAAGATGAAAATAAAAAATATAAACTTTATTACTCAACATAAACTCCATCAAGTTCAAGACACTTTTGTAACCAACTATTCCAGTCATTTTGTCCATCCCTAAAGAACAGAGGGTCCTGGTAATTTAACCATGTCAATGTAGTCTTTTTTACTTTATTAACGGAAGAAAAAATGGGTGCTCTTTAAAGATTTTTTTAAGATTAGAAAACAAAAAGCAATAAGAAGGAGCCAAATCAGGACTGTAAAGTGGATGCCTAATGATTTCCCATTGAAACTCTTGAAAAATTACCCTTGTTGGATGAGAGAAATGATCAGGAGCATTGTTGTCGGGCAGAAGGAGTCTCTCTCGAAGCTTTCCAGGCACTTTACTGCTAAAGCTTTAGCTAACTTTCTCAAAACAAACTCCTAAGAAGCAGATGTTATCATTCTTTGGCCCTTCAGAAAATCAACCACAAAATGTCTGGAGCATCCATAAAAAAGAAAAAAACCCATTACCTTGACCTTTGCTCCACTTTTGCTTTGACTGTACACTTCCATTCCCTGGTAGCCATTGCTTTGATTGTGCTTTGTCTTCCGGATTGTACTGGTAAATCCATGTTCCATCTCCTGTTCTTGGGAGAAATGTTTCAGGATCTTGATCCCACATTTTTTAAATTTCCACTGAAAGCTCTGCTTTTTTTTTTTTTTTTTTGAGACAGAGTCTCGCTCTGTCACCCAGACTGGAGTACAGTGGCACAATCTCTGCTGACTGCAAACTCCACCTCCCGGGTTCATGCCATTCTCCTGCCTCAGCTTCCTGAGTAGTTGGGACTACAGGTGCCCACCACCACGCCTGGCTAATTTTTTGTATTTTTAGTAGAGACGGGGTTTCACCGTGTTAGTCAGGATGGTCTCGATCTCCGGACCTTGTGATCCGCCCACCTCAGCCTCCCAAAGTGCTGGGATTACAGGCATGAGCCACCATGCCCGGCCAAAAGCCCTGCTTTTGTCTGCAGCTGATCTAGGCACAATGGTTTTGACACCCATCAAGTAGAAAGTTTGATCAACCTTAATTTTTTAGTCAAAATTGTGTAATCTGAACCAGTCGAGATGTCTATGGTGTTGGCTTTCGTTAGTGCTATTAATCATTGGTCCTATTCAATTAGGACACAAACAAGATTAATTTTTTTCCTCTCCAACTGATGTGGAGGTCCGCCTTGGCAGGCTTCATCTTCATTATCATCCCCTCCCTTCGTGAAACAAGTTATCCATTTGTAAACTGCTGATTTCTTTGGGTCATTGTCCCCATAAACTTTTTGTAAAGCATCAGTGATGTCACCATTCTTCTACCCAAGCTTCACCATAAATTTAATGTTTTTCCTTGCTTCAATTTTAGCAGAATTCATGTTGCTCTGATAGAGGCTTTTTTCAAGCTGATATCTTGTCCTTCTTAATGCCTCACATTAGATCCTGTGCAGACATGTTATAACAAGTTAGTGTGAGTTTATTTTGGTGCAAAAAACTTTTGAACTCCATGCATAATTTTTTCGTAATATGCATTTTCCATCATTTTCACTCGAGCCATTCCAGTGGGATAAATTACATTCATGAACTCTAATATTCAATTTGCTCAACTAAGTTTTTAAAATGGATTTTTCTCTCATACCAGGGTCAGAATAGCTAAGGGTTAGGACATTTGTGGGTGCTAGGCGTGGGGCAATAGCAGACCCTGAGGAGAGCTGGAGCACTGGCTTGGGATGAAGGCACAAAGCTAGGGTCCTTCATGGTAACAGGTCCCTTCCTCCCTGAGAATGGCACCATAGTTGGCTCATTCTCTCTTAGAAAATGAGGTTCAGAAGAGCACAGTATAAGGACATTAGTGTCAGGTAAGAGAGTTGGGTTTTGGACCTACTTTGGTTGACAGCTTGGTGTCCAGAGTTGGCAACTCATTTTCCCTTCTGTATAAGGAGGACGTTAGGTTTTCAGCTCCAGATTTTTAGACACTGACTGGAATCTGACTCCTCTGCCCCTGAGCCTGCCTCTTCCATCTTCTCACCTGACTGAGGTCATCAGGGCCTCATCTTCTCCCTTCCCACCAGCCAGTCTTCAGGGGTTGGGTACCAGTGGGATGGTGGGCTTGCTCCCTGGGAGGCCCTATGCTTTGGTTGAGCCTAAGACCCCGGCAAAAGCCTTTATTTGACCTTAGTGGGGTGGGGGTGGGATGTTTTTGTTCCCCAGCTTTAACCTGGAGCCTGGCTATGACTTCCTCCATATCTACGACGGACGGGACTCTCTCAGCCCTCTCATAGGAAGCTTCTATGGCTCCCAGCTCCCAGGCCGCATTGAAAGCAGCAGCAACAGCCTCTTCCTCGCCTTCCGCAGCGATGCATCTGTGAGCAATGCTGGCTTCGTCATTGACTATACAGGTAAGGGCCCTGGTGCCAGAGAGTACTGAGGACAGGTCCAGCTAACAAGGCAGAGGGCAAGTAGTGTAGCGTAGTGAGGAGAGCCCTGGGCTGGACCACAGCAAGCCCACACCAACCCTAGCACTGCTGCCGCCTGCAGAAACCTGCCTTTCCTGCGGCCCCCATCTGGGCTTAGTCTTTCACCCCTATATTCTCCAGGGGTGGGAAAAAAGGGAACCAGCATTCTTTTTGCACCTCATCTATTTCCAACCACTAGTCCTCTTCTCTTTTTCTATGAGGGTCATTCCTAACTCTATTTCAACCTCATAGCTATCAGCTGGTATCTTCCTTCACTCCACTTCACTAAAGAGGATTCTGATATGAGGCACAATCTTCCTCTCCACTCAGAGCTTCTCACCATCCTGGGTAACTTCAACATCCCTATGGACAGCCCATCTAATCCTAGGGTCATGGTGCTTAGACCTCTGTCCCAAGGACACTCCTTGGCCACACTCTGACACCTCGTCATAGACTGGTCACTTTCTGATACCTCCTGATCACATTTGCTCATCCTTCCAGCTGTGCTAATTAAGGCAAGTTCAGTAGTGTTGTGGTAGAGAGCAAGAGTCAACAATTTTTCCCCTAAAAATAGTAAATATTGTAGGTTTACCTATCACAACTACTCAGCCCTACTACTGTAGTGCTAAAGCAGCCACAGACAAAACAGAAAGAAATGGGCGTGGCTGCATTTGAAGAAAAATTCACTTACAAAAACAGGCTGTCCCTGCCCAGTTAAGAGCATTGACTGTCAAATTAATTGGATTGAAAGTTCATGTTTATGACTTAACATTTGCGTGACCTTGGATAAAGCATTGAACCTCTTGAAGCCTCCATTTCTTCCTTTATAAAACGATGGTAGGAAAATTCCTGCTTCATAGAAATGTAAAGATCAGTGAGTCCACACATGAAAGTCCTTGGTACAGTGCCTGGCACATATCATGCATTCTGTAATGTTCAAGTATCATTAGTAGTAGTAAGAGGAGTTCCAGGCTCTCGAGCACTCCACTGTCTTCTACGCTATTATCTCTTTTTGACCTTTTAGTCTTCCCTAATTATCCCAAATCCCATTATCTAAATCCCAGCTCCCTTCCTTGCTTGATTTGTGAGCTTGACAAGTATTATCTCTTGGAACATCATCTACAAATTGTTGCTAGTAATAATTATGTTGCAGGAGGTTAAGATTAAAAGATATTTTATACATGCATATTTTATATATGTGTGTGTGTGTGTGTGTGTGTGTGTGTGTGTGTGTGTGTGTGTGTGTATAATGCTCCATATGTACTAAACACTCTACAGATGCTCTGGGAATGATAGATTTTGTTATTGTTACTATAACCCGGGTTCACCCAGGCCTCATCAGCCTGAGCATACAAATGGGGTCGCATTACCAGCTAAAATTAAAAATTTTCTGGCTCATGTTCCCCACTTGCATAACATAAGACCTCAGATACCTTTTAAAGTGTCCCCTAATTAAATATTTCCGGCCACCCCTGGGAATATCTCACATGAGCTCACACATAACACTAATTAGAACAATGGCAAACTTAGTGTTTTCCCACTGCCAGCACCAGCCTAAGTGCTCTATATCCATCAACTCATTGGACTCCTCATAGTTCTTGATTATCTCCTGTTTGTCGGGTACAGTTCTAGAAGACTGGTGTGCAAAATGGAGAATGTTTTACTTGTAGTCTTCTTGCCTCACGGGGCTGGCCTAGGCAATGGATATTCTGCCATCCTTTCTTCCTCCAGGCACCTGCCATTTGGTAAACCTCCTGGGCCCAAACCCTCTTCCACACACTGATATCAGCACAGTCAGACACTTTGGAATTCTAACAAACAGAAGCCACAACTTAGACCCAGTCTGGGACCTCCATTGCTCCCACCACCACCATCCCCACTGCCATATCATCACCATTTCTTATTATTCATCTCTTCCTTCATATTCTCATCAGTACCCTCAATTGTCCTGCCCGCTAGTCCTCCAAGTGCATAAACCTTGCAAAACTGTACCCTTTGTTGAACCCACACCCACACAGCTGAGGACACCCAGACAAAGCTGCACAAACGTGATACTTAGAGTCACTACGAGTGATGTCCTTTCCCCCAGCCAAGCCTTAGCAACCACCAGAGCTGCCTCCGACTTGACCCAACTGAGTTCTTCTTGGCAGAGATTCCAAAATTCACCCCAAATGTCACCCCGTCAGCCTCATTTTTTATAAGATGATTTCATTTCAGCTTCCCTGGATACAGTAAGCTATTGGGTAGAAACCCCCTGAGCTTCCTCTCCAGTCACCTTGTTCATGCCTACCTGCCTGTGGCCATCTCTCCCCCAGGTCTTCTCCAAGGAAATTCATGGTCCGAGAGCCATACTTTCAAAACCTCTTTCCCAGTGAAGTTCTTTCCACTTTTGCCTGTTGACCCAAGGTGGGTATCTAGAGGGGTCTTTAGGTCTAAACCATAACCCGGGGAATAAGACCTCCCCAGCTGCCATCGGAGCCAGCCAAGCAGCCAATTACTGGAGAGAGGGGAGAAGAGAGGCACATCCTACAGACGTATCCCCCATCACCCTATTAGGATCTGTAGTGCAAGTACCAAGATAAAGATAACTATGTGTGTTTGAGGGGTAGGGGGTGCCTGTTGGAAGCCTCAAGCATCCTTCATTATTTCATTTGTTCCTTCCTTCCTTCCTTCCTTCCTTCCTTCCTTCCTTCCTTCCTTCATTCCCAGACTACACACCTCCTAATATTAGTCACCCTCTACTATCTCCCTGGGCCTCTGGTCTAGTAGCCCATTTGGTGGAACCTAGGGACCCCTACCTTACCCTCTGGTCTGCTTCTGCCTATGCCAGGATCCCTGGATTCCTGGAATGGGTCTACTTTGCTATCAGGTCCCATGGCTTTGAGGATATTTTCCCATGTACACTATCTTTCTTTATAGGGTAGGCTCCATCACTTCATAACTGTATGCCCTGAAACAAGTTGCCTAACTCCTCTGAGCATTGCTTCCTCATCCATGAAAAAGGGACAGTGACACTAAACGAAGGAGTTGTTGTGAGGATTAGCACATAGGCACAGCATCAAGCAGAGTGCCCAGTGCCAATAAGTATTTGATATGTACTTTGATCCACCCACTTTCATCCCACCTCCTTTTTCCTACGTCACTGGTATTGCATTTGTTGTGCCTTTGTTTGGAAGGGAGAATGGGGCTAACCCAGGGGAACACGGTACATGTTCTTTTCTGTTTACTGAAGATGTAAAGTGTGAGCATAATGTTTTGCACATGTAATAAGTGTGGGATATTTATAACATGAATATTTGTGATAGACGTATGTGTCCCATATGCTTTGCCAGCCCATAGCAAAGAATTTAGACATTCCACACCCTGTAAGTCTGGAGAGAACCATAGATGGAGAGGCAGCCCACTGAGGACCTCCACAGGGAGGCAGGGCTGGGTCCTCAGGAAAAGCAGAATTGGCCTCTGCATCCAGGAAGCATCTGTGTCCATGTCTTTTAGAGAGATCCAGGGCTCTGCTAAAACTGAGAGTCTGGGTATCCTGGGAGCTGTGGCTTCAGGGGTCTTGCTTAGGGAGGTGAAAGGGGCCTACGAGCGCCCCACATAGAGAGATGTTGCTGGACTCAGTTGGGCTCAGCACAGGGGAAATTACTCTCTGAGATTAACCCTTCCCCTGACCCAAGGCAGAGAGACCAGGAGCCTTTCTCCACACACAGCTTCCCAAGTGAGAAGCAGAAACAGTTTGGTAGAATCTTAGGAAATATCAAAAAACCACTCAGAGCAACTTAAGCAAACAAAGGGGTAACTTATTATAAAAACACAAGAAACAGAAACCCACTCAAAACAATCTGACACAAAAAGGAGACATGATTATGAGAAAACAACTAACAGCCTAAGTAACTTAAGCTAAAAGGTTTCTATATTTTAACAATACAGATAACAATAACTCTGACACAAAAAAGCAAAATACTTTTAGAATACAAGAGCCCAAGGGCAGAAAGCATAAACTCCCAAAGGACTGGAATCAGGATGGCAGAGGCACAGACTGAGACCATCATCCGCACTCCAGAATCGTTCTCTCTCCTCCCTGCCTCCTTCTGAGCACTTGCTACATTCTCCCCTCCCTGCAGATCAATTTTCCTTGCTTTTCCATTCTCCTGGGATAAATGTGGCTGTCTCACTCCTGACTTTTTTTGTTTGTTTGTTTGTTTGTTGTTGTTGTTTTCTTTCCTTTTTTTTTTTTTTTTTTTGAGACAGAGTGTCACTCTGTCACCCAGGCTGGAGTGCAGTGGCGCAATCTCAGCTCACTGCAACCTCCACCTCCCAGGTTCAAGTGATTCGCTTGCCTTAGCCTCCTGAGTAGCTGGGATTACAGGCATGCATCACCACACCCGGCTAGTTTTTGTATTTTTAGTAGAGATGGGGTTTCGCCATGTTGGCCAAGCTGGTTTTGAACTCCTGACCTCCAGTGATCCACCCACCTTGGCCTCCCAAAGTGTGATACAGGGTGTGAGCCACCGTGCCCAGATCACTCTTGGCTTTGAATCACTTCCCAGTTTAGATTCCAGTTTCAGATCCCAAAGGATCATCTGAGGGAACAGGCTTAATTCAAGTGTCCACTGAGCAGCATCATGGGATTAGGCTTTTGCAGAAGGGGCAAGAGCAGGTCAGGCATTTTTATTTATTTATTCATTCGGTAAATACGAATTGAGCAGCTACCATATGCCAGACCTTCTTACAGGGGCTGAGAACAGACCAGAAAACCAAACAAAGTCTCTGCCTCCATGGAGTTCACATCCTCGTGACAACTAGACCGACGGACCCTTCTGTAGATGAGATGTTGGAAGCCCACCTGGTTCTAAGGCAAAGAGGGGTGGGTTTTTAGATGTCTCTGTTCAGTTGCTTCTGAAGGGTGACTGTAGTGTCTTAGTCATCTCTGGGCAGACTTTCTAGGAGATGATTCTGAATGCAGTCATGTCATCTGTGGATTTCTATTAGACCATTGATCAGAGGCACTTCTATTCTGAATTCATCCTCCTGGGTGGCTTTACCCTTTGCTAAAAGGAAACAAAGAACAGCAGGGATCCTGTGTTTTGGATACAGTTACCAAAATGGAGTCACAGGGAGGTTTATGTCTTTCTCCAGGCCACGGATATCAACAGAACCAGTGGGGTGGAAGGACCTTTATTCTCATATACCAGCATGTGTGGCAGCCTTTTCCTAGGCAGGAATGTGCTGAAACATCCACGCACATGCAAGACATATTCATTCATTCAACAAATGCTTGATGACTCCTACTTCATGCCATGCCCTCTGCTGGGTGTTGAGAATACAGCAGGGAGCAAAGTAATCATCATCCCTACCCTAATGTAACTTACAGGTGAGTGAGGGAAACAGCAAGAAGTAAGAAGCATAAGAAGTTAGGAAAGAAAACAACAGGCTCCTCTGAGAAACAAATCAGAAGGGTTGCTGTGAAGGCCTCTCTGAGCAGGATCCATTTAGACAGAGCCCTAAAGGTTAAGTAGAAGCCCTCTGTGCCAGAGTGGGGGCCAGGGGCGTTTCAGAGGGAAGAGTTTGAAGTGTGTGTTAGAGAATCTGAAAGAACACAGGAAAGACCAAAGTGAATCGATTTTTAATGGAAGGTCCTAAAAAGCATGTATTTTCTCTTTCAAGCCCTTGGAAGTAACACTGTGGGCCTGGAAGCTACGGCCACACCTGCTACCACCCCTATTCCCACCACCTGCTGCTGTTATGGGTCATTCTTCTTAAATGCAAATTAGAACTATCTTATATTCTGCCTCCTTTTAAAGGAATGCATGTTTGTTGGAAAAATTCAAACAATATATAAGCATATAAGATATACTCTTAAAGACTTAGCATGCCCCCAAATACCATCATCCCGTGCAATACCATTATTAACAGCTTGGTATCTCATTTCGGATACTTTCTATAAATATAAAGTAATGTAAAGTCTGTATCAGGAGTTGGCAAACTTTTTCTGGAAAGGGCCAGAGAGTAAGTATTTTTACTCCAGATGGTCTCTGTTGCCACTGCTCAGCTCTGCTTCGTAATGCTAAAGGCAGCCACAGACAATATGTAAACAAATGGCTGTGTTCCAGTAAAACTTTATTTACAAAACCAGGCAGCCACCGACCTGTGGGCTGTAGTTTGCTGATCCCTGTTCTATATGAATGAGATTGCACCATATGTACTCATCTGTAATCTGATTTTTTTGTATGTGAGCCCAAGAATAGATCTTGGACTCCTTCCCATATCAGTATTCAAAGAATAGTGCTATTCTTTTAAAAGGCTGCTAGTGTTTCAGTAGATGGCCCTAATCCACCCTTTGTAACCAGTTCCTTACTGGTTGAATGTTTGGGTTATATTCAGATTTTTGCAGTTATAAGGTTTGGAAGTAAGCCTCATCTATTAGGACCAGAGAGAAGCTGGCTCTTCTCATTTTCCCATTTTGAAGGGCTTGGGTTTTATTTATTATAATCACCATGATGTTTTAGTCATTTAGTGTTATCATTCACAGCTGAGCTTTGGTTTGGCTGACTAAAGACCTGATTTTGGTCTTAATTCTACCTCTAAATAGCTGAAAGGCTTGGAAGACTCATTTGGCCTCTCTGATCACCATATTCCTCATCTATAAACTGAACATGAGCATAACCGGCCCTGCCTTCTGCAGAGGGTATTGTGAGACACAAATGAGATAACGGCTTGGAAAGTGCCTTGAAAATTATGAAGTGATATTCCTATGTAAGGGGCTATCATCACTGTCATTATCCATGTCATTATTATTAATGTGGTAATGCTTGGGATGATGAGCTCATCTTTCTCTTACGTGTGAGTAAATATAGAATAGAGTCTGTAGTTGGAATCGTTGATGTGGTTGTTGATTTTCCAAGCCTCAAAGTATTCAGCCAAACAATTCAGCAGCCATTTATTAAGCCTCTATTATGTGCCAAATAGGGCTAGCCTTGGTGCCAAGTTCTGTGCTAGTTGCCAGGGTTATGAGAAGATCAGGTGATGAACCTTCTCCTCCAGGAGTTCAGAACCTACTGGAAAGAAATACCCTTACCCAAGTTACCAAAATAGCGTGATACATGTTATAACCAGGGAAAGAAAAACAGAATTCTGCCAGAGAGAAGGTGGCATTAAAAGTGTAGGATTTTGCCACACAAATAAGGAAAGAAAGGACATTCTGACATCTGTAAAGTTCTGGGCCAGTCATTCCCAGCTAGGGTCCAATGCTGGTGCAGCAGTTACCCAAAAACACAGTTGCCTGAACAAGGTAGACATTTATCAGACTTCCTATAAAAGAAATCTGGAGGACAGCGCCCAGGATTGATGAGGGAGCTCCACCTTGGCTGCTTTTGTCTCCCTACTCTACCATGCTAGTCCATGGATCCCATTTCAACGTTATCTCCGATCCAAGATGGCAACTGAGGTTCCAGCCATCATGTCTGAGTTCCAGACTGAGAGAAGGAGGAAAGATGCAAGGAAGGAAAGGCCAATAAGCATTTCCCTCAGCTGAGTCAACTTCCCTTAAACAGTCTTTTTAAAAGTTCCACAATAATCCACTGAAGATATTTGTTAAGTGCCCACCATGTGACAGACACTGGAATATGGCCGTGAACAAAACTGAACAGCTGCCCTTCTGAAATCTATATTCTAGTGGAGGAAGACAGAAAAAAATAAGGTCAATATAGAGTCGATGAGAGAGTATTAACTGCAGTGGAGAGAAATATAGCAGAGGAGGGTGTTGGGGGCATTGGGGAGAGGAGTATTGCAATTTTAAGTAGCTGCTCAAAGAGTGTCACTGAAGGAGAAATTGAGCTAAGTCCTGAAAGAGGTAAGACAGGGAGCCACAAAGACCAGAGGCCAGTGTCGTTGGAGCAAAGCTAGCATAGAGACGACAGGAGCTGAGGTCACAGAGGGGACTATTGGGGCCACATGTGCAGGGCCTTGAAGGCCTGTAAGGATTTTGGTTTTACCCCAAGTGACACGGGAGGCTATTGGATTGTTTTCAGCAGACATGATCTAACTCGTGTTTACACAAGGAGGCTGGGAAATGTAGAATTTAGCTGATGCCTTCAAGCTCTGGATAAAATTGGAGTTCTGTTATTGATGGATGAAGGTGGGGAAAGTGGTTATTGGGGACTACAGCTAGTTTTGCCTCTTATGAGCTGTGTGAACTTTGATTCCAAGTTACTTAATTTTTCTGAACTTTAGTAAGATTTAACCCACTTTGAATTTATAAAAAGGATAGATGAAACAAAAGACATGATGACAGGTCCCTGGATCTCTATGACTCACATATGGGTCACCCAGTGGCCAGTTCTATTCTGGCCAGAGACACTAGGCATATGGAGAAGACAGATTTGATAAAGGAGGTCAAGGCAATGCATCACGGGGCACATGAGGAAACCACTGAGGAGTGCCCTGTGACGAGTGGCCATGTTGTCGGTCCCACTTGGGTTTAAATGCAGTAGTGCATCCAGAGCTGCTCCACTCTCAGCTGCGGGCAACGACTTAAGGTGCAGGATCTTCTCACATGCTCCTGTGCAATAGTGAGACTCTCAGAGTTCCATCCCATCAGTCAACCAGATGATTGGCAGCTGAGTGACAGCCTCAAGTAGTGGCCGCCTCCTGTGTAGGTAATCTAAAAGGTACCCAGGTGACAAGGACGGCCCTCAGCAAAATTCCTCCTGAGCCATTCATCTCTGATGAATGAACACTGATCCCTTCTATTCTGGTTCTTCCCTCCTTAACTCCACTCTTTGAATTTCTGAGTCCTTCTGCAAGGACTGTCAGCACCCTTTTGTGAGTCCCCATCTCTAGACCTCTCTGTTGCCCCCCAATAATGTATCCTCCAAAATGCTCATCAGTCAACCTGATACTCAGTTGCATCTCCCTGGTACTGACTGGCCTCAGCTGTATCCTGTTACTGCCCAGCCCTGGTGACAACCCTCTTGACCATCAGTTATCTTAGAACAAGGAGGACGGAGGAAAGGTAATCATGCATAGAAGCGTGAGCATGGGCTCCCAGTTGCTGCTCAGGATTTCCAGCTGATGGTGAGGGATGCTGGAGAGTGTCCTACTCCAGAGATTTGGGACTTGGACTAGTACTCTCAAGCCACAGGCAATGTCAAGAGTGGTCTTGTTTGATGCAGAGCGACAGAGTAGAGGACTGTTTATTCATAAACTGTATGACTGATAGGGAAGACATGTAAGGGTCAATAGCCACATGAAAAAAATACTGTGGTTTTCATAAACTGGCAAGCACCCAATACCCAGTGCAGAGCCCTGGAAAACTGCACTGGAGACATCAACTTATCCCACCGGTCGGGTAACCCAACCCAGAGGTGGAAGTGAGTTTTGTACTTCCTCCCTGAATCTAAGTATTGGTACCCATGCACTCAGAAGAACCTGCAACAGATGGGTATGACTGGGCCTGCAGAACAGATGCCAGCTCTACTCCCCAGCCAGTGGTACAGATGGGGCAGAAGAGAGAGGAAGAGAAAGAGCATCTCCAAAAGCAGACTGTCTGCCCTGCTTCTCAGGTGAACACAAAAGGCCAGGAGGCTGCTGAGTGTGGGGGGTCAAAGATGAGTAAAGTGATGGGCTGTACCTAAGCACTGACCTTTACCACAGTGACCCTGCCGGCAGCTGAGATGTGGTCCAGGGACTGTCAGCCCCCACCAGCCAGAGAAACACATGTTTCCCTTGGGGAGGAGCAAGCAGGGGATGAGAGAGGGCCTCAGCGATTTTGCTGGGCCTCCTTCCTCTGTGGGTCAAGGCAAGAACATGGGGGGAGGAGGGGAAATTGCCCTCTTCAATGTGATTTCCATCCTTCAATTTCTACCCAAATTTAGAGACGTTTCTAGACCTGAGGGGAATAGGAGCCACAGTCACGCATCCCCGTGTGCTCTGTGGCTAATTAAAGTCGGGTTCTCCTCATGGGCACTGGAGCCCAAGAATAGCCTCCTCATGAGCCCTCTGTGTGTGTGCACGTGTTTGTATTTCTTTTTCCCAGAAAACCCGCGGGAGTCATGTTTTGATCCTGGTTCCATCAAGAACGGCACACGGGTGGGGTCCGACCTGAAGCTGGGCTCCTCCGTCACCTACTACTGCCACGGGGGCTACGAAGTTGAGGGCACCTCGACCCTGAGCTGCATCCTGGGGCCTGATGGGAAGCCCGTGTGGAACAATCCCCGGCCAGTCTGCACAGGTGGTGGAAGCCTGGGGATGGCAGGGGTCTGAGGAACTGAGGGCATGCCAGGGGCAGAGGGTGCTGTGGGCTGGGGAAGGGAGGGGGGCAAGGTCCTCAAGCCCGGCTCCTCCAAGCCTGGCAAACCTGGGTTTGCCGTGGATGTGTATAGAAGTGGCTTATAATTCACTAGGTGTGCAGTTCCTTTCAAGGTATCATCTCAGAACCCATGGTGTCCCTACCCCCATTCACATAGATGCTCATGCCCTCAACAGAGGCCCCCAGACATGCCACATCAGGGAGCTCACACCAGGGAGAAGTCATTTAAAGGTGGCTCCTGGACTAGTTCCTAGGCCTAGGGAAAATCACTGAGAGATCAGATATGTTGAAGTAAGGCCCGCAGGGTGTGCTGATTCCAGGTGGGTCTGGGTGAGCCATGGGGGTCCTGACAAGAGAGATAGGAATGAGTATCAGGGCTTTAAGAGCTTGGTGACCACCCATTGAAAAGCCAAGCATACCCCCTTTGTCATGGTAAGAGAGGCAGGCTCAGACCCGCCCCTTGTGGAAATTGGGCACCTTGGAGAGGAACAGAAGGTGGCTGGGTCACATGGGCTGGCCACTCCCCATGGGGTTAGTCCGGGGAAGCTTCAGCTCCCTATTCACACTGACACTCACTGTCCAGGTTAGATGTCAGCCAGGGCAGCAGATCATTTCTAGGCTCCACGTGTAAGCAGAAGAGGTTCCTAATGTGCTCCCTAAGGCTGTGACTTCAGGGACCAATGCCAGGGTTAATAGGTAGAGGGCAAGAACTGACACCTGCCCAAGAGGGCCCTCGGTAGCTTCAGGGCAAGTTTCAGGCTACATGCCAGGCCAGGGGTGCACGTTCTTGGGCAGGGCAGGGTCCGCAGGACTTGCCTTCTCCAAGCTAGGGCCTGCCCACCTCAGGGCAGCCCTACTGGGGCCAGAAGCTCAGGCTGGGGCAGAACAGAGGATGGTCACTGGTAAGAGGCCCACAAGGTCACCTGACTCTCTATCTGGTTTCTCTTTCAGCCCCCTGTGGGGGACAGTATGTGGGTTCGGACGGAGTGGTCTTGTCCCCCAACTACCCCCAGAACTACACCAGTGGACAGATCTGCTTGTATTTTGTTACTGTGCCCAAGGACTATGGTATGGGTTTTGGTTGTTGTTGTTCATATGTTTTCTGACTCCTCACCCTCATTCCAAAATGAGCAATTCCTCAGACGCCTCCCAATTATATACAGCCCCATTGTGGGAATCGCAGAACAGTCTCCCCAAAAGGACGGCCGAGTGCTGACGTTTCTCAAACGGGCTGCAGAATACATTCCGGACACAAGAGGGCAGAAGGGCACAAGTGAGCCCCGCCAGAACCAAGGGGACAGAGTTGGTGAGAAACTGGCCAAGACAGAGGGAAGGCAAGGTGCCCCAGGGGACTACCCAGTATGGCCCAAGTCCTAAGGGAGGTGCCGCAGATCTAGACCTGTTAGGAACCCAGGGTGAGTGGCCAAGGAGCAGGAGGGAGGAGAGGAATGGGATGGAGCTGGGCTTGAAAGTGCAGGTGAGGGAGACCAGGAGCCACATCATTCTGGTGTCCCATCTGAGAACCAAAGCCTGGTCCAGAAGCTATAGGTAGGACAAGCAAGAAAAAAGTGAAAAGCAGACCAGTGCCCTGGGAAGACAGAGAAACTTCCAGATTCCAAGAGATGTGGGCAGAAAAACCAACCCAGGCTCATTACCTGGTTGGCAGTGGGGACATTCAAGAGTCCTGCCAGCCTTGGAGGCATTCAGGAAGATGAAGGGCAACCAGGTGACCAGGCTGGCTTCTTTCTTCCTGGATCTCCTCTTTGTAGGAGGACTAACAACCATATCTAAACACAATTGATGTTGGATGTGGCAAAGGACATCAACATGTCCCGACCACCCAGGGGAGGAGCAGGACGGAGGGAGCAGCCTGCAGAGAGCCAGCTCCTTATTCCCCAAGACAGGATGGGCAAGCACAGAGCAAGGCCTGATGCTTGAGGCGTTCGCCAAACATTTAGTAAGCACCCATTGGGGGCCACGCACTTTACTGGGTCCTGGAGTTGCAGAGATGAGAGAGACATGTTCTCTGTCCTCTATAAATTCCCAGTCTCATCTCTACCCATAGCTCCAGCCATCAGTACACCCACTCCTGCCCCAGAACCAGGACACCTATGTACATGTACACACACTCCCCAATATACTGAGGTGGCAGGGGCCTCAGACCTGCAGGATCGCAGTTAGAAAAGTCCTGAAAGGCTGTCCAATCTGATCTGCTACCCAGAGCAGAATCCTTGGTAGGTGGGCATGCAGTTTGTGCCTGGATCCCTCCAGTGATAAGGAGCTCACAGCACTGACTACAGATCTCTGTATACAGTTTTCAACTCAATGACACTGACTAACTGACGTTGGGACGCATGAATGTGGGGTCCTGACATCGCATGGAGAATGAGGGATGGTACCCAAAGCCCTCTGATGGCCTCCAGATAGCTGCTGCAGCTGCTATCTGGGAAAGGAACAAAGTTGGCTCCATTTCGCCTCTACCCGCCTGACCTTTGGGTGCAGCCCTCCATGTTGTCTTGACCCTTGTGAAGGCCAGCCCGGCCTTCCCAGCTCCCCGCCTCCCTGTGCCGGGTGTCTGGCCACTGCCAGACTGTGCCACTGCACTAACCAGTGCAGCAAGCCACAGCCCAGGAACCAACAACTTCCCCAGGGCTGCCCTCCTCCTGGCTTGGGCCCCTAGACCCCTAGATCCCCTCTCCTGCCCCCAGCGTGCCTGCCCAGTCCCCACACTGTGTCTCCTCCACAGTGGTGTTTGGCCAGTTCGCCTTCTTTCACACGGCCCTCAACGACGTGGTGGAGGTTCACGACGGCCACAGCCAGCACTCGCGGCTCCTCAGCTCCCTCTCGGGCTCCCATACAGGTATCCGGGGCTCGGCCAGTGTGGGGATGGTTGTGGGCCGGGGGCATCACGTCCGGCTAAAGGAAGGAGGCTCTAGAAGCACCCCATGGCCGCAGGTGGAACCCTACGGCTCTGCGTGCCTGTCGTGTTCTGGTGCTTGTCTACAACGCAGCAGCCAGCTCGTGAGAGCTCCAACTAGCGGGGCCTTCAGCAGCTGCCCTCACCCAGACTGTGTCTACACCGCCCCCTTGTGGTGTAGCCTTCTCCTGTTGGTTCGTATTCAGATGCAACTTTTTTTCTTACTATAAATGTATTGCATTTTCATTATAGAAAACTTAGTGACAAAACAAAATAATTGCATACAGAATCAAAATAAAGACTACCCCGAAAGAGCCACTGACAAGATGTAGTGGATTTCCTTCCAGTCTTTGTATCTACTTCGACGTTTACATATTTTATTCAACAAACCAATATACATATTTTATTGAAATATTCGCTACGAGCTTTTCTCTGTCATTTTTTTTCTTCTAGGCTAGGATTTTTAAGTGCTACATAGTAGTCTCTCATACAGTTAGTTAAAATTTATGTAACGAATTCCCTATTATTGAACATTTAGATTGTAATGTTTTGTGCTTATGAATAGTAATGCAATGTATTGTACATACATCTTTATATACATTTCTGTTACTTTAGAATATCTAGAAGTGGAATTGTCAAGTTAAAGGATATGTGAGATCTTTAAGGCTTTTTATGCAGATTATCAAATATCCCTCTAGAAAGATCTTGTCAGTTTGATCACCAACAAGAAAGAGGGCATGTTTTATTCTCACAAAAACCAGGTAATTAAAAAAACAAAAGCGTCATCAGTTTGAAAAGTGAAAATGGTATCTCATTTTCTAATTTGCCTTGTTTTATTACTAGTTAGGTTAAATTTTTATAATGTGTTTATTGGCCTGTGCATTTTTTATTTGTGAATTTATTGTGAATTTGTGTCGATTTTTCTACAAGCACTTATTTTCTTATTTATTGAGTAGAGCTCCATATTTTATAAGCTACATAAATATATATAATATGCTATAAAAAGCCCTCCTCTCCAGCTTGTCTTTTGCTATATAATTTTCTTCAGGGTGCTTTAATGTCAGAATATGTAAATTTCCCATGCTATCAAATCTATCAATGTTTTCTTATATAGTTTTCTCCTTTGCTTTTATGCTGGTCAAATAAATATTCCTCTGTGTTTTCTTTCACTTCTTAGTTTCATCACACTGCTTTAATACCTTTGGAATTTATTTTGATTTATTATTTGATATAGGGAATCTAACCATATTCTTTCAAATATAGTTAATCAGTTGTCCTAGCAGAATTTTCAAAATGCCAAATTTACATATACTAAATTTTTATGAAGGGTCTGTTCTTAGACTTTTTATCCATTTCTTCCAAGTGTCTATTTATTCCTTTTTTAGTTTTAATTATTATAACACTATAATAGTGTTTACTATATAATAATTTTAAATACATGGTACTATAAGTCCCCAGAGCCATTCTTTGTTTTGAATTTTTATTGGCTGTTGTTGCTTACTTTTGCCTCCAAATTATATTTAGAAATATTTTGTTAAGTTTAAAACATTGCATCAGAATCTTGACTGGGATTTAATAAAACTTACACGTTAAATTAGGGTGAACTCACGTTTATATTAACTCTTCTTCCCATCCAGGAATACAATATGTCTCTCCATTTGTTTATCTTCTGTAGCCCTTGGGAGGGTGCTATAATTTTTATTTAGGCAGTATTCATTGTTTGTTAACTTTATTCCCAGATATTTCATGGAGATTTTTGTTGCTGTTGTAAATGGGTCTTTTTTCCCCCATTATGTTTTCTAGCTGGTCTTTACTAGTATATTCAAAGACTGTTGTTTTTGGCATATTTGCTTTGTAAAGTCATCAGACTCTTCATAATACTGCTTACACTGCCAACTAATTCTCCTGGCTCCTCTAGGCAAGAAGTAATATCATCTGCAAATAAATTTGTCTCATTATTTTATCTCCTCCTTTTCAGTGGCTTTTCTTTTATTTTCTTCCATGGTTATTGGTCTATTCAGGTATATTACTCTAATATCAATGTTGATATTTTAGCTTTTAGTAAAAAATCCATTTCATAATTTCATTTACATTTAGTACCACAATGTATATAATGTACTATGGTGATGTTTACCCTGCTTTGTATTAGTGGTGATATTCCTGCCTTTGTTATCCTGCATCGTGCATTCATCATCCCCTTTTTACTCGGCTGTACCAGGTGTTTTGTGTTTTTGTGGGTTTTTTTTAATTTTTATTGCTGCAATTTATCAATTATTCTGCAGTTTGTTGTTGCTTTTTTTTATTAATCTCTGCCTTTATTTCATCATTTCCTTCCTCATATTTTTCTTCTGATTATTTTGTTCTTGTTCTAACATCTTGAATTGAGAGCTCTGTTCATTATTTTCTCTGTGTAATAAAGAACATGTTTACAGCGATGTATTCACCTCCAAGCATAGTTTTGGCTTCATGCCATAAATTTTGATATGTACTATGTTCATCATCATTACTTTTTAAATAGCTCATCATGGTGTTGTTTACTCTTTTTGCCCAAGTGTTGGCTAAGAATGTCTTTTCTTTTCCCCTAAGAATATGGATTTTGTTCTTATTGCATTAAACTTTTGTGTTAATTTATATTTTTATTTCCATGTAGTGAAAGAATGTGGCCTGTACCATTTCTTCTTTGGGGATTAATTGAAGTCCCTTCAGTAGCCAAGGACCTTTTTTTTTAGTTTTCTAAATATTTAAGAAGGATGTGTGTTCTCTGTAAGGTAGAGAAGCAAGACGAATGAGCTCAGGCTCTACAATCACACTCTTTTCTTAGCTCTCCTATTTGTTTTCTAGGTGACTTAAGGCACAATACTTGACCTCTCTGAGCTTCAGTTTTCTCCTCTGTAAAATGCAAAGAAAAAGAGTCCTACCTCCTAAAGTTAGTGTTAGGAGTAAATGAGTTTTGTAATTGCCATTAAATCAATCTTACTCAATTTTGTTATTCAGATCTATTGTATCAGTGATTCTCAACCAAATGAATTTTTTGTAACCACCACCTCACACATACACACCCAACCAAGAGTGTAAATCAGGAACTCCTGGAGTAGGATGCCTTTTCAAAACAGATAGATAGATAATGTATAGCTATAGATTTAGAGTTATAGTAAGGATTTTCAAGTAAAGAGCTATAGAGAGGTCTACATTTAAGACCTATAGATGTAAATATGGATGTAGATATAGGTGTATAGGACCAATAGAAACAGGAAGTAAGGAAGGAAGGAAGCAAGGAAGGAAGGAAGGAAGGAAGGAAGAAGATGGGGGAGGAAGATGAGAGAGTGAGAGAGAAAGAGAGAAAGATGTATAAGACCTGTAGATATAAAACTCCTGACCTCAAGTGATCTACCTGCCTCAGCCTCCCAAAGTGCTGGGATTACAGTGAAACCCCATCTCTACTAAAAATACAAAAATTCACTGGGCATGGTCGTGGGTGCCTGTAATCCCAGCCACTCGGGAGGCTGAGGCAGGAGAATCACTTGAACCCGGGAGGTGGAGGTAGCAGTAAGCCAAGATCGCGCCATTGCACTCCAGCCTGGGCGACAGAGAGAGACTCCGTCTCAAAAGAAAAAAAAAAAACCTGTAGATATCAATATCAGTATATTCAGAGAGTCCCTTATTCCTCATTTGGAGAAACACTGATAACAAGCCATTGGTACTGATGGGAGTGCACTATGTCCCTGTCCCTGAGTTGCGTTGGGGGAGAAAAAGCTTAAGGACCGCTACTCAACAGTCTTCATTTTGTTTTTCTATTTGATGTATCAATGATTGTGAATGTTGCATGAAAGTATTTCCCATTACAGTTATGATATTTTGTTGTCTTCTTGTATATCTAGCAATTTTTGCATCTGTTTTCCTGACATATCTTCTCTCATTTTCTCCAAGTCTTTCTCTTTTAAGAGGAAGTTGACTCATTTATTTTACAAGTGAATTATTTGGTCTGATATCTGTCATCTTGTGTTGTTCTTTCTGCGCTTTTGTTTGTGTTGTTTTGATTTTGCTTCCTCGCTTTTCCATACATACCTGACCCATCTCTAATTTTCAAGTTTTTCTTGATATATTTGGACTTTTATATTAATGTTATAGTAGTTATTTTTTAAATTGTGGACTTCTTCCCCAAGAGCAAATTTTTGAATTTGCATTTGCATTTTGTTTTGTTAGCTCATTGACAATAGTTATTATACTTTTCTGGTTGTATTTATCCCTGCTGGTGTCTGAATTCCCTACTTTAGTTTTGGGTTTTGTTTTTTTTTTTTTCAGTAGGGCTTATAACTGCAGTACTTTCTGTACCATGCATATATGAGAATGCTTTCCTTTTGACATGGGATATAAATGACACCTTGATTGTAAATCAAATTACGGGTCAAACTTTATCTTTCAAAACTGCAGTAATTATTCCACTCTATTCCAACATTTACTGTTACAGACAAATTGGGGTCCAACGTGATTCTTTGTCCTTGTAAGTAACCTGTGCTTTTCTGTCTATGTGATTTTCTTTTTTTGTTGTTGTTAATTAAAAAGCCCACTGGGAGGTGTTGTGGTGGAGGTCTCTTCTCACTAATTCTACCTTGCACTTGGCAAATATTTCAATCTGTACCTCACATCTTAGGAAAAGTGTCTTCTTTCTTAAATGATTTTTTTTTTTTTTTTTTTTGAGACAGAGTCTCACTCTGTCACCCAGGCTGGAGTGTAGTGGTGCAATCTCAGCTCACTGCAACCTCTGCCTCCCAGGCTCAAGAGATTCTCCTGCCTCAGCCTTCCGAGTAGCTGAGACTCCAGGTGTGCTCCACCATACCCGGCTAATTTTTGTATGTTTAGTAGAGATGGATTTTCACCATGTTGGTCAGGCTGGTCACAAACTCCTGACCTCAGGTGATCCGCCCGCCTCAGCCTCCCAAAGTGTTGGGATCACAGATGTGAGCTACTTCACCCTGCCTTAAATGATTTTTTTTCTCCTTCAATTTCTCTGTCTTCTCTTTCTGAAATTCCTGATACATGCATATGGATTTTTTTTTCATCTTTCACGTCACTTGTCATTTCTCTCGTTATTTTAATCTCTTTATCCTTTTTCTGTGGATTCTGAGAGAATTTCCCAAATTTCATCTCGACTTCACTGTTCAGTTTTTGTGGAATCCAGCTGCTTGCACTAGCATTTCTCATCTCTTTGCAGCCTTTATTGATCTCAGATCCTTCTTCCTCTGACTTCACAGATGCAATGCTAGATTTAATCTCATGACAACCATGACTGAACATCTGCTGAGAGTTTTGCCTGTTCTTTGTTGTGGTTCACATAAAGTATTTGCTTTGACTTCTTAGAGTGATCTCCTTCCTCAAAACTTTAACATTTTTTCTTATGTCCAGTGATTTTACTATTTGCTCTCCCTTGAAGATGGAGGCCCGTGTGCCTTCAGGGCTGCAGTTGACATGGGTTCTGTGAGAGCTCACTAGGGTCGTTATCCACATCTGTCAGGCCAAATAGAAAAGTTGAGTTTCACTCTGCTCACATCCATCTGGAGGAGGAGTTGGAGATGGCAGTGATATCAAAGGGATGCTTTGCCTTCATGAGTTTCTTTCTGCTTTGGCAGCTACATGTTAGCTGGGGGCAATAACTGTTAGCTGGGACAATGACTCCTAGCCAGGCTCAGCCTTCTGGGTCACATACACATCTAAGCCTGCCTTGCAAAAGCTCTCTGCTCCCATATTGGTGGCATCACATGAGCTTCCTGGAAGTACAGGTGGACCTCCCAGTAGTTCCGTTGTGGGTCCCAACTCTAGCCCTCACTGTAGTGGAGATAGAGCCTGGTTCTCTGTAATCCCTGCTTCGTCCTGAGAATGGGGTCTGGGGTCAGCAGCGCTTCTCAGGGGTCCCTGAGGCTGCAGGGGGGCAGCAGGCAGAGTGGCCATGCTGCTGCCTCCACCCATGTTCTCCCTGCGCTTCCCCAGAATGGCAACTACACTAATTGGCTGCAGGTCCAGTTGGTGCTGTCTCTCCCCTGGCCCATCTGTACTGCACCAAGCAGAAGATATACCTTTGTCTTCTGCTACAAAAGCTGTCAGTCTACCCTGGTTTCCTGTGCCCATGCAGGTTCCCCCCAGTTTGTGTGTTATTGGCCGGCAATAGTACATCCTGGTTTGCCTGGGACAGTCCCACCATAACTATTGATAGCACTTTCTTTGACTCTCAAAAATGTTCTAGTATGAACAATACATTACACCATCGCTCTGGTAATCATTTCACAGGATGGTGGGAGAGTGTCTGGGAAAGACCAGTTGCTCCTAGATGATCACATCATCCTCCTTCCTAGAGGCCAATGCTATTTTTAAAAACTCAGATTGATGTCAGTTTTCCAAGTAAACCACCAGTCAGCCGGCTTGGTAACAGCTGCTGTCTCCATCCCTGTCGCTCCACACATCCCTAGCAGCCTTCTCCTTTCCGGCACAGGTCATTTAATCTTTCTGGACCTCTCTTTCCTTCTTTATTAAATGAGGGTACTGAACTCTGTCATGCCAACCTCACAGTGACCACAGGTCAAGTTAAGACCGTGAATGAAAAAGCTTTCTATAAACTTTAAATTGTAAAGTGCAGTAAAAATACGTGAGATTTTATTTCAGGAAGGCCTGGAATGTGGAAGGAATTGCTGCATGGGGTACTGGCAGCCCCTCCTTCCTGGCCAGGATTTTATCTTCTGGGCCCACCTGCTGGACTCACTGTTCTCTCCTCCTTGCCCCTTATCTCGGCAGGAGAATCACTGCCCTTGGCCACCTCCAATCAAGTTCTCATTAAGTTCAGCGCCAAAGGCCTCGCACCAGCCAGAGGCTTCCACTTTGTCTACCAAGGTATGGAGGACATGGACGCCGGAGGTAGGAAGGTGATCTCGGTTCTTAAGGGACTCGTGATCGAAGGGACAGGGATCTTTGACCTCTAGTCTGAGTCCCTTTCTCAGGGTGTTTGGGGGCAGTTACTAGTTTGTAGGGCAATTCCCTGAAATCCAGTTAATTTTATGCATTCACTTACTCAGCAGACATTTCTTAGACAAGTTCTGTGTTTAATGAGGAAGGAAATCAGACAAAGGCAGCCAGTTTTTTCCCCTTCCCCACTCCACCCATTGTCTGGCATGGTCCAGATGGCACTGAAGAGACCAGCCCAGGCATCTTACCTGGACTCCCCTGGAGCTTGGTTTTGTCTGCCAGGCACAGTAAAGGTGCGGGGAAAACACAGGCTTTGAAGTGCCGTGGACATCGATTTGAATCCCACCTCCCCACCTTCGAGCTAGGCTCCAGCTACGCCAGGCCTCAGAGCCTGTTTGCTCACCTGTAAGGAGCGGGCAATCACAATGCCTCACTGATAGGATGCAAAGAGGCTTCGGGAAGTAGCTGGTACCAACCAGCCAGTTGGTGTTAGTTCCCTTCCTTATTGGCCCAGAAAGGTAGTTTGGAGCATCCTGGTTTTCACCCCCAGGTCCCAACCTCTGCTTGCCCAGGAGAACATCCACTTTTGTAGGGCCCAGGTTCTAAGCATGGTCCTGTTCATTCGACTCTGCCCAGGATGAGCTGTGTTTCTCTTTGCAGGAGTGATCCTATCACAGGGGAGGCCATCCCGGGCCCATCAGCCATTCTGGGCGGCAGGAGGGAGGGGAGACTGGGGGTCATGGAGGGCAGGGCCCCAGGCAGGATCTTAAGGCACATGGGGAAAACAGGACAGAGGCAGGGCAAAGGCCCTGAAGGTAGAGGAGGAAGGCCCATTCTCCTTGCTAGGGAACGTGGGACCCTGATGAGTGAGGGGCGTCGTTGGGAAAGCAAAGAACAAAACTGGGCCTAAGGTCTGTGGGAGGTCCACGGCTCTACCTCCCGTGCTTTCCAGGAGCTGTGCTGTAGCGCTGTGTGTCCAACTATAATTCGGTATAACAGGCATCCTCCTAGTTAGCCCTCGAGCCCTTCCCTACGGGAGAGCATCCAGAGCCTCCCAGGGTTTCATCCAGACGGTCTTTGTTCCAGACCCGTTGTATGTCCGTCCCTGGGCCAGTTTCTGAGGGGTGAGGCCTCCCCTCAGTGCCCTTGTCCCCCACAGCGGTTCCTCGAACCAGCGCCACGCAGTGCAGCTCTGTGCCGGAACCCCGCTATGGCAAGAGGCTGGGCAGTGACTTCTCGGTGGGGGCCATCGTCCGCTTCGAATGCAACTCCGGCTATGCCCTGCAGGGGTCGCCAGAGATCGAGTGCCTCCCTGTGCCTGGGGCCTTGGCCCAATGGAATGTCTCAGCGCCCACGTGTGTGGGTGAGTAACCAGGACCCGGGCGTTGAGGGTGCGGGGGGCGGCACGTAGTCCTTTCTCTGTAGGGGAGGCAGTCAGCCCCAGTGATGCCCCACGACACACAGCAGCCGCTTCCCACCGCATGGCTGAGGTGGGGTGTCCCAGTCAACCCCAGTCCCCGGCGCTGTGGGCTGTGTGAAGACAGCCGGTGTACTGGGGACGGGGCACACGTGGAGAGAGGAGCTGGGCCCAGGGCCCCGAACAGAGTTGCATGGGGAGAGGCCGTGGAGAAGGCAGGACTGGGGACATTAGGGAGACACCCCCATGGGGAGGAGGACAAACAGAGGCTGGGGGCCATGAGGGAGGAGTCAGCTTGGGAAGGCTCCCACGGGAGGCCACAAAGCCTCTGACCCGATGGCCTCTCCTCCCAGTGCCGTGTGGAGGCAACCTCACAGAGCGCAGGGGCACCATCCTGTCCCCTGGCTTCCCAGAGCCGTACCTCAACAGCCTCAACTGTGTGTGGAAGATCGTGGTCCCCGAAGGCGCTGGCATCCAGGTAGGGGCAAGGGGGCGCCTCGGTCGGGCAGGTGGCCGTCTGCTCCCAGGTAACAGCTCACAGGTGACAACCACAGGTGCTGGCTGGTGCCAAGGCCTGAGTCAGGGTGAGCCAGGAAGAGACATATCAGCCCTGTACCTGCCCCTGCGGCTAAGGAGGCTCAGTCCAAGTGTGGAGATGTGGCTCCCATGCAGAAAACACAGCAGGTTCCAGGCCCCAAGAGCTTCAGGGACATGCGGTGGGAGTCGGGTAACCCAGGAAGGAGGAGAGGTGGGCATTGATTGGCCATGGCCAGGAGGGGAGGCTAAAAGAAGAAATGGGCCTGGAGCTGGAATCTGAAGTGTGGGAAGGATTCATAGAAGTTGTTCCTCAAATGGCTAAAGATTTTCTTAAGATTGTGAGGGTTAGAAGGGGAGGCAGTGCTAATGAGAAGAAAGAGCAAAGCACCCAGCACAGCTGAAGCACAGAGAACCCCCAGGCACACACCTAGGGAACCACGCACAGCATGAGCTGTAGAAGCTGAACTGGGGGCATAACTGGTACCCAGGGGTAAGAGCCAGGCAGAGGGAGGCCCCAGCATTGGCGTCAAGGCAGGGAAGAGGGTCAGGAGCCTGCAAGGCCAACAGAGAGGCAGCAAACTGGGAGTCCAGCAGACAGATCTGGGCAGGAGTGGGTTACGGGCTCATTGCTGCAGGACGTCTGATGAAATCAAGGCAGGAAAGTGGGGAAACCCAAGGAACATTCCAGAGATGAGGAGACAGTCAGTGAGACTGTCTTTCCACTTCCTGGAACTTCTTTTCCCCATTCTCTGCCTTGCAAAATATCCACTGTCTTCTAATCATTTTTTTCCACATCTGTCTTCCCCACTGGACAACGAGCTCCTTGGAGTCGGTTCTGCATCTTACTTTTATTGAAAGGGACTAGCACAGTGTTAGGCCCAGAGTAGATTCTCAACAAATTGAATTAACTACGGGAAGGGCAGAAAGGGAAAGCAGAGAAGGAGGGAGGGACGCAGGCTGCCTAACCAACAATTCACTCTTCTCCCTTCCCAGATCCAAGTTGTCAGTTTTGTGACAGAGCAGAACTGGGACTCGCTGGAAGTATTTGATGGTGCAGATAACACTGTAACCATGCTGGGGAGTTTCTCAGGTAAGCTGGGTTTCCAGGGGCTTCAATTTGGAGGGTAGTACTAGAGCTCATCATCATGAACATTGTTATTATCATTATTATTATTGAGATATCACTTATATTCCATGAAATTCACCATTTTCAAGTGGACACATCAGTGGTTTTCAGGAGATTCGAAAGGTCCTGCAACCATCACTACTATCTAATCCCAGAACATTTTGACCACCCCAAAATAAACCAGGTACCCATTTGCACTCCCCTCCCCAGCCCACACCTAGCCTCTAGTAACCAGTAATCTACT
This sequence comes from Homo sapiens, assembly GCF_000001405.40. Lineage (NCBI taxonomy): Eukaryota > Metazoa > Chordata > Mammalia > Primates > Hominidae > Homo > Homo sapiens. The sequence goes on along the minus strand of NC_000001.11, from coordinate 33,623,089 downwards.
TTCTATCTCTCTGGATTTGCCTATTCCAGGCATTTCATATAAATGGAAGCCTTCTGTGTTTGGCTTCTTTCACTTAACGTGATGTTTTCAAAGTTCCCCCAGTCACAGTATGGTTCAGCACTTCATTGTAAGGACAGAGCATATTTTGTGTGTCCATTCATCAGTCAATGGCTTGTTTCCACTTTTGTGCTGTTATGAATAATGCTCATGCACAAGTCTTGGTGTGAACACACATTGTCACTTCTCTTGAGTATATACCTAGGAGTGGAATTGCTGGGTCATGTGGGAACTCTATGTTTAACTTTTGGAGGAACTTCCTGTTTTCCAAAGTGGCAACACCATTTTGCCATTCTAGTAATGGACTTCTGACTGAGTGTGGTGTATAGGTGTGCCCAGTGGCCAGGGCAATTATCTGAATCTTTTAGGCCCAGAACTCTAGGTGGCCAAGAGATAAAGAGGAGTCACATGCTTCAGATAAACTGTCCACACTGCAGGACTGCCCAGAGAATAATACAGGTCAGAGTTATCCTGAAGATGGCTATGAGGAGACCCAACTCATCCCTCACCCTCCTGCGGGCACATGGCTCTGCCACTGCTCATCTTACAGGAAGCAGATTGGAGTTTCCCCTCCCTCAGCCAGTAGAGACCTAGCCCTCTGAGGAGTGCTAATTTGTCATTTAGTGAGTTTCATAACTGGGGACATCTGGGGGCCTTGGGAGCAGAATGTCAGCAGGTAGCAAAATCCAGAGGAATGGGGAGGAATGCAAGGGCCTGGAGGAGCCAAACTTAAATGGTTTTCCCTGGTGTCCTTGCCCTAGGAACAACCGTGCCTGCCCTTCTGAACAGCACCTCCAACCAGCTCTACCTTCATTTCTACTCAGATATCAGCGTATCTGCAGCTGGCTTCCACTTGGAGTACAAAAGTGAGAATCCAGGGTCTTGGCTGGTACAGGGTTCAGGGTGGGACCTAAAAGTTGCTGAGCCCCTTCTGAGCAAGGATTAAACTGGAGCTGCATATTGTCCATCCCACTTAAGCCTTCCCACAAACCTAGGTGAAGATGCTAAAGCCCAGAGAAGGTCTGAAACCTCCTCAAGGCTGTGTTCTCGTCCAAGTGTCTGTTACTCGAAAACCTGTATGCCTGTTCAGTATCCACACCAGGAATGGGAAGGGGACTTGCATTGGCCAAGGTCCCAGTATATAATTGGGATGTAAGAAAATTGTGCTTTCCTCCCCCAGGTCTAAAACCTGGCCTTTCTAACCCCTAGTTCTATGATGCGATTATTTTTGAAGTTCCTCCTTTCATTGGCTACCTCACTCATCTTCTACCAGATTTCTCACTGCAGGCTCAAACCCTTATATCCTGGCTTCTGGCATCCCTAAGTGGTCACTACCAAATACTCTTCACAGAGAAAGATTTGTGGATGTGCCTTCTGGGGAACAAAGAAAGAGGTTTCTAGGGAAACTGCTTGCATACTGGGACTGCCTGCCCTACCCCCTTTCTCCACTGGGTACAGGAAAGAATAGGTAGGCAGCAGCATTTTTTACACTTTTATTCGGCAAATATTTATTGAGCATTTACAACATGCCAGGCACTGTGCTGGGTTTTGCCACGATTGGGAAAGATTAAGATGGGTCAGTCAAAGTCCACTAAAGAGAGGTAGACACATAGACAGAGAGGTGCATGACAGCATTACAGGTGCTCTCATGGATGGCTCTAGATGGTAGAGAAATGGTTCAAGGGAGAGAATGGTTGTGGGCGGGTGGAGATGCAAATGTTGTGAAGAAACATTGAGCACCTGCAATGTGCCCCGCCCTGTGTTAGGTCCCCGCAGTACAAAGGTCAATAAGACAAGGCCCCTGCCTTCAAAAGCACAAAATCTAGAAGGAGAGATGGACATGGGCACAGTCATTTTAGTGAAACCTAAGAAAGTGCAGAGGAAAGGAGAGATGCTAAGAAAGTACAAAGGAAAGGAGCTAAAGCTAGCCATGTAAGGCCTTGCAGAAGGGGATGCCTGAGTTAAGTTTGCAATGAGAAGTGAAAAATGCAGGAAGGCATGGTTGGCTAGACCATCTGCGACAGCATGGGCCTGTGCAGAAAGAAGGCCCACTGGGTGCTAGATGTCTGATTGGGTCAGAACTGTGTTATGCACATGCCCATCTGGGTCTGTGAAACAAATGAACTTCATCCAGCTGCTTCAGAAAGAATTAAACAGGTCCCAGGATGCTCATCACCTGAAAGAACTGAAGCATGCACCTGGAAAAAAAAAAAAAAAAAAAAAAAAGACCCAGGACAGCTAGAAGCAGACCCTGCAGGGTAAAGGGTAGGACAGGGACCTCTGAGACTCCTTCCAGCAGATATGTAAGGCTTCACTCCCCTGGTGGAGTGAAATATCCTGGGTTTCTCGACTAAATCACATTTTTTTCCTTTCATCCCTTCTTCTCTGTTCTCTCCAGTTTTCTCTATCCAATATTTTGAGCTCTTAAATGTTCCCTAGAATCTTCTCTGTTCTTTCTTCTTCCAAAGATACATTTTCTTTGTAAATCACTTTGCCATTCTACTGCCTCATTCCCAGGAAAAAAATCCACCTCTTCTCAATTTTCTTCGTCCAAGGGGACTGGCAGTTTTCCCAGTAGCTGACATTTCATGTGTTGTCCCCTCATGATGGGAAGAGCTACGGAGAAACAGAGCTTCCCACTGGTATTTGGAGACTGGAATTCCTAGGAGCCAGGGCCCTGTAGTTATATTTTATTTTGTAGGATAATCTACAAAGAGCTCACAGACAATAGAGAATTAACTGCTATTGTACAGGCAAATGGTTTTGAAGGGTACTGAAAAGTCACATCCACTGCTATGATTCATAATTGTTTATTTAATTTAAATGGAAATGGAGCAATATGCTTTCAAAAGTAATAAATTACATATGATAAAAAATAATTTTTCCTTTGTTGTAAGCATGGCTTAAATAAAATCAATCTGTGTAGCATAAGATAAGTTAGAATGGACTTTTCTATATCCCCCTCCATTTTTCTCTTCAGCCTCATCTTTCTCCCATTCCATTTTTCTTCCTACCACGCTTTTTTGTCCTCATTCTGCTCTTCTCTCCATCACTGGACAGTAAGTAGGTCTTTCCAATAAGTAGGTCTAGTTAGTTGCAACTACTGCACTAAATAGTGAGTTTTGTTCTACTTGGAGTGTGGAGAGGAATGGGGAGAAATAGACAAGATGACAAGTGAAACACTTGAAACTCAGTTTGATGGGTTTTTTTTAATGCTTGTCCTTGGGGTCTTTTGTCTCAGCTGCTGAGAGTTTTGGACAAGGCTCAAAGAGTTTTCATTTCCAAATATCACACTCATATCTTAAAAGCACATGTGGGACAGGAATTGCCTGGGAAAAGTGTGAGGAATTTCCAGAGTGATAGCAACGTTCTGTGGTTTTGACAGGTGTTTGGGTTACAAAGGTACAGGCATTTGTCAAAACTCAGCACATGTACACTCAAGATTATGATGTTTACTTGATTATTACCATGTTCATGCACAGTTTTTGCATTTTGTTATATGTGAGTTTCCCTCAGAGGGAAAAAAAGCACATGTAGTTATCAGAGTCTCATCTCTGAATGTGGCATGAGGACTCATTAGCTGCTGCCTGGGAAGATGGGTTGGTGGCTGATGGTCTAGGCTGATTGGTCCTTTCCTGTTTCTTTTCCATGAGCCCCTAGCTGCCTGTGGGCACTGGATACACGTGGGCTCCTCAGGGAGCCTGTATCCCCCAAAGGAGCCTGTATCCCCCAAGGGAGCCTCCAGAAGGGCCAAGGCTGCCATCTCCCACATTCTCTGGGCCATGCCACCCAGATACGGTCTGCCATCCTTCCATTTCTGCCGCCTTGGTTAGGAAGACCACTTTAGAGTTTACAGCTACCTCTCCGCCTCCTCATGAGTCTTCTGGCCCTTGCCCCTGGACAAGTGCCCTCCAAGTCCAGTCCAGCAAGACACAGAAACTTTTTAGTGCATGTGAAGTGCCTGCACCTGTACATGGACTCCTGCAGAGCACAGGAGAGGCAGGAAGCCCCCTGTCTGGAAATGCTACACTCCCATTTGCTGTGTGGGAGGCAGCCAGGGAGGGATTCAAAGCAGGATGAGGACTGTTTTAGGAGGGGAGGCAGGGAGAGCAGGGGACAGGGTCAGACATGGGCTCATGTGGCCTCAGGGCTTGGCTTCTGCTTGGCCGACCTGGGGTCAGACTGGGCTTGGTCTGAATCCTGGGTCTGTGGCTTACTAAGGAAATGTTTCAGTGCCTCCTATGGCCTGTGTCCTCATCTGTGAAATGGGATGTGAAGACCTGCTTGAAGGGTATGAGGGGATACCCTCACCAATGGGCCCCAGCCTTGCTCATGGAAGTGCTCAGTGAGCACTTCTCTTGGGAAGATGGTATGGACTGGCAGAAAGGAGGAGGAGGAAGATTAAGCTGGGTGCTCTAGCAAAACATTGTGTGCAATGCCAGGCATGTAATGAGGAATAAATGAGTGCAGGTTGAATTTGAAAAGTCAAGAAAGGAGACTGAAGGAGGAGCATTTGAGATCCTGTGGAGGTGATCTTGAAAGAGGACTAGGCCAAGATCATGAAAGTCCTTAGAACATCAGGATGAGAAAGTTGGATTCCATATTATAGGCCATGAGGACCTGCTTCAAATCACTGAGCAAGGAGGTCCCACAATTCAAGGAGAGATTTTAAGCAACACGAGTTGCCTGTGAGTGCAGGGTGGACTGGACTAGCAGTGGCTTGGGGTAGGGGATGAAGGAGGGTTTTAGCGGGGCCAGTGCTCAGTGAGGCCAGAGCTGAACACGGGAGTTGAAGTGTGAGAGGCCACCAGTGCTGCTCCCAGAAAGGGGCTGGCCTGACCTTGAAAACACAACAGGAGAAATAAGGCAGTGGAGAGTCTTATCTGCTAACACACTTTTCTCAGAGTCTTGGAAAGTCGGACTCTAACTGAGCCCCTGAGCATCGCTGATGTGTCCCTCCCTGCTCTCCTTCCTTCTTGACCTTCTTTTCCCTCTCTCTCTCTCTGTCTCTCTGTCTTAGCCCACAGGATCTGTCTTCTTAGGGTAAGGAAGACAGAGGGGAGTTAAGAGTAAGAAGCAGGAGGGATGTGGGAGGAGAGCATGCAGAGAAGTCTCCCTAGCTAAGCCCCCTAGCTAAGAGCTCAGTGAGTGGACAGGACAGCCAGCATCCCCTGGGATCACACCCACCTTCTCAAGGAGCTTTGGTCTGTTGAGCCTCCGTGCCATGTAAATATACTCTTTTTCTCTGTGTGCTGCAAGGTGAAGAGAGTTGGGAAGAACTAGCCTACAGGATGAGAGAAAGCACAAATTAGAAGCACCCCTTCTCCCTGCCACCAGCATCTCACCCCAGCCTACCGCCACGTTGACCTGCTGGGCTAGTCCATTCTCCTTTCCTTCTGTCTCTGTCTTGTCTAGCGGTGGGCCTGAGCAGTTGTCCGGAACCTGCTGTGCCCAGTAACGGGGTGAAGACTGGCGAGCGCTACTTGGTGAATGATGTGGTGTCTTTCCAGTGTGAGCCGGGATATGCCCTCCAGGTACCTCCCCTGACACCCTAGAGCAGGAAACAGGTGTCCCCTGAGATGTGGTTGGCCAGCCTTACACCAGCAGAGCTACAGTCACCAAAGAACAGGGAGCAGCCCCCAGGTCCCCCGGGTACCATTATCCTCTCCTGGAGCTGTTCATGCAAAAGATAAACTCTGCTGACTTTAACAATTTGGCACAAGCCAACCTCCAATGTGTTCCTGCAAAGTTGGGTTTGATTCGGCTTTAGGGAAATTTAATTTCCCTTTGAAGGCCATCAGGGAATTTAGTAATTAAAGGACTCTCACAAGGAAACCTCTAATAATGAGAATTCTTTAGTAATCGTTGTTAATAATTGTCCTTCCCCAAATTCTCTCTCCCTCTACCTCACTCCCATCCCACAGTGGATCTGTGTGTCTTTGTGTATCTTGTTCCTTAACATGAGGCCCCTGAACCAGACCCCTGTACAGCCCCTGGTTGTACATACAATTGTGCCCACGGGGACAGCTAGCCCATCCCTGTTCCTGATTCCTCCAGGGCCACGCCCACATCTCCTGCATGCCCGGAACAGTGCGGCGATGGAACTACCCTCCTCCACTCTGTATTGGTAAGACAGCCCAGACTTTACAATTCATTCCAACCAATTTTCTCTCAGGGATCTTAGCTCAGTAGTGTATCATTGAGTTCAAGTTCAAATCAGAAGAAAGTTTGATATTCTGGATTTGTTCCAAGTCAGTCATTTTAAACTGATGTTTTTATAATCTCTAACTCCCATTTAATGCAGTCATCACTTTTGGAAACTCTGCCCCACCAAATGAAAAGTTACAGGAGGTCTGCCCATTTGAAAACATGATGATGACCGTTCTGGCTCTAGTTAATCAACCAGATCCCAGATGGAATTTCTAGGCACTTTGGGCTTCCCCCGTGACTTCTTGTGGGACAGACAGACAAATCTAATAAAGAAATGATGAGGTTGGCCGGGTGCAGTGGCTCATGCCTGTAATCCCAGCACTTTGGGAGGCCGAGTCAGGCGGATCACTTGAAGTCAGGAGTTCGAGACCAGCCTGGCCAACATGGTGAAACCCCATCTCTACTAAAAATACAAAAATTAGGCAGATGTGGTGGCACACACTTGTAATCTCAGCTACTCAGGAGGCTGAGGCAGGAGAATCACTTGAACCCAGGAGGCGGAGGTTGCAGTGAGCTGAGACTGCACCACTGTACTCCAGCCTGGGTGATAGAGCACAACTCCGTCCCAAAAAAAAAACGAAAGACAAGAAAAAAGGAAAAGAAATGCTGAGGGCTACGTGCGAAACAAGGACTTGGCTTCGTCCCTTACCCTGTGCTACGGCAGTGATGAGCAGATCAGCAGACACAAGAAAAGACAGCATCTCCCCTTCAGAAGCTTCTGGTCCAGTTAGGCAAAGAAGAAAGGCACATTTATTTAATATCTACTATATGCTAGGCATGGAGCTTCATATTTCCTCAGATCAGCCCTGCAGGGGAGGTACCATTACCCTCAATTTGCAAACAGGAAATCTCAGTCTTTTAGGATTAAAAAGGAAGTGGCAGAGTCAGGAACGGAAACCTAAGGTTCTCTGGTGCCCAGTCGATTGTGAGGTGCCCCTCAAGGCTGACCTTGGGGCAGGGAGGTAAGGGAGTGACACTCAAGCACGATGGCATTTCTCTTCTGTGGTTTCACCACGGTGTAGGGCATAGGCATCTGTGGAGCAGGTCAGAAATGTGAACGGTCAGCCCAAGGCACTTTCCCCCATTAGAGACTACAAAGACCTTGCTATGGAAACCATTCATTTAACGGCAGCTGCTGTTCATTAGGGGTTTACAACATGTGCCAGCCTTGTCCCAAGTAAATGCAGTCCTTTCTGATATGACCTCACAACAACCCCATTAGAAGGGTGCTGTCACTAGTTCCATTTTACAGTTGTGGGAAACCGAGTTCTGGAGGGTTTTGAACTTGCCCACGGTCCCATCGGAAGTGAAGGTGGGATTGTGACACAGGCAGTCGAGGCTGGAGCCTACTCTGCACTGTTTTCGGGTCTGTTTGCCAAGCTGTCCTCTCCCCAGAAAGCACTTGCCTGGACCTGCCAATCCCTGTTCTATGATCCTTTCCCTGGGTCTCTAAGACTGGCTAGCCCCTTTCTGTTCACACAACCTTTTCCTAATAAGATGCAAAAGAAAAGAACTGATGTCAACTGACCAGACTGCAGGGGTGCCCCAGCCCTGCATCCTCAGATGACTCTGAATTCACCTTGATTGGCATATCAGATGTCCCTAAGCCCCTGGGTCACTCAGACAGCCTGGTGGTTGGCTCCTGTGGGATGCTGATCACCGTCACTTTTCTGAGGATGGGCTCGTGGTGAGCCTCCCCTGCCGCCCACCCTGCCCCCTGAAATATATATTTGAGAAGAGCCTGGCATGGTGCCGGGCACAGAGTGGGGACTTGATGCATGCCAGTCCCCTTCCTTCATCCTTTTTCTGCAGTCTTGAAAGAGTAGATTGGGCAGTGAGGAGAGGGAGATTTGGGGGATACGGTAAGAAATGGTTGGACTTCTTTTGGCACAGAACTTCCTCACTTTTCCTGGACATCCTCACCAGGGAACTGACCTGTGAAGGGCATGTTCAAGGTCAAGAGTCCATAACTTGGGTTTGTGGACTTTTAGGCTGTCCTAGAATGTACCTCCCTTCCTGAATGTACATATTGAATGTTGCCCGTGGGCTTAGTCTTTTAAGAAGATTCCTTTGGATTCTCAAGGGGCTATATGACTCATGAAAGCTTAAAAACTGCTGCTTGAAGGGAGCTTCCAAACATTGGCAGGGCCCTGTACACCCCTTGATGTTGTCCTGACCCTCTGTCTCATCTCATTGTCACAGCACAGTGTGGGGGAACAGTGGAGGAGATGGAGGGGGTGATCCTGAGCCCCGGCTTCCCAGGCAACTACCCCAGTAACATGGACTGCTCCTGGAAAATAGCACTGCCCGTGGGCTTTGGTAAGTCTCTGCAGCCCCCAGAGGAGACAGGCTTCAAGCCCAGACCCTTGAGCTTAAAACTACTGTCCGCCAAAATCTCTTAGCACAAACTTGGGCCAAGTCTGTTTAGTACTCTGCCTCTCTGTTTTCTCATCTGTTGACCTCTTGTACAATTGTGAAGACCAATTAAGAATGGCAGAGATTAACATATAGGGGGGAGAAAAATCTTAGGGGTTGCCATTATTATTATTTGAGCCATAAACTAAAATCCAGGAATGTGGAATGAGAAATTACTCGGATTATACCTAACTAACACTGTATCACTTGATATTAAAAATAAAAAATAAAAATAAATTACTCAGGGACTTAAAAAAAAAGGCGGGGGTGGGGCGGAAATCTGTCGTACAGAGACTGGACCTCAAGTTGTACTTTTAACCCCAGTGTCTAATTTATCATCCTAATTAAATTGAGCCAAATCAATGAGAAATCGAGTTTGCATTCTTCTTCGTATGCACATTCTAGCTGGCCTAGAGACTGGGAAGGTTGTTTTTTTGGTTTTGGGGGGTTATTTTTGTTTTGTTTTGTTTTTGGAGCTGGAGTATGCTAGGCATGGGAGGTTGTCAGGGTGTGGAGGACATCAGTGTGGGTACAAAATGTAATTGCTGGTGATCCACATATTATGCACTGGGAATATCATTTAACCCAAATGTCTCTGTTGAAGGGATGAGGGCTTTGTGCTGACATGGAACTGATGGGCCGTACGCACGGGTCATCTTGCCCAAGCCATTGCACTGCTTCTAGGAATGAAATGTCCCAAGGGGATTATGCCTGCATAGCCCTGAATGCCAGTCTGTGAGCCTCAGAAATGAAGATCTCCCATTTTATCCTTCATTATTCAGCCTGGAGTGTGATTAGAGATTAGGGAAGGGGCTTTTGGGAGAAAGCAGTCTAACTGGCCTTCTCTAAATCCGGTTGGAGGGGAGGAGAGAGCTTGGTGGCCCTCTGAAAGATGTTATTTTCTGTTCAGTACCATCTTCTGAAGGAAACTGGGTGTTCAGTACCATCTTCTGAAGGAAACTGGGAGCAAAGCGATGACGCCCTCGGCAGTCTTAGGAGACTCCAGACTTTGAGACATTAAGAGGATCTGGGAGACCCTGTACCTCTGCATCCAGTCTTGAGGCAGAACCAAGATGATAGAAGGTGGGGAGGGCAACATCCAAAGGCAAACAGAAGTTTGAATGAGGTGGCTTTCCCTGTAAGTCCTTATGTTCAGCCACCATTTTCACCTCTAAATTCTGGGTGCTAATTCAGGTTTCAGGGAAGAAGCTACTGCTGGGTCCAGTTGCAAAGGCCCGGGATCCCTTGCTTTCAAGTTAATGTTGGATTCTGCCGAGGTCCCTAACTTGGTACCTGGTCTCAGCGTGTAAAGAGCTGCTGCAGCTACATGCTGCTCCACTAGATGGCGGTCACAGTCCAGTTCTTTCCTTGGAGTTCAAGTCAGAAATTCCGCCATCCTTAAAGAGCCCCTTCTGTGGGCCTGCAGCCCGCAGGGCTCCTATATGAGGGGACGATGCCTGGGCAGTGGAATGGAAAGCACAGGCTCCTCAGATAATGTATACAAAGATGTCATCACAGCCTAACACGGTGAAAACCCGTCTCTACTAAAATACAAAAAATTAGCTGGGCCTGGTGGCGGGTGCCTGTAGTCCCAGCTACTTGGGAGGCTGAGGCAGGAGAATGGTGTGAACCCGGGAGGCGGAGCTTGCAGTGAGCCAAGATCGTGCCACTGCACTCCAGCCCGGGCGACCGAACAAGACTCTGTCTCAAAAAAAAAAAAAAAAACCATCACAAAATTATCTGCAACTTGGAAACAATCTGCATGTTCATGAGTTGGGGAGTGAACTGTATGGTTGGATAATTCATAAAATGGAATTAACATGCAGTTAAAATGAATGAACTATATTTTTGTATATTAACATGGATAGACCTTGAAAAACACAATATTATGTAAAAAACTGTATGTACAGTATAATATCATTTATGTAAATCTTGAAAACACATAAACCCAGATACATATTTAAGAATCCAAAACCATGAACTGGAAGGATAGCTTCCAAATTCATGTGATTGCTTCTGTGGAGGGCAGGAAAGGAATGGAACAGGGCAGGAGATGAAAGATCTTCAACATTAAGTGTCGAGTCTTTATTTTATTCTTTAAATGATCAGATGCAAAAAGAATTATACTCGTGCTTATTCTGAGCTTATTTGATAGCACAGATAAGCCAATTTTAAAAATGAAAATCCATCTATAATCTCATCGTGCAGCGATAATCACTAATGGCTTAGTCTCCCAGCGTTACCATGTAAGTCTCATGAAGACAAGGACCTTCTTGATCTTGCTCATCCTGTACAATGCCTAGCACAGCCCTGATGTACAGCAAATGCCCAGCAAATATTCCTAGCAGGCAAATTAATATTCTTCCATGTTTTATAATACAAAAATTAGAATTGTATACAGCATACTATTTGTCATCTGATTTTTACAATTATCAATGCAATATGGGCTTTTTCCTATGCTCAGTAAATATATTTCTTCAATAACATTTTCCATGGTGATCTAATTTTGAAAAATCTTATCAGTAAACAAACATAAATGTTCCCACCTTCGTTCTTGAAAGAGTATATTACTATGTACATTAAGAACTTAATTAGATTTATTTAACCTGTCAGGTTGCTAGAATGTCTTGATTAACTCACTAAGATCCCAAAGTAGAAACTTTATTTGGCTTCTTTATGGAACAGAGGGGACAATGTATACTTCTAAGCCCTACGTTTCTGAATTATCATAAGAGTTCTAGAAAACAGCAGTATTGAAGGTCTTGTCTTTTGATTAAGTATTGGGGGTGTTATTTTTAAATGAAAAGTTTATTCTAGCAAAACTATCTTTATGCTGATATTGGACATATGAATCATAAATTTAAACAAGTGTTGACCCTGAACTTTGTTTTCAACAAAATAAAATGAACTCCAGTGGAGCTCTGAAATGACTGATGCCTTTATTTTTGAATGAATAATACACTTTTAAGTTCAGCCCTGTCAAAGACAAGAGACTTGGCTGGACGGGCAATTCCCAAAGCCAGTTCTAGGAGCCTTGGCTGGGTGGGAAATCAGTAGCAGGGACTCATGGCTCTGGCAGGAGCTGCTTTCATGAGGCAGCACACTTGAGGCAGGACTGTGTTGCTTTGGGCACTGTCTGCCTCTGTCTTGCTCCCAGGAGCTCACATCCAGTTCCTGAACTTCTCCACCGAGCCCAACCACGACTACATAGAAATCCGGAATGGCCCCTATGAGACCAGCCGCATGATGGGAAGATTCAGTGGAAGCGAGCTTCCAAGCTCCCTCCTCTCCACGTCCCACGAGACCACCGTGTATTTCCACAGCGACCACTCCCAGAATCGGCCAGGATTCAAGCTGGAGTATCAGGGTAAGGACAAGGAGCACCGCCTTTGCTTCTCTGTCTATCTCCATCTCTTGCCCCAGCCACCCACCTTCCCAGCCTTCCATGTGGGGGAAAACAGAACACCATAAGGGGTGGGTTGCGGTGGCAGGCCCAGTCAGGGAAGCTTCCTTTTGGTGGCAGATCTCTCCGGACCCCATTTGTCAGCTTAAGTTCTCCCACAGCCTTTTCAAGAGTGGCAGGCCCAACAGCACCCTCTGAGGCTCCCACTCTGTACAGCTGTCCCTGGGCAAGTGGCCCATCTGTGCCTTCTCAGGTGTCCCAAACTGTCCAGCCAGTCACTTCCCCTCGGGCTTGATAAACTGAATTACTTCCCCAGGGTCCTTCCCTGCACATCAAGCCCAATTACTCTCAGCAAAGCTCTTCCTATGACAGGATGGAGGATTCTAGTAACAGTCCCAAGGGCACCTCTAAGCCTTGCACAAGGAGCAGGTTTTCCTGTGAGGCCCAACCACACTCACCACAGCTCCACCTCTCTGAAGTGGGATCCCGTGACCGGCCCCACTCATTCTGGGACATTCCCTGGAAAGAGCCCCATCTACACTCAGGTTCCCCTGTGTTGTAGACCATCCATCACCTGTGGATGTGGAGATTGTGCCCAACCTGTGCAGCTGTACATGGTCCTGAGTAAGCCCAACCTCGCCCTTGGATGCTTCCCTTATTGTGACTGACCGAAGCATTTGTTCTAATCCCTTTCCCAGATTCTTCCACTGAATTTTTAAAAATATTTTTAGATTTTTTTTCCAATACTAATTCATGTTTGTAAAAAAAAAAAAAAAAATCTAAACACTGTAGATAATTTTGTGAGCACATTGTGTTAGCTCAGGCTGCTGTAACAAAATACCATAAGCCAAGTGCCTTACAAACAGCAGAAATTTATTTCTCACAGTTCTGAGGGCTAGGAAGTCCAAGATCACAGTGCCAGCAGATTCCGTGTCTGGTGAAGACCCACTTTCTAGTTCATAGACAGTATCTTCTCACTGCGTCCTCACATGGTGGAAGGGGCAAAAGAGCTCTCTCAGGCCTCTTTTATAAGGGAACTAATCCCATTTAGGAGGGTGGGCCACCAAATGCCCTGCCTCCAAATACCCTCACATGAGGGATTAGGTTTCAACATAGGGATTTGATGGGACAGAAATATTCAGGCCCTAACACCCGTCACAGGAAGTCAAAATCCTCCCATAATCCCATCCTGTCACTACCCTATGCAGAGATACACACTTTCAACAATTCAATATGTATTCCCCGCTTTTCTCGGTATATATATTGCTGTAGCTATATTTTTAGCCAAAATTGGATCGTACTATAGTTTTCCAATTTTGTTTTTTAAAGTTAATTTTTAATTACACAAACAATTTACAAACATATTTATCTTTTAAAAAAAGAAAAATACAAGAAAGAAATTAAAACCTTACAAGTAAGGCCAAAGCTCTCTTTGTCTATAGCCTCCAAACCCAGGATTATTCTCCAGAAACGGCTACTATTGTTTAGTTGTGACCTTTCCAGGCCTGGATATATGTATGCTACATGTACCTGTGAAAAATATGTAACATTTTATAAAATTTTTTGACCACGTTTTCTATATAAATAGTACCATCCTATATGCAGCTTTCTGAGAGTTGACTTCTTTATTCTGGAAATAATATGGTGGGGATGGAGCTCCTCCCTTGCCAGAGAAGAATACTGAGGGGGTACTGGGCTTCTCATTTAGGGAAAGCCTTAAAGGGCATCCCACGAGGTGGGTGCAACTGAATCAGTTCTGCAGGAGACTTCAGGGTTCCGGGGTCCATCTCAGGGAAAGCTTTGGTAAGTGCGGCTGGGCTTGTCATCTAGAGGGAGCCTCAGGAGAAGCTGGGCCTTGCACCCAGACAGAGCCACTTCACTGGTGTTAGCACAGCTGCCACACCCAGGGAAGGTGTGTGCAGGCTCATCACAGAGGCCAGCCTTGCCCAAGGATGTCTGTGCCTATTATCTGGGAGGTGTGTACCTGTCAAACAGGTCATGACGCGTCGGATGGCCGTGATGTCACAGGAGGGACTTGGTCCCAAATATGTCCTCTCAGAGACAGATGCAACGCCTTCCCCCAAGGCTTTCCTGTGTCTTAGTTTGTTAGGGCTGCCATAAGAAAGTACCACAAACTGGGTGGCTTAAACAACGGAAACTTACTGTCCAATGGCTCTGGGGCTGGATGGTCAAGATCAAGGTGTCAGCAGAGTTGGTTCCTTCTGAGGCCCATGAGGGAGACTCTGTCCGGGCCCCTCCCCTGGCTTCTGGTAGTTCATGACAATCTTGGCATTCTCAGCTCTTAGAAGTATCACCCCGACCTCTGGCTTCATCTTCACATGGTGCTCTTCATGTGCCTCTGTCTCCAAATTCCCACCTTCTATAAAGACACCAGTCATATTGGATCAGAGCCCACCCTAGTGACCTCATTTTAATTTCCATAAGTTTGGTAAAGATCCTGTCTATTTCCCATAAGGTCATATTCACAAGGAGTGAAGTCTTCAGCATATGAATTTTGGGAGACATATTTCAGCCCCTTGCACCCCTCCCAGGCCCAAGTGCTCTCTCCCTGAGACCTTCCTTCTCGGATAAATATAAGGAATGGCAGTGCCACCATTGTGCCAGGGACAGCTGCCCTGGGCCCACCCCGTGCACTGTGCCTTCACCCTAGACAATGGGCACGGTCCTGCCACTGAATCCCTGTGATGGGACCAGCCACTCGCTGTGCTCCCCGTGTGATGAGCCCACTTGTCCTTGTAAAGGTTGTGCCTGTGTGACCGCCTCAGATTCTCCATTGACTCCCTCGACAGAAGAGGCCTAACTACCCCCACAGAGCCCTGGCCTTGGGCTCACTCGCCCCTGATTCCCCAGCCCCCATCTTTGGAAATGCTCCCACTATGGCCACCCTGCACAAGGGGCCCCGCTGTCCCCCTGAGGTTTCCTGGACGACAAGCCAACATTCGGGACTAGTGTCCCTCCCTGGGATGGGCCTGTCTCTCCCACTGAGGTTTGCAGCCTCCACAGGCCCAGTCCTCCTCTGATAACTTTCCCTGCGTAGGGAGGCCAGGGGGCAGCGAGTTGCCTTCAGACACCCAGCTCCTCCACCAGGAGTTGGCCCAACATGTGAGAGGCACAGCGACATCCAATGGGGCTTCCACCCTATAATGGGCCCCCTCCTCCCACAAGCATGTGACCTTCAGGACTTGCCTGGATGTTCCCCTTCAGTCCCAGGCACAGCCACTCCCTCAGCGTTCACCTGTCTGCCACAGTCCCAAGGACTCCTGTGGAGCCACACATGGTGCCGGGGCACCTGCTCCCCTCAGACTTGGGCTCCACCCCTATTAAGGCTTCTCGTTTGGGGCGATCCCAACCTCTTGGGCTAGGTTGCCTCTAGGGCCAGAGGCCTAAGTATTCCCACAGAGGCCTCATCATTTGTGATAGGCCCAAATAACTCTCCCTGACCATAAGCCCACACTCTCTGTTTACACCTTCCTCCGCCGTACGGAGCGGCACCTCGTAAGCAAGCTCTGACCACTCTCCCCAGGTTTTTCCTCTGGGGAAAAACCCAGCTTCAATGAACGAGCCATTTGTCCCCACTGAGGCTGTTTCTGTCAGACCCAGCTC
The DNA here is from genome assembly GCF_000001405.40 of Homo sapiens. Classification (NCBI taxonomy): domain Eukaryota; kingdom Metazoa; phylum Chordata; class Mammalia; order Primates; family Hominidae; genus Homo; species Homo sapiens. The sequence continues at coordinate 33,607,380 of NC_000001.11, read as the reverse complement.
TCTATGGCCCCTCGACTTTCCTTAGAAGTCCAACTCTTTACTCTTTCTCAAAATTCCTCCAACTGATACTCTGCACTTCCCATGCTAGGGTCTTCTTTTCTCTTCTTTAAGTAAAGATTCCCATCAAGTTCTTAGTAGCAGCATAAGCAACTCCTAGCCAGGCCTCCCGGTCCGACATGCTTAATGTGTTCCATGACAATTTCTCAGGAGGGTTCTGTTTATAAAGAACTTAGCAAAATGGCTAAGATGTACAATTGTCCCCAAATGCTAGGCATCATCATTATTAATGTTTTAAAATAATGGCATTTTGCTTGAAATTGTATCTACCTGATTATGGCACTTTGTTTGGAAGTGTGTTCCCACTGTCACCAGGTGTGTCCCTTTAGAACAAACCCACTTGCTTTCCTGAGGAGTCCTTCTTTGGGGAAGTTCATCCTTCCTCCTCTTAGGGTTTATTTCTGCCTTATATGGCCAACCTCTCCCTTTGAAGCTTCTTGCAGGGGAACAGGCTCTGAGGTTTCTCTCAGTGTTGAGGTACTCTCACTGAAGTTTCTGTCTTTTTGAAGAGCCTAGATCCTTCCACTGGAGATGATTCCTGTAGGAGAGGCCCAGCTGCTCTCATCAAGGCTGCTCCTGGCTTCCCACACACAGCCACTCCCTTCCTTCTCTCCCCGTCTCTGAGTCCACGTGGCTACCCTGAGCCTTTCTGTAAAGACCCAACCCATCCCATTGGGTTGCCTCCCTGGGCAAAAGGCCCCCTGCTTCCGCTGAGACTTTCGTTGCCAAACGGCCCAAACCCCCGTGCTGCAGGGCCAGGCCTGTCCTGGGGCTAAGCAGCCACCCCACCCATGTGGTTGCTCAGTTTTTGGCACACCCAATTACCTCAATGATTTCCCAGGGAAACCTGCCCAGTTCCTCCCCCTGAGACTTCCCTGTGAGGTACTGAATGGAAACATAACACAGCCACGTGAGTGCTCAGGAAATGTTATCTTCAAGATCCGCGTTATTGATGTTGTTATTACGTATGAGAAACACATGTACTTCTAAGAAGCATCTATCCAGTCCCAACTACTTCCACTGAGGATTCCCACTGTAGGAACGTTCTGTCTCCTCCCGCTGCCAATTTCCTGAGTGGAGTGGGCGCAATTACTGCCACGAAGGCTGTTCTGTGTCCTGTGGACCCAATTCATCAAAGGCCTTGCTCAGGAATCCCTCAGCAGCCTCTCCCCAATGGACTGGCCTCAGCTGCTTCCATGGAGGCATCTCCTGTGGAGTCAGGCCACCCACTCTCATGGAAACAGCTTCCCTGCCCTTTGGAGGGACTTGCTTTGTGACAGCCACACGTCCCTTAGCCCAGCTACTCCCTCTGAAAAGCTTCTCTCCTTGCCACAGATTTGACTTACTCCCACCAGATTTCTTCCTTCCTGAGAGGTTTTGATCTCTCGGAGTTGGAAAGAACCAACTCAACTCCTCCCGTCGCCGCTTCCTATGTCTGGGATCTTGATCCTGGTTGTGAAGGTTCAATGAGATAAGCAACATGAAAGGAGTTAGGCTGGTGCCTGGCCCCCAGTGGCACTCAGTGAATAGAGGTTCAATTGAGCAATGTCTTCCTTGAGCCTCCTTTTCCTACGGAATTACTAATAATAGATACTATTTACTGAGCTTTCACCATGTGCCAGTACTGTGGAAAGAGCTATGTATGTGTTATCCTACTTAGTCCTCAAAATAATCATTCTATACACAGGAAAACTGAGGCGTACACAAGTTAAATTACTTACCCAAAGCCAATGACTTGTACATGACAAAGGTCCATCTGAGTCCAAATCTTGAGGCTTCACCACTATGCTTTCTGCCGCTCCTATTTTCTGGTCAGAGAGAATAAAGTGACCTTTTCTCCGGATCTTTTCCAGCCTATGAACTTCAAGAGTGCCCAGACCCAGAGCCCTTTGCCAATGGCATTGTGAGGGGAGCTGGCTACAACGTGGGACAATCAGTGACCTTCGAGTGCCTCCCGGGGTATCAATTGACTGGCCACCCTGTCCTCACGTGTCAACATGGCACCAACCGGAACTGGGACCACCCCCTGCCCAAGTGTGAAGGTATGTCGCTCCCTCATCCCCAGCAGTTCTTCCTGGGGTACTCGTGGAGACTGGTCCAGAGCAATCCCATGTTCCACCTACCTGCTCTGTGGGATCTCCAGGGCTGGAGGTCCAGGCAAACTGTGGTCCATCCTGTTTTCACATGGTGTGGCCCAGCCTCTCCAGGGAGAGGGTCCTGGTGACAGGGCTCCGGGCCAGCACTAGGGAGGACCTGGAGGAGATGTGGGCCACAGCCAAGAGGAAGACACACCCAGCCCTTGGGAAGATCCACCCTGACAGACTGGAGGACTCCCATTGGAAGGGAAGGCTCCATGTGAGGGAGTGGGAGCCCAGTGGTATGCTGAGAGCTAGAGAGGTAGAGTTAATCCAGGCACCTGCCCAAAGGGAGAAGAGCATGAAGCCTCTTTATAAGAACTCTCTTGCTCCCCTCTTCATCTTCCCCCTCCCTGCTCCATTATACTCTCCTTCTACACAGGGCTGGAGAGACCTGAGTTGATCTATCAGGGAGCTGGAGGTGGCACTTTCTTGGGTCTTCTTCCTTACCCAGAACCAGGAAGGAAGGTGACCAAGAGCTTGTGCTGCCTCCACCCTCATCTGCACACTTCAGTTCCATTTGCCTTCCCTCTTCATTCTGGCATCCCATCATTTTCCTGGAGGAGTGGCAGAAATTTGTCTTGAAAAAGGAAGCCTTAGCAAGGGCAGTAATCCAGGAAAGAGTGCCCCAGCTCTAGGATCAGATCACCCCAGGCTCCAACTCAAACCCCTTTGCCTCTCTAAGCTTCAGGTTCTTCCTCAGTAAAGTGGGACTTCTCATCTTTATTTCACAAGAGCTGGAGGACTTCACAGATGGCTCACTCTCAGACTCAAACTCTCAGTTTAACTCTCGATGGAAAGAGGACCTTGTTTGCGAAACTGAGCCGTTCTGGTGTTGGAATGTAAAACCATGATTTCTAAAACTATTATAGCCTCAGTTAGTTTTTCAGATTTTCAGAGCTCTGCTCTGCGTAACCAGTTGGTCATTCCGCAATTGTTGGCCCATCACGTGCTGTGCAACAAGCCTCATCCTGGGCTTTCTTCCATTCTCACACCTTGTTTGTCTTTTTGTGGCATCACAGGAGAGAGAAAAGAGCAGCGCTTTCTCAGTCTGCTAGCTTGAGCCAGAAGCTGTTCTTCCTCCTCAGAAGCCTTCTTCCCTTGGCTTCTCTGACACCATACTCTCTTGCTTTCTCCCATGTCCCTAATGGCAAATTTTAAGCCCCTTAATATAGCACACATGACCCTTAGGTTAGGGCCTAGTCCCTGCTGACCTCCCATATTCTCCAGTCTTGCAGATTTTATGTTCCAGCCTAAGCTGAAATACTTTGTTTTCCAATGTGCCATGTTTTCTTGCCTCTGGGTCTTAGCATATGTTGTTCCTTTCCCATACAGCATTCCTCTCTCTTACCTTGCCTACTTAACCCTAGTCATCCCTTAGGTCTGAGTATAAATATGAATTCTAGAAGGAGTCCTTTCTTACTCTCACAAAACCAGATGCAGGGCTCCCCCAAACACCCCCGTGGCATTCATGATGATGACATGGTCCAGCCTGTGCTACAGATGCTGGTGTGTTTGGCTGTGTCCCAGTGGTGTGTGTGCCTGGGACAGAACTAGAGTACCTTGTTCCCCACTGTCTCCCAGGCCATGGCTGGCACCCAGGAGATATTCAGCTTATGTAGCAGGGATGGCGTGTACCTGTGCACCACTTTCAGGATGTACGTGCATTCACAGGACCCCTGGCCTCTGCTTGGAATCTGTTGGGATTCTCTCTCCTCAGTCTGGTCTGCCCCAACCAGATGTCTGCTTGATGCCCCATGTCAGCTACAACACTCATTATTCTGGACCATGGTGTTTGGGGATTTTTGTCCACCATCCCCATCTATTTTCCTCCATGGTGACTGATTCTGAATACCATGAAGATGTCAAAGTCTTTTCATCCTCCTGCCTGAGGCCTAAATCAGTGAGACTAAAATTGAGTATTGCTTTTGGGGAACAGGAAGATAAGGAGAGAGGATCTTATCTACATAGCAAATGCGTCCTCTTCCAGGGCCTGGGCTGAACATTTTGCCTGCATCGTTTCACCTCATCACCACCACAATCCTATGGGGGAGGTATTCTTAGTTCCATTTTACAGGTGAGGAAATGGAGACTCAGGGAGGCTAAACTACTTATCTAAGACTATCTGCTCAATACATCGTTCAGCTATGATTTGAACCCAACCTTAGCCTCACCCCAGGAACCCTCAACTCGAAGTCTAGACCACAAGTACCACTCTAGAAAGAGCAGATCAAAGAGGAAGAAAGAAAGACTTTCCTAATTTCTTAGCTCTTCCCAGCAAAAGCACTGCAGCTCTGACCCTAACGTCTGCTCCCTCCCATTCCTGGGAAGGGAGAGGGGACAGCTTCAGGGCATCCTTTCTTCTTGGCAGTTCTCTTCATAAGAAAGAGAAAGAGGGAGGCTGAGGCAGACCCACAGAGGGGCCTGCAGTGATGATTGAGAGCCAGCCAGGGTGTTCTGTGTGGGGACTGGTGGGTAGAACCAGGTGCAGCCATCCTCAGCTTGGCCTCCCCTTCCGCATCCCACCCAACCTCCCTGACAGGATGATTAGTTCTGGGAGCTGGGATTTCCTCAGGAAGGCATCTGAATTCTCAGGTGGGTACCGAGGCCCTGCACTTACGTTTGTGTTCCCTCCCTGGCAGTCCCTTGTGGCGGGAACATCACTTCTTCCAACGGCACTGTGTACTCCCCGGGGTTCCCTAGCCCGTACTCCAGCTCCCAGGACTGTGTCTGGCTGATCACCGTGCCCATTGGCCATGGCGTCCGCCTCAACCTCAGCCTGCTGCAGACAGAGCCCTCTGGAGATTTCATCACCATCTGGTAGGCCAGGTGCCATGTCAACAGCCAATTAGAAAGGAGCATTACTGGGGTTCTACACTGGGTTACCAGTCAGTTACCTATTGGTTTAGAAAAACCAAGAGGTGAATGGTTTTTAAAGGCTGTCAGCCTCCTGGGTTTCAAATAAACATAGTGGAATGGGGCTCAGCTCCAACTGGCCATTATGGCTCCTTAAAGGGAGAGGAATGGGAGGGCAGTGGCTCCCAGCCTGCAACCCTGCCAGGGCCAGGGAAAGTACCAGTGGGTGTGTTAATGGGAGTAGGTGTGGGTACACAGACTTTCCTCGGTATTTCCAGAGTTCAAACCAACATTCTACATGTACCTGGGCTAAGCCACCCAGACTAATGGAAGAGATTTGAGGTGGAATTTTGTGATGTCCCGTTGGTCATCTGGTGCTGAGCCAGCACTTTCCAGCAGAACTTTCTGCAGTGATGGAACTGTTCTATGTCTATGCTGCCCAATATGGTAGCCACTGGCTACAGAGTACTTGGATATGACTGAGGGTCTGATTTTTAAATGTTATTTAATCTTGATAATTTAAATGTAAATAGCCATGTGTGGCTGGCAGTGGCTGAATTGGACAGCTCAGCTCTGAGTTATGTAGTTATATACAACAAGAGTTAATTTTACATTGGGAATACAAATTAGCATTTGATATGTGCAGTTTCCTGGACAGTTTCTTCCCAAACCACTGGATCTTTGGAAGAGCAAATAATTTTAAAATTCCTTTGTTTGGTGGTTACTGCCATTCTGAGAATCATCGGGGTTAGGGGAATTCTCTTCCAAAATTCCCAGGGCTTGGATAACTGTAACCAGACTGCCCTGGGTTAATTTCCAGCATGATTTCCAAGCAATGGCTAGGAACAGACAGGAGGGGTTAGATAAGGTTTCAGGGAAGAAATCTTTTGTCCCAAAAGGCATTGTGGGTATACTCTTTGCTTGGAAGACAAGGCAATGGAGCATGGAGCCGATATGCATAGCAGCAGGTTTTCACACCAGCTCCTCAGCCCTGTCCTAGTGCTGCCCCAGACTGAGAGGACCTGTGGTAAGACCCACACCCCTGCTCCATGGAGCCTAAATTTGCCCAGGAGCCCATTGGGCTGGTGAAGAATCAGGTGGATGAGGAATCAGTGTGAGCTTCACCAATTCTATCAACTATGTTGGGAGACCAAGTTGGGAACGGTTGGGAGAGGTATTTAGGGCATGGTGTGGGGAAGTGTTGGTACAAAAAGAATCATAGCCTCCCACTCCAGGTCTGTCTTAAGGCCACTGATGGCACCAAGTGGAGCAGGCAGCCATGGTGACTAGTGACATGCCAGGACCTTGTTTCCTGTGTACAGGGATGGGCCACAGCAAACAGCACCACGGCTCGGCGTCTTCACCCGGAGCATGGCCAAGAAAACAGTGCAGAGTTCATCCAACCAGGTCCTGCTCAAGTTCCACCGTGATGCAGCCACAGGGGGGATCTTCGCCATAGCTTTCTCCGGTCAGTATGGAAGCCTGGCCTGGTGGGAAGGGCCAGGCTTTCAAGTCAAGGCTGAGCTTGACTCCCGTCTCCACCATTTGCGGATCATGTGACCTTGAGTGAGTTGTATAACCTCTTGGAGCCTCAGTGTCTTCAGAGTTATGAGAATTAAATGTATTAGCCTATGTGAGAGCTCTCAGTGCAGGGTTCTGTAAATGCAAGTTTTCCTCCTATTCCACACTGCCAGGGCAGAGAGGCACAGAAGCCCAAACCTTGGTGCCAAGTCCACTCATTCACATCAACTCACTGGCTGGATCATCCCTATACCTGTGCCCCAGCTTATCCCTTAGCACTTTCTAGCGGGTTCTCCTTCTCCAAAGGGATCTAGGGCTTCTGCTGACCTCTCAAGGAGCACTGTGTTTTTGTGCACAAATGAAGATATTGTGATTTTGAGTAGGAAGAGTATGAACAATTCAGAGTAGGTATGCCTTTATTGGCAGCCTGTTTTCTTCTACAAGTCCCAAGTTAGGGATCTGGATATTTCCTCATTTTTATTATAGTGGAATTGCCTAGAGAAACTTATAGAATGTTCTCTGTGGACTTGTGCCTATCTATGGAATGATGCACATATTTGCAATTTACAGATCACTGCAGATATTTTAACCAGAAATCAGGAAAGCTGGATTTTACTCCCAGCTCCACCTTGGGCCAGCTGTGTAAAACCTTGCACAGGTCCCTTCCCCACTTGAGACTTCAGTTTCTTCACCTGTAGAATTACCGGCTTGGAGTTTGTGACCTGTAAGAATTCTGTGAGGTAGTAAGGCAAATATTCTAACCCCCACTTTACAAATGAAGAAATAGGGCAAAGGAAGGCTCAAGTACTTGCCCAAAACCATGTGGATAGAACTGGAAACAGAACCCAGCCTCCGCAGTATCTGCTGCAGTATCTGCTACAGTATCTGCTCTGGTGTGACTATACAGTGTTATTACATCATGCGTGCACTTGCAGAAACACACTAAGACTGTGAAAGAGGTAGTGAAAGAAACAGGAAGCAACAGAGAGAAACAAGGATGTAAAGAACCTAAGCAGCTGTGACTGCCATTCCCAGGAGCTATCGTCCAGGGTGAGTGCAATGTGGGAATGAGACTCCGCCCTCTCCATCTGCTCAGTTCCCATGCCCCTCTCATTGGGCACACCTGTCGCTCCACTAATGAAATCCAGGCTTTAAGGCTCTGTCATTTTGACTTGTGACTTTCCCATAGAGTGATAAGAGTATGGACTTCAGAGTCACAGACGGGTTCAAACCTTGGCTCTGACACATGCAAGCTATGTAACTTTGTCTGTCATTTCACCCTTCTGAGCCTCAATGTTATTATGCACAAAATAGGAATCATATAAGTACCTAACCTCCTAAAGTTAAATGAAACAATGCTTGGAAATCCTTAGCTCCAGGCACAGAGTATAAAAGGTGATCAATAAATTATAGTTCTAATAGTCATCATTGTCATGATTATTTTTATTATATCTAGATATTGACAGGCTTGGTGTAAAGTTACCTTGGTGGTAGGCCAGGTCTCTTGTTCCTGTTCCTGAGCCTTCACCTGTACCAGAACCAGGCAAAGGAGGCTCAGCACAGCCCCAGGCCATCCTTATTTCCAAGTTCTTCTCAGCAAGGTCTTTCATTGAGAGTGCTTGCCTAAGGGCACAATGCTCCTTCTGCCTCTCAGATGAGACACAAGGCCCTTGCTATGGTGTAAATGCTTAGGCCCCCCTAGAATTCATATGCTGACATCCTAACCCCCAAGGTGATGGTATTAGGAGGTGGGGCCTTGGGAGGCAATTAGGTCAGACAACAGAGCCCTCATGAATGGGATTAGTGCCTTTATAAAAGAGACCCACAGAATCACCACACTGAAGCCTTCTCAGTGGAAAGAGCTAAGAAGCACAGGAAACACAGAGGCCGAGGTGGGCGGATCGCCTGAGGTGAGGAGTTCAAGACCAGCCTGACCAACATGGAGAAACCCTGTCTCTACTAAAAATACAAAATTAGATGGGCGTGGTGGCGCATGCCTGTAATCCCAGCTACTCAGGAGGCTGAGGCAGAAGAATCGGTTGAACCTGGGAGGCGGAGGTTGCAGTGAGCCAAGATCACGCCATTGCACTCCAGCCTGGGCAACAAGTGTGAAACTCCATCTCAAAAAAAAAAAAAAAAAAAAAAACACAGGAAACTCATTTGCTGCTTTTACCACATGAGGACACAGCATAAAGACAGCTGTCCATGAACCAGTAAGAAGGCCCATACCAGACATCAAAATTGCCAGTCCCTTGAACTTGGACTTCCCAGCCTCTAGAACTGTGATAAATAAATTTCTGTTGTTTAGAAGTCACCCAGTCTATGGTAATTTGTTACAGCAGCCTGAATGGATTAAGACAGCCATTCAGTCCCAGCTCAGACCAGAGCCCAAGGCTTCACTGACCACAGGAGCAGGCAAGGGTCTGGGGCAAGAGAGGAGGAACTGCTGTGCCCAGATCGGCAGGCTCAAGTGGGAGAGGCACTGGACTAGGGGATGAGTGAGCAAGAGAGGCACATTCCATGCCTCATAGAACTTTTGGTAAGTTGTGGAATATATCCTACATATAAAAATGTATGTAACATGTATGTGCAGTTTAAAGAGTAATAAAATGAACACCATCATTGAGCCTAAGAAAAAGAACACCTAAGCCTTTGAAGCTCTGTTCCTTCCTCAGCACATTCCCCTACCCTACCCTGAGAGTTAACCATGATCCTGTACTTTTGGTTAATATTCATTGCTTTTCTTTTTATTTTACTCCATATGTGAGTCTCCAAAAATATGTTGTTTAATTTTGCATGTTATTTCTGTTATGTAAAGACAATCATTCTATAAATGTTCTTCTGTGACCTGCTCTTCTCACTCAAAATTAAGTTTTTGAAATTCATGTTGATGCACGTGACTGCACTTAACTCATTTTTCAATGCTGTATGATTTCATTGCATGAAAATATAGCAATTTATTTAGTCTACTGTTAACACTTAAGTTGTTTCATTTCAAGCAATAAGAACATTGTTGCTTATTCCTTATTGTGAACATGTACAAGGGTTTCTCTTGAGTACATGTCTGTGTGGAGTTGTGAGGTTGTAAATATCCACATATTTAGTTTCACTAGGTAATGCTCAATTTATCTTAGAAGCAGTTATAACCATTTACACTCTTCCCAGCAACTGAAGTAGAGTTCCTTTTGCTGTACATCCTTGCAAACACTGGGTTTTAGCAGACTTTACATTTCTACCAGTCTGGTAGGTGCATGAGATGGCATTTCACTTGTATGCTTGTGATGAGGCAGAGCATCCTTTCCTGTGTTACTGAGTGTTCATGCTTCCTGCTCTGTGAAATGTCTGCTCCCCAGACAGCTTTCCTGCTCCAAGGAGAAAGAGATAATGAGTAACCAAGAGGACAAAATTTTTGCAAATTGTAACAAATGCTTCGAAAGACATAAAAGGATAAGATAGCAAACAAAAAGTTGTAGAATTCCATGCAAAGTAATTGTGGAAAACCTAAGAGAGGATATTCAAGATAAGAACTAAAGAAAAAAAAAGGAGCTAGACTTGCAAAAAGTGGACAGTGGAAGGGAGTGGGGGAAAGAATTTTTGCCTTTCTCCAGGCAAGCAGCCCTAAGGAACTTTCTTTTCATATGAGGATCAATAAGAAAAAGGAAAAATACCTTAAGGAGACCTGTGAAAGATTTTATAACATTAAAAGTTAGAACATGAAGTTTGAATTACAGAGAAAAATGCCCTTGAAAAAAAAACATGGTTTAGGAACTAGAAGTAATAGAAATAAATTTTGGGAAGCATCTTCTTCTAATATAAGTCTAGATAACATGGACTCCAAATAACAGGTGAAATGTTCAGACAGCACACAAATGAAAAGAAAGATCTGGCCAAGAGATAAATAAAACGAAAGCTAAATCTCTTCCCTTCCCCACTTGAATAATTCAGTCCTAAAGCTGTGAGATGGGACAAAGCAAAGACATCTGATATGGTTTGGCTGTGTCCCCACCCAAATCTCATCTTGAATTGTAGTTCCCATAATCCCCATATGTCATGGGAGGGACCAGGTGGAGATAATTGAATCATGGGGGCCAGTTTCCTCCATCCTGTTCTCATGATAGTGAGTTAGTTCTCACGAGATCTGGTGGTTTTATAAGGGGCTTCCCTCTTCACTGGGCTCTCATTCTTCTCCTTCTTGCTGCCATGTGAAGAAAGACGTGTTTGCTTCCCCTTCTCCCATGATTGTAAATTTCCTAAGGCCTCCCCAGCCATGCTGAACTGTGAGTCAACTAAACCTCTTTCCTTTATAAAATACCCAATCTCAGGTATGTTTTTATTAGCAGTGTGAGAACAGACTAATACAGCATCCATACCTGTCAGGCAAGAGGGAGTGTGAACCATTGTAGCCCAGGCCGGGGTGTCAGGGGGAGCCACACTGATGGGCTGCCTGGCATGGGCAGCTGGAGCTTAGGTATCTGTACAGGGATGGAGCTGGCACAGGGTGTCAGAGCTCTGCGCAGGATGAGCAGACACCCATGTAGGGTATTGGAGCCCAAGCAGAGGAAGGCGGACAGCCACACAGAGAAGGTTCAGCCCAGGAAAGGAAGTCAGAGCCCAAGTAGGGTGAGGAGGGAGGGGTCAGCAGAAATGAAACCTTGGTTCCAGATGGGTGACTGATCGAATACGTTAATACGTCAAGGACAATAGAAGGCAGGTGTCTCACTGTCAGAGAAGAGGGTTAGAACTATGGATAGAGCAAAAATTATAATATACCCAATGGTGTTAAATTTGAATTGGATGTATCAGTGTGAGCTTATGGTTTTCAATATGTAGAGATATGGAAGAAAATAGTGTGTGAGTGGGGCATGTTTGAGTACATGTGTGTTTGCACATACATTTCTTAGCTCTTTCTACTGAGAAGGCTTCAGAGCAGTGATTCTTCAATAGTAATGAGCACATCTAGCACCAGATATTGGTTCCTAAATAACATTTTCCACTAAAATGGACCAGGGCTCCTTGAAGAAATGGCTAATCCCAAGCCTGGGGCAGAGAAAGTAGAAGACAAGCCAGGAATATCTTATGGCAGAAACTAAGGAAATGCCCAAGGCATGATGGAGACATGTCAAAGGGACATAGAATCTGGCTTGGAGGGGTTCTCATTGACCATATTGGGGATAATTTGAGAATCAAAGTTGTTTAAAATAGTAACAAATGGTGGTGACCTATTGAATCAAACAGAACACTATGTATATCCACGCAGACATTAAATAATTACAAGTTTTTATAAGGAAGGGGATATTTACATAACTTCAAACTACCCCTTCCCCCACCCCACTCCACACACAATAATAACAAAGGGAAAAAGAAGTGGAGAAGACTGGAAGACACGCCCACCTCATCAATAATGGGACAAATTGAAATCATACTCCAGGTGAGAGGATGCAGTGAGAAGAAGCCAGCATCACTTCCATGATTATCCAGTTGCAGAAGACAAGCTGAACATAATCAGGAGGAAACACCAGGCAAACCTAACTTGAGGGACGGACTGTCAACTCCCTGGCAGGCAGTCTTCAAAAATATAAAAGTTCTGAAGGTCAAGTAAAGACACTGGAACCATTCCAGACTAAAGGAGACCAAAGAGACATGACAATGAAATGCAACATGTGATTCTGAACTGGATCAATAAATTATCAAGGAATTTATCGGAAAAACAGGTGAAACTTGAATGAGATGTGAAGATTCGATGGCAGTAATGTGTCAGTGTTAATTTCCCAATGTTGATGGTTGTTTTGTGGTTATGTGAGAGAATGTGCTAGTTTGTAGGAAATACACTAAGATATTCTGGGGTTACAGGGCAACATGTTGGCGACTTACTTGCAAACGGTTCATGGAAAAAGATTTTTGTACTATACTTCCAACTTCTCCTATACCTTTGTGGCTGCTCCAAATTAAAACTTTTATTTCCAAGGGAAGCTAGATACTAAAAAATAGCAAGACTGAAAAGAAACAAAATAGCGTAATTTTCATCATCACAAGAATCAGCGAGAGCAGAAGCAACACTGTAGAAAAACAATGCAAAGATGAGGAGGACAAACCTGAAAATCTCAACCCAAATAGGGAGAAGGGCAGAGGCGTGAAAATGGTAGAGAGAAGATAGAAGATAAGAAATAAGGAGACCCAGTGGACAAAGAGCCAAGACACTGATAACAAGCATTCAGGAAGAAAGGAACCAAATGGAAATGATAAAACTTTTCTGAGATGAAAGAAAACCTGTGTATATAAAGGAGCTCTCTGGATACCAAGAGAAATAAAAAAGAGGCTGGCAATTTTTTCAACTTGTAAGGGTGAGGAGTAGGGGAAATCTACAAGAATCCAGGCTGAGAAAGTTACCTTAAATGAACCAAAATCAGACAATTCTCAGGCTAATTTTTGACGTTAGATTACAGAAAATGAAGGAGGTGATGTTTAAGGAGGAGAAAAAGTTAGGGGCTTCATGTGTGAATGCAAGAAATTGTTATTTGCAGGGATTCAAGAATTTACAATTATTGCCACTCTATCTCAAGCGGGGCTGTAACTCCAGGTGGCTGTAACTCCGGATGAACTCCAGATGAACCAGTAACTCAAAATAGAGAAGATGTATGAAAGAAAAGATAAAAATGGAGTGTTGATACTAGTTAAGCACAGACTTAAAGCTAAATAATAATGGAACATATGGATTCAAAGCAGTGCAAATACAATAATTCTTAAAAGACTACAAATAATTATTTTATATTAATAAATGTGCAAGAAGGTGGAAAAGGGATAAGAGAATGTCCTTATCTTTTGTGACGGTGGAATCAATATATATTATCCAATTGTTGACTTTGATCACTAGAGAAATAAGGATTTTGAACATATACTTTAGTCACTAATATATTTAAAATAAAGTATAGTACTTCTAAATCACTAAAAGAAAAAACATGTAAAACATAATCCAAATATAAAAGGCAGAGAACAAAGGAAACTATGTAGGGACAAAGATACAGCAAGCACAAAATAAGATACAGCAGTAGAATAAAATCATTCAATTGTAATGAAAAATGCAAATTTACTAAAATTCAATTTCCTGTTAAAAAACAAAGACTCTTAATGATCTGGTTTGGCTGTATCTCCACCCAAATCTCATCTTGAATTGTAACTCCCACAATTCCCATGTTGTGGGAAGAACCTGAATTATGGGGGTGGGTCTTTCCTGTGCTAGTCTCATGATAGTCAGTAAGTCTCACAAGATCTGATGGTTTTAAAAAATGGGAGTTTCCCTGCACAAGCTCTGTCTTGTCTTGTCTGCCACCATGTGAGACATGCCTTTCAACTTCCACCATGATTATGAGGCCTCCCCAGCCACGTGGAATTGTAAGTCCAATAAACCTCTTTCTTTTGTAAATTGCCCAGTCTCAGGTTTGTTTTTATCAGCAGCATGAAAATGGACTAATATATTTAGATTAACCTAAATAACATTCAACTATATTTTCTATACCAGGAACATAACTAAGACAATGTGACACAGTTTAAAGATAAAAGGGTGGCCAGAGATTATATTGGGCAAACATAAACAACAACAGTAACAATCAAAGAAAAATGCAGAATTCATAATGTCTTCAAGGTTCCATGTTATAGCATGTGTCAGAGTTTCCTTCCTTTTTAAGGCTGAATAACATTCCACACATGTGGTATATATTTATTAATAACGTTAGTACAGACCACATTTTGTTTATCTGTTCATCCCTCTATGGACATTTGTGTGGCTTCTACCTTTTAGCTTTTGTGAATAATGCTGCTAAGATCATGAGTGTACACATATGTCATGATAATTTTTTTTTTTTTTTTGAGACAGAGTCTTGCTCTGTTGCCCAGGCTGGAGTGCAGTGGCGTGATCTTGGTTCACTGCAAGCTCCGCCTCCCAGGTTGGCACCATTCTCCTGCCTCAGCCTCCCGAGTAGCTGGGACTACAGGCACCCACCACCTCGCCCAGCTAATTTTTTGTACATTCAGTAGAGACGGGGTTTCACCGTGTTAGCCAGGATGGTCTCGATATCCTGACCTTGTGATCCGCCCACCTCGGCCTCCAAAACTGCTGGGATTATAGGTGTGAGCCACCGCGCCCGGCCGTCATGATAATTTTTAAAGTGATTATCCAATTAGGAAGGTTGCAGAAAGATGCCCACTTAGTGATAGGTAGTTTGAGAATTGCAGATCCAAAACCTTAACACAATATGATTAGCTACACATTCCAATCACTTTGTGGTGCCTGTGCCACTCATAATGTTCTCTTTAACTGCTCCTCAGGGCACTTGGCAGCTGTTTGTACATTGTGACACCCCTCCACGCACACATCTGCCCCCCAGCCACAGAAGCTTGGACCAGAGGTGGACACCTGAGCTGACTGCAGCAGGGGCAATCAGATGTTCTCTCTTGGGAAGTTGAAATAGGACCCAAGAGATTCTACTTTTGCCTGGACCCATCTCCTGAAAAGATAAAAATCCAAGTGCAATGGATTGCTGCTCTTCTACTTTCCATGTGGACCAAAAAGTAGAACAATCCTATGTGCAGAAAGAGAATGATTGAGAAGTGGAAAAATTTCCTTGGTTTCTGATGGCCCTTCAGTTCCTCGTCCTCTACCTTTGTGAAGTCTGGCTGCAAACCCACCCTTGGGTTCTCTCTTCTCTGAGAGGCTTTTTTGCTTATTCTAGCCTGAATTGATTTATTTACATCCAAAGGTTCCCAAGGAATACAACAACCTAGGACCCAGCAATCCTACTTCTGGGAATTATGCAAAGATATGTGCATGAAGATATTGCTTGATATGTTATAACAGGGAAATTAGAAATAATCTAAATGTAAAAATAGTAAGAGATTAGGTATTATAAATTTAAAGTGTATACTCAGAGAGAGAGAGATAGGGAAAGATACAGTCATTACAAATCATTCATGTATGAACCTGGGCAACATAGTGAGACTCTGCCTCTACCAAAAAAAAAAAAAAATTAGCTGGGTGTGGTGGTGCATGCCTGTAGTCCCAGATACTCAGAAGGTTAATGTGGGAGGATCAGTTGAGCCCAAGAGTTTGAGGTTACAGTGAGAGCTATGATTGTGGTACTGCACTCCAGCCTGGGTGACAGAATGAGAACCTGTCTCTAAAAAGAAAATAAAAAGAATCACTCATGTAGAATACAATTCACTGATTTAGGAAAATGTTTATTTTATATTGTTCAGTGCAAAAAAAGCAGGTGATTTTAAAAACTCAGGTGATGGTATCACAAGAAAATGCAGTGATTATGGACTCCCACCCTAGACCACACTCACCACTCCTTGTGATGTTCTGAAAAAGAGATACAGACAAGAAACAAAGGCAAAGGAAGGCATTTCAATATTAGCTGGGCATGGACCCCAGATTCAAAAGCAGAGCCTGAGTCCTTTGGTAAGCTCAAATGAACCATGTGAGCTCACATTTTTTTCTAAGCTAATTTGGTTTTAAAGGCTGCAAATGAGGCCGAGCATGGTGGCTCACGCCTATAATCCCAGCACTTTGGGAGGCCAAGGTGGGCGGATCACCTGAGGTTGGCAGTTCTAGACCAGCCTGACCAACATGGAGAAACCCCGTCTCTATTAAAAATACAAAATTAGCCAGACGTGGTGGCGCATGCCTGTAATCCCAGCTACTCGGGAGGGTGAGGCAGGAGAATCACTTGAAACCAGGAGGTGGAGGTTGCCATGAGCCGAGATCGCACCATTGTGATCCAGCCTGGGCAACAAGAGCAAAACTCCATCTCAAAAAAAAAAAAAAAAAAAAAAAAGATAAATAAAAGCTTCAAATGAAAGGCCAATTCAGCACACCCAGCAGCTTGAGGAATAACATTCCCAGGAAGACGACAGGGACCATTGCTCACAATGGCTGCTGCTGAGCCAACTGCTGCTTAACATTAATAAAGCAATTGCCCCCACCGTTCACGAGTTAACATGTTCACACACACCAGAATCTGGCTATGCTCTCTCAACACCTCACCCTCTTCCCCTCAGGGGAAGAAGAAGGGTATTCACAAAATGAAATGGAAGAGTCTGCCTTGAATGTCCCCTGCCCTAGAGTTCTGTAGCAATAACATGGTGGATACAGTGGGATACCATCAATGTGGTAAGAGTATATGTGTGTGTGTGTGTGTGTGTGTGTGTGTGTGTGTGTGTGATGGGAAATAGGGAGGGCGTGTCTGTAAAAGACCCAAGATCCTACAGCAAAATCTTCACAATGCTTATGCCTAGATGGTGAGATTTGGGAAATTTTTGTTTTGTTGCTTTTTAGTATCCCATGAGCTTCCCGCATTAAACAGAAATTTGTAATTTTATGGCCAGGCACAGTGACTCACACCTGTAATCCCAGCACTTTGGGAGGTCAAGGTGGGAGGATCACTTGAGCCCAGGAGTTTGAGACCAGCCTGAGCAATATCTTGAAACCCGATCTCTACAAAAAAAAAAAAAAAAAAAAAAAATTTTAATTAGCCAGGTGTGGTGGCATGAGTCTGTAGTCCCAGCTACTTGGGAGGCAGAGGTGAGAGGATAGCTTAAGCCCAGGAGGTCAAGGCTGCAGTGAACCATGATTGTGCCACTGTACTCCAGTCTGGGTGACAGAGCAAGACCCTGAAAAAAAAAAAACCTAGTTTTAAAATGTAATGGAAAATCACCCCAATCAAAACAGTAATCACAAAATATAAAGTACCCAGGCTGTATTTAAGTGGGGATTTGTTTTTATTCATTTTTTTTTCCTGGAAAAGTTTAGTATGCCTTAGAAGTTTTGAAGATAAGTATGACACTGAGAATGGAAGGCACCAATTTTTTTAACTTATTAAGAAAAATTATAATTGGCTACATAAAAACTTAATACTTCTACAAATCAAAAGTGCCATAAATAAAACTAAGCAAATGATAAACTGGGAAAATATAATTAACGGCTAAGGTCAACCTTGAATATTCAGAGTTCTTCAAATTTATAAGAAAAATAGGGGCAAAGAAAGTCTTTCATAGCTAGACCTTCTTTCTGCCTAGAGTTTTATAATGTGTCAAGCTGCGGGGTTTCACCGTGCACTGGATGTGGATGGTACAGTATGCAATGCACAGAGGCACTGTTTTGTCACGCCATATTGTTGGGTGATCATGAAGTGATGTTTTAAGTATTTAAACTTCTAACATATTGGTTCATCACAACTCTTTTAATAGACAGTTAAAAAGAGAAATGCAAATAGGCCATTAACGTGAAAAATGCTTAGCCTAATTAGTTATCAAATGCCAATTAAAATAAAATAAATGCTGCTTTTTTGTTTAGCAAGTTAACAAAGATTAAAACAGACGACTATCTCTCCCAGTGGGGCCTAAGTTCTGTGAGGGCAAGGGATGTATTTGTTTTGGTTGTTCTTGTAACCTCATCACCTGACACAGTGCCTGACCCAGGGTGAGCCCTCCATAGACAATCATTACATGAACTGGGTGAAAGAAGAATGATGGCACCCAGTGCTGGAGGAACAGTCACTCTGTTGACAGTATCAATGGGAACCATTTTCCTGGAGGGCAAAGTGGAAGCATGCAGCAAGTGTGGACGTGGCCTTCCCAGGCTTATGTTAAATCAAAGGTAAACCCACTTGGTTACCTCAAGAGTGCCTCTTAGTTTTAACACCCACATTTCATAGAGCTTACGTATCTCTCAGTACGATACATTTCAGCGAGTGCGTCTATAGAAAACATTTACAGTTAGATCCCCCAAAACATAGTACACCATTTTCAATAAATCTATATGCAGGGAAAGTCTCAAGCTGCATTCCAACTACAGTTGGTAAAATGTCAGAATCCCATGCGGACTTTTGGAAAGGGGCTCCAATTCCATGGCGGGGATGTGTGTCTCAGAGGCTGCTGGCTCTGAGGTGTCACTCCATGCTGTTCATTGTAAACTGTACTCTACCACCTAGTGCCAGTCCTGAATGCATTCCCACTGAGTCTTTCATAGCTAGACCTTCTTTCTGCCTAGAGTTTTATAATGTCTCAAGCTGCAAGATTTCATGGCGCACTGGATGTGGATGGTACAGTATGCAATGCACAGAGGCGCTGTTTTGTCACACCATGTTGTTGGGTGATCGTGATGTTTTAAGTATTTAACTTCTCTAACATAATGGTTTGTTGCATATATTTAGGTATTTTATTTTGTCTTAATTACTTTTTGGATTTTGGGTTGAAGTACAACACAGTATAATTTTTTCCCACTTAAAATAATGGGATATAGGCTCCTAGTTAATATCTTTACACAGAACATTTGATTTCCAGGAAAGGATTACTGACATTCAGCAGGAGATATCTGTACTTTCAAAAGGGTCATGTACTTGAATCTTCCTAGTTAAAAAAGAAAAAGAAAAAAACGTAAAAGATGCATATATAAAAAAAGATTTCATTGCAGCTTTATTTTAAATTGCAAAACTTTGGAAACCTAAATGGTTAACAGAGTATCTGTTAAATACATTCTAGTAAATCTGTATGATTAAATCCTATGAAGTTATTTCAATCATATTTTCTAAGAAATGTAATTATATGGGAAATTCTTGCAATATAATAATAAGTGTGCAAGGATCAACACAAGCTATATAACATATAATGCAAGTTGTATAAAACAAAAATATTTATATTTGCAGAGAATAAACACTCCAGGAACGTACTGTAATTGGTTAACAGTCGTTATCTCTGAGAGGGCAATGGATAAGTTTGATTTCTTCCTACTGTTCCATAGAATACCTCAAATTTTCTTTAATGATAATGTACTATATTTGTATTTATTAAAGAACACTTTTTTAATATAGCAAGGATTGGGGTGATTGGAAATAGTAACGATAACAGCAGCAGTGGCAGCAGGAGCAGCTAACACTTGTATAGCACTTGACTCTGTGTTAGTAATAAAAGCCAGGTTATGAGCCCACACTGAACTTAGCCTCAGTAAATAGCATCCTGCCTCTAGCATCATCCAGTCTCTGCCCATAGGGATGAATTCCAGCCTAGAAAATTTGTGAATCCAGAAGTATCTGGTCAAAGATCAGAAGGGTCAGCTTGTCAGCTGACTTCAGTAGGTACTCGCAAAAGCCACATGCAGCATGTAGATGCTCAGTGGTGGGAAGAATACAGGGTTTGGGAACAGCCAGACCTGCATTCAAATCCTACCTGTGCCACCTAATTCCTGTGTGACCTTGAGGAACTTACTTCACCTTTCTGAATCTCACTTGCTCACGAGTAGAGTAAGAGCACCTCACAGCATGGTCAGATGTTGTGAGGGTTAGAGTGGCAGCCTATAAAACGCCTAATATCCACGAGGCACTCAGAAAACGCTCCTCTCCCACCCTTCAGTGCTGGTGATGGTGTCACTGACTCCTTAGATTGCCCCTCTTTTGTTATTATTAATTTCAATAAGGATGACAGAAGATAAGCAAAAAGGACTTGGCTAAACTTGCCCTGTTTACAGATAAGTACTCATGAATATCTGTGTGTGAATAAATGAGGGATGAGAAAGTGAAGAATTGAACAAATGAATGACGGTGTACCTGGAGAATGATGATCTTACCCTGACTTGCCTGCTTTTATCTTTTCAGCTTATCCACTCACCAAATGCCCTCCTCCCACCATCCTCCCCAACGCCGAAGTCGTCACAGAGAATGAAGAATTCAATATAGGTACCACCTCCCAAGCCAGCAAGGACTGTGAACCCAGGACTGGGGAAGGAAGGGAAGGTGGCGGGGGGAGCTGTCGGGCCAGTGGACCTTATCCCCTGCTCCTGTCTGTGGAGAGAGAAACAGTAGGCCCTGTGCCAGAGGGTTCTGCCCACTGAGTTTACACCCAAAATAAAATCAAAAGGGGAGGCAGAAAAATAGTTTTCTTTTTTTGGTTCAAGTCAGCATCTTTTTGAGAAATAAATCCATGCAAGACAGTATAAAATGTCCTGGAATATGAAACATTCTGAGGCTCACACAAGGCTGAGTTGTGAGAGGGGAGCAGTCGTCTGGGCCATTTGATGGGAGCTGAGCTAGTTATTTAAGTCTGAACAGAACATGACCCGCCTCTGATTATCTCACCTGGAAGTGGGTTCAAGGTACTAATGACTGGACTTCTTAAGAGGGTCTACATGTTGGTCTTTCTTTGACAGGTGACATCGTACGCTACAGATGCCTCCCTGGCTTTACCTTAGTGGGGAATGAAATTCTGACCTGCAAACTTGGAACCTACCTGCAGTTTGAAGGACCACCCCCGATATGTGAAGGTAATTGCATGGAGCCGCATCTGTATGGGGCCTAGAAGTTCCTCCTGAACAAAGCTCTTGTTTTGCTCCTCTTTCTATTCCCAGTTCTCAGCTCAGTCACTGCCCCATAACATGAAAGGTCACTTGGTAAATGTTGTCTGATGGATGAGTAAGTGCATGAGGAATGAGTGAGTGATCACTCTAGATAGGTTCTCTGCCCTGTTCTGATATCTGAACCTGTGAATTGGCCACAGTGGCCACATTTATTTTCATCTGCCTTTTTTTCATTCCTGGGAATTTCTTGGAATTGCATACTGAGTACTGGAAGGAGGAAGTCCCTCCCTGGTGTGGGCGTGGGCTCACACACCATCCCTGCTTTACTGATGCGCGGATGCACTCAAGGTGCTGTGTGCCAAACCAGGCAACTGAGAGACCACAGCAGTCTTTATTCCAGTGTACCATGCCTTGACAGAAATGAATTCGCTTCAGCGAGTCACCCCAATTAAGATCAAAAAATAGTCTCCACTCATCAGGCATCTGACCTAAGGCAAGGTACCTGATTGTCCTGCCCTCAGCCTTCCCTTCTATAAACTGAGGATAATGATAGTACTTATGCCATGGCGGTATTAAATGGGTTAATAACATAAACCAGTTTAGAATGATGCCTGGCATGCAGTAATTGCTCCATATTTGTGTTAATATTATCATTAGTGCGACTACTGTTTCTAGAACTACTGCTACCTGCAAATATTCAGTAGCCTATGGGGAAACAGGTCAGCCTTTCCCCCACTTCTGGGAAAGCAAGAGTAGGAAGAACCTGCAATATGGACTGTCAGTAAGGAATAGCAGACCTGGTAGAGGCAGGAGAGGACCACGAGGCCTGAGAGAACTTAAGTATCACCACATCTCAGTGCCCTGTGCTGGTCATCGGATTAGTGAAATCAGGAACATGTCAAAGCTAAGCGAGTTTCCTCTTAGAAGACATTAGTTTTCCTTCTCCTCTTAAAATTAAAAAGGAAGCTCTATTGGGAAAAGTCAGTGAGTACCTTTCAAAGCTACTCAGGCAGAATCCTGGATGCGTCCTGTGAAATTCTGGGCCACAGCAAGACTCTAGGAGCCCAGCCCCCGTGCTGATTACCAAGCCCCACTTCTCTGAAGGCAGAGGTGAGATGGGTGAACAGCCCATGGCAAAGTCTTGTACCCAAAATAGCATTACCTGAAATTGTAATCCTGGGATTAATTTTTGGTCTTGCAGTTCCCGTTCCAGAACCTCCCTTTTAGCAGTGTCCCAGAATCCAGCAGACCCAGGAAGCCTGTCTAAAGGCACATCTACTGCAAAACACTGATTTCTCCGTGTGCAGTGATAAGAATACTTACAACTATTGTCAATGCACACCTTTGTACTGAAAGAACAATGTACTGAAGAAGTTGATTTAGTCCTCAGAACTTTGCTTTGGCGTCCGCAACCCAAACAAATGGAGGTGGATGGTCCTGAAATTGCTTTCATGCTGTGATGCTTGCCTGTGCCCCAGGACACAGCATCTCCTCAGTGCTGGGGAAGGGCCTCTCTGAACCAGCAGCTTCCCTCCCACTCATGGTGATGACGAAATAACGAATCCTGCTCCTCCAGCTCCTCCTTTTCTAAGTTCCAAGCTCAATGTCTTCCTTAGAATGACATTTTTTTCTTTAGCTATATAAATAGTACTAATTAAGCCACAGCCAAGTTCTGAGACCTTTCTGTTCAAGATGCAGTTTTCATCATTCCCTCTACAATTTATTGAAGCACTATGTTGCATGCTTTACATATATTATTTCATAATATATATATATACATATATGTATATAGATATATTTTTTTTGAGATGGAGTCTCACTCTGTCGCCAGGCTGGAGGGCAGTGGTGCAATCTCAGCTCACTGCAACCTCCGCCTCCTGGGAAGCAATTCTCCTGCCTCAGCCTCCTGAGTAGCTGGGACTACAGGCACATGCCACCACACCCAGCTAATTTTTGTATTTTTAGTAGAAATGGGGCTTCACCATGTTGGCCAGGATGGTCTTGAGTTCTTGACCTCATGATTCACCCGCCCCGGCCTCCCACAGCGCTGGGATTACAGGCATGAGCCTCCGCACCCAGCATGTAATATTTTATATAATGCTCACAACAGCCCTGTAAGGTCTGTGTTATCTCTGTGTTGGAGATAGAGAAGCCATCACACAGAGAGGAGATAACTTGTTCAAGACCACACCATTAGTAAGTGGCAGAGGTGGGCTATGAATCCAGGTGTATTTGACTCAAAATCCCATGTACTTACCTCTGCCCTATACAGTACAATCTTTGTTCAAATAAAACCCATTTTATAGATTATCTCCTTTGGATCTGGGGAAGCCTTACTGTTGTCTGTATGTATGTTCCATCCTCCCCTACTCAAAGCCAGGTAGTAGAACCCACAACTTATCTAGGAAGTGATTCCAACCAACTGGCAAAGCTCAAGTCCCAGAAATACTGCAATATTGACACAGGATCTAAGCCCACCTCATGTCATGGAGCAGCACAGTGATGGATGTGGGATCTTATCTGAATGTGCTCAAATACTGATTTTCTAGGGGTTGTCTTTAGTATTGGGAAAAGCAAATGTATTGGCCGTAGTTCCATCTCCACCCCCACGTACTTGGTGTTTCTCTTTCTTTCTCCAAGTGCACTGTCCAACAAATGAGCTTCTGACAGACTCCACAGGCGTGATCCTGAGCCAGAGCTACCCTGGAAGCTATCCCCAGTTCCAGACCTGCTCTTGGCTGGTGAGAGTGGAGCCCGACTATAACATCTCCCTCACAGTGGAGTACTTCCTCAGCGAGAAGCAATATGATGAGTTTGAGATTTTTGATGGTAAGTCAGTCAAATGCCTCACAGTTCTCTGCTGCAGAAGACATGGACTTGCTCCAGAACCCGAGGAGTCTGTGCTGCAGTTTTCCTATCAGGGCTTGCCAGAAGCTCCACAGGATGTCCTTCCCTACCACAGCAACCCCAAGGCCATGGGACCTGAGGGGTGGCATGGCCCAAGCAGCAGAGCTGCTTGTACTGCAACTTGAACCTGTTACCGAACCTTTTCTTACTCTAGCTCCCACTCAAAGCCATTCCTGTTCATGTCAGCAGATAAATGGGTCAAACAGTATTCCCAAGTGAAGAGTGTGCTTCCTCCAAAACCCAGAGATCTACCAAACATTGTGCTGCCTCTTTGGCTTTAAGAGGGAAAATGTGCAATAATTTGCTCTTTAATTTGGAGGGCATGTCTCAGCATGCTTCAGACCACTGGACCCTAAAAATTCATAGCAGAACTTTGTAGGATTTACCTCTTACCCTCTGGAGCACATGCATCTTGAAAAGTCATCTTGCCAAAGCACTAATTGTCCCTTCTCACTCATCAGGTCTAATTAATATGATGTCCTCAATAGAGTGAACCAATATGTTATATTCTGCAAGATGTCCAGATGGTCCACATCCCTTTATACTCGGTTATGACAGAGAGCAGGAGAAGTAACATAGCTCTGGGGGAAACCATGAATGTATACTGTTGTCTACCTCATGTGAATGCAAAGTGCTTCTGATCCTCATTTCTGAAGGGTATGGAAAAGACTACATGGCCAGATCAACAGCTACATTCTATGTAACCAAGGCTGTGTTAATCTGTTCTAATAAAGATATGCGCCTCACACAGCTGCTACAATTGAGGCTCCTACTTTGTTAAGTGTGTACTGTGAGACGGACCTGGGCCAGGACTCCATTTATTCCCAAAACCACCCTTCATACACCACTCCTCTGGCAGAGTAGCTATGATAGTGCTTTGGACCCCCAGTCATCAGCATCAATTAACATCCTGTATCCAGAAGTCTTTGATATATCTGAACATTCCATTTTCTATAATATTCTGTTTTCTGAGTAAACAGTAGTAGGTCTTTTGGGGGAAGAACGGTAGGAACAACTACTATATACAATTATTGTCATTGTGCGGGGTCTTTTTTCATAGGGACCCAGCCTCTTGGGAAATGAAACCTGGCTCAAGTCTGCAAACTGGGCAAAGGATTGCACCTTTCTGCTGGGGGCAGCTTTTCTCATCCTGCAGTTAGCTACTAATGATCTGTTTTGTTCATATAGTTATACTTGTTTTGGCTGCTCTTCTTGGCTTCCTATTTACCTTGCCCTTAGGAACATCATGCTCTATGAGCCATCTTCGTAGATCCCGTAGGCCAGGCTCTCCCAGCTGCCATTCCAGCCTTGCTTCCCATTTTAGTAATTATGCCAACTTTGCTTCTGACTGTTAAGTAATTCCACCTGGCCTCTGTGTTCTAGGACCTTCTCATCCCCATTACTGCTAGGGAGCCCAGTGTCTCTCCCCATCAGTTTTGACCCACAGAGGATAGCCATTAGTTACTCAGGTTTTCAGCAATGCTGGTGCTCACCCGCTCCAGGAAGGCTGGAGCTCCTCACCTCCTGATTGCTTTAGTAAATGGAGTGTCCTCCAGGTCTTCCTGAGAACTATGGTCAACTTTTACACAGCAGACCTAGCCCAGCATGCCACTTCTCCCAGCCTTTCCCTTCACAGTTTGCATGGCAGTTCTGGTGACTCTACTTTGTTTAATATGATCCATTAATTTTTCCAAGCTTCTAAGAGCTGTCTCAGTGGCATAGTAGAGCCATCATTCAGGGCCTTTTCCAGAGTGATAAATCCTGTGTTATGGGTTATCCAGCTTTATATTCTGCGCCCCTTCAACCAGCCCCCTCGGGATGCAATCTCAGACATTTAAGGTAGGACAAAAGAAGAGGGAGGTCTTTCTCAAAGAGCTTTCAAAAGCAGTATTAGGGAGCTCTGTTACTTATGACCCCGAGACATGACATTTTCCTCTAGCTTTATTGCTATGTATTCATTCCATAAATATTTTTTTCTATATGGCAGGCACTGAGCTTTTTTTCTTTTCTTTTTTTTTTTTTTTTTTTTTTTTTGAGACTGAGTCTTTCTCTGTCACCCAGGCTGGAGCACAGTGGTGCGATCTTGGCTCACCACCTCCTGGGTTCAAGCGATTCTCGTGCCTTAGCCTCCCCAGTAGCTGGGACTACAGGCATGCACCACCATGACCAGATAATTTTTGTATTTTTTTTTTTTTTTTTTTTTTTTTTTAGTAAAGATGGGGTCTTGCTTGCCAAGCTGGTCTCAAACTCCTGGGCTCAAGTGATCCACCTGCCTCACCTTCCCAAAATGCTGGGATTACAGACATGAGCTTAAATACACACAAGAGAAGTAGGGTGGCCAAGTGGAAGAAGTTCCCAGTTTGAAAACCAGCTCTTCCATTAACCAGCTACTTGACCTTGTCAAGTCTCAAAATGCAAATCAATTTCATCTTACCTGCCAGCCCCTAGAGGTAGGCAGGGACTTCCTAGAGCACTGCTTTAGAGCTGGGCTTAGGAGAAAAGAGCACCTTGAGCAATGCCT
The DNA here is from genome assembly GCF_000001405.40 of Homo sapiens. Taxonomy (NCBI): domain Eukaryota; kingdom Metazoa; phylum Chordata; class Mammalia; order Primates; family Hominidae; genus Homo; species Homo sapiens. The sequence goes on along the minus strand of NC_000001.11, from coordinate 33,581,042 downwards.
GTGGATGCAGAGAGAGGAGTGCAAGTACAAATGATTTTGCTGACTCTGAACAAGTCACCCCACCCTCTGAGCCCTGAGGTCTTCCCTGGAGGCTCCCTGTGATGGCTCCCATGGTCTGTAATCCTGCGTCCTTCTCACCCCAGGTCCATCAGGACAGAGTCCTCTGCTGAAAGCCCTCAGTGGGAATTACTCAGCTCCCCTGATTGTCACCAGCTCAAGCAACTCTGTGTACCTGCGTTGGTCATCTGATCACGCCTACAATCGGAAGGGCTTCAAGATCCGCTATTCAGGTGAGTGAAAAAAACACAAATAAGCCACAGGCCCTCTCCTCATCGAAGCCTCAAGCTCCTCTGTGGAGACCGGGCGGCCATTCCCCTCCTAAATCTGCCTCACCTGAAGCTAAGTGGTCTTTGCCATTCCCCTACCTCCTATTTTTCTATTCCATTCCCCTCTTGAACCTCTTCCCTCTTTTCTCATACTGCCAGCCTTTGTCTTCAGGATAAGTTTAACAATTTTATATGATCTGATAATGCCTAACAGTGATCCTGTCCCTTTAGGAAAGTTAGGAAATGCTAATAAAAGTTTCTTAAAACTAAAAAGCCCTAAGGCATAGATCTCTGACTGGCAGATGTTAAGCATGCAGCAAAGGATGGGCTATATTTCAAGGCCAGGTGCCTTTCTTCTGCTCTGCAAGCCATATCTTATAAACAGAGTCAGATCAAAAGGCCAAAGACTGACCCAGGCAACAATCTATAAGGACTGAAAAAAATAATCCTGGGAATATAATGAGATGGAGAAAATTGAATTTATCTGATCTCTCGTCATGGGGATTACTGTCTGTGGTTGGAAGAAAACTTCACAAGGTGCTTGATGCCCACTTTGAAGAGAGGTGGGTTCAGTGAACTGCTGACTGGGCTCCGCAAGCTTGGAGGCAGAAATGAATTACTTAAGACCATGGGGGGTTCCATCACACACCAGTTCCCTTTCAGCACTCTTTCCCCTGGCTACCTTTGGCCTACATTCCAGGCAAACAATGAACAAATTTCTAAAGAATATTGGTTGGGGGCTAGGTGCAGTGGCTCACGCCTGTAATCTCAGCACTTTGGGATGCCAAGGCGGGCAGATCACCTGAGGTCAGGAGTTTGAGACCAGCCTGACCAACATAGTGAAACCCCATCTCTACTAAAAATACAAAAATTAGCCAGGCATGGTGGCATGCACCTGTAATTTCAGCTACTTGGGAGGCTGAGGCAGGAGAATCACTTGAACCTGGGAGGTGGAGGTTGCAGTGAGCCGAGATCACGCTACTGCACTCCAGCCTGGGCAACAAGAGTGAAACTCTGTCTCAAAAAAAAAAAAAATTAAAAAAAAAGAATCTTGGTTGGAAGGAATGTCAAATTCAGTGCCTGAAGTCCCACTTGCCACAGTCCATCTCTTCTCATGGGTCTCCTACTTGCAAGACCAGCCCATACTCAGTGGGTGGACAGTCTTAAAGAATCCCTGGGTGTAGCTTTCAGGGGAGAGCCAACCAGAGGAAGCTGAGGGCCCCTGGGAGAAGGTGGGTCTTGACTGTCTCAGAGCCCATATCCTCTGCAAAGTCCATCCAACCTCTCCTTTCCCTGGTGCACACGGAGAGGGGTCTGGGTGGCTGCAATGACTGAGTGCCCCAATGTCAGTGACCAGCTCTCTCACCTACTAGCTGTGGGATTATTAGGCAAGGTACTTAACCACTTCAGGCTTCAGTGTCCGCATGATGGAAAAGAAACTTTAAGGTGCCTCTTAGGGCTGAGTTCCTGGCAGCTGCTCACTCAAACAGGAAATATAGCAGTTTGGTAGCATTTCACTATGCTGGTTGCTAAATTAGGAACTGAACGTTATTAAGGAGTTACCCTTTCCTTGATGTTCTAACGTGTTTGGGGATAATGAGTCAGTTGTAATTACAATACATATGCCACGTAGAAAGTGAGTTAATTACATGGCGCAACAATTAGTACTTAATAATTCAGATCGAGTAGATGAGTGTAATTTGCACCTGCGTCTGTCACTGTGACTAAGTATATTTTACAACCGAGATTCTTGTTCCTGAGGGAGGTAACCATGTGGATACAGCACACATAGGACACAGCGGGCAAAGCAGGAGTAGGGAAACAAATTCGGCTTGGAAGGCAGCTATTTAAAACAACCATTTCACCGGCAGACGGATATGATCACCAAGAAAGAGGCCGGGGACCTCACCAGGGGTGGCTGTAAGGGCCCCACACGCGCATCCTGCCTTATCCATCTCTGCCTGGAAGACCCCACCAGGGACTCCTAGGGCAAACAAAGAGAATTATCTGCCTGCTCCTTTGGTCATCCCTCTTTCCTGGCCTCACAGAACTCCCCCTGAGGATCCCTGGCAGGCTTTATAATGTGAGTCCTTTCAGGCTGGGATTTTTTGTTTTGTTTTTTTTGTTTGCTTGTTTTTTGAGACAGAGTCTCACTCTGTCACCCACGCTGGAGTGCAATGGCATGAGCTCATCTCCCTGCAGCCTCCACCTCCTGGGTTCAAGTGATTCTCCTGCCTTAGCCTCCCGAGTAGCTGGGACTACGGGCACGCACCACCACGCCTGGCCAATTTTTATATTGTTAGTAGAGATGAGGTTTCACCATTTTGGCCAGGTTGGTCTTGAACTCCTGGCCTCAAGTGATCCACTGGCCTCAGCCTCACAAAGTGCTGGGATTACTGGCGTGAGCCCAGGCCAGGGTTTTGGTCTGTTTTCTTCACTGTTGTATTGCAAGCACTTAGAACAATATCTGGAAGATAATAGATACTTGATGTCTATTTGTTGAATAAATGAATGAAATAAGTTGAAGCCATATGTGGAGGGGAAATGAGCACTGTAGGGAAATGTGTGTCCCAGGTTGCCACAGGTCAGTCTCAGCACATTCCCCCACACAGCACAAAGAAGGACAATGACCACTTACTGAGCATTGAACAGTGAGTGCCCCATGCTGTGCTGGGGGCTTTATGTACGCAATCTACATATACAGCTTAAATTGCCCAAAAATCTGTGAGGTGGGTATTACCAGTCCCAATTTACAGGCGAGGAAATTGGAGCTGAAGTGATTTGCCCCAAGTTACAGAAACTGGTCAGATCAGAAACGGGACTGGAGCCCAGCCCTCACTAAGGTCAAAGTCCACACCCCCGCAGTCGCAGCTTTCTGGAACCAACCCCATTGGGTTCTACTTTCTAAGTCTGTTTCGGAGCTGAAGGGATTTGAGAGCCTGAACTTAGCCATACACCAGATCTACCTTTGGACCGCAAAAGGGACCCAGTGCTTCATGAAGCTGGTTTTTTTTGTTTTGTTTTGTTTTGTTTCCGTTGTTTTGTTTCGGCTTTACCAACCTGACTGGGTGTTTTTCAATATCCACCATTCAGACTTTCCTCAACAGCAGAGGATGTGGCAGTGGCAAAGACAAGGGGATGGGGGGGAGACGAAAGGGAAAGGGGCCTGCATGAAAGACCATGTCTGTCTTCCTGCTGGTGCCAGTTCCCTGAACCTCATCTTGTTGTTCAGCCCCTTACTGCAGCCTGCCCAGGGCTCCACTCCATGGCTTCATCCTAGGCCAGACCAGCACCCAGCCCGGGGGCTCCATCCACTTTGGCTGCAACGCCGGCTACCGCCTGGTGGGACACAGCATGGCCATCTGTACCCGGCACCCCCAGGGCTACCACCTGTGGAGCGAAGCCATCCCTCTCTGTCAAGGTGAGAAGCAGGTGGAAAGGGGGTCACAAGGTAGCTCGGATCCAACTCATATCTTGGGTTTGTCCCAGGACTAGTCACTTCCAAATGTGGGTTTCCTCTTTGATAATTATTTCATTCTTTCCACAAGCATTTACAAGATCTGTAGTGCGTAGCAATCTCAGTGTTTTGAGATCCATGGGGGAGATGGGTATGTGAGCACATCAATGCAAAGTGGCAGAGGAAGGAAGTGTCGTGTCAGGAGCATAATCAGTGTTGTGGGAGCCCAGAGGTGAGAAAGGATCTGCTTCCTCCTGGCCAGCTGGGGAGGGCTCCCAGCAGAGGGGATGCTTGGGTTCCGGCTCATAGAGCAAGTGGGTTGATCAAACACTTGAAATGTGTCAGTCAATTTGCATGCATTACCTTTTATGATTTATGATTTTATGATTTATGACAGTTTTTTCCCTTCAAGTAATATACATTCAAACTAAAAATCTGAAGAAGAAAAAAAAAAACGGTAGATAATGCAAAAGAAAAAAAGTGAAAATGAACAATAAACCTGAGATCACCACTGTTAACATTTCAGCACATTTCCTTTGGTCTTTTATGTATTGATTATAAAAATAGGATCATCCGTGTACAAAGCTCTTATAGATTTTGTTTCCCATAATGCTGTGCAACCACTGAAAATCATGGTGAGGAAGTATATTTAACTATATACTATTTTTTGAGACAGAGTCTCCCTCTGTCGCCCAGGCTGGAGTCCAGTGGCATGATCTCAGCTCACTGCAACCTCTGCCTCCTGGGTTCAAGCAATTCTCCTGTCTCAGCCTCCCGAGTAGCTGGGATTACAGTCACCCGCCACCATGCCTGGCTAATTTTTGTACTTTTAGTAGAGACAGGGTTTCACCATATTGGTCCGGCTGGTCTCAAACTGCTGACCTCAGGTGATCCGCCCACCTCGGTCTCCCAGAGTGCTGTGATTACAGGTGTGAGCCACCGCGCCTGGACTCTATTGTTAATATTATACTTCGTCACCATTATTTTCAATAGTTGCACAGCATTATGAGAAAATTGTCATTCATTTAAGTATCATTCTCTTGTTGGTCATTTGGATTTCTATATTCTTTGTGACGATAAACTTATAATTCCATCTTTATGAATATTACATATTTCCTTAAGGCAAATTCTCAGAAATGAGATTCTCGCATCATAACGTATGCGATTGACAGCTGTCGATACTGATTGCCTCCCAGAAAGTTTGTCCTCATGTATAGCAGCATGTGAGAACTGTCTTTTCTCCCACAGTCTCAACGTTAGGCACTGCATTTAAAAAAAGAAGAAAACATTGCCAACTACATAGACAAAAACAGGAAATCACATTGCTATTTGATTTTTCCTTTGGTTCCCAGTAGTGGTGAAGTACTTTTTAATGACATCTCTCATCTCTAATCCTCACAACCTTCTCGCCTGTGCCTGTGCTTTCTCAAAGAACAAAAACAATGTGCTATTAATAATCTACTCTACCCCTAAGCAAAGGTCACAGTGAACTGGCTGTCCACAAATGGCAAATGGCATTTGGCTTTGGTCTCTGCGTCTCTAACTGCATTAACAAGGACAAGTCTTTTTTCCGGAGCGCCAGTTGGAACCTACTAAGCCTCTCATTTCTGTTACCTTACATCACCACCCAAAATTAAGCCTCCACCAGACTTCAGTTGACCCATCCCCATACTACTGTGCATGTCTTCTCCCCACTGCACCCCTTGCCTCCCACTGATGCCCTTCCTCTAAGCCTCCCACTGTGTTCTCTGGAATCCTAGTTCCGTGGCCAGCAAGCGTACACCCTCAGTCCCTACCCAGCTGGCTGTCTTCACTTCCTCCCTCCATGGAGACCATGGCTGTCCTCTGAGAGCACGTATGCTGTGGCCCTTTCAAGTGGATTGTTAATCCCCCTCCACCCACCTCCTACTTCCCACAGAATTCTGGGCCAGGAAGGGCCTGGCATTATTCCACTTCTCTACTGCTGTTTCCAAACCATGACTTTTCCACTCTTCCTTTAGAGACTCTATGCCTCCTAATGCCTTCTCTCTCCTTCCCCAGCCCACTCTCTCACCTGTGTCTCTCTCCCTCAGAGATCTCATTCCACCACAAGCCTCAAATACTTTGTGATTGTATCCCCTCCTCCTCCTACCCACAGGAAGTGTCCCTCTTACCACCGGGTTTTGGGGACTGCATTTTGGCATGGAGATCATGAGACACAGGCTTTTAGTATCTCAGGCTGGAGTATTATCTTCTGTCCCCTTAGTTATCTACAAGAGCAAGGCCAGGCCAGGGCCTGTGAGAAGTGGCTGCCGCCCACTTCCTTCACTGCCCTCCCTGGATTGACTCTCCATGCAAGACACCAGTGGAGATCCAAGTATTTCTTCCCAAAGGATTTAAGGAAGCTGGGCAGGTAGTTGATGTAATATGACAGCTTAGCTAACCTAGTTCCACTGAAGGAGCTCATAGCCTTTCTGATTAGTCATTAAGAGTCTCATGTTTAAACACTCTCTTATTTCTCATTCCTTCTGTGTTCCTGATCCTCCTCTTCTGGAAAGTCCCACACTTAGATCCTTCTTCCATCTTGGTATTCCAACTTCTCTCCCTCTGAACAGTCTACCCTCCTCCATTCATAATGGAGCCCCAGCCTGATGCCTCTTATTGGTTCTGGAAATTCTTATAGCATCAAGCATCTTGTTAGGCAATCTCAATGGGACTCTGCCCAAGCTTATTCTGGCTCTAAGCGAAAAAGTTCTGAGCTCTAGACTAGTAGCCAGAGGGGATAGTGGATGGAGGCAGTAGTGGGTACTTTGACGGATTAATCTTTCCATCTGTAATACCCCCTGAGCTGTCAAAGAGCAAGGATGATTTATAAGTATTACTTTCTTTCAAAGACCAAACAGTCTACTCTTGCCTAAGTAATTCCTATTCCTCCTATAAACATAATGTCGACCCTACTCCTTATAAAATAATAATCCTGGCCATGTTGCTGCAAACATTTCTCTCCTGAGTTGTCCCTTTGAGATTCCTTTTCTTTGTATTCTTGAGTTAGTTCTGTCATTTTTCATATCTCATATATTGTCCTTTCCTGGTTTTCACCCTCTTTTTCATGGGGTATATCCTTAAGTAAATTCCTCAGAAAGGGTTCACAAGAGGTGCATTTTCTGAGACTTTACATGTCTGAAAGTGTCTATCTTTTTGCCCTCACACATGTTTGGTCAGTTGACTGGGTAAAATTCTAGTTTATAAATCATTTTCTTCAGAGGTTTAAAGCTTTGTTCCATTATCTTTGAACACTCACTGCTGATGGGAAGTCTTATGCCAGTTTGATTCTCGTTCCTTCACAGTTATGTCATTTTTTTTTCCCTCTTTCTAGTAATTTGGAGGAATGCCTGTGTGTCTCTGGACTTCTTAGATACACAAAATTCCGTGATGGTGAATCTAAGAGGGATTCTCTTTGCATTCCTTTGGCTCCCTTTCCATCTGAAGACTTGTGTCTCTCTTCAGCTCTGAGAAATTTTCATCTATGATAATTCCATCCCATCCACTTTTTGTGTTCTCTCTTTTTGGAGCTCTGAACAGTTGGATGCTGGACCTTCTGTATTGAGGATTGATCCGTGTTTTCTGTCATTTTCTCTCATTTTCGGTCTCTTTTTTTTCTATATTCTGAGAAATTTACTTTTCATCTCTAATCCTATAATGCTTATTTCGGCAATCATATTTTTCATTTCAAAGAGTTTGTCCTTGTTTTTTTTTTGTTTGTTTTTTTTTCCTTCAGAGCACACTGATTTTATTTTATGAGTACCGTATGTCACCTTGACTTTCTCAAGATACTACTGATCAGAAGTTTAAAGATTGTGTATCTTCTGTTTTCTAAATTAGCTCTGTTTCCTAAGGGGACATTTATTTTAAACTTTATCTTGGTTTGTCTTGTTCGCACTGCTGATTTTCTTCACATGTATAATGATCCTTGATCGTATTTTAAAAGTAAGGGCCAGGTTGATTTTTCCAGCTATGAGATGTGGATTACGTTTGTTATTTTTATATACAGATATCTTGGTCCACAAAGTCTCTCCTATCAGTGAGAGGTTGAGTTGAGTATGTGGCAGACCTGAGTAGGCAATGGGGCAGCCTTTAGGCCAAGAGACCATAAATCCTAGAATTAAAAGAGCTTTCCTCTGGGATGCCAACTCCCACCATAACAGCCCTAATTCATCCTAAGAGAGATCCCCCCTCAGTGGAAAAGAAAATTCTCTCTTTCGTTTGGAGAGTAGATACTTGAATGTGTCTACACTGTGTTTGTGGGAACAGATGGCGGAGAACTGGTTTCACCCTGAGGCTCCCTCCCATATATTTTGAGCTACAGCTTCTTTGCACTTCTATCTTTATTCCTTCTTCCAAACTTAAAAAAAAAAAGAAGAAAAAACTCTTCTGCTGATGATCCTCCCATTTTCTTTTTTATTATGATACTTTACCCTTTAATTAGTTTTTACTAATAAAAGGACCTTGGGAGGGGAGGAAGGATAAAAATAGTTTCTCAGAATACCATCTTAAAACAAATGCTCATGACATTGTTTTCCTTTTGCTAGCTCTTTCCTGTGGGCTTCCTGAGGCCCCCAAGAATGGAATGGTGTTTGGCAAGGAGTACACAGTGGGAACCAAGGCCATGTACAGCTGCAGTGAAGGCTACCACCTCCAGGCAGGCGCTGAGGCCACTGCAGAGTGTCTGGACACAGGCCTATGGAGCAACCGCAATGTCCCACCACAGTGTGTCCGTGAGTCCTCGGGCAATGGAGGCGGGTGTAAGGAAGGGCTAGGTAGGCAGCTGGAAAGATTCCTGCAAGGAGTGAGCTAAAAGCAAAGTAATGAGGGGGAAAAAAAAAAAAAAACATGGACATGGAGGTTGGAGGATTTCAGAAGAGGAGGCAGGTGCTGAAACTGCTCTCAGCATTGATAACCATTGTGCCCTAAGATGTTTCCACAAACCACCATGGAACTTAGGAATGGCCTGGTCCACTCCCTTTTAGATGGAAAACCTGTCAGAAAGTTTGCATGAATGTCCCTTGATTCCAAAGCTCTAAAAACAACAACTTTTAGGCCAGATCACAAAATGGCAACCTCCTCGACTATGTCCCATCCAAAGACAGAGGTTTTTGTTTTGTTTTGTTTTTTGGCCTACACGGTGCTTTATAACAAATTTTGAATTACTCCACAATCTTTTAAAATCAAGAAATTTTACATTAAAATCCAGATTTCTGTCTTCTCTTGAAAAATGAAAATCTAATCAAATGCAACTCAAACATTCAATAGTCAACCTTGACTGAGTACTATTTCCCTTTTTTAATTTTTAATTTTTTAGCAGAACTGTACTCCCCAGTTTGCCACATCCCCCACCCAACCCACCTGTTCATTTACCAAACCTGCCTGAGAACTGAAGATTCCTGGATTCTTCATTATTGCATTAAGGTCTCCAAGTCCCTAGATCTGGGCTCTTACAAGGTCTTCCAGAATTAATCAAGTAATTAATCCTCCTTTCTTTTCCTCATTTCCCCAGCTGTGACTTGTCCTGATGTCAGTAGCATCAGCGTGGAGCATGGCCGATGGAGGCTTATCTTTGAGACACAGTATCAGTTCCAGGCCCAGCTGATGCTCATCTGTGACCCTGGCTACTACTATACTGGCCAAAGGGTCATCCGCTGTCAGGCCAATGGCAAATGGAGCCTCGGGGACTCTACGCCCACCTGCCGAAGTAAGCCCAGGAAGGGAGGGTGGGCAAGTTTAGCAGGGTCCCTCCTACCTAAGCTGTCTCATGCATGGAGTGAACTGGGGTGGGGGAAAAAGGGGTATCACCAGGGATTGCAGTGTACTGCTTTTTAAACTCTCATCTAGTAGAATCAGGAGCTGGGAAAATGCCTACTCCTTTACTCCTTTAAGGAAGTATTTCTTAGCATCTTCTCATCTTATCAAAAGCTGCTTTTGTCCAGATGAGCATGCACTAATTCATTTCTTTAATATTCTTAGGCTCTTACTATATGCCAGACACTGTAGAGGTTTGAAGATAAAAGATTTTGGTTCCTGCCCACAAGGACTTTATAGTCTACTGGAGAGGCAGACACATAAAGAAGTGATGATAATGTGGTGCGATAAGACCTGAAATGGGAGTGTATATAGGAGGAATGAGGGTAGCACAGGCGACAGGTCACCTAAACCTGCCTGCCTTCTCCATTGTCAATTGTTTTTCTTTGGTTCTTTAATACACTTTCAAAGGTCGGAATCTCTGGGAAGACACTCTGAGACAGAGGCTTATTAGGGGGTGCTCTTGAGAACACCACCTACAGAAGGGAAAGGAGGGAAGGAAGCAGGACTGGGCAGAAGGAGAATTGAGCTCTGATGCAGTATCCATGAAAGCCTTAGCTCACCCCCCAGGGAGCTCTGGATGGCCCTTCAGAATTGTCACAAGTTGGAGCAAGGGAACTGTTATACTGCCACACTGACCAGCCACTGGATGCAGGCTGGCCTAGGAATGGGACATGACCTTCCTAGGTGGGAGGACTCCTCAACCACAGCAATCTGAAAAGGGCTGCCAGCCAAGGGTTGTTTTCCAGCAGCTGGGGAAATAAGTCCCTCGGTCCTAAAAGGGGCTCTGAGTAGCTCATCGCAGCATGCACTACGATAGGGATATGCTCATCATATTTATGTGACCAATGCAGATGTCACAGAGGAGGCAAGTGATTGTAAAGAGGTAGAAGGAAGTGGTCAGTGAGAAGTGGGAGTTTGAAACTGGGAAGGAGGAGAAATGGTGTCTTCCAATGCCTGTGATCCAGGTTGGGCATAGATCCCAGCATTTGAGAGGCTGAAGTGGGTGGATCACTTGAGGTCAGGAGTTCGAGACCAGCCTGGCCGACATGGTGAAACCCTGTCTCTACTAAAAAAAAAAAAAAAAAAAATTAGCCAGCATGGTGGTGCCCACCTGTAATCCCAGCTACTTGGGAGGCTGAGGCAAAAGAATTGTTTGAACCTAGGAGGCAGAGGTTGCAGGGAGCCAAGACTGTGCCACTGCACTCCAGCCTGGACGACTGTGCAAGACTCCGTCTCAAAAAAAAAAAAAAAAAAAGCCAATGTCCGTGATTCATGACACTGTTGTCTTTGCACACTGTGGTGCAGACTGCACAGTGGGATGTAACCACATATGTGGCAGAGTAGTCCCAAGCGTTTGGCAGCCTCACTACAATGCAGCCACTCACATTTCAGTGCAGCCTTGGCGATTAGGCCTCACCTCATACATCAGCCAGAGGCTCTCAGCAGTGCTCTGTTGACAAAGAGTGTGAGGCTGCTGGGCTCAGAAAAGAAGGGCAAGGAAATTGATTAGCAGTGTCTGCCCAGGGCACTCAGGAGCATACCACAGAATCGCCATCTCTTCCTAACCACAGTGCACATCTCAGCCACCTGAGGAGGATTAAAAAAATACACAGGCCAGGGCGCTATCTGCAAAGCTGGTGAGTCAGGCACCTGCAGTGGAGCCGGGCATTTTAAATAACCTTCAGGGGCTTCTGGAGACACCTCCAGTTGAGGTGCCACATCACACAAGTCAGCAACACAACCCATATTCTGGTCAGGAATTCCAGCAGAGTAAGGTTAAACAGGTCTTATTTTTGTCACAGTTCTTGCTAAGCAGAAGCAGCCATGTCCCTCCTCTTGGGGCTGGCTTACTGAGCATCTTGTGATCATTTTAGTCATCTCCTGTGGAGAGCTCCCGATTCCCCCCAATGGCCACCGCATCGGAACACTGTCTGTCTACGGGGCAACAGCCATCTTCTCCTGCAATTCCGGATACACACTGGTGGGCTCCAGGGTGCGTGAGTGCATGGCCAATGGGCTCTGGAGTGGCTCTGAAGTCCGCTGCCTTGGTAAGTGACCTCTGCAGGCCTATCCTGCCCAGTTTTTCTCCTTGAGATAGATTAGATCTTTCCAAAGCTGAGATCCAGTCTTTAAACAGTATCATTTCACCTATTGACATAAAATGCTTAATCCAAACACCAACTATTGGCCATCAGGCATGACTAAAACCCTGGAACAGCTTCTCCTGGGCCACCCAAAAGAAGGAGAAGAACCTCAGATCTAAAGAGACAAGCTTTTGAGGGGTTCTCATTCTGGTTAGAAAGACAATCCCTTCCTATTGGCCTTTGTATAATGAGTGAAGCCCCAGTCTCCATTTTTGGCAAATTTGCAGACGCATTCCTGTAACACACCTAAAATACCTTTTATATTATCTATTAGCAAATTTTACACACAACATATAGATCTATACATATATACTAAGCAAATTACAGAAACATAAAACAACCTGGCTTCCAAAGGACAAAGTTATCATTTCCTCCATGGCTAATCCACTCCCTGGTTCTATGGTTCTGTCTCCTCTCACACCTTTCTTGGACCCCTGGAGTCTAAAAGAGGGCCCCAGCCACATAAACCTAATAGGATAGATTGAATGGTCTGTCCTGGGGTGAACAGTGCTGTCTTGCCACTGTCTCAGGCCCATTAAGGACACAGTCACAGGTTATTTCCACAGAGAGCCAAAGGAAGCTGGTAGAAATGCCAGGAATATATTCTACCCAAATCCCATATAATAAAAAGAATTCACCTAGGTGCTACTCAAGGAGAAGGAAGGAAAGATGAATTTAGCCAAACCATCTGTTTTTACATAGTTGTTTCAACACAGCCAGGTTTTGACTGCCTTAATGTAGACAATGGTGCCCTCCATGCAGCAGATGCTCGGTGAAAAACAAGATGCCCAGGCTAGGTGTGGTGGCTCACGCCTGTAATCCCAGCACTTTGGGAAGCAAAGGCGGGTGGATCATTTGAGGCCAGGAGTTCGAGACCAGCCTGGCCAACATGGTGAAATCCATCTCTACTAAAAATACAAAAATTAGCTGGGTATGGTGGTGGATGCCTGTAGTCCCAGCTACTTGGGAGGCTAAGGCAGGAGAATCCCTTGAACCTAGGAGGTGGACATTGCAGTGAGCCAAGATCGTGCCACTGCAGTCCAGCCTGGCAGACAGAGCAAGATCTTGTCTCAAAAAAAAAAAAAAAAGATGCTCCTGAGTTTGAGTTTTTGGGGGCGTTTCTTGTTTGTTTGTTTGTTTTTTTATAGAAGGCTTTTTTGTATCTGGTTGGTAAGAAAAAGTGGGGGATGATCCTGGGGACAGTGAGGTAACTGATCATTTTGCACACATCTGTGTAGAGACACAGAAACTGAAGCTCAGAAGTGAGTGGCCATTTGGGGTACAACCTTGGGATTTGGGGTGCCAAGTCCTCAACACTATTTTTGTCATGCTGAGGGTTCCTGAAGTCACTCCTAGATTGCTACTCTCAGGGAGAGGTGGGAAAAGTAATGAGTTGTGGGATAGTTGGTCCTTTTCCCCACCATCCCTGTCTCTAGCCACTCAGACCAAGCTCCACTCCATTTTCTATAAGCTCCTCTTCGATGTACTCTCTTCCCCATCCCTCACCAAAGCTGGACACTGTGGGACTCCTGAGCCCATTGTCAACGGACACATCAATGGGGAGAACTACAGCTACCGGGGCAGTGTGGTGTACCAATGCAATGCTGGCTTCCGCCTGATCGGCATGTCTGTGCGCATCTGCCAGCAGGATCATCACTGGTCGGGCAAGACCCCTTTCTGTGTGCGTAAGTATGTCATCCACTCTCCCTAGTCATGGGGCTCAGATTCAACATGGACTTTCTCCCTGTCTCTTAATTAGATTAGCTAGAGGTTTGTTTTAAATATATATATATATATATGATTGCTATTTTTTTTTTCAAAACTGAAAGCATTGTTGATCTAATGTTTTCAGTTCTCTGCATCATTAATCACTGTTTTCACCTTTATTATTTCCTTCCTTGTGATTTCTTTTGGTTTACATTTTTGTTCATTTTCTAGCTTTTGAGTAGGAATTTAATTCATTTATTTTCATTCTTTCATTTCTATTGAGTTTTATTGCTATAAGTGCTTAAGACTATGAAATTTCCTCTGATCACTGCTTTAATTGTATCCTATAGAGTCTAATAATAAATGTTTATTATTTATTAGAAATTCTGTAATTTTGGTATTGATTTCCCCTTTTACATAGAAAATTTTTAATAGAAGGATTTGTTTCTAGGTGGAAGGCCCTTTTTTTTCATTGTGTTATTCATTTCTAATTTTATTGCATTGTATGTAATATTTCTACTTCATGGAATTGACTGAAGCTTTCTTTGTGACCTAATAGTTGGTCAGTTGTTATGAATGTCCCATGTGCACTTGAGAAGAAAGGATATTAGGATGTCATGTTTTATTTATATATTCATGAGATATATCTGATTGATTATGTTGTCTATGTCCTTTACATTCTTACTTTTCACCCACTCAATCTGTTTTATTCTGAGAGATGTGTTTAAAGTTTTCTATTATTAGTGTGTTTCTGTTTTTCCTTGCACTTCCTGTAGTTTCTGTTCTATAAAGATGGTTGCTGTCTTATTTGGTGCATAGATATTCATAACTAGTATCTCCATTGCACATTGTGGTTTTTAGCCTTTAAAGATTACTTTTTTGTCACTTTTAACATTTTTTAGCTAGAATTGTACTTTGCTTGATATTAGGCTTACAACCCCTGCTTTAATTCTTTTGCCTGATGCACCTTTGACCATTCTATTTTAGCCTTCTGCTTCTCTTAGGTGTGATTCTTGTATGCAGTATAAATTGCCTTATAAGCTAACTTAACCATCTTTTTCTTTTAGTTGGTTAGTTAAACTCATTCACATATATTAATATGACTGATATGTTCGGTCTTAATTTTGCCGTCTCCCATTTCCCCCACTTCTCCACCCATGGTAACCACCATTCTGCTCTCTGTTTCTACGTATTTGACTTTTGGAATTATAATATTAGTTTAATTCTATTTTTCTTATAGGTTATTTGGTTGTTTTTTTTTTTTGAGGTTCCTGATTATTTTTCCCTTTATCCTAAAGTCTAATATTTTTACTAGGACATGCTTCAGAGTTAATTATTCCAAGACAATTTCCTTAGGTATTCTATGGGTCTTTGAATATATAGATTCAGGTCTTTCTTTATTTCCAAAGACTTTTCTTGGATTATGGTTTTAAACACTGATATTGCTTTGTTTCCCACTGTTTTTTTTTTCTTCTTCATCAGCTCTGATTATGTGTATGTTGAATCTTCTTTGCCTATCTTCTCTCTCAGCCTCTCTCTCATTATTTTCACCTCTTTATCTCATTTTAATTCCCTTGGTTTTTTGCCTGACTTTCTTGAGTAACTCTTATTAAATTATCATTTGAGAATATTCTTTCTTGGGCCTCTTATAATTTAGTCTTCATTTCTCAGATGGTTTTGTCTTTTTCTTTTATCTCTTTAAAGCATACAATCAGTTATCTTTTATATTCTTCCACCTTTTGTCCATTTGTGCTGTTTAGTTTTTGATTTTCTGATTTTCATGGTGGTTTTTAAAATATCTCCAGATGCTTATTTGAGAATATTTAGTTCAGTTTAGAATGCTGCTACATTTTTCTTACGCTTCACATGTTTTGTTTTTGGTGAGGAGGTTTTCATCAGATGAAATTCTTGAATTCTTTTCTATTTTTTTCTTAAAGTAGCTTCGTATACATTTAGGTTGATGTCTTCTATTCATTTTATGGCTTTAGTGTGGTTTAGTAGTACCCTCTTCTGTCAGTGTTACAAAGTCTTTCTCTCTGATTGTTTTTACTTCTTTATCTCATTTTGATTATCTTGGATGTTTGCCTTTGTTTTGTTTATTTATTTTTTTTAATATAAGGTTTTGTGTGTGGTAAGGAAGAGGTTGTGTGTCCTTCATTTTTGTTTGTTTGCGTGTTTTTCTTTTGTCTTGCAGAACCCCAGGTTTTCCCATCATTGCTTCTTATTCCCTTTATCACTCAGAGGATGTCACTTTCTTTTCTTCCAGAAGCAATGAGGGAGAATCACACACACTTTTATGTCCCTTTTCTGTGGTTGTACATTGACATACCAAGATTTGTTTTCAGTATATTCATATATGAGATGGATTTTCTCCTTCTGGCAGTGATTTTAGATCAGTGTTAAGCCCTTCACCTGCTCCTCTCTTCTCTTTCTCATACAGTCTTGCTCTCCACAAAAGCTTGCAACAGAACCATGAGAAGTAACTCTGCCTGGGCTTAGTGTATATTTCTCTTACATGTAATTTAAAGTTTGTAGCACTCTCTGGCTTCTAGTTAGGCTGCAGGCCTGGGTTTTCTATTATTTATTCTTCTGGTTAATCTGCATTTTTTTGATTTAGGCAATCACTGTTATGCTTAGCTGCCTGGAAGTAATTTGGATAATTCTTCACTTTTTAAATTTCCCTAAAGTGAGCCTTTATGTAAAGTGCAAGTTTTCCTTCTTAATTTTTGTAAGGCAGTTTTTTTATTTTAATTCTTCTTTTGGCTTTTTATATATGGGATGGGGCCATAAAATAATGAGAACTTCTCAAAAAACAATGCCTGAAATTAGTCTTAATAACTTCTTAAGGGTTACAGAAAGCAAGACCCAAGCCAGATATTGTAGCTTGTGCTTGTAGTCCCAGCTATTCAGGAGGCTGAGGTCGGAGGATCCATTGAGCCTGGGAATTTGAAACAAGCCTGGGCAACATAATGAGATCCCATCTCAAAAATAATAAAAAATAAAGTTCCATCTGTATTCAGTCACTCTTTCAGATGTGTCTAAATAAAACATGTTTAGTTTCACCCAGAAGAACATGCAGATGCCCTCAGGAAATTGGTGCACGATGTATACAAAGAGATTTAGGTAATAAATAATAGAGACTGTCGGGGTCTGGGTGGAGAATGTCTGCCTGGCCTAAAGACATTGAACGTTAGACTGGACCATATTCAAAGGCAGTGAGTGAAGTAGTTAGGCACTCAGGTGTGGACCCAGATTGCCTGGGTTTACATCTCAGCTCTACCATCAGATCTGCTGTGGCTATGTAACTCTAGGTAGGTCGATTTACCTCATTAGGTCTCAGTCTTGTCACCTGTAAAAAGCAGGCACCTCAAAGACTACTGGGAGCATTAAATAAATTAATACACATAAGATAGTTAGACCGGTGTCTGATCCAGATGTTAAGCAGCAGTTGCTGCTGCTGCTGCTGCTGTTGTGTGATGATGATGATGATGAAGATGATGGTAGTGGTGGTAGTAATGCTGCCACCATCACATTACAGAATCCAGGATCTCTTACACTAAGGCCCATTCTCTCTTGGAGCACAGAGGTTTGGGAATTATCTGGAGGAGGAAAGCAAGAATAAAAGAACAAATATTTGTAAGTGTTTACTCTGTGCTAAGCACTGTGTTAGCTGCCAGTACATACAAAGTCAAGGTTTCCAATGTCAACCAGACTCTCAAAATTTTCCAGCTGTCCTCTTCATTTCCTCAGTCAGTTCCCTTGCCCTTTCTCCATACAGCTGTTTGACAATTCTGCCTCCTTTCTGAAGACTTATATTCCATCGCCCCTACCTACGTTCTCAGCAAATAACTAAGTTAAACAGTTAAGATGGCCTGGAATCAGAGAAGCTGGGTTCAAAATTCAGATGAGACATTTAGAAACTGTGACCCTTGAACAAATATCTTGAGTCCTCTGAAATTCTGTTTTCTGTGGGTATAGTGGTGGTGCCTACCTCATAGGGTTGTGAGGATTAAGTGAGACAATGACTGCGAGCCCCAACAATTGTTAGCTAATCATATAATATCACTTTCTATTCTGCAGAGATGATAGAAGCCATCAGAAAATAGCTTCTCCTACTTTCAGCTTCCCCACCCACACATCTGCTCTGTGTACATCCATCCTTGCCCCTTCTCTCCCACCTCAGTAGAAGAATCTCTCTCCCAGCCCATGGTTAATCCCTCCACCAGTCTCTGGATCTCCTTCCCTCCTGCCTCCTTAGTGAGGTTAGTCTATTCTTAATCCTCTCCTATGTTACCATGGACCTTCCCTTTCTGTTTCCCTCAGCTTCTAAGACCATATTCAATAAAGATTCCCTTAGCATCTACTATATGCCAGACCCTGTGTTAGGTGCTGAGGATCAACATGAATTGAATGTGTCATACATCATCTCTGCCCTTAGGAAACTAGGTCTAGTTGTCCTGAAATGTGCTCAAAAGCCCATTAAGTGCTCAAGCCTCATCAGGACCTCTACTTTCCTCCTAATGATGCCTTATTCTTCTGCCCATGGCAGCCTGTATTAGTTCAGAGTCCTCCAGAGAAACAGAACAAATAGGAGGTGTGTATAGAGAGAGAGTGCAATTTATTTTAAGGAACTGGCTCACACAATTGTGGAGGCTGGCAAGTCCAAAATCACCAGCATAGGCTGGCAGGGTAGAGACCCAGGAAAGAATCACAGTTCAAGTCTGAAGGCAGGCTGCTAGCCGAATTCCCTCTTCTTCCAGGGATAGCAGGCTGCCTTTTCTCTCAAGGCCTTCAACTGATTGGATGAGGCCCACCCACATTATGGAGGGCCTCATAATCTATTTCACTCAAAGCCTCCTGATTGAAATGTTATCTCATCTAAAACATACCCCTTCACAGAAACATCTAGAATAATGTGGACTAATGTTTGGCCATATGTCTAGGTATCACGGCCTAACCAAGCTGACACGTGAAGTTAACCATCACATGGCCATGCTGCTTGAGACGGTTGCCTACACTAATTGCCTCCACCTCTCCCCTCTCATTAGCAGCAAAGGCCACTTCTCTGCTCTAGCCAGAAAGAACTTCCATCCCAGTCAACAGTATCTCTGGTCCTAGGCCATGTTCTAGAATGCTCAGAGCCTCTGCTACCCAAGAGCTGCAGAGCAGGAATCTGAGAAGTGCCAGCCAAAGCTTCCAAGCAGCCAGAAAGCCTGGGACCTAAAGAGAGCAAGAAGAACTTATATGGGGGCACCAGAGATGACACCTGGTCGCAGCAGCTTCTTCTCCTGCTGATCCTGGTCCAGGGCCTGTGGCTTGGGAATATGTGGGAAGCAGTGGGTAAGAGCCTGAACCAGGCAGGGGACACTTGCAAGTCACCAGTGGTCCTATTGATGAATCCGATGAACACATTTTCATCTTTATCTTATTTGATCTATCAGGGATATCTGACAATTCTTGAGGCTCTTGGCTCTGTGACAACTACCCCCTCCTGTAGAGCTTTTTGCTTTACTACTTTTTTGATCACTCCTCAGTTTCCTATAGGTTTTTTCTTTTTTAACATCTGCCCTTCAAAAAGTGGTATTCCCAAGGGTTTTAATCCTCAACATTCTTCTCTCTCTTTATATGAGTGATTTCCGCCTTCAGGGAAGGGGCATCACGACCTTTTCCAAATCCGGTGAAAGTAATGGACCCTCTCCCGAGCTGGCTGCAAACACCCAGTGCCTTGCATATAATTTCAGGGGTTTACAGATGCTGCGATGCTTATCCCTGCTCTCCCACCACCTTCTTGACCTGGCGAAGCCCTACTCACCCTTGAGACCTAGATCAGACCTCATGCCACTCCCTGTGGGACCCTCTTTGACCCACTCTCTCCCCAGAGGAGGGTAAAAGCCACGGTCCACTGCGCTGGGCTCTATCTCAGCACCAGCCCACTGGGTTTAACAGCCGCTTCCCTGCCTGCCCTCCTACAAGTCTGTAAAATGAGCTTCCTGAGGTCAGAGAACATTTTATATTCTTCTTTGTATATTCCACTCCATAGCAGAGTACCTAGCTCATAAAAGGCACTCAGTAGACATTTGATTATAAATAATTATGTGAATTGAATCTATTTTCAAAGCAACCCTGTGAAATGCATATCAAAATTCTTACTTTGCAGCTATAGAAACCAAGGCTCAAAGTGAATTATCCTTAGACCCAAAGTCAGGAAGGGGCAGAGCTGAGCCGAAATCCTGGTCTGCTGGCCTTCATAGCTCATTCTCATCTCACTATGCCAGGCTGCTTTGAACCCCTGTGGTCCACTAACAGCATGTCCCCTGCTCTTCCTGGCTCCCTCCACTGGAGTCAGGGTTGCTACTACTGAGATTTACAGAAGAGAACTAGCCCAGAAAACACCAGATCTGGCCACACCAAGGACTGGGTGCTTCCTCTTCTTACACCCCCGTCCCCATTATCACCATTTGGGTCTTAGGTGGGATCCTCATGGATTTAAGTATTGGACAAAGAGAACATCCCTTATAGTTCCTAATCTTCCCACAAATTAAAACCCAGAACAAAGCGAGAGGCCTGGCAAAAGCATCAGGTGGGAGTTCAACTCCATGAGACCAGGGTGCCAGGCTGGGACGAAATAGAACTAAGGACTAAGGATCAAAGCAGAAGCCTAGGCATCCATCCATTCATGCACTTACTCATTCGCTGATTCACTCAGCAAATATTTATCACACTCCTGCTGAATGTCAGGCACTGGTACATACACCAAGGATGCAGCAATAAGCAAAACCAAGTCCCTGACCTCAAGGAGCTTGCATTCAGCTGAAGGGTGATAAGCAATAAACAAATACAGAAGTGCTGTGGTGTGTTGGTTGCTGACAGTGCTATGGAGAGAGGTTGAGCAGAGCAAGGGACCTGGCAGTACTGGCCATGCTGGCCAACTAGGGACTAAGGGAAGGCCTCACTGACATGGTTAATTTGAGGAGAGACCTGAGAAGAAGAGGGCAGGAGTTAAGGGATATCTGCAGGAACAATGTCCTAAGTAGAGAAAAAAGCAAGTGCAAAGGCCCTGAGGCAGGAACTTGCTTTGTATATTCATGAAACCTCCAAGAGGCCAGTGCAGCCAAATAGAGTGAGCTATACCACTGGGAGAAAGGGGGAATCAGAGGGATGCAGGGATAAGCATGGTGGCCTGCAAATACCACATCCCTTTTCTCTTCCCTGCTCATGTCTGAACAAAATAGTAAAACAGACTGGTAGGTGGAGGCCCAAATATTACCTCGCTTACTAATAAAGGCTAAGTTGGAAAATGGAGCTTAATGTGACAGTCAGATGGAGGCTGCTACATGAACCCAGAATGAGATGGATTCACCCACCCACAGAGGCAACACTGCAGTGGGGCATGCAGCCCTGCAATGTTGGGGATAGCCTCCCTCCTCAACAGCTGAGAGCAGCCGAGAACATTGCTCCCTGCAGACAACTAGGTCCCTAGAAAAAGAAGGGATGCTGAGCCAAACATGCCAGCTCATTACTCCCAAGTTGCACAGATCAAAGTGCACTAACTGAACTCCCTTGCCATGGAAGGAATTGGAGGTAGTGGGTTCTCTCCAAACAGCAGCTCTGCTTCCCCAGTTTACCTGGGCTATTGATCTAGCAGAGTGACTGAACTCTGCACCAGTCTTGGTTAGTATTCACTCTGGTTCTACAAGGTTGGCTCAGGAATGAGGATGGGCCTAAACCAGCTGACAGTTGGCCATCAGTATACCCAGCAATTAAGAATGGATCTGGGGAGCCGAGGGCATCAGAGGCAAGGAAAGTAAGATAGCACTGACCGCTCAGACCACAGAGAACCACAGTCCAGTCCTAACACCCTATGGGAAGTCATAGAATGATTGATCTCAAGTTGTCCAAGCTACAGACATATCTTCAAGGCAGACAGAATGTTCCCCTGACAATTTCAGTTTATAAAGGTTTTACAGCAAAAGAGATTGAAGTTAGACTTAGGGCTGAACTTCACTGATGGCCTAAGAGATGCCAGGTGAGAGGTGGATAAATTCTGAGGGGTGTGGAATAGTAGGAGGGCTTACCTATCTTCTGTTTTGGTTACAGCAATTACCTGTGGACACCCAGGCAACCCTGTCAACGGCCTCACTCAGGGTAACCAGTTTAACCTCAACGATGTGGTCAAGTTTGTTTGCAACCCTGGGTATATGGCTGAGGGGGCTGCTAGGTCCCAATGCCTGGCCAGCGGGCAATGGAGTGACATGCTGCCCACCTGCAGAAGTGAGTCACCCTTTCTCTCCCAATCCAGTCCCCACCATCTCTGCTATATGTGGTTCTGTAGCTCAGAAAAAGAAGCCAGTGAATTCATTCTGGCATCATTCTGATCCAGATAGGGAAGATGGAGCAGAGAAGGGTCATAAATGAGGACTTTCTCAACCCTTAGATAAAGAGCCACATAAAATTTCATCATCATGGGTTATATAAGGAAAGCAAAACTTAAGTTTTATCTTTCAAGTCGTCTTTTTTACCTTTCATTGAACAAATAATGTATCATTATCTTATAAAGCCCCGTTATTTTTTAACAGAGGTTTATTTTTCTCACATAAACAAGAGATCTAGAAGTAATATTATTTCTGCAGCTGCTCCACGAGATCAGGAGCAATATCTTGGTCTTTCCTTGTGGTTGCAAAATGGCTGCTGCAGCTCCTTTGGAACCACTCTTAAGAGATCCCCATTCTTGATGAAAAAGCAGAGGGTTAAAAAGCAGAGAGCCTAAGAGTTGAGATAAAGGGGGTGAGGGCTGGGGGAAAACACACAGAGAGGAAGCCAAAGACTCAAAAGGCAGAGAGAATACAGAATGTCCTGGCTCTATTTGGAGTATTTAGGAAATAGCTTCTAACGCTTTTAGAGGCTTTTGACAGCAGTGAAGCCTCAGAGAGCCTCATCAAAAGTAAAAATCCTTAAAGGCTTATCAAAGATTTTTAAAAAATACCTTCCTGCCCACTTCATATGATAAGTTTGAGACTCAGGTAAGATAATGGATTTGAAGATGTTTGGAAAGAAAAGTATAGTCATGGGTTATGAATAATGTTGTCATTATTCTAAAATCTTATCCTGATTTTGAGTTAAGCTGCTTTGGAAACACTTTTAAGATTTTAAAGTCAAATATATCCCCCAGGATATTAATATGTCCCTGAAATACTCATAAAAGTGATTAAAACCATTTTCAAAAGAGCCCAACCCTGTTCAAGTCAGTTCAAATGCGTCAGTTTTACAATTGACAAGCTTTGCTGTGGGAGGCACATTGTGCTACGATCAGATATATGGAGACTAGACATTCATGCCCTCAAGGGACTCGTGTGTTCAAACAAGTCACAGCACAGGCTGGTAAAGTCAGCAATAGCGATTTGTGCAAGGGAGTACCAGAAAGAGAGTAATCAATCTGGGAAGAGGTGGGAGGAGTTCTCTAAGGAGGTGATGTCTAGCTGGACATGGAAGGATGACTCTTCTGACCAGGTAACCAAGGTGAGGGGAGAAGTCCAGCAACCTTGGGACCAGCTCACCCTCCCGACAGGGTCTGCTTCATTGCCTAGTTTTGCTCGGAAGATTTTACTATACTGGGAATCCATGCCTGTTTGGACTTCTGTTCAATTGCAGTCATCAACTGTACAGATCCTGGACACCAAGAAAATAGTGTTCGTCAGGTCCACGCCAGCGGCCCGCACAGGTTCAGCTTCGGCACCACTGTGTCTTACCGGTGCAACCACGGCTTCTACCTCCTGGGCACCCCAGTGCTCAGCTGCCAGGGAGATGGCACATGGGACCGTCCCCGCCCCCAGTGTCTCTGTAAGTAGATGTCACCTGCTCAAAATGACTGATGGGGTGGCCCGTGTCAAAGAACAGTCCTCCCCTCTGTGCATGTGTGTGTGTGTGTGTGTGTGTGTGTGTGTGTGTGTGTGTGTCTGCACATGTATGAGTTGCCTTATGGTGACAGTCACTCTGGCTACTCCTGGGATTTCAGATTCCTTCTTGAGCCTCTGTTGGGTGACTTCCATACCAATTTTTGTGTTCTCACTTTCCTAGCTAGAGGCCTGGTCCCTTTCCTCTCTAGTTACCACCCTCTTCAGCTTACAGAGTTCCCTTTTTTCAGAACTGGCTGCCTCGCGGGACATCATCTCCCAACTTTACCTTTTCCTTGCCCTTCCAGAAACACAGCACATGAACCCCTTCCCTTTAAAGGACTGAAGCAGAGAGGTCACAGACTCTGGAGGCAGACCAACTTGGACTGGAATTCTGGCTTTGCTACTGAACAAGTAGTGTGGTTTGGGAAAAATTCACTAACCTCTCAGAGCGTCAGTTTCTTCATCTATAAAAATGATGCCAGTACCTATTCCATAGGGTTATTAGAGGATTAAAGGGGAAACAAAATCTATTAAAAGTCCCAGCATAGTATCTGGTACATAGTAGCTACTCAATAAACAATGACCACATTAATTATTGTTAGGAAAAGAATTGGGGACAACTGGTTTTTTAAAAGGGGTTGGGGAGGTGCTCAGAATCCTGATGTATTAGTCTGTTCTCCCACTGCTATAAAGAACTGCCCAAGACTGGGTAATTTATAAAGGAAAGAGGTTTAATTGACTCACAGTTTCACAGGGCTGGGGAGGCCTCAGGAAACTTACAATCATGGTGGAAGGAGAAGCAAACATGTCCTTCTTCACATGGTGGCAGGGGAGAGAAGAATGAGCAAAGTTGGGGAAAAGCCCCGTATAAAACCATCAGATCTTATGAAAACTCACTCACTATCATGAGAATAGCATGAAGGTAACTGCCCCCATGATTCAATTACCTCCCACCGGGTCTCTCCCACAACACGTGGAGATTATGGGAACTACAATTCAAGATGTGGTTTGGGTGGGGACACAGCCAAACCATATCACCTGACATCTGGTCCCTGGCCTTACACGTCCTTAAGAGAAGAGCAACCCCTTGGTTTCCTGCTCTCCCCTCTGTTTCCTAAAGGTGAATCCACATAGATTTCTCTCTCCCCCATCTTCCAAGAAGCAAAGGTGAAGATGCACTCAAGAGGGAGTAATAGATATGCAGTTAAGGCCATGCAGCAGTCCACCTACCTTTGGCAGATTATATACATTTTGTAGGCCCTCCAGTCTGGACAACTGCATTTTTTTACGCCCTCGTGGCTGTAGGTCTAACAGGAGCCTGGTATAGCTGCTCACTGCTTGTATTTTCCTCGCTTGAGAACTCTGGCCTGGCCATCCAATCCCATTTATGACCAGCAAATAGTTTGGGGTCAGAAATGGACACCACCTGTGTACAGTGGTGCCAGCTGAGAGTCACAGCCCCTAGTGGACTCAAATTGTTTTTTCTTCTAGTAAAATGCAGCTTTTATCATAATAAAGTGACCCTATCCATATTAACTTTTTGTCCCAATGCTTGTTTTCTCTAAAGTTAATTCAGTCACATATTCAGGCTCCTCTTCTAATTCTGGTTCTCTTGCTGCTCTAATTCTGGTTCTCTTGATGCTGCTTCAGTGGAGGAGTGAGATCCTCCAATGAAGTCTTGAACCCATCAAAGTCATGCATGAGGGTTAGAATCAGCTTACTCCAAACTCCTGTTAATGTTGCTGTTGATATTACTAATAGGTATATATATTAATATAGAGGCATACATTGGAGATATTGCAAGTCCAGTCCCAGACTACTGCAATAAAGCAAAAATCGCAATAAAATAAGTCACACAAATTTTTTAGTTTTCCAGTATAATCTAAGTGTGCAGTAGTATCATGTCAAAAAATATGCACACCTTAATTAAAAATACTTTATTGCTAAAAAATACTAACAATCATCTGAGCCCTTAGCAAGTCATACTCTTCGCTGGTGGAGACTTTGCCTCAATGTTGATGACTGCAAACTGATCGGGGTGGTGAAGGCTGGTGTGGCTGTGGCAATTTCTTGAAATAAGACAACAGTGAAGTCTGCCACATGGATTGACTCTTCCTTTCATGAAAGGTTTCTCTGTAGCGTATGCTGCTGTTTGATAGCATTTTACCTACACAGTATAATGCCTTTCAAAATTGCAGTCAGTCTTCTCAAATCCTGCTGCCACTTTATCAACTAACTTCATGTGAAGTTCTAAATCCTTTATTGCTGTTTCAACAATGTTCACAGCATTTTCACCAAAAGTAGTTTCCTGATTCTTCTCAGGAAACCACTTTCTTTGCTCATCCACAAGAAGCAGCTTCTCATCTGTTTGAGATTGGTCATGAGATTTCAGTAATTCAGTCACATCTTCAGGCTCCACTTCTAATTCTAGTTCTCTTGCTACTTTTACCACATCTGCAGTGACCTCCTCCACTGAAGTCTTGAACCCCTCCAAGTCATGTGTGAGGGGTGCAATCAGCTTTTTCCAAACTCCTGTTAATGTTGATATTTGGACCTCCTCCCATGAATCACAAATCTTCTTAATGGCATCTAGAATGATTAATCCTTTCCAGAAGGTTTTCAATATACTCTGCCCAGATCCATCAGAGGAATACACTATCTGTGGAAGCTATAGCCTTATGAAATGTATTTCTTACATAATAAGACTTGAAAGTCAAAATTATTTCTTGATCCATGGGCTGCAGAATGGATGTTGTGTTAGCAGACATGGAAACAACATTCAATTCCTGTACATCTCCAGTTCTGATGTACAGGAGCTCTTCATCATTTAGCACTTGGCTGACCAGGTGCATTGTCAATGAGCAGTATTATTTTGAAAGGAATCTCTTTTTTCTGAGCAGTAGGTCTCAACAGCGGGCTTAAAATGTTCAATAAACCATGCTATAAACAGATGCGCTGTCATCCAGGCTTTGTTGTTCCATTTATAGAGCACAAGCAGAGCAGATTTGGAATAATTCTTAAGGGCCCTAGGATTTTCAGAATGGGTAAATGAGCATTGGCTCCCAGTTAAAATCACCAGCTGCATTCATCCCTAACAAGAGAGTCATTCAGTCTTTTGAAATTTTGAAGCCAGGCATTGACTTCTCTCTAGCTATGAAAGTCCTGGATGGCATCTTCTTCAAATAGAAGGCTGTCGGTGGCTCATGCGTGTAATCCCAGCACTTTGGGAGGCCGAGGCAGGTGGATCACAAGATCAGGAGATTCAGACCATCCTGGCCAACATGGTGAAACCCCATCTCTACTAAAATACAAAAAAATTAGCCAGGCGTGGTGGTGTGCACCTGTAGTCCCAGCTACTCGGGAGGCTGAGGCAGGGGAATTGCTTGAACCTGGGAGGTGGAGGAGGTTGCAGTGAGCTGAGATGGTGCCACTGTACTCCAGCCTGGTGACAGAGCAAGACTCTGTCTCAAAAAAAAAAAAAAAAAAAAAAAAGGCTGTTTTTTCTACCTTTAAAATCTGTTGTTTAGAGTAGCCACCTTCATCAATTAGCTTAGCTAGATCTTCTGGATAACTTGCTATAGCTTCCACATCAGCACTTGCTGCTTCACCTTGTACTTTTATGTTATAGAAATGGCCTCTTTCCTTAAACGTCATAAGCCAACCTCTGCTTGCTTGTACTTTTCTTCTGCAGCTTCCTCAACTCTCTCAGCCTTCATAGAATTGAAGAGGGTCAGGGCCTTGCTCTGGATTAGGCTTTGGCTTAAGGGAATATTGTGGCTGGTTTGATCTTCTGTCCAGATCTACCTACCTTCCATGGTAGGTGGATGCCAAGGACGATGCTAAACGTCCTACAATGCACAGGACAGCCCCCTACAATAAAGACTTACTCAAACTTTCTCCATGTTGGCAATAAGGCTGTTTCATTTTCTTATTCATGTATTCACGGAAGCAGCCCTTCTAATTTCCTGCAGGAACTTTTCCTTTGCATTCACAATTTCACTAATTGTTTGATTCAAGAGGCTTAGCTTTAGGGCTGTCTCAGCTTCCGACATGCCTTCCTCACTAAGCTTTTAATCATTCCTAGCTTTTGATTTAAAGTGAGAGACACAACTCTTCATTTCACTTGAACACTTAGAGGACATCATAGGGCTATTAACTGGCCTAATTTCAATATTGGTGGGTCTCAGGGAATAGGGGCACTCAAGGAGAGGGAGATAGACAAGGAATGGCCAGTTGGTGTAGCAGTCAGAACACACACAACATTTATCAATTAAGTTCTCCATTTTATGTGTGCATGGTTCATGGCGCCCCAAAACAATTACAATAGTGACATCAAAGATCACTGATCACAGATCACCATAACAGATGTAACAATAATGAAAACGTTTGAAATATTGTGAGAATTACCAAAATGTGATGCAGAGACATGAAGTGAGCACGTATTATTGGGAAAATGGTGCTGTTAGGCTTGCTCAACACAGGGTTACCAAAAACCTTTCATTTGTAAAAAAAACAACATCTGTAAAGCACACTAAAGCAAGACACAATAAAACTAGGTGTACCTGTAACTTATAACCAGCTTCCTTCTTTTAGTATTGGCATGATTTTTTTATCATTTTATTTTTAACTGCTCTCTATGTAAAAAGCATGTAATTGTGATTTTTAAACCCTATCTGACAATCTTTTCTTTCAAGTGGAGGATTTAATCCATTTGCATTTTTTCTTTCTTTTTCTTAGTGAAATATAATTCACACACCATAAAATGCATTCTTTTAATGTATACAATTCAGTGATTTTAGTGTATTCGCAAAGTTGTACAAGTATCATCACTGTCTAATTCCAGAACACTTTCATCATTCCCAAGCAGCCCTTAAAAGTCACTCCCCATTGCCCACCCCACCCCAGCTTCTGGCAACCTCTAATGTACTTTTCTGTCTCTGTGGATTTACCTATTCTGGACATTTCATATAAATGGAATTATATGTGTGTCTTTTGTGTCTGGCTACTTCCACTTAACATAAAATTTTCAAAGTTCATCCACGTTTTAGCATATATCAATACTTTATTCCTTTTGGCCAAATACTATTTCATGGTATGAATATACCACATCTTGTTTATGCATTCGACAATTGATAGATGAACTGGGACTATTATGAACATTTCCACTTTGGGACTATTATGTTTCCATTTTTTAGCTATTATGAATTATGCTGGTTTGAACATTTGTGTATAAGTTTTTGTGTGAACACGTTGTCAATTCTCTTGGGCATATACCTTGGAGAGAAATTGCCAAGTCACATAGGAACTCTATATTTAACTTTTTGAGGAACTGCCAAACTGTTTTCCAAAGTGGTTGCACCATTTTCCGTTTCTACCAGCAGTGTATAAGGATTACAATTTCTCCATATTCTTTCCTATGCTTGTTATTGTTCATCATTTTTATTATAACCATCCTAGTGGATGCAAAGTGCTATCTCATTGTAGTTTACATTTGCATTTCTCTAATGACGAATCGTGTTAAGCATATTTTTATGTGTTTACTGTGTAACAAATCATAGTGACTTAATGCAACAGCCATTTTCTTGCTTATGATTGGCAATTCTGGCAGGGTTTAGTAGAGACAGCTCATCTCTGCCCCACATGTTATTGGCTGTTGTGGCTCAGGTGGGCCTAGAAGATCCGAGATGGCCTCACTCATATCTTGGCACTGGCTGTCAGCTGGGGCATTGTGATTGTCCATGGTCCCTCCCCTCATATGAGTTCTTGTCATTCCGTAGTCTCTGCCAAACTTCCTTACATGGTGGCATAGTACTCCAAACAGGGAAGGTAGAAGCTGCCAAGCCTCTTAGGATGTAACCTGGCTCAACATCACTTCCACCATGTTTTGTTATTCAAAGCAAGTCACAAGGCCAGCCTGATTCAAGGGGAGGGGAAAGGGGAAAAAGACTCCACTCCTTGATGGGAGGAATTGTTAGTAGCAGCAGTCTTTGCAGATAATCTACCATAAGCATTTAGAACAATGTTTGACCCATATTAAGACCACATTGAGAAGTGAAGATACCTAAGACCCATTCTTACCATCCCAGTACCTACCAAAATTCATCATCAGGGTCAGCACTGGCCCAACCCAGGTTTTACCACTTGGTCACCTGTTGTGGTCTGCCTGTATGCTATGCCCTGTGGGCTTTCTGGGTATGATGTCTACAGGGATCTCCTACCAGACTCCAAGACATTATCATCTCTCCTTGAACTACTGCAACAGCTCCCTCTTTCTTGTACCACCTGGTCCTTTCTCTACACAGTAGCCAGTATAATCTTGTTAAAATGTAAATCCGATCATATAACTCCAGTGGCTTCCCAAGATGCTCATAATAAAATCCAATTTTCATGCCATGATCTGGCTCATAGTGACCTCTCCACCCTTGTCTTCTTCCATTCTGTCCTGGCTCATTCCAGTCCCAGCATCCTTGGCTTCCTTGCTGTCTCTCAAACACAGCAAACTCACTCTGGCCTCTGGCCCGTTATACCTGATGTTCCATCCCCAACAATACTCTTCTCCAAAATTTTGCATGGCTGGCCTCTTCACATCATTCAAGTAACTTCTCAAAGTCACTTGATCTTCCCAAACACACGGAGTGTCTAGCACATGACAGGGACTCAATAAATGTGTGTTGAGTAAATGAGAGAATCTTAGGATCAACCTGTGATCCTGTGACAAGACCAATGGGAAGACCAGCCCCAGTAATGTTGAAAGCATTACCCTTGCCTAGACATCTCAATTCTGGTGTTCTATCTTCTCACTTGTTTTCACAGCTATACTTCAGTATTTTAGTAAAGGGAACTTGCATACTGAGAGGGACAGGTTGGGGACAACTGATGAGGCAACTGTAAGATGCAGATGGAAAAGGGCTATAATTGGCTTTCATTCTGGAATCCTTGGCCAATGAAGACAATCTGAGGGTGACAGAGCTCCCATTTTTGTCTTGTGTATACTCTGCGTACCACCTTCCTGCCCAGAGACATCATGAGTATGAGGAAATAGGGAGAGGTAAGCATAAGAGGCAAGAGAGAAAACAATCTAATGTTATTGTATATCTGCTACATGCTGAGAAGGTATTATTCCTCATTTCATAGATATGGAAAACTGTCCCCTGAGTGGACATTGTCTGCCAACGCCAGGTGGGCATGCCAGCAGGAAGTTTGCTTCAACAGATACCCTTGGGTTTCTCTTCTTCCCAGCCTCTTGCTTAAAGAAGCCTAGCATGGATTGTGTGATGGTGAGCCATCCCTGTGCAGAGTCATTGAGATGTTTGCTTTTCCCCCACAGTGGTGTCCTGTGGCCATCCGGGCTCCCCGCCTCACTCCCAGATGTCTGGAGACAGTTATACTGTGGGAGCAGTGGTGCGGTACAGCTGCATCGGCAAGCGTACTCTGGTGGGAAACAGCACCCGCATGTGTGGGCTGGATGGACACTGGACTGGCTCCCTCCCTCACTGCTCAGGTATGGTGCATGGCATTGAGGAAAGAGCTCCAGTGGAATGCTTGACTGATGGGAGGTAGACGAGCCCCCAAGGTGTGAGTGTGATTGATGGATGGGAGGGAATCAGACCTCAGAACCCTTATATCTACCCTAACAGGTAGAAAGCACAGCAAGACAAGGTCCCAATGGAGCTTCAGCTTCTGGTGGGCTGAGCCCTGCCTTATCCCCTCAGTCAGCCCTGACCATGCCCAGGGATTGCAAAACTAGGAGGGGCACAACTTTTTAGGTCAACCTATGGCCAGAGTCCTGTCCAGACACTTGATTTTATGAGTTCCTGGGGACAGTTCAAGTCTTCCTGTTGATCAGCTCAGGTCCAAGCCCACTCCTGTGTTCTTTTCTTCTCTGTTTCAGACTCGTGCTCAGGTCCAAGCCCACTCCTGTGTTCTTTTCTTCTCTGTTTCAGACTCGTAGGCCCCAGCCTCCTTCCCTTTCTTATCACTGCCCCTCAACTTGTCCTATGTCCTGGCTACCTAGTGGGGTACAGTCTTCTTCTCTACTGCCTTGAAACGCCAGTCCCCAGACTTTTCCTGTTAAGTTCCTTTTACTGCTAATGAGGACACTGACAGATGCTATCAAAATCGCAAATGTAGAGAACTGCCAAAGGTCCTATGTCCACAGTATCCAAACCAGAAATGAATGTGTAATGCCATATAGCAGAACAAAATTTTGCAAGTGAATTGTCCTGCCAATAGCAGAAACCACCAAGCTAAAATATTAGTGCCTTGCAGCTTTGTCTTCTTTGAGGGGGACCTGCCTGGCCCTAGGAAGGGATTCCATGTTGCCTGCAAGAGGGAGCTGCTTGTGCAGCTTGATGTTCCTCGGAGGGCCCACCTTGGCATTGAAATTAACCCGTAACCCTTCCCATGCCAGATCCCTTCAGAGGAAAGGATCATGACCTCCTCCTAATACAGAAGCCTTCTCCTTGATGTAGGACCTTACCCATAAGATGTGCCACTGTTCTTGCAGTTTGACATTCCCAGATGAGCCTGCCTCCCAAAAGTTAGGTCACTGCCAGAATATTTAATGAGATATTCATTAGATCTCTCCAGAAAGAAAAGAGTCCCAAAGCCACTATTTCAAAGGGCTGTTGGTTGCCCAGGAAATCCCAGACACATCACTCTATATGACCACCCAGGACTTTGGCCTCTCACCCCTATTAATCTCATTAAACACCTAATTAAGGAACCGGGCAGGACTATATAGGAGCCATGATGACTCATTTAGCTGGGCTAGAGGAAGGCCTATTAACTGTGCCCTGGCTTCTTTCTGTTTGGACATCTGGTAGAAGTGATAGGCAATACAGCATGAGAGGACAAGGGTCATGTACATTGCCTCTCCAGCCTCCCTGGAGCTCTCTGAAAACAGAATTAGAAGGAATTCAATGTACGCAAAGGCTAGACAATGAGTGAACCTTAAATCCCTTGGATGAGAACATAAGGGATGAGAAGAATAGGCAATTAGGAAGTAACATTAGGTATATACCACAGATATAGAGATAGTTCCTCCCTTCCTGAAACAATGTCGTCTTTTGCAGTGGCATCTCCTGCCAGTCCTATGAAATACACATTCATGAATTCCAGGTCAAAGTTTTTAGTCTCATTGTGTGCAAGCAGTGGACCCAACTGTTGCACAACAAAACCTCTTAAGTCCTTGAGTCATACACCACTGGGCCACCAAGGCTATGGAGAGATTTCTGGAGTTTGAGACCTACTTCAAGAAGTTCACCACCCACATCTCCACTGTCATTCTCTTTGCCTCTTCGGTAAATAGTTGCCATCTATCTACTCTGCCCCCATGGTGCAATATCCTGTCCAGACTCCCTTCCATCACTGAACTAGAAGCCTCCAATACTGTAGTGGGGGCCATTCTTTCAGAAAAAGCCCCTAGGACTGAACACCATTGTATTAGTCTGTTCTCATACTGCCAAAAGACATACCTGAGCCTGGTAATTTATAAACAACAGAGGTTTGATCAACTCACAGTTCTGCAGGCTGTACAGGCTTCTGCCTCTGGGAAGGTCTCAGGAAACTTACAATCATGGCAGAAGGGGAAGCAGGCACATCTTCACACGGCTGTCAGGAGAGGGAGAGCAAAGTGCAACACACTTTCAAACAACCAGATCTCATGAGAACTCACTCACTATCACGAGAACAGCAAGGGGGAAATCCACCCCATGATCCAATCACCTCTCACCAGGTCTCTTCCCCAACCTGGGGATTACAATTCAACATGAGATTTGAATGGGGACACAGAGCCAAACCACGTTAACCATCTTGTGCCTATTTTACAATAGTGCTAGCTCCAGCTGAGGTTAGCTAGCCAGTGTGTGGGTTAGAGCTGCTCACCATCAAGATTGTTTCCAGGGAGACCCAGTTCTGCCTGTTGTGTGAATTACATCCTGGCAACCTTCAAAAGATAAGAAAACCTAGCCAAATGCGATAAGCTCTCTTTTATTAATGTTTACATTGAAGGTTGAAAATGAATCCCTCTTCCACAGTGGGAAACAGAATGGAGAACATGTGGTTAGGTAGTGTCTCACAGTCTGAGTCGAGACTAGGAAAGGGAATAATCCCAAGGTTGAGAAGTGGAAAAGACATAAATGGCAAGTGGTGGGGTACACATGACTTAAACATTTATTGGCTCCAGCCAACTAGATGTGGTCACTCAGATGTTACCATTTGATGCCCACACATGGTTACATGAGGAGATAGATTCCATGATAGTTGTAACTTTATCTTTTCATGCAGTTGTCATTTATTCGGTAATTGTTCTCCTCTTTCCTCATGTTTACCATGGCCTGGTCTGATCTAAGGACATCTCCTACACATTTCTGTATCATGAAATGTGTTGGCCCTGCAGGGGACCATAGATCTTGTGGCTTTGTCTCCTGTTCTCTACCCTTCTTCGCTCCTTGGGTCCTTGGAGGTCTCTTGAGTGGGTTTGCACAATACCAGAAGCCAGAGAAATGTAGGAATGTAGCAAGAGGAAGGGGGTGAAGCAAAAATGAAATGAGAGGGTCTGAGATGTTTATTCTAGAGCTCACTTGTATGGCATAATTTGTGAGTAGGGAATCCTTAATGAAAGGCCCAGCATCGATCACCTTGAATATTTATCATTTCTTTGTGGTGAGAACATTTAAAATTCTCTCCTACAGCTACTTGGAAATATACAATACATGCATCAAAACATCACTTCCTACCCCATAAATATGTACAATGATTATTTGTCAATTAAAGATAAAATGAAACTTTTTAAAAAGTAATAAATAAATAAATAAATGCCCAAGATCAAGATTCAAGCTAGGCGGTTAAGAAATGAAGCTATGCTAAGCAGTTTGGACTTTATCCTATGGCATCGGGGAGCCAGTAAAGATGTTTCTGCAGGAAAAAATTTTTTGAAAAAAAAAAAGGTCAGATGGTTAGTGATTGTTAAGATTAGAGGACAAAGTAGAAGATGGATTAGAGGGAGAGTTTACAAGGAGGGGACATTAGTCGGGAGGCTCTTGCAAGAGTTCAGGCAAAAGAATGTTGAATGTCTAAGCTAAGACAGTGGCACAGGAGAGGAGATGGGACTACAGAATCAGCAGGTGTTTGTAGAGAAGAGGGGAAGGGGAGAAGGAGGACCTGTGGCCAGTTTGGATCACTGAAATTCCAGACTGGCACGGGCCACAGAGCCTTTCCTCTGCCTTCTTGCTTCCCCTCCCTGTGTGGTTCCCAGGGACTTACCCATGGCCTCAGATCTTTGTGTTCTTCCACCATTGCATATGGAGGCAGGAGCATGTGCAGGTAACTTGTGCTAGGCCTCATTCGTGGGACCCACTGCATCCCCTTAGTCCCATCCCAGTATCTTTCTCCCCTGCTTCTCCACTCCCTTTTCTTCCCTGAAAAATAATGGGATTTGTGTGGTTCTGGTCCATAGGAACCAGCGTGGGAGTTTGCGGTGACCCTGGGATCCCGGCTCATGGCATCCGTTTGGGGGACAGCTTTGATCCAGGCACTGTGATGCGCTTCAGCTGTGAAGCTGGCCACGTGCTCCGGGGATCGTCAGAGCGCACCTGTCAAGCCAATGGCTCGTGGAGCGGCTCGCAGCCTGAGTGTGGAGGTAATGTATGTGACCATTCTGCTTCTCCCCTTTGCCCAGCCCCAGAGCTCGCCCCTGCTCCTGCTCTTATTCCCAGGCACCTGCGCTCACAGAAAAAAACCGTGGCCCCATTTGAACCCTCAGCCTGGCTGATAGGACTGCAACAGATAATTCATGTGCATTTTCATTAGTAATCAAAAGACAAACATATTCCCACTCTCACCTCAAAAGGGAAGAAATCAAAAAAGACTGAATTTGACCCACTATTTCATTCATTTCCCATATAGTTTCATTCAGCATCTATGTGCCAAGTGCTGTGGAATGTGCTGGGGACACAATGGTGACCAAGACGGACACTGCCATGGTCTGGATATTTGTGACCTCCCAAAAATCATATGTTGAAACCTGGTCACCCAGTGATAGTATTAGGAAGTGGGGTCTTGGGAAGTTGTTAGGTCATGGAATGGGATTAATGCTCTTATAGAGAAAAGAAAATACCTTAGAATGCTCCCTTTCCCTTGTGCCATGTGAAGACACAGCAAGAAGGCACCATGTCCAAGCCTGAACAGACGGAGACACACATCTTGATCTCCTGGGGCTTACAGTCTAAGGGAAGAGACTACGTGAAACAAATATTCAATGTGCCAAAAGATATACAAATCCAATTTTAGAAAACTCTCAAAGTAATCTAGGCCCTCAGTGATGTTGCCTGAGGTAGCACCAATGGGAGAAATTATCATTTTTCCATATATTCCTAAGTTTCTGGGGAAAATGTATATTTTTAAATCTCTCTCTCCTCTTGCAGTTGGTCCCCAAATCTCTCTGTCTCTCTCTTTCTAAAATACAGCTTGCATAGTACTCTCCTAGGCAGGAAGCAGGCTTAACAGATGAGAGTAAGTTTGAGTGAGAAGATCTGGAAGAGGAAGGAGATAATCATTTAGCAAGATACAAGTGGAATGGAATTGGGAAGTGTGTAATGGCCAGGCAGCACTGAGCGCTCACTTAAGGTGGGGGGATCATTAATTTAAAGTGAGAGCAGTCAGCATGGGACCATGTTTTTGTTCAAGCTCATTTTGCTACCTAGTTGTGGGCACAGAGCAGACAGTGCATTGGGTACAGAGCTGGAGATTTGACAGGCAACTAAGACATTGGCAGAAGTGGCAAGGGAAAAGAGGGTGAATGTGAGGCAGAGATTATATGTGTATATATATATATATATATATATAAATGCACAGTGGTCAAGTCAGGGCATTTACAGTGTCCATCACTCAAGTACAATACATTTTTGACTATAGTCTCCCTACTCTGCTATCAAGCATTGAACTTATTTTTTCTTTCTAACTGCATGTCCATGCCCTTTAACCCACTTCTCTTCATCCTCCCCCTCCCCTGACTCACCCTTCCCAGGCTCTATTATCTGTTTTTCCACTCTCTACCTCCACGTGATCCCCATGTATTTTCAATTTAAGAAGTTATTTTCACAGCTCTAACTCTAAAAGTCTAGAATCAATGACCAGATCAGTGGCAATGAGTACTCTTACTGCCTGGATTGTGGTCCATTCTCCATTAAAAGAAACTAGACTCTCTGGAGAAATGGCTAATTCCCGGGCTGGTGCAGGAAATATACAAGACAAATATGGAGGCCGGGCGCGGTGGCTCACGCCTGTAATCCCAGCACTTTGGGAGGCCGAGGCGGGTGGATCACGAGGTCAGGAGGTCGAGACCATCCTGGCTAATACGGTGAAACCCCGTCTCTACTAAAAATACAAAAAAAAAAAAAAAAATTAGCCGGTCGTGGTAGCAGGCGCCTGTAGTCCCAGGTACTCGGGAGGTTGAGGCAGGACAATGGCATGAACCCGGGAGGCGGAGCTTGCAGTGAGCCAAGATAGCGCCACTGCAGTTCAGCCTGGGCGAAAGAGCGAGACTCCGTCTCAAAAAAAAAAAAAAAAAAAAAAGACAAATATGGAACATCTTGTCACTCCAGCGAGGATTCCACCAAAGATAACTGAGGTCATGTTAACTGGACTCAGGAGCCAACTAGAAGAGGCTCCTATTGGCTAAAGATGGAGAATCTGAGCATCAATAAGAATAATAATGGCAATGGATGGGAACATAAAAAATATCTTTAGATCCATGAGTTCAAAATGATTCTTAAATAAACACATTGGTCACCTTTGGAGTTTGCTAGGAAACCAACTCATTATTCTGACATTTGATTTAAAATAAAAACCACACACAAAAAATCAAGCATTATCTGGCGTTCCTATATGAACAGTATTTCAGGGTAAGCAAATATTTGATGATAGAAAATGTCTTTCCTAAAGAACTCTAGCTAATGCAGAAAGAAGGATAGAATTAGAATATCACCACTTTCCAATCCCTAATGAAATAATGAATCTGGTCAATGACTGCTAAAACTATTAAATGAAAAACTTCATAATGGAAACTTCATAATGCCACATTAGGCAGGCATGCCCGAAATCACTGATGAGCCTCAACATCATGAACAAGAAAACACCCAGACATTCTTTGCTTCTTATCCAATGCAATAGGAGAGGCCCAAAACCACCTATGAATACCATTGCCAAAAGGCGGAACTTGATTACAGGAAGGAACTACAGGGGATAGAGGAATATGTTAAACTATATCTCATTGATGCAGTTAGCAAAATCCAGAAAGTGTGAAGTTCTATAGGACAGATGTTCTGGTTTCTGTAACAAATAAATTATAGAAGCAGAAATAATCATCTCTGGGTTCAAAGTCTTAGAGACGTGTCAACCAAATGTCATGTGTGGACCCTATTTGGATCCTGATTCAAACAAATCAACTGTTAAAAAAAGAGAAAAACAACTGAGGAAAATCAAGCACTGATTGGATATTTGGTGATATTAAGCAATTGTGTTTAAAATTTTAAGGACGATAATAGAATAGATCATCTTTTTTCTGTAAAAAACTGGAATTTGCTCAGAAATTTCAAAAGATTCATAGGGGTCTCTCCTTCCTGTCTAGGGGCAAGATAATTCGATACAAAAGCAGCATGAGAGGCATTTCTATCCACGAGGTCCCGAGGTAGCATGTGGCTTCCACTCTGGGCAGTTATCAGTCCCCTAGGTGATACCCACCATTGTTCTGGTGAATAATGTGTATTTTTGTCTTCCTAGTGATCTCTTGTGGGAACCCTGGGACTCCAAGTAATGCCCGAGTTGTGTTCAGTGATGGCCTGGTTTTCTCCAGCTCTATCGTCTATGAGTGCCGGGAAGGATACTACGCCACAGGCCTGCTCAGCCGTCACTGCTCGGTCAATGGTACCTGGACAGGCAGTGACCCTGAGTGCCTCGGTGAGAGCTCAGGCCCTACGGGTTCCATGGCCAACAGTGGCCCAGATCCTGCATGCCAGAGGAGAAGGCTATCCATGGAAGATGGTGCAGAATGGTTGGGATGGTCGGACTTGAACCTGAACGATAATCATATGAATAGCCTCTGTTGAGCATATGCTATGTGGCAGCCACTGAGCGAAGTACTTTATTTCATATGCACATTTCATTTGATCTTCACCATAACTCCGTAACTCCGTGAAGTAGCTACTATTATCCCCATTTTGTATATGAGATGGCTGAGGCTCAGAGAGGCAGAGAATATATGTTGGCCATTTCTCAGGCTCTAGCCAATTCCTTGGGCTTTCCCTTTTATCTCTTAGAATCAAACCCCAGAGCTCAACCTGATTCTCTTTTCACTTCAAAGATGCAGCTATCTGCCATCTTTGTTGCTTCGTTCTGTCCTTGTACCCGACCCCACCCAGTACGGGTTCCTGAGCACGGTGTAGCCTCACAGCTCCAATTTCTTGCTTCTCTCAAGGGTAGTCCCAGTTCTTTTCTGGGAAAAGTGAGTCACTGTGGGATCCAGATGGAGGGAAGAGATAGGATGAGGAAATGTGACAAGATTCTCCCTGTCAAAGTCCTAGTCTGTGATTTCGACTCCCTCTGAAATCCCGTGTCAAGTTCACTTTGGTTTTGAGACCAGAGCTCACCAAGCCCCACCCTCAATGATATGATGACATAGGCATGACCCTTTCATGGGCCATAAGACCCTGCTTCCAGGCTGTTGTCCCTAGGAGTCCTGTGTAGGTGCTGTTGGGCCTACAGAGGCCTCGTAGGTACAACAGCAGGTGATAAGATGTACCCCTCAGCAGACAAATCAATTGTCTCATGTGGTTCATTAATATACCTTAGGTTCTTCAAACAGAAAACTCCCTTTCCCTGGGTCCTAGCCTCATTTAGGAACTGAGCCCTCTGGATACTTCCTCTTAGAGGGGGCACTTTGAATAAGGTGAATCTTCATAGCCCAAGTTGCAGCGGTGCATAAGGACAGTGTGGGCAAGGACAGGACTGATGCCAGGGATTTGACAAAACAAAATTTAAAATGGGCAAGCTGGGTGTGGTGGCTCATGCCTGTAGTCCCAGCTACTCAGAAGGCTGAGGTGGGAGGATTGCATGAGCCCAGGAGTTCGAGGCTGCAGTGAGCCATGACTGTGCCTCTGCACTCCAGCCTGGGTGACAGAGTAAGACCCTGACTTAAAAAAAAAGAAATTTAGAATGGGTAATGTCCAACTGGGATCCTGTGAGGAGACAGGGCATCCCTGATCTGACAGTTTCCCTTCTTGGATGCATGCAGGGAGTGATAGGGATGGTATTGGAGGAGAAGTGGGGTCCTGGCCAGGAGTGAACAATGCTATATCTCTCTTATCCTAGTCATAAACTGTGGTGACCCTGGGATTCCAGCCAATGGCCTTCGGCTGGGCAATGACTTCAGGTACAACAAAACTGTGACATATCAGTGTGTCCCTGGCTATATGATGGAGTCACATAGAGTATCTGTGCTGAGCTGCACCAAGGACCGGACATGGAATGGAACCAAGCCCGTCTGCAAAGGTGTGTCTGGGGCTGCAAATGTGGACAGAGAGCCAAAGAAGATACAAAAGTGAGATGTAGGCCCTGAGCATCTCTCTAGAAGGGAGAGGGGTGAAAGGCCAGCCCTAACATCTTATCAGGGGATGTGCAAGGTGAGAAAACTGGCCCCTGAACATCTGCCAGGAGTGAATCAGAAGTACCAAAATAAGGCCTGGGCCATGAACATTGAGGGGAGGGTCCCGCAAACAGAGGACTGGGTTGTCACACTTGAGAGAGGGCATTGTAAGGTGCAAAAAGATCAGAACTCCCACAGTAAGAGGGCCCCATTCTGGTTCTTCCTGTTTAGCCCAGGCTCTAGGTGGGTGCAGGGTAGTCGGTGATATCAATGATGGTGACGGGGGCTGGTTTCCCAGGACAGCATCAGAACTCAGCCTGCTTTGGTCTCCCTCCAGCTCTCATGTGCAAGCCACCTCCGCTCATCCCCAATGGGAAGGTGGTGGGGTCTGACTTCATGTGGGGCTCAAGTGTGACTTATGCCTGCCTGGAGGGGTACCAGCTCTCCCTGCCCGCGGTGTTCACCTGTGAGGGAAATGGGTCCTGGACCGGAGAGCTGCCTCAGTGTTTCCGTAAGTTGCTTACAAGGGCCTTTGGTGCATCCTCTTCAATAGCTCCTTCCCCTTGCCTCCTCGGAGCTTTGTGGCTGGAAGGCCCAGAATAGGTAGTCCCCTCCCCAAAACCAGGGAGGAGCTTCATCAAAGACACTATTAAAGAGGGAAGGAAGTGGAAAGGAAGAAAATGAGGATCCCTTAATTGAGCCCTGGTGTCAGATACTGTCTATGGTAACAGAAGGAAATTAAGCTAGAGATATTGGGGGTGTTTTTTTTTTTACCTGAAGGGTTGTTAACTGTATGGAATAGTACTCCAAGATCTGAGGGTTCCCAGTGCTATATACATGTCTGTTTTCATGAAAAATGACCTGCACAGAAAAGACTTCTGGGAAACCTGTGATTTTCTGGTGAGTTGCTTTATTTTTTATACACCTGGCCCAGTTGTATCCTGAGGAGCCCCAAATCTATTCCAGGGCTTACTCTTTACTGAGATCCCCAGTAAGCAGGTTCTGGGTCACTTATTCTTGTCACACCCTGTGAATGGGCTCTGGAAGGTTTTCTCCATGCCCGTGCTTTGGGCAAACAGTAGGACGTATTTTTCTAATTGCCATTTATCTAATTCTGCAGAAAACTATCCACATACTCATGATACTGTTTTGGGTTCCTCTGAAAATTTGCTTCCATCTGGGGATTTCCTCAGAGATTAGGGCCAGCAGCTCAAAACTGGACACAGGTATTTGGTGCAATGTTACCCTTTCCAACCTTCACATACTACCAGGGTCAAGTCTGGACTCAGCCACCTTGCTTTTCCTCTGGAGAAATAGCTGAAGTGCCTTTTAACAATGAATTATGGTCATCATGAAAAAAATTTTACCCATTAGAAAATACAAAAAAGAAAGTAAAAGTCATCTGAACTCACACTTTCCAATGATAACCACAGTTCAGCTTTTGATGGTGTCCCGTGTGAATCACTGTGCATTTTTGAATAGATAGTGATATGTATACATTTTCTAGAACTGGTATTGGCTCATGCTGTACATACTGTTTCATAACTTGTATTCACTGATAGGCCACCAAAACCTTTCCATCAATACCTTTCTACCTTTCTTTATCAATATTTACTGATCTATGCATCATCATTTTTAATGGCTTTAAAGAATTTCCTTGTAGATACAAGTTATTTAATCTTTTTGCACTGGTGATGAATTTAGATTATCTCCAACTTAATCACGTTAGAAGCAGTTCTGCAATATGTATTCCTGAAAATTGCCTTTCTTGGCCGGGTGAGGTGACTCATGCCCATAATCTCAGCACTTTGGGAGGCCGAGGTGGGTGGATCACGAGGTCAGGAGATTGAGACCGTCCTGGCTAACAAGGTGAAACCCTGTCTGTAATAAAAATACAAAAATTAGCCGGGCGTGGTGGCGGGCGCCTGTAGTCCCACCTACTCGGGAGGTTGGGGCAGGAGAATGGCGTGAACCCAGGAGGCGGAGCTTGCAGTGAGCCAAGATCGCACCCCTGCACTCCAGCCTGGGCGACAGAGTGAGACTCCATCTCAAAAAAAAAAATGCCTTTCTTTACTCCTGCAGCAAAGCCCTAGGCATGAGAATGCTGGGCCGAGGGCAGTCATGCCTCCCTTCTTGACATATGTTGTCAAACTGTCTTCTAGAAACTGTCCCAATTTACATTCCCCACAGCAGTTAATGAGAATGTTTCTGGATGCACACCCTCATCAATAATGGATTGTGCCAGTATTTTTAAATATTTACCAGCCTGAGGAGCTTTAAAAGATCGCTCATTACTTTAATTGGCATCACATTGCTTATGAGAAAGGCCACGCTGGTTGCTCTTCACTTGTCAGCCGTTTGTGTTTCTGGTTCTTTCAGTTGCCTCCTTCTGGATACAGTAACTTCCCATCAATCGATTCTTAAACTGACTTCTAATTGGTCAGCATAGACACCCCAACCTTCAGGGCAGAGGATGCAGGTCCAGCTTCATTTTATTTTGCATGTGGTTATGTATCTCATGACTCCATATACACATACACACAGACACACACACACACACGCACACGCACACACATTTGCATCATAGCATAAAGCAATGCTTGAAGTGACATCGTGGTGAGCTTTGCCTTTGGTAGTCAATTTTTAATGGCACTGCCTGATGTTAACATGGCCTGAATGAAATGGGTACACCCATGCACTACCCACCGCAGTGTAAATGTGTACCCTTTGGGGAAAGACATTTGACACTACCCATCAAGAGCTGTGGATGTGTTCAGCCCTTTAAAAATAATAAGTTCACTCCTAGAGAATTCTCCTAAGAAAGTAATACATGTGAAAAGAAAAAACAAAAAAGAAAACAAAACAGGTGAAAGAAGAGTTATATATAACTGTATAATAGAAAATGCCCAATATAAGGATTATGATAAAATATAATTATGGTACAACCACCTGTTGCTAATTGTGTAGCCAATAAGCGATGATGATGTCATAAACATAGGAAATATTTACAAGATAATGCTAAGTGAATGAAACAAGATTTACGATCACATAGGCTTGGGTTTGCCGCTCCGCACAAGTTTCCATACAACTGAACAAAGATTGGAAAAGAATGTGCGTGAAAATGGAAAAAAAGTTTTGAATAGTGGGATTTTCGTTTATTTCTCTTTCATGTTCTAAACTTCCTGTAATGTTACTCCATTACTTGGATCATTATTAATAGGCACTTTGAATGTAGAAGGGAGAGGAAGCCCCCATCAGCAGCAGCACCGCAGCAGGTGGAAGCACCTACCTGGGGCTGCCCCGGTTCCCAGAGTTCAAGCTCAACCAGGAAGGGAGCAGTGCAAAGAACAAAGATGGGGGTGTGGGACTGGAAGATTGGGTTCTGGAAAGCAACTTAGACCTGCCTTTCTCCCTTCGTCTTCCCAGCTGTGTTCTGCGGGGATCCTGGTGTCCCGTCCCGTGGGAGGAGAGAGGACCGAGGCTTCTCCTACAGGTCATCTGTCTCCTTCTCCTGCCATCCCCCTCTGGTGCTGGTGGGCTCTCCACGCAGGTTTTGCCAGTCAGATGGGACATGGAGTGGCACCCAGCCCAGCTGCATAGGTGAGAGGTCATCTGGAGCAGGGAGCGTCTTGGCTGGGGTTGCGGGAGACCTTCTTTTGGGCCTGAGATGATTACTTTCCTTCCCTGTCTTCAGTGGTCTCATCTGCAAAAGGGAACATCTCATCCTCTGAGCTTCTGCAGCAGGATGTAAAATAGCCAGAGCTAGTGTGCTTCGAGGAGTCAAATAGACAGCCAGGGCCAAGGCTCAGGTGGGGATCTCAGTGGGCAGGGAAGTCAGGATGTGGCCGCATTTTCTTTTCTACACCTATTTCCCAGAGTGAGATGAGGCCGTGAAGGCTTCCATGACCATGTGATCTGTGTCTTTGTTTTGGCCATCCAGATCCGACCCTGACCACGTGTGCGGACCCTGGTGTGCCACAGTTTGGGATACAGAACAATTCTCAGGGCTACCAGGTAAGGAGGTCAGCCAAGATAGGGTCTTCCTAC
Organism: Homo sapiens; assembly: GCF_000001405.40. Classification (NCBI taxonomy): domain Eukaryota; kingdom Metazoa; phylum Chordata; class Mammalia; order Primates; family Hominidae; genus Homo; species Homo sapiens. The sequence continues at coordinate 33,536,988 of NC_000001.11, read as the reverse complement.
ATCCTATCCCTTCTTGTCACTGTCAACATAAGAGGACCCAGAGACCTTCCTCAGGACAGCACTCAGGGAGGACAAGAGCTTGGAAAGCGCAGAAAGAAAGCCCTCTGCCTCTTTGAACAGTGCTCCATGGGAGCACCCTGCAGAGACAGCAGGACCCTAACATCCGTCAGAGAAACTGATGAGGAAGGACAGATGGCGTGCAGTTCCATGAACACTTCCCGGCAACCCCAGGCAGGGTGGTTGTGGAAATACGGAAATGAGTGAGACCTCTGTCCTCACGGTGCCCACCCCACCCACAGACACTGGGCTCATGCACAGTGGCAACGAGCATGTGCCACACAGGAGGCAGGCCTGTTGGCATGCCTGGCCCACCAGGACACAGGCCCTGCGGACACACCTCAGATGAGCTTTGGGAGGAGAGAACCTGGACAGTCTGGGTTGTGACACATTGAACAGAGAAAAGGATGGCCGGGTGCGGTGGCTCACGCCTGTAATCCCAGCACTTTGGGAAGCCAAGGCGGGTGGATCATGAGGTCAGGAGATCGAGGCCATCCTGGCTAATATGGTGAAACCCCGTCTCTACTAAAAATACAAAACATTAGCCGGGCATGGTGGCGGGCGCCTGTAGTCCCAGCTACTCGGGAGGCTGAGGCAGGAGAATGGCGTGGACCCAGGAGGCGGAGCTTGCAGTGAGCCAAGATCGCACCACTGCACTCCAGCCTGGGCAACAGAGCGAGACTCGGTCTCAGAAAAAAAAGAAGAGAAAAGAAAAGGAAGAATGGGTGTGTTCAAGGCAGGACAATTAGGTGGAGTCCAGGACTTGCCCAGGAAAATATCGGACTCACCTGGACATGACAGGCTGGGATCTAGTCAAGTAATGTGACTTATTCACTTAGTCTGTACTCACTCGGCACATGCTTATGGCCCTGAACTGTTCTAGGAGCTAGGAATACAGTGGGAACAGGACAGACTGGGTGCCTGTTTGAAGGGAGCTGCCTGGCTGAAGATGATAAATAAATAAACGAGCTAGCTTCTGAGAGCAGTAGACACGACACGGTGATTGATATAAAGGGGTGTGAACGGGGTGGGTTACCATTTTAGGAAAGGTGGTTAGGGAAGGGTGACATTTGAACTACGGCCTCCATGATGAGAAGGGCTAGCCCTGTGCAGAGCAGGGTGACATTCCTGGCTGAACGAAGGGCTGGTGCAAAGGAGTGCTGAGGGAAGTGCTTAGCAGCCTGGGGGCCTGGAAAGTAGGCCAGCTAGCAAGTCTGCAGCCCCGTGAGGGAGGATAAGGAAATGTAGTCAAGAGTGAGGCTAGGTTGGAAAACAGCTTGGTCCTGGTGTGTAAAGTTAAACATTCACACACTCTATGACCCAAAAGTTCCACCTCTGCAAACATATCCCAGAGGCACTCTTGCACATGTCACCAAGAAACAGGAAATTTGTGGGTATAGTCACGTGATGGATTATTATACAGCAAAGAAAATGAATGAATTACAGCTCTGCATGACATGGATGAATCTTAGAAACATACTATCAAGTGACAAAGGTGGCATGACACTACTTTTACAAATATTAAAACCAGCAAAAACTTACTAAATTGTTTAGAGGTATGTATGCACATATGTGATAGGATTGTTTTTTAACAAGGCAAGGAAATTAACACAAATTTCAAGACAGCCATTACTACGGAGGGGTGTTGAGGAACACAGCAGGGAAAGAGCCCCTAGAACATTACAACCATGTCCATAGCTCTTAAGTTGCATGGTGGATTCAATCTAAAATATCCATTTTATTATTATACTTTATATGTGTTCCATATATTATTTTGTGTATGTCGGATATCACATAATTTTTGCAAAGGCGGCAGCATGGGACAGGTCATGCAGGGCCTTGAAGCCATGATAAGTATTTTGGATTTTATCTAAAATGCCATTTGAAGGTGACACAATCTGATTCTTCATTTGAAATATTACTCAGGCTGCTGAGTAGAGAATGAATATCAGGGAGTTGAGAATAGATGCACTTAGGCAAGGAGGACACTGTTGTCATGACTCCAGGGAAAAAGAAGGTGAGAAGTGATCCTGAACGCTTGTTCGGGATACATTTTGTAGGCAGAACCAAGAGGACTCATTGATGGGTTGGATTGTGGGGTCGAAGGGATCAAAGATGACTTGAGGTTTTTTATTTGCACAACTGCATGGATAAAGGTGCCATTTGCTAAGTCAAATGATGAAATCCAAGACAAAAAAGTGTTCAGCATGGAAGAAGGGAGTGGAATTTAAGAGTTACACATTGCATTTGCACATGCTCCAGTAGGTAATAGGGACACATAAGTGTTTGAACTGGGAAGTAGTATAATCCGAGTTGCAGTATAGGAAACAGATCTAGCCGCATTACACCAAGTGGATTGGGTAGGGAGAGATGGAGCCCGTGGTTGCGGGGTGTCGAGTTGTACAGTGAGGGGCTGGTGGAGGGTTAAGGTAGGGAACATAACTGAGCAGAGCAGGGAGGGAGGGTGGCAGTTCGTTCAACAGATTCTATGGGGGCCATATCTGTAAAGACAAGTCTCCCATCCTTAAAGAATTTGCAATTTCATTGAGGAAAGGAACACACACACAATATTTAATTTGCACTCTTCTTCACATTTTGTAAAATGCTGTCAAATCCGCCATCACATTTGAGTGTCACAACATTCCAGTGTGATTGTGGCAAGGATGGTCATCCCCACTGTATCCTTAGGAAGACTAAGGTTTACAGAGTTCCATGCAGCCTGCCCTGAGTAAATGCAGAAGCCAGAACTCGGATCCAGGGTCTTCTGACTCTGAATCAGCCACCGTGTCCACAACAGAGTGTAATATTACAACTTTGTTCAGGGTATTAGATGAGGCCTTGTGGAGGAGGCATCCTATCAACTGCCTCAAAGGAAGAAGAAAATTTAACCAGGCGGAGAATCAGAAAAAGAGTTTTGCAGGCAACAGTGCGGGAGGAGTTGGGCCATGTGAAAGTGGTCAAGGGACAGACGTAGGAAGCACCGCTGAAAGGAAGGGGCTGATGGGACTTTGTATCTTGCCGCAGGTTGGAAGCACAGTCCTCTTCCGTTGTCAAAAAGGCTACCTGCTTCAGGGCTCCACCACCAGGACCTGCCTCCCAAACCTGACCTGGAGTGGAACCCCACCTGACTGTGTCCGTGAGTGCAGACTTCACCCACATCCCAAGAAAATTCCTCTTGCCCCAGCTGGGCATCTGGGTCATGTTTGAATGCTCTGAATGACAGGGAGTTCACAACTCCCCATGCGAACCGACATCGGTCTCTTTGTAGTCCTTACACTTTGGGGCCTCACAGAAGACTTCCACACAAAAGCCTTTCTGATATTGGAAGGCAATCCCTATGCCTTAGCAAAGAAAAAACTATCCAGTGGCAGCAGCAAAAACTAACAACTGCAAGGCCAGGCCTCAGGATGGAGATATCAAGCTTTTGACCCAGTTACTCCTTTACCCCTCAGGAAGTGCTGCAGGCTTAAGTTCCCCCAACTCAGAGTCAACCAAGCCGATATCCACATGATCTCCATCTTGGCCATTCCTCTAGACACAGAGCTTGGGTTAGGGTGGAGGATTAGGGAGGGGGATGCTTGGCATGAAAGGGACTGGAAGGGAAAGGAAGAGGATATTCTATCTAGGAACAGGGGAATGGTCGAAAGGGCCCCTGAAGCCCCTAATCTCCTCCAGTCCAACAGGGTCTTTCCTCTCATCCAGCCCACCACTGCAGGCAGCCAGAGACGCCAACGCATGCCAACGTCGGGGCCCTGGATTTGCCCTCCATGGGCTACACGCTCATCTACTCCTGCCAGGAGGGCTTCTCCCTCAAGGGTGGCTCCGAGCACCGCACCTGCAAGGCGGATGGCAGCTGGACAGGCAAGCCGCCCATCTGCCTGGGTGAGTGTGCCTGCTCGGGGAAGCTCTCCAGGGCGGGAGGCTGAAAGTGCTGGCTGAACTTGAGCTGAAAGAGGGCAAAAGAGAAGGAAGGAATTGCGTTTCAAGGAGCTGGATCCCGCTTCTGATTTTCTAAGGTTTTGAGTCTAGAAGAGCAAAGCAGAGCGGTCTAAAAAGGTGCATACTCAACCCACCCCAAGGGTTGCCCCTTTTGCCTGGGCTGAAACACTCACAGGATCACATTTCATCATCAGGCAGAGGAAAGTGCTTTCTTCCACCAAACTGGAGTGACGCATTACACATATTGCACCCTTGATAAAACAGCACCCGCCTGTAGGTCCCTTGGGGTTACCAGGATGTCCCAGACCTCCCTTCCCCTCTTCTTCATTCACTCGTTCTCTATTTATTGAGAGTTCATGTGGCCCCATGCTTGCGCTAGGCATGAGGGATTCAGAGGGGAAAGACACAACCCTGCCATGTGGAAGACAGACACGTTATCAGATTTTATATTTGGAGTACTTGGAGGAACATGGAGATGTGCCAAATGCTGTAGGAATGAGGAGGAAGGGCACTAAAGTGGGGGAAAGGAGAAGTCAGGGAGGACTTCCTGGAGAAGGTGATGTCTGAGTCCAGTCTTGAGGGAAAGGATTAAGGTTAAACGATTAGTTCAGTGCTGGAATAGCATTAAACTCTCTGATAGGCACTCACCTCACCAGATACCAGGCATTGTGCTAAATGCTTTGTATGTTTCAACTCATTTAATCTTCACAAGATCCTATGAGGCTATTTAATATATGAGGAAACTAGGGCATAGAGAAGTTAATTAATGTGTCCAAGGTCCCCAGCTGAGAAAGGTTAAGTGCTGAAGATCTATACCCTGATGGTCTAACTTTAGGATCTATGACTATTTTGCTATCCTGCCACTCAGAGGGAAGCCTTCAGGGTCAGAGACTATATCAGAGCTAGAACTTACTAACGGTGTTTTATTTTCATGGTATCACTTGGAAATTTCTTTTGTTTTCCACATACAGTAGTGATATAAAGTACATTTATTAAAGTACATTTAAGTTTTTATTGTGATAGAATATACATAATATACAATTTTAAGTGTACAATTCAGTGGCATTAGTTATGTTTATGATATTGCACAGCCATCACCACTATCCATTTCCAGAATTTTTTCATTATCTCGAACAGAAACTCCATACCCATTAAACAATAACTGCCCATTTCCCCCTTCTCTTAGCCCATAGTAACTGCTATCATACTTCCTGCTTCTGTAAATTTGCCTATTCTAAGTACCTCATGTTAGTGGAATCATACAATATTTGTTCTTTTGTGTCTGGCTTATTTCCCTTAGCATAATGTTTTCAAGATTTAACCATGTTGTGGCATCTGTCGGAATTTCTTTCCTTCTTATGCGTGAATCATATCTCATCATATGGACATCACTTTTTGTTTATCCATTCACCTGTTGATGGCTGTTTAGGCTGTTTCCACTTTTTGGCTATTACAAATAATACTTCTGTGAACATACATGTACATGTTTTGTTTTAATATGTTTTCAGTTCTCCTGGGGACATATCTAGGAAAACAGTAACTCTATGTGTAATATTTTGAGGAATTGCCAAAGTTTTCCAAAACTCTTGCACCATGTTATTCCCACCAGCAATGCATCAGGGTCCAATTTCTCGACATCCTTCCCCACACTTGTCCATCCTGTTTTAGTGTATCCATGATCAGTGGGTATAAAGTGGTATCTCATTGTGGTGTTTTTTATTGTTTGTTTGAATTTTCATCCAATTATTTTTTAATTGACAAATAAAAGTTGTATATATGTAGAGTGTACAGCATGATGTTTTGATATATGTATACATTGTGGAGTGGCAAAGTCATGTTAATTAACATATCCATTAACTTCATATACTTGCCATTTTTTGTGGTAAGAACACAAAATCTACTCTCAGTAATTTTCAAGTACACAGTGCATTGTTATTAACTATGGTCACCATGATGTACAAGAGATCTTGAACTTATTCCCTGTCTAACTGAAATTCTGTGCCCTTTGGCCAACATCTTTCCAATTCCAACCCCCCAGTACCACCCCACCCTAGCCCCTGGTATCCACTATTCTACTCTCTACTTCTATTAATTAGTTCAATTACTTTAGATTCCACAGATAAGTGAGATTGTGCAGTATTTGTCTTACCGTACCTGGCTTATTTCACTTAACATAATGTCCTCCAGGTTATCCCTGTGGTCACAAATGGCAGAATTTCTTTCTTTTTTAAGGCTGCATAGTATTCCATTGTGTATATATTCCATGTTTTCTTTATCCATTCATCCACTGATGGACACTTAGGTTGTTTCCGTATCTTGGCTATTATGAATAATGCCTCAATAAACATGAGAGTGCAGATATCTCTTTGACTTACTGATTTTGTTTCCTTTGGATATATACTCCATAATGGTATTGCTGTATCATATGGTAGTTCTATTTTTAATTTTTTGAGGAACCTTCATACGTTTTCCATAATGGTTACATTAACTTAAATTCCCACTAACAATGTGCAAGAGTTTCCTTTTCTCCACCTCCTTACCAACACTTGTTATCTTTAATCTTATTTATAATAGTCCTTCTAACAGGTAGGAGGTGATATCTCATTGTGGGTTTCACTTGCATTTCCCTGATGGTTAGTGATGCTGAGCATTTTTCATATACCTGTTGGCCATTTGTATGTCTTCTTTTCAGAAATGTCTATTCAGGTCCTTTGCCTGTTTTTAAATCAGGTTATCTATTTTCTTGCTATCGAGTTGTTTTAGTTCCTTCTATATGTTCCTTAGATGTTAATCTCTTACCAGATGTGTGGTTTGCAAACAATTTCTCCCATTCCACAGGTTGCCTCTTCACTCTGTTGATTGTTTCCTTTGCTGTGCAGAAGCTTTTCAGTTTGATGTAATCTCATTTGTCTACTTTTGCTTTTGTTGCCTGTATCATTGTGCAAAAATGATTTATATTTCCTTAATGGCTAATGGTGCTCAGCACTTTTTTATGTGTATGTCTTCCTTAGAGAAATGTCTATTCAAATCCTTTGTCCATTTTTTACTGACTTATCTTTTTATTGTTGAGTTGAAAGTGTTCTTTCTCTATCTAAAATACAAGGCCTTTATAAGGTACATGATTTGCAAATTTTTTCCCATTTCACGGGGTGTCTTTTCGCTCTCTTGTTGGTGTTCTCTGAAGCACCAGTGTCTTTAATTTTGATAAAATCTAACTTTTCTATTTTGGGGGTTGCATATGCTTTTGTTGTCATATCTAAGAAACTGTGATACATCCAAGGTCACAAAGATTTATGCCTATGTTTTATTCTTAGAGTTTTCTAGTTTTACTTCTTAGATTTATGTCTTTGATCCATTTTGAATTAATTTTTTATGATATTAGGTTAGAATCCAAACTCATTCTTTTTTATGTGGCTATCCAGTTGTTCCAGCACCATTTGTTGGCAAGACTATTCTTTCCCTGTTGAATTGTCTTGACACTCCCGTCAAAAATCATTTGACCATAAATGTATGAGTTTATATCTGGATTCTCTATTCTATTCCATTGATCTCTATGACTCTCTTTATGCCATTACCACCCAGCCCTGATTACTTTAGCTTTGTAGTAGGTTTTCAAATTGGCAAGTGTCCCAGTCTGGGCACCCTAGGGAGACTACATGTCTACAAAAAAATAAAAGTAAAGAAATTAGCCAGGAGTGGTGGTGTATGCCTGTAGTCTTAGCTATTCAGAAGGCTGAGGTAGGAGGTTCACTTGAGCCCAGGATTTGGAGGTTACAGTGAGCTATGATTACACCACTGCACTCCAGCCTGGATAACAGAGCAAGACTTTGTCTCTAAATAAAAATAAATTGTTTTAAATGAAAGAAAACAAAAAATATTGGGACGTATCAATTATCCAACTTTGTTCTTTTTTAAGACTGTTTGCCTATTGTTTTGCCTTTTGTTTCTATACAGATTTTAAGATTGGCTTGTCAATTTCTGCAAACTAGAGAGCTGGAATTTTGGCAGAAATTGCATTGAACCTGTAGATCAATTTGGGGAGTATTGCCATCTGAACAATATTAAGGTTTCCAAACCATGAACATGTGATGTCTTTCCATTTATTTAGATAATTAATTTCTTTCAATGATGCTTTATATTTTTCAGTGTACAAGTCTTGCATTTCTTTGGTTACATTTATTCTTAAATATTTTTATCTGTTATTATAGCTACTTTTATTTAAAAATATATAATGTTTTAGAGGCAGCTGAATTCAACCCATTACTGTATGATCTTGAGCAAGCCCTTTCATTTCTCTGCCTCTCAAAAAGTTTCTGTGCTATAAAATGGGGAAAATAATCTCTACTTCAGAGTTTCAAGAGCAGGAGGAAATGAAGAAGTGCCTATCACAGCACCTCGCACATAAGATGCTTTCTCCTTCTTTGCTCCATTCATCTTATGAAACCTAAGACGATAAAGCATTTTGTTCAGAAGTACACTTGCATTGAGTCACTGCAGAAACTTTCTCCACAGCATTCTGTGTACTGAGGCATAGGCTGACCTCCAGAGTTGAAGGAGATTTGCTAAAGCTGTGCTCCCCGCCAAGGCAGACAGTGGGGAGTCTGCCCTTAATGGCGACAAGGCAGATTTTCTATTGTTTCTCTGCAAAAGAAGAAAAGACATTAATACTTACTGGTCATGACTTTCCTGTTCATAACCTCATTTATTCAGCATAGACCTGTGAGGTATGTTTCAGTTTTTTCCAGGTTTCAAATGAGGAGGCAAAGACTCTGAGTGGTGAAGTTACTAGTCAAGGTCACGCAGTCATTAAGTGGCACTGCTGGGACCTGAACCTTGGCTGTCTGGCCCAGGCCCAAAGCTTTTGCCTTTGCTTTGCCTGTGAGGGCTTCTTGGTCTTAATCTCATCATTCCAAGGGAGGAAGGTGCTCCTCTGCAACCCCCACCAGGACTCACAGAGTTCACCGTTGATGGGTAGAAGTTCTTCCTTCATGCGAGGCATCTGGAAGAAAAGCAAAGTCGAGGGCAGGACTTTTTTTTTTTTTTTTTTTTTTTGAGACAGAGTCTCACTCCGTCACCCAGGCTGGAGTGCAGTGGCATGATCTTGGCTCACTGCAAGCTCCGCCTCCCAGGTTCACACCATTCTCCTGCCTCAGCCTCCGCAAAGTTTTCAATGAGGACATTCAGGGAGTCTGTGCACTTGGATGGGAAAATATACACCTTTTATTCCTTTACTTCTTACTGAAATGTAGCCTCTCCTTTAATTTGGAATGTAGACAACAACCCTTAGGAGTGTTAGCACCTGTGACTTTGTCACCAGTAGAAATTGAAAAGACTTTTGTATATATTCCAGTTGCTACCAATATCATGAATATTGTTCATGTTCCTGACTACTTCAAGATTATGGTTATTTCTTGACTCACTGCTAGATCCTGTTATTTAATGCAGTAATAAAGAATCATATATACCACTATATCCTAATGTCTTGTCTAATATTGTAAGAACTCCAACTAATAAAATGGACTTCCTCTGTAATTCTTTGTATTTTTTATTCTGAGAGGGATCCATAGCATCATTAGAGCATCAAAGCAGTCTACCTCCTGGTCTAAAAAAAATAAGGGGAAAGCAAGATCTCAAAGAACCCATTGACCTAAGGTCAGACAGGTGGTCATTATTTTTCCAACAGAGTGTGAACCAGAAGCTGAACCTGTTTTCTTCCACTCTTTTTCCCCAGCAGAGGTCCGGCCCAGTGGGAGACCCATCAACACTGCCCGGGAGCCACCGCTCACCCAAGCCTTGAGTACGTATGGTCCAGATCATTGGCTCAAGAAACTGGTGTTACTTTTTTCACACAGTTAGCCAGAAAACTCGTGTTGCTGAGAGTTGCTGAGTGCCTAGAGGAAGGGCATGAAAACTATCTATAAATCTGGATGGCTTTCCCTACCCACCTCCCCAGCCCAGGCAGACTTCAGAAGAAAGTGAGCCTGAAGGAAGCAGAAACTTCATCTGGAAGAAAGAGCCAGCAACTTCCAACTGGAAGCTCTGGAACTGTTGATTACTACAGCCCCTCCTGGCATAGGACTGGCCAGTGTGTGGTCATACAAACACATTGACCCAGGCCATACCCAGGGAGCTTCCTGGAAATGGTTACAGTTTAAGATAGGTCTGGGGTCTTTCCAAGTATCACATCCAGAACTGGACACAGACTGCAGATGTGGCCTGACCAATACCAAATTCTTAGAGACTATCACATCCTTTCATGAACCTTCTACTTTTATTTACCACATTAACATGTGTATTATGCAGGAAACGAGGCTAGATTTGGCATCAGAAACTCAATTTGAGTACCATTTTGGTCACTGACCAGCTGTGTCCTTGGACGAATGAGCTTCGCCTCTTAAGCTTCAGTAAAATAGAGATCATAATAATTGCCATAGAGAATGATTACAAGGATAAATGACAATTTTAGTAGCTATCACTGATTAGGTGCTTTTACACATGCAACATCATGTAACATACAATTTACAACATTAGTCATTTAACCCCTAGAATAACCCTGATAAGGTAGATGGGATGGCCACCATGTATAGGAATACAGGCATAGCCTATACAGGGAGAAAGTCAAGGCTTTTGCACATGATCAGACAACTGATAAGTGACAGAGCTAAGATTAGACTCTGGGTCTGTCTGACTTCATTTGCCCATGTTCCAATTCACCATGCTATACTGACATGTCAGTTTTCTCTCTCTTCTCCCCTCTTCCATTTCTCCATCTTTTAAACACCTTTCCTTTTCTCCTCCCTTCTTCTGTCACTCCTTTCTAGTTCCCTCTCTATATCTTTTTAAATATTTTAATTTTAATTGACAAATAATAAACATATTTATAGAGTACAATGTGATGTTATTCTATATGTATACATTATGGAATAAATAAATCAAGCTAATTAACATACCCATCATCTCACCTAATTATCATTTTTTTGTGATGAGAACATTTAAAATCTACTCTTTTGGCCGGGTGTGGTGGCTCACACCTGTAATCCCAGCGCTTTGGGAGGCCAAGGTGGGCGGATCACCTGAGGTCAGGAGTTCGAGACCAGCCTGACCAACATGGTGAAACCTCATCTCTACTAAAAATACAAAATTAGCCGGGCATGGTGGTGCATGCCTGTAATCCCAGCTACTTGGGAGGCTAAGGCAGGAGAATTGCTTGAACCTGGGAGGCAGAGGTTGCAGTGAGCCGAGATCACACCATTGCACTCCAGCCTGGGCAACAATAGCAAAACTCCATCTCAACGAAAAAACTACTCTTTCAGCAATTTTGAAATGTACAATACATTCTTATTAACTATAGTCACTATGCCATGCAGTAGATCACCAAAACTCATATCTCCAGTCTAATGGAAACTTTGTACCCTTTGACCATCTCCCCATCACCCTCCACTCTGCCCCAGCCTCTGTAACCATCATTCTACTCTCTACTCCAATGAGTTCAACTTTTTTAGATTCCATATATAAGTGAGATCATATGATATTTATCTTTGTGTGCCTGGCTTATTCCACTTAACATAATGTCCTCCAGTTCATACATGTTGCTGCAAATGAAAGAATTTCCTTCTTTTTAAAAGCTGTCTAGTATTCCATAGTGTATGTATATATACCCTTTTCTTTATTTGTTCATTCATTCACGGACACTTGGGTTGTTTCCCTATCTTGGACATTGTGAATGATGCTGCGATGAACATGGGAGTGGATATTTATCAGTTCCCTCTATCCATCCACTCTGAGACACAAGACGAGAAGAGGCCAGAGCATTCTACCACCTTCCTCACATGGTAGACATTGGGGAAAGGAAACAATCCCAGTGAGTGGGCTGGGATCAGTCATCAGGCTACCCCAATTCTGGCAGCACACACAAAGTCCCTCTCACATCTATTTCTCAATTCCTCTAGTTCCTGGGGATGTTTTTGCCAAGAATTCCCTGTGGAAAGGGGCCTATGAATACCAGGGGAAGAAGCAGCCAGCCATGCTCAGAGTGACTGGCTTCCAAGTTGCCAACAGCAAGGTCAATGCCACCATGATCGACCACAGTGGCGTGGAGCTGCACTTGGCTGGTAAGGAGCAGGCCCCTCTATGAAAGCCGGGAGGATGGATGGGCACACACCCTTGGCAAGGATGAGCCTAATGGCATTGCATCATACTGTCATGCAAGGCTCAGACTTGTCTGGTGGTCAGGGAAGAGGAAGTGTCTATTCATCTTTACATGATAAAGCACTGTGGACTAAAGGGAAATGTTTAAATGGCAAATATTAATAACCTGAATACATAAAGAACTCTTATGAACAAAGAGAAAAGACTGATATCCCTAAACTGAACCAAAAATAGGGGCAGAGACTTCCCAGGATCCCAAGTACAATCAGTCAACAAACAAAAGAAAAAATATTTTTCAGCAATCATCAAAAAAAAAGTAAACTCAAAATGTCATTTTCCACTTACACCATCAACTCAGAGTGTTTTTAAACAATAACACTTAGTGCAGGTCGGGTTCAGCCATGAACGCCAAATTCTAAAATGGTACCATTCTGGGAAAACAATTTGGCGATTTGTGTCAAGATCCTTGAAAATGATTGGACCCATTAATTACATTTCTAACAATTTTTATCATAAGAAGATACGGAGGGAGTCAAACATTTATGAATAAAGGCTGTTCCCATTACAAGGCCATTTGTAGTATATAAAAACTGGAACTAGAAAATTTCCCTAAAATAGAGAAATGGATATTTTAATGATAGTATATCTACTAGATGAAATATTATGCCAGTGTTGAGGGAAATGCATTCATTATAATGTATTTAAAATATGACTCCAGTGTTTTAAAGGAAAATATTACATTCATAAGAAAGAAAACAGGAATAATTTACAGTAACGTGGTTATTTCTTAGTAAGATCAGGAGAGATCATTTTTTCTTCATGCATCTCAGCATTTTCTAAAATTTTCCCAATTTTCAATCTTTCTATAATCAGAAAAAGTAAGTACCTTAGAAAATAAGTGTTTGTTGAATAGATGGATAGATAAGCAAATGTGTGAGTGAATGAACATATTAATGCACAACCCCACATAAAATCCTATCTACGCATTCATACGTGCACACACCTACGCAACTGCAGGATGACATTTGCTCATTTCACACATGATAATAGACATGTTCACATGCTCCCATGCCCAGGACCTCATGAACTATTGCACCCATTGAACTATCTATGCATTAGTGGACAGATTAAAAGACAAAATCATATTCTCACACATGCCTGTGTCAATAGCATCACAACCTCAACCCGGTAATCCAATTATTAACATACATATGCATATATTAATAATTCTTGCATATAACCACGTTCAGCCTACACAAACCCACACTCAACACTACACTTACGACTTAAAGGGATGTGGAGAATGTTTATATCAACATCTACACATGAAATTCCATCCAGAAACTTACACCCACAAACCCACAAATTTGAGTTTTGAAATTTTCCCATATCTTTCATGTGTAACACCTGAACTTTATTTCCCAGGAACTTACAAGAAAGAAGATTTTCATCTCCTACTCCAGGTGTACCAGATTACAGGGCCTGTGGAGATCTTTATGAATAAGTTCAAAGATGATCACTGGGCTTTAGATGGCCATGTAAGTTCAGCAAACTCACCTCCTCCCCTGACTCCCAGATCACTGGCAGGGAAGAGGAGGACAAAAGGGTGTGCAAACCCCTAGGATCAATCTGGCAACTTGGGAGGAGGTTTTCTGTGGGGCCCTGCCTAGGAGCAGCAAGAGGATCCTCATCTGCTAATGAAATAGGCAAAGGAAAAGATTTTAAAAGACAGAAGACTCAGAGTCCAGAGGTTCACCACATTCAAGAGAGTTGGAGTAAGTTCTGTTGTTTGAACAGAAAGCAAGGGATGGAGGTTGGGGGCAGAGGGAATTCAGGCTAGTTGAAGGTATTAATGTGGTGGGTGGGAGCTGGAAGAAGGCAGTGAGTCTCACATGACTACATTGAACTTCTCCTCACACTTGAGGATGCAGATTGTGAGTGATTAACACAGCTTGAGAGACCAGGACATGGCAGAGGGATAGGACTTTCTTGCATTCCCTTGTGGAAAAGACATTCTATTCTAGGGCTTTCTTGAGGTGGAAGCTGGATCTCCAGTGACACTTCTCTGGCCATACCTTCCTATTTCACACATAGTGGAGTTGAGCATAGCATCCCCTACCACGTCCTCCACTTCTCTGTCTTGGATTGCTGGAGCTAGAAGAGAAAGGATAGAATGAAGCGAGAGGTCATGGTAGACCAGAGTAGCAGAGAGCTAGGGAGTCACAGTGCATTCTCATGGACAGGACCAGCTGGTGGAGGACTGTGGCATAGTTGACTTTGCTTTATAAACACATCAGGAGAACCAAGTGGCTTCTCCAGGGGCTGGCACATACAGGTAGTTCCTTGGTAGGCCCAAGGGTATCTGTAGGTCCCCTTCATAATCCAAGTATGGGCCAGCTTCAATCATCGTGGCCCAAAAGCTGTGCAGGAACAATAGACTCCACCATCCAGGAGGGTCAAAGTTGGGACATGGAGCTAGCAGTGCAGGCCAGGGGAAGATGAGGATGGGGATCCAGAGGGCCAGGAACAGCTGGAGCTACTGCCTAGGACGCCAGACAAGCGTCGAGCCTTTTGATAGCCAGCAAGGTGTGTTTGCGGGGACAGCTGCGGAGGGCAGACAGAGGCTGCTCCTAGCCATGGAGCATAGGTTGGGAGTACCCAGGAGCACAGGCATCCTCACAGCATGCCCTCAGCCGCTGCGGCCCCAGACTGCACATTTGGGGGTCTGCATCTGTCACATGAGCATCAGTAGCAGGAGTTATGTCCCCAGCTACGCCCCCTAAAAAATTAATAGCTCTTAGAACTGTGACGAACTCTCCAATACCTTTAATCTGCAAGGGACATTTTCAGCATGGTTCTGTGTGTTCCATAATGCTCCAAAAGGCGGTTTTTCATCACAGTAATAACAGCTACCATGCATGTAAGGCCTATAAATTAAGTGTTCTGAAGTATTTCATCTTTATTAACTCATTTAATCCTTACAGCCACCCTATGACATAGGTACTGTTACTATTCTCATTTTGCACATGACAAACTGAGGCACAGAGAGATTAAGTGATTTGACCAGTAGAAAATAAAATCTTCCTCCTACCTCATACATGTAGCTGGTGCCCCTGCCCCACCCCGGGCTCCCCGGTCACACCCACCCTTGCCTAGGTGTGGGCAGAGAACAAACCCTGTGTGTCAGAGCAGCAGGTCAGTGGGTGACCTGCTGGGCAGCGTGTATGATGAGAGAGGAGTTCTAGATCCTTCCAGCAGCCTCCCACCTGCTCTCTGTGCTCCCCACCATCACAGGTCTCGTCAGAGTCCTCCGGAGCCACCTTCATCTACCAAGGCTCTGTCAAGGGCCAAGGCTTTGGGCAGTTCGGCTTTCAAAGACTGGGTAACTAGTGCTTGTCCCCCGGAAGTGTGGGCCCGGGTGGGTGGGAGAGAAACCGTGTGTGCCGTGGTCAGGTAGAGGACTGGGGAAGTTGAACAGTCTGAGGCGGGGGTGCTTTGGCCTCTTTGGGATCAGGGATGCCTCTTGAGATTCTGACAAAAGCCATGGAATATCTCTCCAAAAGCAAACACATGTGCATAACCCACTCAACCTTTGACAAAGTTTCCTGTTCAGACCTGGAGAGGAGAGCCCCCAACTCCAGGGACATTGGCTCTTAGATACAGCCCCCAGCCACACCCTCCAGCCAGCCCTGGGTGTCACCCCTGCCTCAACAAACAACGACACTGTGGAGTGTCTTAGAGCTCTCAGGGTGCCTTGACTGTGATGTCGTTTCTGCCCTAGCCCAGCCCTAGAAGACTGGTTTTGTGCCCATTTTACAGATAAGAAAACTGAGCATTAAGGCCACTTCCCTCCCTGGTCCTTCCCTGGCCTCTTTACCTAGCGTGCTTCCTGTCATCCATGTCAAACATCCACACCTTGGAGCCTTGTCCTGGCCCAGAGCCTCTGGGTGCCCAGCCTCAGACTCTGGTGGGGGGAGGGGTCTGGTTTCTCAGAAGCAGGGGAGGGGGAAACAGGAGGCAGCCGCAGGTGCGTGACAGCCTCTCTGTACCCCAGGCACTGACACCTCCCATCGCCGGGGCCCTTGCCTGCCAAGGCAGTCCACTCCATGTCCTCTGGCTCCAAGCTCCTGAAAGCTTCTCTGGACTGAGCCACGGTCTGCTCCCACCCTTTCCCACCCACACTGCTCCTCCCCCGGAGTTGTCCCAGCTCTGCCCTCATGAGCTGCATGGACTGAGACCACTGTCTTCCACACAGCACCCTTCACCTACTGCAAGATGGCCAGGCACGCTGCAAAGGCCTTAGAAAATCACAGTTTTTGTTCTGGCTCCACAGCAGACATCCTGTCCCCTCTCAGAGCCCCAGCCCCTCAGTTAGCAGGGTGCCTACTGGGGCCACAGTTTCTACTTGTGTTCTTCTGAGCCTTCCCAGTCTGCAGGGGAGGGTGAGGAAGGAGGAGAGGCAGCCTTTCAGAAGGAGATGCTTCAGCTTCAACCAGAACAGTTTCACCTTCATCTGTCTTATATTTTGTTGTGCCTGTAAGGTTTCATCTGATAAAAGGCTGCTACAGCCAAAAGAACTTTAGAGACTTCTAAAGGGCTGCACCCTTGTAAGAGTTTCTGTTGAGCCATGGTTTCAGGCTCCTCTGCGGATGGTCCTCTGGGTGCCATCTGAGCAGCACAAGGTAGATGCATGCAGGACCCTGCCCCCAAGGACTGAGTGTGCACGTGGAGGCAGGCGGGCAGCCCTGGGCACACCTGCCTCCCGTGCTGAGCAGGAGTGAGGAGCACCCTGAGTGGCAGCCCTGCTTCCCAAGAGTGTATAGTCGGGGAGGGTAGCCAACGGAGCCTCAGACTGTGTCTCGTGACTTGACTTTTCTGCTTTGGGACTTTACAGACCTCAGGCTGCTGGAGTCAGACCCCGAGTCCATTGGCCGCCACTTTGCTTCCAACAGCAGCTCAGTGGCAGCCGCGATCCTGGTGCCTTTCATCGCCCTCATTATTGCGGGCTTCGTGCTCTATCTCTACAAGCACAGGTACCGTGCAGGAAGGAGGCAGGGCGGGCATCAGGCAGGCCTCCCTCTCTCCCTCCAGGGCCCCCCGCACCAGACCCCTAAGCCTCTCTGTGTCGCTCTTTTCATGCCGTGGGCACTTCCTCTTTTATCGCCAGGAGAAGACCCAAAGTTCCTTTCAATGGCTATGCTGGCCACGAGAACACCAATGTTCGGGCCACATTTGAGAACCCAATGTACGACCGCAACATCCAGCCCACAGACATCATGGCCAGCGAGGCGGAGTTCACAGTCAGCACAGTGTGCACAGCAGTATAGCCACCCGGCCTGGCCGCCACCACCGCCACCGAGAGCCCCGCCTCCAGCAGCCGGTGAGCAGGGGTGTGGGAGGAAGACAGGCCATGACAAGCACAGACAGGGACCTATGCGTGCCAGGGGCTCCACCCAACGGAGTCGCACACACCACATAGACACACCCAGTAAGAGGAGAGCTGTGCATTGAGCATCATTGTGTAACAGGCACTGAACCAGGCCCTTTGTGGATCTAATATATTGAATCCCTGCACGCCCTGTGAGGTAGAAGCTTGTGGGAGCCCCATTACAGATGAGAAAACTGAGCTGCATAGAAACTAACTTGAGCAAGGTCACACAGCTCAGAAGGGGTGGGGTCGAAATCCAATCCCAGGCTGACTGGCTCCAGAAACTGCTCCTCACCCCTGGGCTTGGCAGAACATCGGCATGTACTAGTCTGTTTCTCTCTAGAGAAACAGAACCAACTGGATATATACATCCTCTGGGTCGAAGTCAAGCCCTGGAGATCTGTAGAGCTATACAGAGATGCACATATATCTGTGTATATAGGTATATTGTGTATATATATACATTCATACACTATAAACGCAATACATATACCCCATATCAAGATATATCCATACCTATCCATCTATATATAGATACGCATCTCCGTAGAGCTATATGTAAATGTTATATAGAGATAGAAATATAAATAAATATATATTTAGAGAGAGAGATTCATCTAAGGAATTGGCTGGCAAGGTGGAAATCTAAAGGGCAGGCCAGCAGGCTAGAAATTCCAGCAGGAGTTGATGCTGTCATCTTGAGTCCAAAAGCAGTCAGAGACGGAATTCCTTCCTCTTTGGAGCACCTCAGTCTTTTTCTTAAGGCCTTCAGCTGATTGAACGAGGCCCACACACATTATGGAGACTCAAAGTCTACTGATTTCAAAGTTAATTTTATCTAAAAAGATACCTTCACAGCAATATCCAGATTGGTGTTTGACCCATCAACTGAGCACCATAGCCTAGGCAGGTTTACTTACAAAATTCCCCACATTGAGCACAACAGAGGGGAGGAGCTCCCGGAAATATAGACAGGGGGCAGACACACCCACACGTGTACACGGTCATGCACACACACACACACACATACGCATACATGCACACAGGCATGCATCTGACAGGCCCACTGGGAAGGAACTGATGAATCTAAAAGGCACTGCCTCTTCCTCACTGTGTCCTCCTTCGATGACACCCTCACCTCTGGGACCTATGACCCTTCAGGAGTTGCCCCAACACGATGTCCAAGCTGCACCCCTCTGAGAACTGTCTTCTCCCACACATCCCGCTTTCTGGGGATAGGCAGGTGCCCCCTCTCAGGTCCTGTGCTGAAGGACTCTGGGGAGAAGAGTCACAGAGCCAGCCAGGTAGGGATTCCCAGTGAGGGCGGTGGAAAATCCGCCAAGTGGGCCACCAGCCAAACCCAGGGCTAGTGTTGCGCTCCCTCCCCACGCTCCTGTGCATGGCCGCTCACGTGGCAGATTCTCCCAGCCACACACAAATGGCAGTGCAGCGAGGAAACAGGCTTTTATGAGGGTGCCTGCAAAGGCCACCAACAGAGATGGTGGGGACAGTTCCTGCGGAGGGGGTTACAAGAGCAGCAAATGTCATTATCACTGCCCAGCCCCTGACGTGCTTTACTCCCTTTCTGCCTCACAACTCCTGGAGGATTTCACAGTTTCAGCCTGAGTCCCAGATGGTGAGTGAGTCAGGGACTCAGCAGATGCAGCTCCTGAATACAAACAATTTATGGAAAGAGCTTTTCCCCATCTTTTTACGTCTCTCCAAAACAAACATTTAAATAAGGGTTCCCCCTTATTCCAGTGGGATTGTTTTAGCATGCCAAAATTACTCCTCAAGTTTCATCTGTATGCCCAATCTTTATTTTTTCCTTCTCAGAACTCTTATCAATAGAAGGCAAAAGAGAAAAAGAAAAATCCCCTCTGATGATGTAAATCGGGGCTTGGAGATGATCAGTGATGAATCTGATTCACTGCATGAATTATTGAACAGTGTAAGAAAGAAACAAGAATGCCGCTGACCTCCACACAGTCACTCTTGCTCCACACCTGGGTTCTGCTGGGTTCCAGGTGCTGGTGTGCGCCATGCTGTCACCTCCGGGTCGGCTGGGGTTGGTGGCTCCACATCTGGCCAGCCCTCAGCATTGGCCCCTTGCCAGCAGGCTCTGAACCCACTGCCCAGCCCACAGGTCTCCAGCAGGGCCCCTCTGACCACTTCTGCCCACAGCTGGAGCATAAAGAAAGCAAGAGCCACCCTGAACAGACACACACACATTGCAAATGAGTGACTAGATGGTAATTTTTTTTTAAATAATGCCAAGGAGAAAAGCTGAAATTAAAATAAACACCCTACTAAGGAAGCAACGAGGCCTGTGCGGTCAGTGAGTAACAGGGCGGGGGAACAGGGCTGTGTGATGATGTTTGCCAACCCTTCCTCCATTAAAAAAAAGTATCAAAAATGAGATTTCACAACTGTGTCACTACAAAAATGAATATAATCCAGCCTGGATTCTTTATTACAGAGCCATTATTATCCTAGTCATTTTTTTTTTTTCATCTGATTTTGAAAGAAACTAAAATTAGAATGTTTTCCTGGGTTCCTAAAAGTATGGTGGCCCCCAAGCACTGGGCCTCCAGGTCTAATGGCGAAGTTGGCCCTGCAAGGGAAAAAGACAGAAAAATACATGTTCTGCTGCACGTATTCCCTACCTACCCCCATCCCCAACCTGGGAAGATTAAAAATCAAAGTGAAGATTGAGGTGACTCATCTCTTTCCCGCTTGTGCCTTCTTTTCTTTGCCGCTTTGCTTTTCCTCCTCTGCTCCCGGCCCCTCCCCTCCCACTGCCTCTTTTTTCTTTGCAAACTCAGGTGTGATCTGTTTGTTCCCAGTTCCCCAGGGGGCAGGAAGTAGGCTCCCCTGAGCACAGTGCCCAGTGCCCATCTTCGTTCGTCTCCTTGCCTGTGTCTGCTACTGCTGGGACTCAGGCCCTCGCCCTGCCGCCATCTATGCCAGTTACCCTGGAGAGGACTCCTGCCGTGTCCTGAAAAGGCAGAAAAGGAAGAGGGGCTGCAGACAGAGGAAGAAAGTTTATGGATTTAAAATAGCAAAGCAACTTGTGGATCTGTGTGTGTGTGTGTGTGTATGGGCCTGATCACACACAAACACACACACCTCTCCTTCATTCACGTCCTATGGAAGAGACCATAAAGGCTTCAAAACTAGAAGTGCGCATGAAGGATGCTTCATGCCCTGTTCCCCACACAGAGAAGAGATGAAGAGGGGGAGGTACGGTCAGCTTTCAAAACAATATGCCCCCCGCCCATCCCATGTGTGAGGACATGGTGACTCGGTGACTGTAACAGTAGGACACATCCCATCATGCGGTCAGAGTGCAGAAACCCGGTCAGCGTGCAGAAACCAGCTGTCTGCTGATGAACGGCCCATCTGCACAGCGGCAGCAAGGATTACCCCAAGGGCAGGAAAAAAGTCTTTGGAAATAGATTGAAAATCAGTTTCTTTATTTTTTTCAAACACTGTTTTATTGAGTTCTAAACCCAGTGGATTAAAAAGTCATTTGGGTCCTGGGAAGCACTGGGAAAGAAGGGAGAGCCGGGGAGGATAGGGCAGGAGTCTGGCCAGGAGCCCAAGGTCAAGTCTGGCTGTCAACTGACAAAGAGAAGAGAAGACAAGTCTGTGGCCCAGACAGGATGCCAAGTCTGGGGGCAGCAGCAGGGTCCTTGAGAGAACAGGGGAGCAAGCCTGCCCCAGTACCCAAAAAACAATGGCTATCATGTACTGGGGTTATTCTCTGTGCCTGACACTTTACCTGTAGTATTTCTAGTCTGCACAATAACACCAAAATGTAGGATTTGTTATTCCCCTTTGACAGATGAGAAAACAGAAGCCTGCAAAGGTAAAGACAGAGTTAGGAAGTGTGGAGTCAGAATGCAAACCCAGATCAGTCTGCCCCAAAGTCCACTACACCAGCTGCCAGAAACCCTGTTCTAGAAGGGGCAGCTAAGAAGGGAGGAGCCGATGAATCTCTACAGTAGCACTGTGGCCAGGTCTGGAAAGCCAGGCAAGACACCTGTGTGTCCTATCTGGGTTCTGCTGTCTCCGCGTAGGCAGCTTCGGGGCAAGGATTCAACTCCCCAGGCCTCCCACGGTTGGTGCTGGCTCCTTGGCTCCCAGCAGCCGCTGACCATAGCCAGCAAAAGACCTGGCAGGTCCTGAATCAAAACAACAGAGTGGCTGAAAGTCACACCTCTCCAGCTCCTTGCGAGTGGGTTTGATTGATTTTGACAGCTATATCATGCTTGGGTCGTTCATGAATTCCATGAGAATTGTTGGGAAGTTCATGAGTTTAGGAATCAAAGTATAGCATTTAGGGCCACTTTCTCTGTCCTCGGGAAGGCCCCCACAAGCTTAAGCCCCTGTATACGTGTGACATGCTGGCCTCAGAGATTCATGTCACATATTGAAATAGCAAATAGAAATGTGCAGGAGCGGAGGGACAGCGACACCTGGTTCTTAAGCAAATTCTAGATTGGAACAATTAGAAGATCTGACTGATGTTAAGAGTGGCCAGAGGAAAGTGAGAGGCGTCCATTTCCAGCAGACACAATGGAGGCTGACAGAGGCAGGAGCCTACCCCTGGCCACACCACCTCTGGGACACGGCACCCCCCTGGGCCTGGAGGGAGAGGGCCAATCCAGACACACTCACACTCTCATCTCTTTCCTTGGCTGGAAACAAGTGCAGGAAGCTCCCCTCCCAATTTCTTATGCTCCCTTCCCCCTTACACTCCTCTCCTTCGACTGCTCCCTTCCCCCTTCTTATGCCCCTCTCAGACCACCCAGCGGATGCCTATTCCCGCCCCCCACCCCTCCCCTGCGTCTCCTTGTAAAGTTCCATGAGATGCTCGAGGAGCACCTGCTGGTGGGGCACCCAGCACTCTGCTGGGCATCACCCTCCGCACCCCTGACATTTCTCTCCACCTCCAGAGGCTTGGAAGGGAACAGGGCAGATGAGGCCCTTCACCCACCATCTACGCCATATACCCATCACCATCCCATGAGGAAAAAAAAAAAAGTAAAACAAAGACAAAAAAAATCTTTTGTACAGAGATATATTTTTATTATACAAAGTTTGTACAGTACCAAAAAAGAAAAAAAAAAAGGTGTAAATTTTTTTTTCATTATTGTAGGTAAACGGTAGTGGAAGCCTTTTTTGTAAATGTAATAAAATGTATAAATATGGTTTTCAGAAAACATCAAGTGCTGTAAATATGTAATCTACACACCTTCTTGGCTTGTCTGCAGTATATACATTTAATTTATCTGTCTCTGTATATGAGGCTTCCCCCTGGGGTCCTGCATTATGGTACTTTCCTGAATTTGAAAGCAATTTTAAATTTTTTGAATTCAAATAAAATATAAATTTTTGCATTGGTTTTCTTACATTTTTATGGCCTCTTTCATGACTAGGGGCAAGTGTTTGTTGGGAAAGGGAAAGAAGGACATATTTTCGCCTAAAATCCAAGGGTAGAAATATGGGAGTCCATTTCTTAACTGCATTGTGTTATCACTGCTACATGTTGGAAACTCTGAGCAAAAATGATAGTGCATACCCCACATAAAAAAAGTTAACTCAAAATGGATCAAAGACCTAAACATAAGCCCTAAAATTATAAAATGCTTACAAGAAAACGTACGTGGAAAACTTCATGACATTAGATTTGGCAGTGATCTCCTGCATATGACATCAAACGTATAGGCAACAAAAGAAAAAACAGATAAACTGGACTACATCAAAATTCACAACTTCTGTATATCAAAAGATACAATCAACAGAGTGAAAAGGCAAGCTATAGAATGGGAGAAAATATTTGCACATCATATATCTGATAAGGGGTTAATATTGAGACTCTATAAAGAACTCTTATGAAAGACTTGAACAGTCATTTCTCCAAAGAAAATATACAAATGGCCAACAAGCACACGAAAAAATGCTCAACGTTACTAATCATTAGGGAAATAATCAAAGCCACAATGAGATGCCACCTCACACCCATTAGAATGGCTACTATCAAAAAACAATAAGTGTTGGTGAGGATGTGGAGAAATTGGAACCCTGGTGCCCCATTGGTGGGAATGTAAAAAGGTGCAGTCACTATGGAAAACAGTATGGCGATTTCTCAAAACATCAAAAATAGAATTACCATATTGTCTAGCAGTTCTACTTCTGAATATATACCCAAAAGAGTTGAAAGCAGGGTCACAAAAAGATATGTTAATAGCGGCATTTATTAACAAATGCCAAAAAGTAGAAGGAACCCAAATGTCCATCAACAGATGAATGGATAAACAAAATGTGGTACATATGTACAATGGAATATTATTCAGCCTTAAAAAAGAAGGAAACTCTGACCCATACTGCAACATGGATGAACCTTGAGGATGTTATGCTAAGTGAAATAAGCCAGTCACAAAAAAAAAAAAAAAAAAAAAAAACAACCAGATACTATGTGATTCTATTTATAAAAGCTACCTTGAGTCATCAAATTCATACAGAAAGTAGAATGGTGGTTGCCAGGGACTAGGGGGAGGAAAGGATGGGGAGTTACTGTTTAATTAGTATAAAGTTTCAGTTTTATAAGATGAAAAGTTTCTGGAGGCCTGGAAGCCCTACGCGTTCTACTGGTTTTAAAACAAAGAGCTCAATTGACACCAGGTATGACTTGTCAGTCTCTACATTCTCTCCTGATGGAAGAGTTTTTTGAGTTGAATATGCTGTGAAGGCTGTGGAAAATAGTACAGCCACTGGACTCAGATGTAAAGATGGTGGTGGCTTTGGGGTAGAAAAGGGAGTCTTCCTAAACTTTATGAAGAAGGCTCCAACAAAAGACTTTTTAATATTGATTGGCATGTTGGAATGGTGGTAGCAGGTTTGTTGACAGATGCCCCTTCTTTGGCAGATATAACAAGAGAAGACGCTTCCAACTTTAGATCTAGCTTTGGCTATACCATTCCACAAAAACATCTTGCAGACACAGTTGCCATGCATATACACTCTGCAGTGCTGTTAGACCTTTTGGCTGCAGTTTTACAGTAGGGTCTTACAGCGTGAACAACAGGGCACAATTCTGCAAGATGTTTCGTATGGTTATTGGGGCTGTACCCTTGGCAAAGCCAGGCACGCTGCAAAGATAGAAAATAGAAAAGCTTCAGGTGAAAGAAATGACCTGCCATGTTATTGTTAAGAAGTTGCAAAAATATTTACATAGTATATGATGAAGTTAAGAATAAACCTTTTAAATTAGAACTCAGCAGGGTTGGTGAATTAACTAAAGGAAGAAGACATGAAATTATTCCAAAAGATATAAGGGAAGAAGAAGAGAAACATGCCAAGGAATCTTTGAAGGAAGAAGATGAATCAGATGATGACAATATATAACATTTACTCCAGCATCTATTCTATTTTAAATTTCTGCTACAGTCCCAGGTTAACATTTAGCCCCCTGTGGATTATACACACTCACTAACCAATTTTCATTAAATGTTTGTATTGTGAAAAAGGAGAAAGAAAAGTTCTGGAGATTGCACAATTACGTGAATATACTTAATGTACTTGATGCCACTTAACAATGGTTAAGATGATCAATTTTATGTTATATATATTTTACCACAATACAATTTTTTTTAATTTATAGTGGAGGCCACATCAGCTCAGACCAAGAACCTGGGGACAAAGAAGTTGCTCCCCTCAGGGCTGGAGTTTGGCTTGGACTGAGGAGCTCAGGATCTGAGGACCGCGGTCTAAGGGCAGGTGGGCTTAGGCAGTAGAAACTCCATAGCAGAGAAAAGCCAAATCAAGGAGGGTCATCCAGGCAAGACAGTCATGAGAGGAGTGGTGAGGAAGAAGAGGAAAGAACTGGCAAGAGCTAGTAGGAGCCTATCCTTTCTTAAATGTACTATGCATTTGTTAGCAGTCATCATTTTAGGTGGAAAATTCATCCAGACTACCTTCAGTTTTCTGACTCCCACTACCCTTCACTTTTGCACTGTACCTCGGCTCCAGCTGCCCCCCTTGTCACCTCAATAACCTGATTTAGACCAACATTCCCAGTTTTTTGTTTTTGTTTTTTTTGAGACACAGTCTCACTCTGTCGCCCAGGCTAGAGTGCAGTGGCACAATCTCGGCCCACTGCAACCTCCACCTCCCGGGTTCAAGTGATTTTCCTGCCTCAGCCACCGGAGTAGGTGGGATTACAGGCACGCGCCACCATGCCTGGCTAATTTTTGTATTTTTTTTTTTTTGTAGAAACGGGGTTTCAGCATGTTGGCCAGGCTGGTCTCGAACTCCTAACCTCAGGTGATCCACCCGCCTCAGCCTCCCAAAGTGCTGGGATTACAGGCGTGAGCCACCGCGCCTGGCCCCCAGTTTTAATAAAGGCATTCCATCTTGGACACGCTGCCTGGCATTTCTCTCCTGGACACAGGGAATCAGCAGGGTGGGTGTAGTCCTCCCACTGGAACCTCAGGTAGCTTGGCAGGGATTCAGGGTCAGGAATTGGACTGTTGTCCAACACAAGCTCCGGTTGGATTGGGAATCAAGAGAGCAAGGGAGCAAATATTAAGTCTAAGTTCAGAAGACAAGTTCATACCAGCATGCAAATATGCAAACACTTTATAAGAAAATAGCAGATGGGCTGGGCACAGTGGCTCATGCCTGTAATCCCAGCACTTTGGGAGGCCAAGGCTGGTGGATCACTTGAGGCCAGGAGTTCGAGACCATCCTGGCCAACATGGCAAAACTCTGTCCCTACTAAAAATAAAGGAGAAAAAAGAAAGGAAGAAAAGAGCAGATTGCTGGACACCACATAGAGTGGGGAAAGACTTCCAAACATCAGGCCAGGACAAGTTTTCATAAGCCGTAGGGCATAGATAGAGGGGGCAAGCCCAAACTACAATGCCTGTGAGACAAGCTGCACCCCACAAGATCTACCTATACCAAGAGAACAGAGTGTCCCTGAACTAAGAAATCAAATAAACACTAACACCACTCCATTCCCTCACTCCAGCAGAAGCACCTGTTATTGCTGGTCTAGGAAAATCCTACACATTTCTTTTCTCACGGACAAAAAGGGTTCATGGACATATCTTCAAAGCTTCTATAAGAATAAAACAGCTCTCCCTCTCCCTCTCCCTCTCCCTCTCCCTCTCTCTCTCCCTCTCCCTCTCCCTCTCCCTCTCTCTCTCCCTCTCCCTCTCCCCACGGTCTCCCTCTCCCTCTCCCCACGGTCTCCCTCTCCCTCTCTTTCCACGGTCTCCCTCTGATGCCCAGCCGAAGCTGGACTGTACTGCTGCCATCTCAGCTCACTGCAACCTCCCTGCCTGATTCCCCTGCCTCAGCCTGCCGAGTGCCTGCGATTGCAGGCGCGCACCGCCACGCCTGACTGGTTTTCGTATTTTTTTGGTGGAGACGGGGTTTCGCTGTGTTGGCCGGGCTGGTCTCCAGCTCCTAACCGCGAGTGATCCGCCAGCCTCGGCCTCCCGAGGTGCCGGGATTGCAGACAGAGTCTCGTTCACTCAGTGCTCAATGGTGCCCAGGCTGGAGTGCAGTGGCGTGATCTCGGCTCGCTACAACCTCCACCTCCCAGCAGCCTGTCTTGGCCTCCCAAAGTGCCGAGATTGCAGCCTCTGCCCGGCTGCCACCCCGTCTGGGAAGTGAGGAGCGTCTCTGCCTGGCCGTCCATCGTCTGGGATGTGAGGAGCCCCTCTGCCTGGCTGCCCAGTCTGGGAAGTGAGGAGCGCCTCTTCCCGGCGCCATCCCATCTAGGAAGTGAGGAGCGTCTCTGCCTGGCCGCCCATCGTCTGAGATGTGGGGAGTGCCTCTGCCCCGCCGCCCTGTCTGGGATGTGAGGAGTGCCTCTGCCCGGCCGCGACCCCGTCTAGGAGGTGAGGAGCATCTCCACCTGGCCGCCCCGTCTGAGAAGTGAGGAGCCCCTCTGCCCAGCAGCTGCCCCGTCTGAGAAGTGAGGAGCCCCTCCGCCCGGCAGCCACCCCATCTGGGAAGTGAGGAATGTCTCCGCCCGGCAGCCACCCCGTCTGGGAGGGAGGTGAGGGTCAGCCCCCGCCCAGCCAGCCGCCCCGTCCCGGAGGGAGGTGGGGGGGGGGGGGTCAGCCCCTGCCCGGCCAGCCGCCCCGTCCGGGAGGTGGGGGGCACCTCTGCCCGGCCGCCCCTTCTGGGAAGTGAGGAGCCCCTCTGCCCGGCCACCACCCCGTCTGGGAGGTGTACCCAACAGCTCATTGAGAACGGGCCATGATGACAATGGCGGTTTTGTGGAATAGAAAAGGGGGAAAGGTGGGGAAAAGATTGAGAAATCAGATGGTTGCTGTGTCTGTGTAGAAAGAAGTAGACATGGGAGACTTTTCATTTTGTTCTGTACTAAGAAAAATTCTTCTGCCTTGGGATCCTGTTGATCTATGACCTTACTCCAACCCTGTGCTCTCTGAAACATGTGCTGTGTCCACTCAGGGTTAAATGGATTAAGGGCGGTGCAAGATGTGCTTTGTTAAACAGATGCTTGAAGGCAGCATGCTCGTTAAGAGTCATCACCACTCCCTAATCTCAAGTACCCAGGGACACAAACACTGCGGAAGGCCGCAGGGTCCTCTGCCTAGGAAAACCAGAGACCTTTGTTCACTTGTTTATCTGCTGACCTTCCCTCCACTATTGTCCTATGACCCTGCCAAATCCACCTCTGCGAGAAACACCCAAGAATGATCAATAAAAAAAAAAAAAAAAAAAAAAAAAGAATAAAACAGAAAATGAGTAGTAAAGACATTGTAACTTGGGTATATATCTAAGAGTGGAAAAGAGAAAAAAAGCAAAGAAAAGAAAACATTGTAACTAATTAAAATACTCCCCTAAAAAATAAAGGAAAGGAAAACTTTTTTTAAAGCATCCCAACATTAATTAAATATAATCAAGCAATTGTAAATATTAACATGTAATACAAACCAGAAGCTTGAAAACTCAGGATACAAATAGACATAAAACAGGAAGAAATAAATGACAGCTTACAATAAAAGAACAAGCATATCTCAGAAATGAAGAGCAAAGTGCAAAGTGTTCAATGGGTAACATACAGAAAGAAAGTATAATAAAGCACATACAGGAAGAAAACTTAAATATCTAAGAAAACAGAAGTTATGTAAAGAGCTAAAAAATATGAGACTGAAAGTGATAAAAGGGCACTTTGGGAGGCCAAGGCAGGCGGGTGGATCACTTGAGGCCAGGAGTTCAAGACCAGCCTGGCCAAAATGGCAAAACCCCAGTTCTACCAAAAAATACAAAAATTAGCCAAGCATGGTGGCACGTGCCTGTAGTCCCAGCTACTGGGAGAGTGAGGCAGGAGAATCGCTTGAACTCGAGAGGTGGAGGTTGCACTGAGCTGAGATTGTGCCACTGCACTCCAGCCTGGGCAAAAAAGCGAGACCCCCAGCTCAAAAAAAAAGAAAAAGAAAAATAAAGAAAGAAGGAAAGAAAGAAGGAAGGAAGGAAAGAGAAAAAGAGGAAAGAAAGAAGAGAAAGAAAAAAAAGAAAGAAAAAGAAAGAAAGAAAGAAAGAAAGATAAAAGACAGGCAAAGCAAGCCAATTTATGTACAATAGGAGTCCCTAAAGAAGAAAACCTAAATAAATTAGACAGAATTAATATTTAAAATTATACTCTAGGAAAACTATTTAGAACTAAAAGAAAAACTTAACATATATATTGAAAGGTCCACCAGGTTCCTGGGAAAATTATCCTGCAATGCTCAGCTCCAAGACAAACCCCAGTCAAACTGTAAGATTTTAAAGAAAAATAAAACATTCTCTGAGCCTCCAGATTAAATTAGGTTGCTATCAGATTTCTTAACAGCCACACACAAAGCAAAACTGAAGGAAAGAAAGTACAAACCAAGAATTTTATATGCAGTGATTTTTATGCATCAAGACAATGAGAACACAGTAATGAATATTCAAGAATTCAGGAATATTTTCCTCAGGAGCCCTTCCTGAAGAATCTACTGGGAGGACAAGTTTTAACCAACCAAATGATAGTTAAGGAATTTCAACAACAGGACTGATGTTAAGAATTGAAAACTGCATATTGAAATCTACAATGAAGATGAAAATAAAGACCGAAGAATAGTATGTAAATGTCCTAGGTTCTGACAAAGTGGAGATAACATGATTTTTTAATGGGAAGAGAAAGAGAAAGGGGAAAGTAAAGTGACCCCACTCGTTGCCACACAGATAACAGGTGGGAGTCAAAGACCATCTAAAGGTTTCCCAAACTTGGCAGTATGGACATTTTGGGCCAGATGATTTTTTTGTTGTAGGGCCTGGCTGTCCTGTGTGTTATAGGATGTTTAGCGGCATCCCTGGCCTCTGCCCAATAGATGCACACCTCTCCCAGTTGTGACAACCAAAAATACTTCCAGACATTGCCTAGTGTCTTCTGGGGAATAAAATGGATACACTCCCCCCACCTCTGTTGAAAGTCATTGATCAACAGATGCACTGGTTGAGAACCAGTTAATAAAACAGTTAGAACCTAAGTAGAAAAAAGAGGACTAAGGACATTTATAAATATATTAATATAAAAGTAATTACTAGAAGAAAATATAAATTTTGCCAAATACTAATACATATATTTTTAAGTACTCCAAAAAAACACACTGTGAAAGAACCAGTAAATATGACAAATGCACCAAGTAAATACAATACAAAATAATATGACAGACCTGAAAACAAACGTAGCCACTATATTATTAAATATAATTAGGTTTAATTATAAAGATGTTCAGATTATCTCACAAAATAAAACTTGACTCTGTGCTATCACAAGAGGCATACCTAAACAAAGTGATTCAAAATGGCTTAAATACCATGTATTGAAATCTAAAGCAAAGCAAAGCAAAGGAATAACAGGCATACGCAAACAAGAAAACAGGAATCACCATCCTCACACCAGATAAGTTAGAATTCAGGGCCAAAGGCATGAAAGAGGACAAGGAAGGACACTTTACAGCACTAAAGGAGATTATTCACAATGAAGATATAACAGATATCGATAACTATGCACCCAATAAGAAAGCAGATGTGTCATAAAGCAGAAACCAGGAGGTGCAAAGACAAATTGGAGCATGCCAATAACAGCAGTTTTAACTCACCACTCTCAGTTCATAACAAATCAAGGAAACAAAAGTAAGGCTGTAGAAGACCTAACCAAAATAATCATAAGGAAGTTTTTATGAATATGAATATCTGTCAAACTCTGCAACCCAATATTAGAGAATATGCTTTCTTTTGAAGCATACATGGAACATTCATGCAAATATCCCTTATACATAGAGAACTCTTAAAAATTGAGAAAAATAAGTCTAAAAGTACCATAAGCAAACATTCAAAGACTGTGAAAGAAAAGACATGCAAAAACCTTGAAATATATGAAAAGGTACTCAGTTTCACTCCATTATTCCTTACCTATTAAATCAGCAAAAATCCAAAAGCTAGGCAACACACTGTTGACAAAACTGTGGGAGAAACTGGCACTGTCACTGCTGGTCCAACTCACAGAGGAGAATTTGACGACATACACTATTTGAACAATGAATACACTAAAAGCCCAGACTCTATCACCACACACTATATCCATGTAACATGACTGCACTTGTACCCCTAAATCTAGAAAAATAAAATAATAATAATAATAAGGCAATGGATGAAAAATAGTAACTGTGTTTGAATCTATGAGTTCGTAATAATATTTTTAAAACAAATAATCCTATTTAAAAGTGGGCAAAGGGCATGAATAGACATTTCTCAAAAGAAAATATATGGATGGCCAGCAAACATATGAAAAAATACTCAACATCACTATTCGTCAGGGAAATGCAAATTAAAACCACAATGAGGCCGGGCACGGTGGCTCACACCTGTAATCCCAGCACTTTGGGAGGCCGAGGCAGGTGGACACCTGAGGTCAGGAGTTCGAGACCAGCCTGACCAACATGGTGAAACCCCGTCTCTACCAAAATATACAAAAATTAGCCAGGCATGATGGCAGGCACCTGTAATCCCAACCACTCGGGAGGCTGAGGCAAGAGAATCGATTGAACCCAGGAGGCAGAGGTTGCAGTGAGCTGAGATGGTGCCACTGCACTCCAGTGTAGGTGACAGAGCAAGACTCTGCCTCAAAAAAGAAAAAAAGAAAAAAAAAAAACACAATGAAATACCACCTTATTCCTGCGAGAATGGCCATTATGGATAAGTGAAAAAACAATAGATGTTGACATGGATGTGGGGAAACGAGAACACTTAGACACTGCTGGAGGGAATGTAAATTAGTACAACCTCTACGGAAAGCAGTATGGAGATTCTTTAAAGAGCTTAAAGTAGATCTGCCATTTGATCCAGCAGTCTCACTACTGGGTATCTATCCAAAGGAAAATAAGTCATTAAATGAAAAAGACACTTGCGCATGTATGTTTAGAGCAGCACAGTTCACAACTGCAAAGATGTGGAACCACCCTAACTGTCCATCAGCTAATGAGTGGATAAAGAAAATGTGGTGTACGTACACCATGAAATACTATTCAGCCATTAAAATCAATGAAATAATATCTTTTGCAGCAACTTGGATGGAGCTGGAGGCCGTTATTCTAAGTGAAGTAACACAGGAGTGGAAAAACCAAAAACTGTATGATCTCACTTATAAGCGGGAGCTAAGCTATGAGTATCCAAAGGCATACAGAGTGATATAATGGACTTCAGAGATTCAGACAGCAGAGGCTGGGAGGGGGCCTAGAGATAAAAACTACACACTAGGTGCAATGTACACTAACTCACACAGGTGCACTGAAATCTCAGAATTCGCCTCTATATAGTTCATCCATGTAACAAAAACCACTTGTACCCCAAAAGCTATTGAAATAATCATAAATAATAAATAACATTTTTTTAAAAACTCATTAGTCACTTATGGAAAACATTAAGAAACCAGCTATATTTTGATAACCAGTAAGTAAAAGGAGGGAAGAGCAAGCATTCATCCTGCTTTTTGTATGCAATGTATTTCAGGGTAACTAAATATTAAGAAGCGGAGTCTCTTTACAAAAGTATTGCAGCCAGTAAATGAAGGATAGAATTTATCACCATTTTGAAACCTTTATTAAAATAAATTCTGGCAATGATCATCAATGACTGCTAATATCACAAAAAGCGAGGCAACCAGACATTATAGGCCTTCTGATGGAAGTACATAACAACCACCTATGAAGTATTCTTGCCAAAAAAAAAATCAAATTTGAATCTGTTTAAACCTTTGGATCTAAATACCAGTTACAGGAAATACAGATGACAGGGAAACAAGTTCAATGATACCATAAGGATGTAATTGACAACATACAGATTCTGGAAAACTCCTCAGTGAAAATGACCTCATCTTAAATCCAGTTGCGATGTATGACATTAACTGAATTCAAATTCAAACAAGCTGTTCTTAAAAATTTTGAGACAATATATGAAGTAGGAACATCATATATTGTTGGTTCCATTCATATATTTGAGACAATATATGAAGTAGCAAGTTATTAACCTGAGCCTCTGAGGCTCTGTGGTAAAATGGGGATAGCAACAACAATATTTCATTGAGTCGTGCTGAGGCTGAAATGATGTCATCCACCCAAGGTCCTTACCAGCATGCCTGGCCCCTAGGCTCTTTATAGCTATTGGCTGTCAATTACTGGTCAAATGAATAGGGAGGAAAGAAGCTATGATCTGGAGGCAGCCTCAAGGAGTGAGGAGAAAGAACAGCAACCCCACCTCCCACCAGGAGGAACTTGGGCTGTATGCAAATAAACAGCCTCCATTTGAAAGGGCTGCAGGGAGGTGGGATCCTCTGGATTTATTTATTTATTTAGTAGAGACGAGGTCTCACTATGTTGCCCAGGCTGGTCTCCAACTCCTGGCTTCTAGTGATCCACCCACTTCAACCTCCCAAAGTGCTGGGATTACAGGTGGGAGTCACTGCACCCAGCCCCAGCAGCTTCTTGACATGGGGCCAACAGATGGCCAGCCCCAGCCATGAGGCATCTCCCTCAGGTAGGGCTTTTTCCTAGTATTACGTTCTCAGTTGTACTGGCCTTGGCCAGCTCTCTGGCTACCTATGTTGGACCCCTTCAGGTAACAGTTCTTGTTCCTGCCTGAATTGGCTGGCCAGCCTGAGTGGACCCTGACATTTATAACTGACCTGTATGCCTTACTGGCATTTGTGGTCAAACTACAGCTAACAGCAAGAGCATGGACTATGAGGAGTCTGTGATCTCTGTCCTGTCTTCCAGGAAGGTAAGCCCTGTGGGTCTGGTCAGTATTGGAGTAACTGCTAGAAAGAAGTTACATGAAAACATGTAAGCAAGACCCAGAGCTTTCTCCTCAGGGAGACCATGACTCATTTCCTCCAGATCTCATCTTCGTCCCAAGACATGCAGAATATTAGTACATGCCAACCACTAGTAACACCTATACTTGAGATCTGACCCCTACAAGAAAAAACAAGTTCTCAGTGGATTCCGAGCAAAACGAATTCACAATCAAAATTCAATGATAACAGAGCTGTATTAGTCCGTTTCTACGCTGCTATAAAGAACTGCCCAAGACTGGGTAATTTATAAAGGAAAGAGGTTTAATTGACTCACAGTTCCACAGGGCTGGGGAGGCCTCAGGAAACTTATAATCATGGCGGAAGGGGAAGCAAACACGTCCTTCTTCACATAGTGGCAGGAGAAAGAAGTGCAGAGCAAAGTGGGGAAAAATCACTTATAAAACCATCAGATCTCATGAGAACTCACTCACTATCACAAGATCAGCATAGGGGTAACTGCCCCCATGATTCAGGTACCTCCCACCAGGTCCCTTCCACAACACATGGAGATTATGGGAACTACAATTCAAGATGAGATTTGGGTGCAGACACAGCCAAACCATATCAAGGGCCTAAAAGGCAAAGTTGCCTATATCTCATTCAATAAGGACAAAAGAGTGAGCGTGTATTAGGAAACTTCAGCCTTGAGCTACAGTCTTTTGAATGTCCTCAGTAGGACAATGGGTGGAGGAAGGCCAGAAAAGAATATAAAGACGCTCCAGCTCTCCCCTCTTTCTCAAGTACGAAGTGCGATCAGTTCTGTTCCTGAACCAGGAAGCAAATGAGAGGAATCAGGTAAGTTTCAGCCCCCTGGGAACTCTTTCCTATGTTTTCATCCATAATTATCCTTGTGTTATTTGGATTTCAGACACCTCTGGTTTCCTAGCACAGGGATCCTGAGGGACATATCAAAGTAGATGCATAGGGACCAGCAGACTGAGATGCCACTCCTCCCTCCAGGGGGCCCCATGGAACGCAGGGCCCTCACTGGCCCTGGGGACTGGGTGACGTCAGGGGTGAGCCTCTCGTGATTGGCTCCCTCACCCTGCGTAAGATCAAAGGGACAAAAGGACAGCCCCGACACCCGGAGCCACTGTGGCTCCGGCCAGTTGCACCGGCCACTGAGGCCATGGCTCCTGGGGTTGTGGACATGCCTGAAGAGCCACCCATGTCTGAAGGACCACAGGGAACAATGAAAAGAAGACACCTGCCCAGCACAAGGGGCTTGAGACCTTGGCCCCAATCTCCCTGACAACCTGTGTCTCGATGACTTCCCTTCCTTTTCTCCCCCATGCTTTTGGTGTAACCAGGAAGAAGCCAGAAGAATCGAAAACACATTCCTTTTTTGGCAGTTTAATATAATTTATTAACTTATCAGGCCATTCCATCCCAAAATATGATTTGACCAGCTTTAAGAGATGTACATAACAGCACAAAAAAAAAAAAAATAACAGAAAATGGGGAAGTGAAAGCAAAGCCAAATAAAATGAAGCCAGGGATTGGTCCACAAATTGCAAAACAAAAGGGCCTGTTCAGGTTTTAGAATTGGACATTAAATCCCTGAGGCTCCTGATGGACAAAATTTAATCCATTTTAATTTCACAGTCCCTAAGAGGGAATTAAAATCAATTACAAATGTCTCATTTCCATAAATTAGTTGGTCGAGAAAGGTCCCTGGAGATGACACCTGTGCTTCTCCAGGACACACCAACCGGGTTTAGCGTGAGCTCCTGCCCCTACTACTGATGCTGGCGCTCCAGCCTAGCTGGCCTTACCTCTCCATCTATTTCTGGGAAACTTCAGGAACAGGGTTGGGTTGGCGACCTCATACGTGGTCATGAACAAGCCCTTTCCTCTCAAGTGCTGTCCACAGAGGGATTCTCTCCTGCCTTGCCCCCTGGGTGAAGTCTGCAGTGGAGGGTTTCAAAGTGTCTCACCACCACTTCCTGCTGGTCCCCAGTGCCTATAAATATGCGGAAGCTTCTCTGTGGTCCACGAATCCCCCCAAAGCACTGAAGCCAAGTGTGTTCTATGTGGAAGGAGAAGACTCCTTTCTCCTTTGTGCCACATTTGTCACCTGCCACCAAGTTAGGGCTCCCTGAGCCCCAGTGACTCGAGATTCTAGTAGTCACAACTCTGCCAGCCTGGGCCTGTGGCTCCTCTCCTGCTTGGGCTCAGATACATCTGTCATGCTGCTCCAGGACCAGCTTAGAGACTGATTCTTGTTTTCCTGATCCCCCTTCCCGTGGCCCTCGCCCTCTAGGGGGCACAATTTTTATGGGATATTTTTCTACAATGAAAATGTAAAAAAAAAAAAAAAAGTGACTTTAGAAATAAGTATCATGTAATAGCAGGCATGATCAGAAGCATCTTTACACACAAAAAGAATCACCAACAGCGCCCTCATTAGAAAATCAATGTCTATGTGACTCCCTAGTCGACTATAGCATGTTTAGGTAAAATTATCTAATTGTATTCTTCTTTTTACTCTTCTAATGCTCTTGACTTAACCAAGTGGCTCTTAAAACAAAGAAGCTCTCAGCTTTGAGAAGTGGGGGAACCAAACACACACTGAAAAGAACTGGGACCTCTCAAACTCTCTGTCTCTTCCTCCAAGCAGCATAAAATGGGGTTACTGGGGTGCAGGCTCCTGTAGGGTTCCTAACAGAGACTAGG
Source organism: Homo sapiens (assembly GCF_000001405.40). Lineage (NCBI taxonomy): Eukaryota > Metazoa > Chordata > Mammalia > Primates > Hominidae > Homo > Homo sapiens. The sequence continues at coordinate 33,500,308 of NC_000001.11, read as the reverse complement.
TGAGAGATGCGGCACACGGAGGTGAGGAGAAAGGTCACCCACTCAGCTGCAGCATGGGGTGGGGGAAGCAACAATAAGGTAAGGAAGGAACCTGCCTTTGCCCCCCGAAAACATGCATTTATTTGGAGGTAAGTGCAGGCTTGCTGAAAGTCAGAGGGAGGGCAAAATGATGCTAAAGACATGCTAGCAGTAATAGTGATGCTGGGAGTGTGAAGAAACAGCCAGGAGCTGTGGGGGAAAAGGATCCAGTGTCTACCATCCCAGGCCTCCAGGCCCATTTCAACTCCCTCCTCTCCTGTAAAGCCTTCCCTGCACTCCCACTGCATGGAACACTAACCCCTTGTAGCAGATTGGGGCAGGGGCTTGAGATTGGTGTTTGCTATTAACAGGTGGGGGAGCTGAGCAATGCCCAAATGGAGGATGGGATCAAAACTGAGGTTAAGGGGAGCTTTGGGAGGCTGAGGTGGGAGGATCGCTTGAGGCCAGGAGTTCAAGACCAGCCTGGGCAACACAAGACCCCCATCTCCCCCCCAAAAAAAATGGGGTAAGGGAATATTTTGAATGATTAATTTTGACTTTAGATATTGACTTCATTCAGAAAGAGACCTCTCAGGCAGCTGGGTAACTCCAGCCCAACTGGAAATGCTCTTAGAAGGGAGAAAGTATTGGCAGAACTGAGTCCAAGATGAGTCCAATGGGCAGGTCTCTCCAGGCACGTGCAGGGGAGGCTTGGATGGGAGTCACTGAGTGTGTACATCAATGCACGTGCTGAATGGGCAGGCCAAGAGCCCCATGATGGGTGATGGTAGACACCGGGGCTTTGAGATGCCCAGGAGTCACCCAAGCACAGCTGGTTGGCAGGCAGCTGGGATCCTAAGAGGAGAGGCCACAGCAGGACACAGATCTGGAAGTCATTAGCATCTACACAGAAGAAAAGAGAGAAAGAAAGGAAAAGAAAAAAAGAAGAGAAAGGGAAACAGAGTGAATGAAGAAGCAAGCCTAGGACAGAACTCTGGAGTACAAAGACCCAGAACAGCCTGGGTGAGGCAAGTTCACCTGCAACACCCACACCCACTCCAGACATCACTGCCTTCATTACTTCAAAACTGCACCCCTGTCCCCAAAGGGTGTTACTCCCCTACAGAAAGTGACTCAATTCTTTTCTGCAGCCCGAAAGCAGAGAGCTATCCCCACTGGGGGCCCCAGAACAAGATGAGGCAGGACGGACTACCCAGAGCGCCTGACTACATTATTTAGCATGGAGGGACCCTAGCTGCTTTACTCGGCTTCTGGGAGGAGGCTACAGTGGACAATAAGGCCAAGGCAGCCATGACCATGAGTTCAGCTGCTGAGGTCAAGGCCTTAGAAAAAACCGAGTATCTGAAAAAGTCTTGGCCCCTCCTTTCCCTGCCCCTACCTTTGGGTCTGCTGCCTCTGGGGGTCTGAGGAATGGGAGGCCTAAGGTCCTTTAGGTACCTTTTTGTCCCTTCAGAGGAGCCAATGCCCTTCTTGAGGTGGAGGGTGAAGAAATCAAGGGGAGGCAGCCATCTGGGGAGACGATCCTGCCTTTAGCAGCTCACATGATGTAACACCCTCCCAGGGCAGCATTTGCTGGTTTGGTTTTCCATAACCAGGGTCTGACCTGTGGCCAGGAAGGCTGAGAAACTGTCCACCCATTCTGCAGAGTGAATCTACTTCCCAAGAGCAGAATCACGCTAGCAAAGCTCAGGGTGTGTAAAACCAGATGTCAGTTTATCTGAGCAGCACAGACCTACTGGAGGGCGCCTGGGTGCCCAGCAAGCTCTTGGGTAGACAGCAAGCCTGGAACACTGAAGCCCCCTGAAAGAGTGCTTCTTCCAAAGGAAGTCAGGTAGACAAGGAGGAAGGGACCACCTGGGCCATTTTCTCACCTGGCCCACACTGGCCTTGCTTTCATGACTGAACCTCTATTAAGATTCATGAGACAAGAATGGCAGATAATAAACATCAAAACTGTTCACTAAAGATATGAGACACTAACACACTACCAAACCCAGGGGAAAGGGTGACCAAGTGGAGAGAGGACTACCACCTCACATCCACACAGAGCTCAGCTTGACTTCCACAGTGAGGGCTCCAGAAAACTCAGGGCTACATGAAGAATTCAGGGGTCAGTAACAAAGAAGACAGGGTCCAGAACATGATGGTAGTGGGTGGGAGTGGGGAATGGTCTAGATCTCCTTTGAGGGCCATCTTCCTCTCCATTCAGCACTATCAAGTAGCTCTGTCCTAGGCCCAATATTTGAAACTGAAATTCTTCCTTTCTCATTAGTTTAACTACTTCGCATACACAGATCTCTAGTCCTAGCCTCTCCCCTAGCTGCTAGCCGACATCCAAATGCATAGCATCACCATGATTTCCCTTAAGCACCTCAAGTTCTAGACATACCAAACTAAACTTCTCATCTTCTGCCCTCCTGCTCTATCAGCCTCTCCTCCTTGTGCTCCCAATTCTGAATGAGGACATGCTCTACCCAGTCACCAAAGGCATTCTAGCTTTCCTCTGATGTCCTCCCCTCTGCCTCTGAGACCTTTCCCATTCATTCCCTCCTCCTCAGTGTCACCACTGCTCTAGTTCAGACCCTAGCCTTTAGCTGAAATACCACAACAGTGTCCCAAAAGGCCATCCTAATTGCAGCATGTCCAAGTTCCATTCAGCTGTCAGATTTCAACCATGCACATCTGAACATTGCCCCGGGCCTGGTGTTGACACTCCATTCACATGTGAGGTCCTCAGTGACCTTGCTCCAGCACTCCTCTAATATCAGCTCCCTGTTCCCAACCTCCCATCATACAACCCCACCCTGAATCCATGCTATTCCACACAACAGTGCCTTTCCCTGGAATTCCCTCCCTCTCCCTCACCTCAGGATCCTTCCTCTCAGCTCACATTACTAGACAATATCACTGTATTACTGCAGTTACTGACATCTGCTGACTTCTATCCAGGGTTCATCCCATGACCCCTGCCCCGCAGAGATAACGTGGGCCAGAAAAGGTAAACTGGGAGGGAGTTGACGGTGATCCTAGTGGGGCTGGTTCTTGGGAAAGGAGGTTCTGAAGCAGGGGAAGGGGTTAAGAAGGGATATCACTCTGTGGGAGTAGCAAATCTCTCCACTGGCTTCCTCACATGTTAATAAAAGTTCCATTCTTCAAGGCTGCTTCACATCCACTATCTGATAGGTACTTCCCCAGCCCATGAACCAAGCAGGTTATGAATACATCCTAGTGTCATAAGAGGATGGCAGGAGGGGGATTTTCCTTTAAAGTCCTATGGAAACCGAAGTCCTTGGTCAACAGTTTTAAACCCTTCTAAGGAGAAACTCTGGAGGCCAAAGTGCTGCAAATGTTAAAACCATCCTATGTGAACCTTTCTAACTTAGCCTGTCCATGTGGGAGGTGAGTCTTAAGGGTCAACATACAGAAAGCCCTGGGCAGGCCTGGGACAGGATGGCTCAGGGTAAAATTGTGCCAAGAACCTGGTACACAGAACAGTGGTCAAGGCCCTCTCAGTAGATGACCATATACACCAGCACCTCCCACCTCAGTCTTGGCATGGGGACCAAGAACAAAGCTTCTGCTTGCCAAAAGGAAAAGCCAGACAGACAAAAATGTAGGGACCCCAGGCTTCTGTTAGGGTTAACCTATGATCAGCCAAGCATGGCAAGAAGTAGGACTGTCCCCTGAGAAAAAGAGAACTCTTACATCCCATTTCCTTAGCCAAAGCAGTATCTTATTGGAAGAAAAATTACTTAGGCCGCATATTTTTCCCAATCTCAACCCACCTATATCTCTCACCCATATTATTGCGAAGATGGAAACTCACATCAAGTATTTTGATAATAGCTCATCCTTGCTCAAATCACTTCACCAATTCTGGATATCCCAAGTCCTTTAATCCTTAGGGATTCTCAGTTTCCATATTTGTTTAAAAAATTCAAAATGTGGAAATTTCATAACAGGAAATGTGGTCTACAAAGTGCATGGAGATTCTGGCCCCTAAGTTACCTAACATGAATGGGAATTCAGTATAGCAATAAGAGCACGATAGACTCAAGACAGACAGATCTGTTGAATCCTGCCTCTCCCACTTACAGATGTGTGACCAGTGCGAGTTACTTAATTTCCCAAGCCTCTAGGAAATGGGGAGAAAGTTAGTACTTATCTCCTGGGGCCGTTGTGAAGATTAAATGAGATGATGTATACAAAGTTCTTAGCACAGAGCTTGCCAAAGAGCAACAGCTCAATAAACACCAGCTATTGCTGCTATTGATGATTTTGTAATGATGTCACTGTTCTTCCTACTCTGTGCTGAGCTCACAGTGGCCTGCTCTAGGCCAACTCCTCTCTCACCAGAGTCACAACATTCTCCCTTGAGGATATGCCCCCACTGAGAAAGTAGGAGAACCACTGCTGATGGGGTGGATTACACATGGATGGTGTGAAGGCACAGTGAGAGTTTGGAATCACTGCTCAGGACCACTGATTTAACTCTAATCTCGTAAGTTGCCAGTTTGGCTCAAATACTGACACAGCTCTTACATGATAGCAAATACAAGGACAGTCAGGATTCTGTGTGGGTCTTTACAGAAGAAAAACAAATTACACTTAAAAGTGCCTTCAAATCTGGATCCTTAGTATTTGTAATTCACTTCCAAATTACCTGGTTTATACCAAGATAACTTCCCTGGGTACACACCAAGCTTAAAAATTGGAAAGTTTATCTCTAGCATACATCTTATGATATAAGATATATACATTGAGTCCTCCTTTGTTGTTGAGGAAACTGTCCCCTACGACGCCTTCCCTCCTGCATGGGTTCTCCGGTGAGCACTGAAGTGGGAACTGTTGTTGAAGTCTTTGCCACACTCTGTGCACTTGTAGGGTTTCTCCCCTGTGTGGATTCTCTGGTGAATAATAAGACTGGAGCTCTGGTTAAAGCATTTCCCACACTCTCTGCACTTATACGGCTTCTCTCCCGTATGAATCCTCTGGTGAGTAATGAGGTTAGAACGGTCACGGAAGAATTTTCCACACTCAAGGCATTTGTAGGGCTTCTCTCCTGTGTGCACTCTCTGGTGTGTGATGAGCTTGGAGCGCTCACTGAAGCACTTCCCACAGTCCACACATTTATACGGCTTCTCTCCAGTGTGGGTGCGCTGGTGGTTGGCCAGGGTGGAGCTCTTACTGAAGCTTTTCCCACATTCGGCACATTCATATGGTTTCTCTCCCGTATGGATTCTTTGGTGACTAATGAGGGCAGAGCTCTTAGAGAAGCTTCTTCCACATTCAGAACACTCATAAAGTTTCTCCCCTGAGTTTGTGCTGTGTGGTCCAGGAGAATTCAAGTCCTTACTGATACTTTGAGGTTGTTCAGGAGCTGTCTCTTCTGTAGAATTCCTCCAGTGAGCACTAAAAGATGGGCTTTGGGCAAAGTTTCCCCCAGGCTCACTACACTGGTCAGGATTTCCTCCCAAGTGGATTCTCTGATGTTTCAGAAGGTTTGAGCTCTGGTTGAAGCTTTTCCAACATTCTCCACATTTATAGGGCTTTTCCCCCGTGTGAATTCTCTGGTGAGTGATGAGATTAGAATGGTCACTAAAGCTTTTCCCACATTCAAGGCATTTATAGGGCTTCTCTCCAGTGTGGATTCTCTGATGGGTATTGAGGTTAGAGCGGTCACTAAAGTTTTTTCCACATTCAAGGCATTTGTAGGGCTTCTCACCTGTGTGGATTCGCTGATGGGCAATGAAGTGGGAGCTCCGACTGAAGCTCTTCATGCATGTGTCACACTTGTAGGGTTTCTCTGCAAGGTACAGGCCTTGATGGTCAATAAGTTTTTCTAAGTCCTCTTCAGAAGAACTTTCTTGCCACTGTTCCTGTGAGGGATTTCCCCACTGCCCTTCATCTTCATTTTCATTTTCACTGTCTTCTCCCCAGTCAAGAGGTTGGCAAACAGCTTCTGTAGGACATTTTGATAAGGCTCCAGGCAAACCCTCAAAAATGTCCTGCTCTGAAATCTGGTCTTCATCCTCATGCCTCATTTCAAAACCTGAAAAAATGGACAGAAATGCAGTTTTTCTTCACTCATTAGCGCGCGTGTGTGTGTGTTTGTGTGTGTCTGTATTGTACATCTGTGAATTTGGCTAACATGAATTTGATTCTTATATCTTCTATCGCACATCTTATAAATGTGACTAACAAGAAATTGATCAAGTTTTGGTACACACAAGTGTTTGTGACCTGCAAAGCTGAGGAATGGACTCTGGGACATGGTGACCCCACCAAGTGAGCCATGGGGCTCAGCCCAGCAGCCACAGCCAACCTGTTTCCCCATCAAACTCCTCTATCTTAGTACTCAATCATGAACACCTCCTTCTTCTAGTACATTCCATATATCCTGTGTCATACTGGATTGAATAAAGTCTCTAACCGCCCAGATATACCTAGTAAAAGATAGAATGACTGACTGACTGACTGATTCGGGGGATCACACAAAGCTAGAGACTGGATAATCTGAGCAAAGCAGAAATACTTTTTCCCATTCAATCCCATTCTCTCTTTTAGTTAAGAGACAAAAGATAATGAGCCTGGCTTCCTCATTCTCTCCACATGCCCACAGATTTTGAGAACATCCAATTACTCCAGGCTTACCCATGTCTGGGGCTTTAGGACACAAGGTTGAAGGTTTGACAGCATCTTCATTGGCCACTTCACCCCAGGCCTCCTGGGCATCAGTCTCAGCACTACTCTGCCCACACCTAGGGAGACCTGCAGCCTCTCGGACAGTCCCCATGGCCCTGACTGCAGCCCGAGCCCTCATCAGCGAGTCCAGTTCCTCATAGAAAGGGCATGTCCCTGGTGGGTGGCTGCTCTTGGCTTTCCGGTAGCTTCGAAGGAGGTTTTTGAATCTGTAGCGACACTGCTCCAGTGTCCGCAGGAAGCCCAGAGCACACAGCCGCTCTGCAATGGCCCGGTACACCTGGCTGTTCTGGTGACAGGTACGAAGCTTTTCCGAGAATGGGGACTCACTGAGAATTGCCAGGAAGGCCTTGGTCTCCTCATAGCCCCAGTGCACACCTGCTGTCAGGAGTGAAGAGTTGAGAACTGTGAGACTTAATGAGATGTGCCTAGGTCATCAGAGAATAAAGTCACCTGCCCTTCAAAATACCTAGAACATAGGCATGTCAGAAACTATCCAGGTACCTGGAGAATATCCCTTTGCTTCTCAGGGGCATGCTAGGACAGCCAGCCAGAGCTTCCCACCCTCACCCTCTTCTAAGAGATTCTATTAACACTTCAAGTCTTGGCTGAAGGTGAGGACTTAAGTAGCCATGTTATATCAATTATATCAGGTGATCCCATGTGCCTGGCTTTAGCTGATTAGTTCAGGGAAAGGCCTGTAATTGGGATGCATGTGATTTTCCCCATATTCACTCAATACCTGTACTCTATTTATTTTATAAATTCTCCTTTTTTTTTTTTTTTTTTTTTTGAGACGGAGTCTCGCTTTGCCGCCAGGCTGGAGTGCAGCGATGCAATCCTGGCTCACTGCAATCTCTGCCTCCTGGGTTCAAGCAATTCTCCTGCCTCAGCCTCCTGAGTAGCTGGGATTACAGGTGCATGCCACCACACCCAGCTAATTTTTGTATTTTTTTTAGTAGAGACAGGGTTTCACCATGTTGGCCAGGATAGTCTTGATCTCCTGACCTCGTGATCTGCCCACCTCAGCCTCCCAAAGTGTTGGGATTACAGGCGTGAGCCACCGCACCTGGCCATAAATTCTCCTTTTAACAAAACATGAAAGCTGAGAATTCCTAAAGATTAGAGGCATAAATGAGTTTCAAATAGTCCTGCAAGAAAGGCCAAATGAGGACACACTTTCCTCCTTTGCAGGGGAATGAAAAGGAGGTGGTCTAGTCTCAGCTCCTCTGCAGGAAAGTGATGTAGCCCAGGAAGGCAACATGGTGGAGGGAAAACCATGTGAAACCAGCAGGCAGGAGCCACAGGCTCTGATCCGGGCTCTGCTCCTACCTGTGCGTCTATAAGACGCCTCATCTCATGGACTTCCATGTTTGCACCTTTACAATGATTGGATGTTTCCCAGACATTGATTATTCAAGTCTACACTGTCGGGATTTCTGCCATTATCTGTTCAATATTTCACTCGCCATCACTCTTTACCTAACTTTGTTATCTGTGAAATCACAGGTTGATGCACTCATACAAATTAAGAGAAATATATAAATACAAGAATTTAAAGTTCATTCATGTAACGTCGATGATCATCCCATACTACCAGTGACACACTTTTGGAAATACTGGATTCACTCTTTGAGGCCCCTTAAGGCTTTAAAAATGTTTGCTTCTATAACTAAGAAGACTTTTGCAAAGAGACTTGGTCATGGGAAAAGAAAGTTGGAGTTTGAGGATGACCTAAGGAATGTAGCTCTTCACTCTAGTGGCTTCAATCCAGACTTGCAGCCTGTGCCCTGACCTCAGGGAATAGCAGTCTAGCTGGTAGGAGGGTTGGAAATCTGAATCTGACTAAACCCCCATGTTCTTACCAATACGACTCTGGAACAGAGCTGGGGCCCCTGCAATCCTGGGCCCCTGGGTAGACTCAACATTGACCAGGCCAGCACCGTTACAGTCTTCTGCCATTTCTTCAGGATCCCAGCCCCCTTCCTCCTGCTCATCCATCTCTGCGTCACTATACCCGAGCCTGGGAAGTGCCACGGCCTCTCCTGGGCCATCTGTGGCTCTGATGGCTGTCCGAGCCCTGACCAGGGCCTCCAGCTCCTCATAGAAGGGGCAGGTACCTGGTGGGTGGCTGCTCTTGGCTTTCCGGTAATTCCGTAGGAGGTTTTTGACCCTATAGCGACATTGCTCCAGTGTCCGCAGGAAGCCCCTTGCCCTTAGCTGCTCTGCAATGGCCCGATATACCTGGCGGTTCTGGTGACAAGTCCGGAGCTTTTCAGAGAAAGGAGATTCACTCAAAATTGCCAGGAAAGTCTTGGTCTCCTCATAGCCCCAGTGAACACCTGACACCTTCATGTCCTCCACATCCCACTGGTATTGTTCCTCCCAGGCTCTTGAATCCCTCCAGGTCAATGCCTGAGCTGGCTCATTATCCAGGCTGTAATCTGCAGTGCTCCTTTTCCCAGAATTTATAAGACTTAGACCCCAAAACTCTGGTCCTTGCTCTTTCTCGGAGGTATTACTTGGTTTTGAAACTGGAACTCCTACAAAAGGAAGAGAAATGACAGAGTAGAAATGGTCTGTTGAGCGGCATGTTTGTCCAAAATCTCCCTGAAACTTCTATCTTTTCCTTGCAAGAGGCTAACGAGAAATTCCCAAGTTGATCCCATAAAATGTTTACAGGAATAGGGAGAGAGAAGAGGTAACACGACCAATATATGAGAAATGTTAAGTGACCTGTTTACTTTGTTCATTTGTTTGTTGTTGTTGTTGTTATGAAACATGAAACATCATATAAGAGTAACTCATTGGTCCACAGATGGGCACATGGCCTAAATTGGCCCAATTAGACTGAACTCCATGGCTGGAGGAAAAGGGTGTGTGGTGTGTGTGTGTGTGTGTGTGTGTGTGTGTGTGTTTGTGTGTGTAGTGAGTCTCTGTCCTGCTAGGCATCCATTGCCACCATTGGCATCTATCTTTTGACCATGAAACAAAACAGCTTTAATATGAAGCTAACACTGAGGATGGCAGACAGAAATAAAGAACACAGACCCATTAAGACATTGCTCAGCTAGTCTGTACTGTGGCTGGAGCATGTCCTCCTCTGGACTTCTAATAATGTGAGAAAATAAATTTCCTTATTTTTAAAAGTTAGCTATGTTTAATGGACTGCTATCCCAACAGCTCCCGGCCCTAACAAAATAGGAAGCCTTTAATTGAAATAAATATTTGAAGAAAACTAGATGAAAAGGGTTTAAAGAGGTATAAGGATAATTTAATTCACCGTTTCCCAAAATCTGTTCCTTTGAACACTATTTCCCCCAGATATCATGTGTAAAAAGGGGTTCCACTGTCAAGCAAGTAGCCAGCGAGCTTCTGGTATCTAAACTTACCATGAGTCAGGCCTATCAGAGTCTTTTCTATTTCAGCTATTCACATGTCTAACTCCCCACACAGTGATCCCGGGCTCCACAGGGAAACGGCTCCCTATTATTTGGCTTGCCACATAGGAGTGCCCACATAGAAAGGAGTCTGTGCTGCTTATATGGGCTTCAGGTATTTTGGGCTCTGTGATATTTATTCCTATTGGGTTTAATTCATTGGTCTCATGGGTTTAGTTCACTTAAGTCTGCCTGAGAGAGAGATCCTATTTACAGTGCTAAAAAAAATCAGATTTCTGAGATGGCAGTCCAGGCCTGGCCCCTGGACTGTGGTGAATGGACTGAGGTAAGGAAGGTAATGTGCCCAGAGAGGGCAGGCTCTTGGAAGCCATCCTGCCACCCCGTCTCCAGGCAGACTCCATCCCTGCCATGAGAGTGCTGGCTACAAAGGGCAAGTCTTCTTCCTATTTCTGAAATTCCAGAGACTGCAGAGCCATGATTCTTAAAGGAGCGGCAAAACCCTCTTTGGGAACTGGGTGTATCAGAAGCATGACAACATCACCTTCAGAGGGTACGTCTCCTTACCCAGGCACACGCTGTTCCCACAGTCGTCTCCTGGGGGGTCTTTACAGAGCTCCTTCTCAGCATGTTTGCCAGGGCCCAGGGCTTCCTGCGAGATGCACAAGACAAGGACCCCAAACATCACTGACCTTTGACAACAGCCTAGGAACCCTAGCAGGCTCCCAGGAAAGATGATGGGAACAGAGGGATACCATGTGTGAAGCTGGCATCATAAGGAGCAGGATGGCCATTTGGTACATACATGTGTTTGGGGATGTTTGGGGCCCAGCAGGCTGGGGGTGAAGGGCAAAGGCTAACACCCTGGGCCTCATGCCCTTTTGCTGAGCAGAGGTCATGGAGAGAGAGGAGGAACACTGTGGGGGCAAGAGCACAGGAGCAGCAATGACAGGAAAGGAAGAACGAGTAACAGCTTACCTGGGACTCAGCTGTCACCTCCCAATCTCCAACGCTCCCCATCTTTGGGAGAGTAGGGACTCGGGGAGTGAGGACAGCTGAGGAAAAGAAAAAGTCACTGAAACCCAAGCTCTGGTTCCCAAAAAATCACCTCCCTTTGAGATTGGCTTTCCAAAAGTAACACTTGGATCAAGCTAGGGCTATCCCTATGGCCAGTGCAGACTTCCCCTTTACTTCCCTTCTAGAGTGTGTAGCTCCTAAGCTGCTGTGAGTGGTGTGCCATGTGGGAGATGCCAGCCCTGACCTCCTGTGATCACCACCCACCCCTGTCCCAGCCTGCACCTGCTGCAGGACTCCAGCTACAGCAGGGCATGATGACATCATCGATAGGCACAGCCTCTTTACGAGGCTTGCTTACTTCTCAGTAAGTGTGCCCACCACACTGCAGCCTATCCCTTGCTTTGAATTCTGCACATCCTTCTTCCCCATGCACCCTTCCTCACCTCCCATCCCTCTCCCCTGCAGAAGGCCTCATTCCCTAATGTTCTCAGATGTACTCACCACTCTCTTTCAAAGGCTGTGGTGCCACCTCGGCATTTAGGTGATTGGGAAGGTCAGGGCATGTATTCTTCACCCCCTTCTTCTGGGACTGTCCCTCAGGCCAGGGATCCACTGGCTGCAGCTGGAAGCTCTGAGCTTCTTCCCCTGTCTTTAAGGGCCTGGTCTCTTCTGTATGCAATTCCAGTCCCTACACACAAATAGTCAAAATTCCCAATCAACAATTCAGTAAGACCCACTTTGGTATTTTGAGTACAACTGCAGTCCAGAGGCTAACAGGCTCTTTTAAGATCCAAAATGGCTTGAAATAGGATGAGAAAGCCATCAGAGTGAGTTTGGTAGGTAGACCAGCATTTATACCACCAAATGAGTACCATCTGTTGAACACAGGGTGGCGATCCAAGTGTTTCAATGAGAGTCCCACTGTTCAAAACATTTTTGATTCATAAAGAGATAAATTATGTAAAATTTGTGTAACATTAAAAAATAACCCATAAGCATCAAAAATAGGTTGCTTACTTTTTAAATGATCAAAAAAAGATAAAAGTTATCAAGTTGTATATTAAAAGGCAAAGGGAGGCATAAAAACAGGAAAAAAATATAAAATTATAACCCCAAATGCAATTGCTCTAAATATCTCTGCTGAAAGAGAAAGATATTTTTAAAATAAAATTTTTAAAAAGGACAAAGAATTACAGATGGAGGCTGGGTGCAGTGGCTCATGCCTGTAATTCTAGCATTTTGGGAGGCTGAGGCAAGGGAATCACTTGATGCCAAGGGTTCAAGACCAGCCTGGGCAACATAGCAGACCCTCACCTCTATAATAAATAAATAAATAAATAAAATTAACCAGGCATGGTGGCACATGCCTGTACCCCCAGCTACTCAAGAGGCTGAGGCAGAAGGATCACTTGAGCCCAGAAGTTTGAAGTACCAGTGACCTATGATCATGCCACTGCACTCCAGCCTGGACAATGGAGTGAGAACTTGTCTCAAAAAAAGAAATTAGATGGAATTTTAAAATGAGATAAAAGTACGTGTTGTTAATCTTACAATAGAAGGACATGCAAAAGACAAGGCACTCTAACTCAAAAGGAAAAAGGAAGTGGCAATTTTCATTTCAATGTTGGATTTCAGGCAAAAAAAAAAAAGGTACTCAGAGATATAGATATTTAAAATAAAAGGGAGTAATCAACTAAAATAACATTACCCAATCAACTTCATCAATCACACAGCTAATTTCTTATCTCTATTTCTCAGCTGGTTCCAAGTTCACAGGTAGAGAGGTCAAGGTGTTACCCAGGCTATAAAACCTCCAAAATATAACAATCTCAATACTTTATAGAAACACCTAACTTTTAAAAACATATTTCAATTTTTTTCAATAGATAATAGACTCACATGGTTTAAAAACAGAAAATACATACATGGGTATATTCAGTGAAAATGCCCCACCTCCATCCATCTTCATCCCATCGACCCCGTTCTTTTCCCCTCTCCTCATCACAGGTAACTATGCTCTTCTGCATTCTTTTAGAGTTTCTTTCTACATACAAGCAAATGTAAATGTGTATTCTTAGCTTCCCTCTTTTTTATACAAAAACTTATGACTAGATATACTGCTCTGAGTCTTATTTTTTTGAACCAAAATAATAACAACTATCTTCATTAAATTACTGAGTTTGCCAAACTTAGCTCCAAAACTTTTTTGGCTGGCCTGAAAATTCAGATCCACTCACAGAGAAGGATTTTTACCATTGAGAAGACATATAGGAATGGGCCATGAGCATCAAGGGCCATTCCAAATAAGAAGATCCACCAGTGTCCTGTGTGACTTCACAGGGAGAAAGCATCTGCTTATCAATCTTCTTATATGGTCATGTTAAAAAAAAATTCACTTTGTTATCATTATAACCTACAGAGGAACTGTGTGACTAAATTCAACAACAATCTTTACTCTCAACCCCAGTGCCTCCAACTATTACCATCCCTAAGCAAAGATTCTGATTCCATGGATGGTAATTTTGGACACAGAAAGAAGTAGATTCAAGTGACAACCAGGAGACAAAAAATTAGTAGGTCAGACTTCTAGTTTCCAAGAAGTCTGTAGTCTACAAGTTGCCCCTCTAGACTCTACAGTAACAAGTAAAAAGCTGAACAAACTGAAAAATCAACAACTCTCCTTAGATCTGTCAGAGAAGTGAGGTCACAGGGCAAACCATTCTCCCCAAAATTGGAGAGACAAACAGGTAGAATCAGAGAATCACAACTTAGTGGAGCAGAAGCCTCTGTGGGAACCAGTTCCAGGGGAGAAAAACCTAAACTGTAATTGATGAACTGCTGGAAGGTCAGTGTGGACAACTCTGAGAGGTAAAAACTCCAGGGCACTTAATCACTGAGCAGGGGCACATTTTTGTAAGTTTTATCTCCAGGAGCTCAACCAGACCCTCACAGTGAATATCAGAGAAAAATCTCTTCATGCTTATGGCAGATGGCAGGAAAAAAGAACCATTTTGAAATATGCCAGGGCACTCTGCTCTTCTTAATAAGTCCTGTCCTCAGCAGAAACTATTTTACCAAAGCCTAACCTAACTGTCGGAAGAGAAATATGCAATTCCAGCTCCCTCTGCTCTTCCACATGCAAGATAAGAAATACCCAGTGCAGCCCCCTTTAGGCATCCTGTCCCACCTAAGATGGGAAAAAATTGAGAAGCACTGGCAAAGGTCAGAGTCCAGGGACACAGGTACACCAATATAAGACCTAGAAAAAAGAAGAGCAAATTAAATCCAAAGTAAGCAGAAGAAAAGAAGTAAAAATTAGAGCAGAAATAAATGAAATTTAAAATGGGAAATCAATAGAGAAAATCAACAAAACCAAAAGCTAGTTCTTTGAAAAGATTAATAACATCAATAAGCCTCTAGTCAGACTAAGAAAAAAGACAGTCCAGGCACGATGGCTCACACATGTAACCCCAGCACTCTGGAAGGCCAAGGTGGTGGATCATTTGAAGCCAGGAGTTCAAGACCAGCTTGGGAAACGTGGTGAAATCCCATCTCAACAAAAAAAAAATATACAAAAGTTAGCTGGGCATGGTGGTGTGGTCCTGTAGTCCCAGCTACAGGGGGCTGAGGCAGGAGGGTTGCTTAAGTCCAGGAGGCAGAGGGTGCAGTGAGCCAAGGTCCCACCACTGCACTCCAGCCTGAGTAACAGAGAAAGAACCCGTCTCAAAAATAAAAAAGAAAAGAAGACAGAAGACAAATTATTAATATCAGAAATGAAAACAGAGACATCACTACAGATCCCATAGACACTGAAAGTATAATAAAGGAATATTATGAACTACATAAAGGTTAATAAAGGAATATCTATGGCCACACACTTGACAACCTAGATGAAAAAGACCAATTCCTTTACCCACCCCATCTGCCAAAACTCACACAAAAATAAACAATCTGAAGAGGCCAATATCTATTAAGGAAATTGACTGAATAATTAATAACCTTCAAAACACAAAGCACCAAGCTCAGATGGGTCCACTGGTGAATTCTACCAAACATTTAAGGAAGAAATTATAACAATTCTCTACTATCTCTTCCAGAAGATAGAAGCAGAGGGAATATTTCCTTATTTAGTCTATAAAGCCAGCATTTACCCTAATACCAAAACCAAAGAAATTACTTACAAGACAAGAAAGCTACAAACCAATATTCCTCATGAACAAAGATGCAAAAATCAGCTGGGTGTGGTGGCTCAGACCTGTAATACCAGCACTTTGAGAGGCCAAGGCAGGCAGATCACCAAGTCAGGAGTTTGAGACCAGCCTGGCCAATATGGTGAAACCCCATCTCCACTAAAAATACAAAAATCAGCTGGGTGTGGTTGCAGATGCCTGTAGTCCCAGCTACTCGGGAGGCTGAGGCAGGAGACTCACTTGAACCCAGGAGGCAGAGGTTGCAGTGAGCTGAGATCATGCCACTGCACTCCAGCCTGGGCGACAGAACCAACAAGACTCCAGCTAAAAAAAAAAAAAAAAAGATGCAAAATCCTCAATAAAATATTAGCAAATCAAATCCAACAATGTATAAAAAAGAAATTACACACCACAACCAAGTGGTATTTATCCCAGGTATGCAAGCCTGGTCCAACATTTGAAAATCAATTAATGTAACCCATCACATCAACGGGCAAAAAAAGAAAAATCACATGATCATATATTATATCAACAGATGCAGAAAAAGCATTTGACAAAATCCAACACACATGATAAAAACTTGGCAAACTAGGAATAGAGGGGAACTTCCTCAACTTGATAAAGGACATCTACAAAAAACCTACAGCTAACATCCTACTTAATGGTAAGAAACACAGTGCTTTTGCACTAAGATCAGGAAAAAGGCAAGGATGTTCTCTCTCACTATTCTTTCATACTGGAAGTCCAGACTAATACAAGATAAGAAAGGAAACAAAAGGTACGTAGATTGGGAAGAAAGAAAAAGACTCTTTGTTCACAAATGACACGATTGTCTATGGAGAAAATCTAAAAGAATCAACAAAAAAAACTTCTGGGAACTAATAAGCAGTTATAGCAAGGCTGCAGGGTACAAATATGCAAATATGCAAAAGTCAATCGCCTTCCTATATACCAACAATGAACAAGTAGAATTTGAAATTAAAGGCATAATAACATTTACATTCTCATCCAAAAAAAATGAAATATTTAGGCATAAATCTAAGAAAATATGTAGAAGATTTACATGGGGAAAACTACCAAAGAAAGGCATCAAAGAAGAACTAAATAAATGGAACAATATTCCATGTTCACAGATAGAAAGGCTCACTGTAGTCAAGATGTCAGCTTTTCCCAATTTGATCTACAGATTCAACACCCAATCAAAATCACAGAAATTTATCTTGTGGATATCAACAAACTGACTGTAAAGTCTTTTTTTGTTCGTTTGTTTTTCTTTTTTTTTTTTTCAATAGCAATGGGGTTTCATCATGTTACCTAGGCTGTTCTCAAACTCCTGGGCTCAAGCAATCCACCCATTTCGTCCTCTCAAAGTGCTGCGATTACAGGTGTGAGCCACTGCACCTGGCCATGTGCAGTTTATATGAAGAAGCAAAGACCTGGAATAACCAACTCAATATTGAAGGAGAAGGAAAAAAATCAAAGAAATGACACACCTGACTTCAAGATTTACTATAAACTATAGTAATCAAGACAGTGTGGTATTGGCAAAAGAATAAAGCGATCAATGGAACAGAATAGAGACCCCAGAAATAGTCCCACATAAAGATAGTCGACTGAACTTTGATAAACGAGCAAAGGTAATACAGTGAAGCAAATATATTTTCAACAAATGATACTAAAACTGGACATCCACATGAAAAAAAAAAAAAGCTTCTATCCTATCCTTCACAAAAATCAACTCAAAATGGATCACAGACCTTAACGTTAAAATGAAAAACTATAAAATTCCTAAAATATAGGAGAAAACTGAGATAATGTCAGGTATAGCAATGACTTTTCAGATACAAAATCAAAGGCATAATCCATGAAAGAAATAATTGATAAGCTGGACTTCGTTAAAATTAAAAAATACTGCTCTATGAAAGATACTGTCAAGAGAATGAGAAGACAAGCCACAGACTGGGAGAATATATTTGCAAAACACATATCTGATAAAGGACCGTTACCCCGAACATACAAAGAACTCTTAAAACTCAAGAGTAAGAAGACAAACAACCCAATTTAAAAATGGGCAAGACTTTAACAGTCACCACACCAAAGAAAATATACAGATGGCAAGTAAACATATGAAAACATGTATAACATGGTAGGTTATTGGTGAATTGCAAATTCGAACAACAATAAAATACCACTATCTACCTATTAGAATGGCCAAAATCCAAAACACCAAATGCTGGCAAGGATGTGGGGCAACAAGAACTCCCATTCATTGCTAGTAAAAATGCAAAATGGTACAGCCACTTTGGATGACAGTTTGGCAATTTCTTACAAAGGTAAACATACTCTTACCATATGATCCAGCAATCATGTCCCTTGGTATTTACCCAAATGAACTGAAAACTAGGTCCACACAAAAACCTGCATATGAATATTTACAGCAGCTTCATACATAACTGCCAAAACTTTGATGGAACCAAGATGTCCTTCAGTAGGTGAGTAGATAAATAAACTGTGGTACATCCACACAACGGAATATTGTTAAGCATTAAAGAGAAATGAGCTAACAAGCCATGAAAAGACGTGGAGGAAACTTAAATGTATACTACTAAGTAAAAGAAGCCAATCTGAAAGGGCTATATACTGTATGATTCCAACTATGTAACATTTTTTAAAAGGCAAAACTATGGAGACAGTATAAAGATCGGTGTTGCCAGGGGTTGGGGGGAAGGAAGAATAAACAGGTAGAACACAGAGGGTTTTTACAGCAGTGAAGCTACTCTGTATGTCACTACAATGGTAGATACATGTTACTATGTCACTATGATGGTAGATACAGTTTATAATAGGGCTCTTAATGTCATACATTACAGAATGAATAACATTAAGAGCCCTAACATAAACTGCTACTTTGAGTGATGATAATGATGTATCACTGTAGGTTCATCAATGGTAATAAACATATTGCTCTGGTGCAGGGATGTTGATAGTTAGGGAGGCTTGTCGGGGAGGGATGGGAACTCTCTGTACCTTCTGCTCAATTTTGCTGTGAGTTTGAGCCTAAAATTGCTCTAAAAAATAAAGCCTGTTTTTTAAAAATCCCTGTGCACCTGATGGAGAGGGGGCATCTGACAGAGAGGGGGATTCAACAAGATGGTGATGACAGAAGAAACAAGTAACAATCACAAAATAGCAGAGCTGAAAGATCCCTTTTAGGAAATTACCTTAGGGGCCATTTAGTCCTGTAGGCACCAACCTTTTTCAGGTTCACTTTGAGGAATATTATAACTATATTTCATCCCATTATTAAGACTTGAAAAATTTTACTTGCAGAGAATGCAACTAAGTTATATATCTTGCAATGTAAGATCACAAGCTACATTTGCACCTGAAAAAAACAAGCTCCTCTGCTACTTGTCCATTTGTTTTGAAATTTGTGACCACTCAGGAGCAGGTAGGAAAGTTTAAAAATAAAAAAAGTCACAGTAAAAACAAAAATACATAATAGACAAGATTCCATTACCTTATTTTTTTCTCAATTTTAGAAGCAGTTCAACTTTTGGTCAGCTCACAGGGGCATAATTTGAGAACCTTTGGTCTAATCCAACCCTCTCATTTTACAGATGAAGAATCATAAAGACCTTGATTTAAATCCGTTTTCATCTCTGGGTCTCAAGTTCTTTATGTCCCAACTCTGAAGCCCTAAAACTTCCATTTGTTTCTTCACTGCCACTTAAGACAAACAGCTGGTTTCTTTAAAAGAAATAATATAGGGGGGTGGGGAGGTACATTAAAATAAGGCACACTCTCTCATACTTAGTTCTGTAACTTTATATATTAGTCTCCCTGTATCTTCAATCAGTTTGTAAAGGAATCCAAAGAGCAAAGTCACCGGTCTAAAACCTTTGCTCCCCCAACCTCACACTGTATAGAACTTTACAGTTTAAATGTACAGAAAACCCCTGCCATTTGCAAGGGATATGTTCCCAAACCTGTAATTTCCCCCAGCAAAATGGGGGTAAGTAAAATATCACAAGAATTACTAACTATAACAAGTAGAGAAAAAGTCATGTTTAGAGGAAGGTTCTGGATCCAGCTAAAGGATCTGTTCTACATATACCAGCTTTGAAGCAGGATTCAAAATGTGTGTCATAGCAAAATTATGCATTATATCATGGGCTTTCAGCGGTCACTTGCAAATTGTTGAAACTGCGAATGTTAAATCCATACTTTCATTTCCCTTACCTCAGCTCTATCACGTAGTTATATAAAGTTAGATAAGTTACTTACCTCTCCATCTCTGTTTACCCATTTGGCAAATGGCAATGATAATAGCACCTACCTTATTGGATTGCTGGGTTGATTAGATGAGGGCTATATATATAAGCTTAGACCAGTATCTGACACACAGTGAGTGCTCACAAAATGTCAACTAATATCTCATTTGAGCCTCATGGCTCAAAGGTATTTTAATTCCCATGGTTTGCAGAGGAGGCATCTGACATGCAGTAGAAAGAACAATGACCTTGGAACCTAAGGATTTGGCTTTAGGCTCTGGTCTATTCACTGATGACCTTTGTGGGCCACTTGGCATTTTGTTTTGTTTCGTTTGTATTTTTTGTAGAGACAGGGTTTCACCATGTTGCCCAGGCTGGTCTTGAACTCCTGAGCTCAAGCAATCCACCTGCCTCAACCTCCCAAAGTGCTAGGATTACAGGCGTGAGCCACCACTCCCGGCCAACTTTTTGGCTCTTAGTTTAATCTATAAAATGGGGACAACAGTACTATTTCTGTCTACCTACATTACTGCTATAAGCACTCAGAGACATCACATATGCAGAAAGATTTTGTTAAGTATAAAACACGAGTTAATCATATTGTGAATACGGTAGTGGGAGGCAGTTTGGAGTAGTGGTTAGGCATACCAGCTTTAGAGTTAGAATGCCTGAGTTCAAATCCTGACTCTACCATCTAGCAGCTGTTGAGACCCTGGGCAACTTACCTATCTTTTCTCTGTCTCTGTTTTCTCACTGGTAAAATTAGGATAATAGCACCTATCTCATTAAATTGTTGACAGGACTAAGTGGGTTAATACATGTAAAGCACTTAGAACACTTCCTGGTATACAGTAGTGGTCAATAAGTGTCAGTTCTCAATAACTATTGTTATTTTTATTGTGAATTTGGCAATTATTAACGTAGTCACAACCCTGCTGCCTTGCCTGACCCACTCCTCTGCAGGAGAAGACTGTTTGTCTCACCGACTGTCCTGCAGTCCTGGTCTCTCGGTGCCAATCCTCCACCAAGGCCACAGCCTCCTCACCACTCTCAGGGTGGCGTGCCTGCACCCAGGTCTGGACCTCCCTAGGCAAGATAGTCAGGAACTGCTCCAGCACGAGCAGCTCCAGGATCTGCTCTTTGAGACGGATCTCCGGCCTCAGCCAACGACAGCAGAGAGCCCAGAGCTGGCTGAAGGCCTCGTGGGGTCCAGCTGCATCCCTGTATTGGAATTGCCTGAAGCGCTGGCGGGAGGCCTCTGGGCCAGAGACAGAGCCACGGTCCTTCTCCCAGAGTTTGGATTCTGATCCCCAAGAGTCCTCTTCCAGTTTCACAATCAGGAGTTCTTCAGGCTCTGGCTGCGGAGATGCCTGGGCTTGCAATTCCAGGGCCATAGCCATTGTCTAACCCAGACACCTCACTTCAGCTATGCTGACCTCATCCAATGTCTTCCTGCATCTACGGTGAGTCCTTCAAGAGGCTCCTAGAAAAGGGACTGCTCCCCAAGGCTCTAAGGCAGAAAGACAAAGGATAGAGTGTGAGCAAAAGGATGCAGAAGCTTCATTCTCCCCCTTCCCCCATATCTTCCGCCACCTTTGCATGGGGGCAGAGGTGCTAAGAGATGCCCCTTTCCCATAGGCAGGAAGTAAGGCCACAATCTGGCACCAAAGCCAGTAGCACCTACCTTACTTGACTGCTGGGTTGATTAGATGAGGGATCTATATATAAAAAGCTTAGACCAGTGTCTGACACAGTGAGTGCTCACAAAATGTCAATTAATATCTCATTTGAGCCTCACACTTTGGAGGAAGACAGCACTGTATTCAATCCTCTAGGTCATGCCTGAACACCTTAGCCTGGCATCCCACACCTCCATGATCTGGTCCAGTGTAGACTTCCTCCCTTCTACACATGTCCAAAGTCCAACCTTCCCTCAAGTTGGGTTCCAAATGTCACCCCCTTCCTAAGGCCTTTCTTCCCTAATCTTAAAGCTTGGCTGGCATTCCTCTAAGGATGTTCTCCTTGCAAAATCCAACAACTCTATGCTATCCCCTGGTCATCCCACCTATTTGGCATTATTCATCATCCCTATACATGACTCCTAAAACTCCAGCAAGGACCTGTTTCCAGACCTCCAGACCCCAAAATCCAAACCCCTTCATGACACTTCTACTTGACTGTCCCTTAGGCACCTCAAACTCAATGAGTCAAAAACTGGATTTGTTATTTTCTCCTGCAATCATGTCTGCCTTCTGAAGCTCCCCCTTCAGTGAAGGCACTGCCATCAAGTTCTCCACACCAGAAACCTGGTCATCATCATTCTCTAAGATCCCCAAATCCAATTCATCACCACGCTGTGTCCACTTGGCATCTCCATCTCCAATGCTACCACTTCAGTGCAGAGAATCATCATGTCTTCCACCTGATCAGTCTCCTAACACGTCCCTGCCTCCACTCACCTCACCCCAACCTCTGCTCTATTGTTTGCACAACAACCAAACTAGATCAAAGCCTGACTACACCACCTCCCTGCTAAACACCCTCCAGTGATCTACCATTTCCCTCAGGACAAAGCACAAGCCTTACCCAAGTCTCCAACTCGTCTCTTTACCATGCTCCACTAGTCATGGTGCTCCAGAAGCACAGCTTCCAGATCTTACACCACGCTGCCCTCTGAACCTTCCCCTCTTTGGGAAGGTCTCCTTTGGGAATGGTCTCCTCCCTTCCTTCAGCTAGCAAGGTCTCAGCTTAAATTGCTCTTTTTCCGTAAGGCCTTCCCTGCACCCTGAAACAAGATTCAGTCCTCGACCACAAGCTCCCATAGCATCTTACATTTTCTCTACCATAGCCCAGATCATGCTTTACTGTAATTTTCTTACCCACTAGATCATTAGCTTCCCAAGAGACCTAGCACAGTGCTCAGCACATATAGGAAGTACTCAATAAATAATAAAGTCACGAATGATTGACTAATGATGATGGTGTGTCATTAAGCAAGGATTGCAATTAATCCCTTTCTGTGCACACTAGATAAAAAATAAATGACCTTCGCGCTCATGCCAAAAGGAATTCCTTTCTCTTTTATTTCCATGTCTCTGTGACACTTACCACTTTCTACACTGTATGAGACATTGTATGAGAAGGATGTGCGTATCTATGTGTGTCCCAGAGGAGATTACAGCCTCTCTGATGGCACCCATGCTGGGTTATTTGAAAAAATGAGCTCTCTGTGTCATCCCAACAAGTCTGGGTGACATAAAAAATGCCCACTCAAAGGAGATCATTAGCTGCTTCCAAGTGGGAATGACACAACTGAATTGAGAATGGAGAGATGGTGGTATTTTTCATTTTGGGCAATCTGACTGGACTGAAGAGAAACAAGACAAGGGTAATAAAAATTAAAGTCTTGCCCTAAAGGCCTCCATATGCTTAGGAAGAGGCTTAAAGCACAACTCATGGCTACCTGGCAGCTTCCTACTCATCCTTCAACCACCAGCTCAAATGTCACCTCCTTTGATAGGAGTTCCTTGACATGCCCTTTTCATGTCCTGCCCTCCAAGAATTGCCTCCCTGATCCTATATCACCAAAGCAATTGGTACATACCTCTAATATAGGTATTATCCTACACTATTGTAGTTACCTGTTACTATATCTGACACCCACATTATACTATATTACTAGAATCAGTATTGTATGTTACTAATTTCTGTATCCACAGTGCTCAACCCAGTATCTGATAAATAGCAGGGCCATTAAAAAGTTTTATTACCATGTATTAAAATGATAAACCTGGCGTATCAAAAGCCTAATGGGATACAGATATTCCATAATTTATATTAAACTAAACTATTTCTGTCTACCTACATTACTGCTATAAGCACTCAGAGAGATCACATATGTAGAAAGATTTTGCCTTTCATGAAATTTCTTTTTGAACCTAAAGAATTCGCCTTTCATGAAATTTCTTTTTGAACCACAACCTTATTGATGCATGAGTTCAAACACATTTCTGTCACCCTCTCACACAAGGAGCAATTCATCAATCATTTATAGAGTACCAGCTATACCCTGTTTGGAAGCTACAGATCTACCAGTAGCTGGGACTGACAGTCCCTACCTTCAATAAAATTACAGTCTAGTGAGACAGACAGTCAATAAGCAAGCAAAGACATTTGCGTTCCTGCACAAACAGGACACTACAACAAAATAGGCAATTAGCAGTCACACCAGGCCCAAAGCTCAGAGTCTCAGATAATAGGTATTTTCTCCTGGAAAGACTTGAAAGTCCCAAAGGTTTGTTTCAAATAGAAATCGGAAAGCCCCAGGGACCACATATCACCATAACCTTTTTTTTCTAAGGAACCATAACCGTAACTTTCTAAGGAAGTTAGACCGAAGTATGGATAGCAGGCTATTGTGGGGAGAGGGAGGCCAACAGAGTCGGCCAACAGCCGGGTGACTTCACACAGAAGTGAACAAGGGAAAATGGACCGGGGCATTCCTCAGTTCCGAGATGACCAGGAATATCGAGCCTCATTAGGACCAGCAATTTCTAAGAGTACCCCTTTACTGAGTGCCCACAAGGTGCCAGGCACAGTGCTGTGTTCCACATTCATAATCTCACTGAAGCCTCCAGGCAGCAACTGGAGTCTCATTAGGTGTTGAGCTGCATTTCACTGATCTGTAACTTCCACTGCAAAGATCAGAAAGAGAGAAAGAGGGCCGGGCGCGGTGGCTCACGCCTGTAATCCCAGCACTTTGGGAGGCCGAGGCAGGGAGATCACAAGGTCAGGAGTTCGAGACCAGCCTGGCCAACATGGTGAAACCCTGTCTCTACTAAAAATACAAAAAAAAAAAAAAAATAGCCAAGCGTGGTGGCTCGTACCTGTAATCCCAGCTACTCGGGAGGCTGAGGCAGGAGAATTGCTTAAACCCAGGAGGCGGAGGTTGCAGTGAGCTGAGATCGTGCCACTGCACTCCAGCCTGGGCAACAGAGCACGACTCTGTCTCAGAAAAAGAAGAAAAAAAAAAGAAAGAGAGAAAGAGCATGATTTAAATAGTGCAGCCAGTTGCGTTCACTATCTGTTCGAGAATAAGCATGTGGTGGTGGCACCTAGGACTTCGCTATTCACCAGGTTGGTCTTGATTCCCTCGTGCCTCTCTTTCCACTAAGTGTGAGTAAAGTGTCTTTCATACCGCACAGTCCCTAATACAAGCGAATTCTCATCTAATGTTCAAACAAGAAAGCCCAGCTGTGCTGATTAGTTTATTTATTGAAAGGCAGCGTGTTAGTTTCTGAAACGGCTCCTTGCCAAAGGATTTTCAAACTAACTGTGATTTTTGGCTAAAGTGATTTTCACCCTTAGAATATTATTATCTGATAAGGTATGACTGCACTATATCCTCAATTACCTAAAGGGAAACTGAGTGTTTATGAAGATTCACTTAAGGTTACACAACTAGCAAGTGGTAGAGTTAGGGTCTAAGCCGAGATCCCTTTTCTCCAATCATTTTTCTTAACCATGTCTTATAGCCTCCTCTATGTGTGCTAGTCATCCAAACTCTTAAGATGACAGTACGGGAGAATGGAAAGAACATTAAGGCAGGAGTGAGCAGACTGGGGTTCTAGTTCCACTCCTGCCACTAATCAGCTGTGTTACTTTGGACAAGTTATGTAGCCCCTGTGGCTGCCTAGCTAGGCTGCAGCTTACAGCCTGATCTTACTCAGCAGTTGCCCTAGGTTCCCCAATTAGTATGATGGGGTAGAGCAAGGGAGAAGGGAGACTAGAGTCAGTGGCTACAAGTTTAAATGGGTATAAGGACCTAGCAATGTAAATGAGTCAATGACTGAAATGAACTGGGTGGGCACTACAGCCAACTATAGAGTGCCAGGGGAACATATGCCCAGAATATTCCTAAGCCTGCTGATTTTTCCAAAAGAAACTAGCACTCTGGATTTTTAAATGTTGGTAACCAACTCAAAATTTTTTCACACACTATGAGATTAAATAAAGCATGATGGTGGACTTCATTCAGCATGGGCTGTCGCTTTGCCACTTAGATTCAGCTAAGTGATCTCAAAGCTCTCTTCCAATATCCAGAAAGACCTAGAAAGAGTACAGAGCCTCCCAGGTCATGAGGGATAAGTGCTGACTGCCATCAAAATCAAGATGTCTTTACAAACACAGGGAAGCTGAGGGGCATCTTGACTCCTAGGGCAGTAAGTATGAACGTGGTCATGAGGAGCCCACTCAGTGAAAAGGGAAGAGAAGATGCTCTCCAGTTCCACAGGAAAGGCCAAGACTGGTCTGTGACCTCCAAAGAGAAAAAACTGGGAACTCTTAAAGGCTGTCAGGCCCATTTGGCTGACAGTCCAAGCTATGGCTTAAAGCAGTCTGACCTGACCTCACACATAAGGGCTTAAGCCAGGGAGAGCAAATAGGTTTCATTTAAAGCAGAAACTTCAATCAACTGGAAGTGGCTGCCTAGAGTAGTGTGCTGAGGGCTCTGAGTACAGTGTGAATATGTGCTGAGAACCAACCAATTAGCCATGACTGCCAGGGACACAGGAAGGGGCACTGGCAGCACACATTCCATGTATTTGTCACCCCTGGCTTAAACTCCCATTGGCAATGAATCAGCTTCAGCTTCCAGCAGATAGCCTTGCCAGGCAGAGGAAGACTAAAGCTCCTGCCCTGGAAATCCACTGGCAATAGAAGTCTTCAAGGCTGGTATAGCAAAGCTTACCCTGCATGGTCTTCATTCACACATACATACATCAAGTATTTACTGCTTTACATCAAGTGTTTACTGCTCTAGACTGGGCAATGGGGAAACAGAGGTGATTGAGACACTGTTCCTGTCCTGGAGATGTTCACAGTCTAATGGAAGAGACACACACTTCACAGATAATTATGATCAAATGTGGTAATAGGAGAAGTTATGGGAGCTGAGGGTTGGGGGTGACTTAATTTGCTTAAGGGAATTGAGCAAAGTAAGAGTTGAAATTTTTTTAAGTTAAAGAAGTTCTCTTGGCAAAGAAGGTGAAGGGCAAGGAGAGAATATTCTAAGCTGAGAGAACAGCATATATAATGATGGAAAACCAAATGGCCTACCCAGGAAACGAGGAAAACCTTGACAGCCCTGGAGTGTGAGGTGCATGAAGATTAGGCTGCAAAAGGAGTTTATGAAGGACAAGGTGTTTGGACTTTACAGGTGCTGGGTGCCAATGAAAGTTTTCAAGCAGAAGGCATAATCAGATTTGTAGGTGAAACAGATCACACTAGGTGCAATGTGTGTGTTCATGCTGGGAAACTGAAAAGGCTTCTGCGAAAACCCTACAAGAAAGAGGCCGACTGAAAAGATATTAAAGAAATTAAAGATCGGAAGATCCTTGGACGTGGAAGAATGCAAGAGGAATCAGTGGGTAAGTAGGTAGGTAGGTAGGTAAATGGGATGATCGTGCCACTGACTTCCATAAGACATAAGGAAAGAAGTGCAGGTTTGGGGCAGAACACAATAGCCAGTCCCATCCACTGGGTTCCAGAGGTAACAATCATTAGGGAGGTAACAAATTAGATATGCTTGTTCTAGATGGGAAGGTAGAGATTGAAACACTATTTTTAAGGTCGGGCTTCAAGCTCAGGCCCTCTTCACTTCTTGCCAGGGCCCCAGACCCTCTATCCTTTCCTCTGTGGTCTCCAGACCTTTCTATGACTCTCCCACCTCCAAAACCTCCCTCAACCCCCTCACCTTCAGACCCTTCTAAGGCCCTCCTCATTCCCAGGGCCCTCTATCGCCTCCTCATCCCCGACCCCTGTATGACCCTTCCCATCTCCGGCCTCTACATCCTTTGACCGTCCCTCACCCTCCACCCCCACATATAAGCTTCTTTCTCCCCTCTCACCTTCCCCAGCCCCCTGTGTCACCACCACCTCCTAAGTCTCCAGCCCAGAGCCTGCGTCTCAGCTGCCCCCGCCCCGCCACCCGGACTCACCCACCGAGACACCCACTTCACAACAGGGCGGAAGTGCTCCCGGGCTCGTGCGGGGAATGCTGGGACGCGGAGTCCGAGCGGCGCCACCCTGGGAATGGAACGTCTGAGACCACAATTCCCAGAAGGAACCGCGCGAGCGCCGGGGGCGGCCCCCTCCGTTTGCTGCCTTTCAGACGTCTTCAGCCAATAGATATGTCATCTTCTAACGGACCCTGGCACTGGAACAAATCGGAACGGGCGCGACACATGGGGGCGGGACCTGTTGCGATCCTGGCCTTTTCCATAGGCTTCCGGATAACAGCACCGCCCAATGGGAGGGCACTCGAGCAGAAGGGGGCCCAGTTCTACTGAGGGGTCGAAGTGAGAGCCTCAGACCCTGAAAGATCAAAGCAGACACAATAAGAAATAAGAAGAGAGAATGACTAGAGGTGACCAGCCCGATAGGCAGGAGAGAACTGGACAGTTGTAGCTTTAATTTCCAGCTTACAGCTAAGCTGTGTGACTTTGGAAGAATTCTGAACCTCGTTCTCTTCAACCATAAAATGAGGGTAGTAATGGCATCCATGTCACAGAGTTTTGTGAACTTTCAATGAGATAATACACCTAAAACGATTAGCTCAGGGCCTGGCTCCTAATAATGCACAGCGATTGTTAGCTATTATTATGTAAATCAGTTAGTACAGAGCTTGGCACTTCCTAGGTGTTGGAAGAATGTTAATCATTATTACAAAATAATCCTCATATAAATGCGGGTGCTCTGTACCACTGTGAATACTTTGGGGCATGAACAATCTAATGTGGTGTTGAGAATGGGGGCTTTGTAGTCAGACATGGATCCAAATCCCAACTCAACTACTTCGCAGCTGTGTGGCCTTGAACAAATTACTGCCATCTATTTTGTCTTTGGAATTTTCATCTATAAAATGCAAGTAATGTAAGAGAACTTACATCACAGGGTGTTATGAAGGTTAAATGAGACTATTTAGGTAAAAGTCTCTGAAGTCAAGCTGCTTGTGTCTGAAAGTTCTTACTTTCAAATGAAGGATGCAGGTCATACCACCCGCGTTGTGAAACCTTGGGCAAATTACTTAGCTTCTTTATGCCTGCATTTTCCCAGCTGTAAAATGGGAATGATAATACTTGCCTCTTCCTGAGACAGTTGTTGAGAGGAATAAATGGGAGAAGGTATGTAAAGAGCGTGACACATGTCTGACACACAGAAAGTGTTTAATAATCATTAGCTAGTCCAGGCACGGAGGCTCATGCCTGTAATCCCAGCCCTCTGGGAGGCTGAGACGGAAGGATCGCTTTAGTCCAGGAGTTTGAGACCAGCCTGGGCAGCGAAGTGAGACCTCGTCTCTATTTTAAAAAATAGAAAATACAATAATATACATAATCATTAGCTATTATTATTATTACCAATGGTTATGCGGCTTAGGGAAAATTGACAATACCTAGCATCTGGTAAGAGCTCAATGCATGTTGGCTAGTGTTAAAATAGGAGAATTCTTAGCTTTAACGACCCAGTTTAAATTCCTTCTCTGTGAAACATGTTCCAACTTATTTGTAGTAATAACTCATGTGATTTTACTCAGTAAACATAATAACAACCCGTAAATACTCCTTGGTGTTGAAGTCTCACAGTAGCCCTATGAGATTGGTATTGTTTGCTCCACTTTACAAAGAGGGAATGAGACTTAGAGAAACGAAGTGACCTACTCAAGATCACAGAGCCAATAAGAACCAGGGCTGCGATTTGTCACCCCCTAGGCATGTGACTCCAAAGGTCCTACACTGCATGAGGAAGAGACCATATGTGGAAGTAGGAGGGTTTGAGATGGGGAGGGACAGTGCAACAGTGTGGGGTGCCAAGGGAGCCGGAAACATTTGAGAGAGTGTCAGGATCTGAAGCTGGAGAGGCAGCTTTGCAGGGTCAGGTAAGGACGTGTCCACTTCAGCATCATCTGCCCTAAGAGGAAGAAGGGAGGCGAGTGTGCAGAGAGAGGAGAGGACATCATTAGGACACAAGAGGGCGCGCCTCGCCCTCAATACAGCCTCGAATTATTCTATGGTTTCCCTTAGCCTTTGTCTAATTAAAGCCTGGCATTCTACAGAAGAGAAAAAACTAACGAAGTCCTCAAGAGGCCAACTGCCCTTTAGTGCCGTGTAGAAATAAGCAACAGAGCCTGAACCTGTTCCAGGTTCTCTCTGGTTCAGCACCCATCAGGATTTGGTTTGCAAGCGTTCTGTCTGCATTTGTCTACCAGGACTCTCTCTGATTTGGGCAGACACTAGGCTCTAAGGATGCAGAGATGAAGCAAACCTGGTCTCTGACCCCAGGGCCTGATCTCTAAACTTTCCCAATAGAGCGCTCCCATAAGTGAAGCCTTTTTGAGTTTTTGAGTTGAGCACACACTCCCAACATATGTGTATTTATTTACTTATAAATGATGTGCCTGTAATAGCTAACTTTCCTTGAACATTTGCAATGCATTATTAGGTCCTTCTCTCAGTGCTTTATATGTATTAACTCATTTAATACATCCAAAACCCTTTGAGGGAGAGTCTAACACTATCCCATATTACAGAAAAGGAAACTATGGTATAGAGAGGTTAAATAACATGCTAACGGCACGTGGCTAAAAAAGCAGGCAGTCTAGCTTCAGAATAAGGTAAGATTTTTAAAAAATAGAAATAGAAGTTATAACAGTTTCTTTGCAACCATAGTGTGATAATCTTGTGCACTCAGCTTTGGAGACCACTATTTCTGTGGCTTTCAGGCCTGTGATCAGTCCTTTGAGAAAGGGAGGTGCAGGAAATTGTGGGAGCCCAGGGGCAACAGTTATCTAGGCTGGGAGATCAGGAAAGGCTTCTGAAGAAAGTGATGGCTGAACTGCATCTTAAATAATACTTAAGAGTTCCCCAGGGAAAAGGTATTTTTCAGTGCAAGAACAGCATATGCAATGGCCCAGAGACAAAAGGTGTGATGATGTCCTGGGACCCACAGGTAGTCTAGCATAGTCAGAGTACAGAGTGACAAGGGGGTAGGCTTCTCCTCCCAGTGTTGCTATGAGGCTTAACTGGAGATAGATGGGAACAGGCCTTCATGTTTTTTATTGAGGGAACAGGCAATCAGTCTGCTGTCTCCTGGGCAGCATCCCAGCTTTTTGATCCTTAGCTGCCAATCCCTCTATAACCCAGATGGCAAAAGGGGTCCCTTGGCCCCTTGAAGATCTGGTTGAACTTGACCTGGACCCCATTCCACAGCTTAGGACTGGCCAAAGGCTTCTCTCTTTGCCCTCTCTCTCCATGAATTTCCAACCTTATTTCCTCTGGACTACAGTTTCTGTGAATCCAACCCTTTCACCTTCTGCCTCATTGTACTCCAGCCCGGACAACAAGAGCAAAACTGCATCTCAAAAAAAAAAAATTCAATCAAGCCAAGCATTCATGGATTTAGTACATTTATTGAGGGTTTGGAGATCTTGAGATTACATTACGTACCACATGGCCACCTGCCATCTCCCAGATTTTCTTATTCAGCCTCCAGAGCCTTCCCAAAGCCTGTGTTCCCATTTGATTCTCCCTTGCACACACAGTAGCCCCACCTTCTACTAAAAACTGAGTTCAGTCTCATAGCCCACACATACTCACTATCTCCCTGCCAAGCTGGCTTGCTTTTCTTACCCCCACCTTCCAACACACACGCACCCATTCTACCCTACCCCAGGGTGCTCCAGCCTGCTCCCTAACCAAGCCCAGAAGTCATTCTTTCTTTCCTCTTCCTTGGGCCACATGCAATAGTCTCTTCAGCGGAGCAACCAGGCCAATCTGTGGCAGCAAGGGAGCTAGTGGCGTAAGATGGGCTCCAGGAAGACCAGCAGTAGCCCTTGGGGGGTGGGGGACAGCCAGCAGAAAGGAGGTGGCCAGGAGGAGCTCCAGGCATCAGCAGGGGGTGTGCAGGGCCTGGTGACTCAGCACACAGAGCGTGACCCAGCTGCCCACCATGCTGTCTGCTGCATTGTCAGCCACATCCTTGCCTGGCTCAAAATCCCACTCATGGAGGCAGAGTGGCAGCCCCCGGCCAGCTGGAGGGCAGTCCTCTAGAGCAGGCAGCAGCTCCTGCACCATCCAGCCCTGGTCTTGCCTGCAGTGGGACACAAACACGTCATAGAGGAACCTCTTGCCTTTACCCTTCTGACTCCTCAGACTCTGGAACCAAACCCTGAGCAAGGCCTTGAGTTAGAGGATCCAGGAATTCCTGGCTTCCTTTAGGAAGGGCAAGGAGACCAGCAGAAGCAGCAGGGCAGAGCTGCGCAAAAAAGAGCTCCAACCCCAAAGTCTTGGGGCAGTGGCTCCAGAGAAAAGGGAAAAAGAGATTCTTTGAGTGGCCCCCAGCTTCTGAATGGCACAGCTGCTGTGATACTATGTGCATGTATGTTCTGGGGGACTGCTAAAGCCAGGGCCCCACGCAGGCATTGGCACACTGGCAGGCCAAGGATGAGGTCAGAATATAGATGTACTGGGGCATCCGAGGACTGTGCTCCTGGAGGCTGTCATCCAGCATGAAGTCTTTCTCCCTGTCTAGTACTAAGACCTGGAGACTGCCGAGGCCCCCAAAAGCAGCAGCAGACAGTGTCTCCAACCCTGTTTGGGACAGCTGCAGCATATCAAGCCTGGGCAACTCACCCACCAGCTCCTCAAGCCGCACTGGGCAGGGGCATGCTTGAGACTGCAGTGCCTGCAGCTTCAGCTCCTGTAGACTGGGCAGTCCCGTGATGCAGTAGGGCCTAGGGCTATGCCTGTTTCCCCATCCTTCAAGGACTTGAGCTTCGGGAGCTGCCAGAGGAAGAAGCTGGAGGTGTCCTGGGAACAGAGGGGCTCCAACCTACTGCCAAGCAGGGAGAGTTGATGAAGGGCAGGGAAGATCTTGGAGATATTCTGGGTCTCTAGCTGCAGTCCCCAGCCCTTTAAAGTCAGGATCTGCAAGACTGGAAAGACATTAGGAGACAACCTCCAATGCTTCATGCCTGAAACTGCGTGGAGCTCCAAGCTAGTCAGTCTTGTGAGCAGGGAAAATGCTACTCCCGCAGGGCCAAAGGGAAACTGTATTCTCAAGCTGTGCAGACTTTCTGGGCCCCGGAAGCCCCAGGTTGGGCTCAGCACCATGTGAGTACCTACCAGGTTTTGGGTGGTCAGTGTAGGCAGAGGAGCCAGCCAGCCCTCACCCAGGGTTACCAGTGGATTATTGCCCAAGTTCAAGGTCTGTAGCCTCTGTAGGCCCTGGAATACCTGGTCTTTCAAGCAAACCAGTTGGTTCCCTTGAAGTAGCAGCTCCCGCAGGTGGGGCAAACAGGAGAAGATGACTGGGGACAGGGTACACAGCCTATTCTTGGACAGATCCAGGGCCCACAATCCTGACACAAACCCTGTCTCATTCATACACAACATGGCGCTCCTCAGTTGGTTGTTGGCCAGGTTCAGTCTCTGAAGCCTGGGCATGGCAGCCAGGAAACCTCGTGGTAACTCAATCAGGCCATTGCTCCGAAGACCCGAGCTCTTCAGGCTGTGACAGGAAGCCAGGCCTTCCAGGGCTATGTGCCTTGTCCGATTAATCCCCAAATTCAGCTCCTGAAGCTCAAAATGGGCAACCATCCTGGCAGGCAGCTCAGCCATGTCAGTGAGTGTCACAGGGCATCCAATCTCTGCAGCCCCCGTCCCACCAGTGCATCTGCCTTCATCTTTGTGTGGTCCAGATTCAGAGTCCCCAGCTTGAGGACCTGGAAGGCTCCAGGACTGGCCAGCTTCAGCCTACTATTGAATGACAGGTCCAACATGTCCAAGGCCCAGGCATCCCCAGAGGAGGGGCCATGCACCAGATCTGGGAAGATATCAGCCAGCACCCCCACATTCTGAAGGAAATTACACCTGATCGACAGCCATCACAGACTGGGAGGCAACCGGACACCCAAGCTCCCATCCAGGCAGGAACCCAAGAAAGCAAGGTCCTGGAGGGATCTCAGGTCACCAAAGGCATCAGCGGTAGGAAGATTAATGCTCCCACGGTGGGAGCTATGAAAGACATAATGCAGCTGCCCCAACCCCCAGAGAGCTCCTGGCAGGAGCTGGGTGAGATGCAGATTCAGCCCCAGGACCTTGAGCCCAGGAAAGCGGGAGAAGGCATCCTGAGGCAGAGCAGAAGTGGAACCAGATTGACAGAGACCCTCCACGTTCTGCAGCACAGTTTCCAAGGCCCGCACCAAGTTGATCACTGAGAGGCATGTGGTGAGGAAAGGCAGGCTGGAGTCCAAGAGGCAAATCAGGAAGAAGCGGGAGACCATAGACAGCCGGGAGCCTTCAGTCACTAAACTATTGGAGATGGTCCAGCCTGCGGTCAGAGGAAGGGACAGGAGCAGACCAGGCAACAGCAAGTGCCTGTCCATCTCAGCACCAAGTCTAGTCCACAGAGAAGCAGAATCAGAATCCCACTCTATCCCCTTCCCTTTTCCAGACCCTATCCTCCCCCTCCAAAATACACATACACAATACTCACAACAGTGAAAAGATACACGGCCCCCAGTGTGCCACGGTCAAAGGACCAACAGTAGAACTGCTAGGGAGTTGAATGGAAGAGTGGGACAAGGAGATACTTATAGCTGAGGTTCCAAGGGTCAGGAAAAAGAAGAAGCAGACTAATGGTGAGATGGGGTCCCGGTCTCACTTCTCTGTTTTAAGGAAGCAAGCAGGCTGGGCGAGGTGGCTCACGCCTGTAATCCCAGCACTTTGGGAGGCCAAGGCGGGCAGATCACCTGAGGTCAGGAGTTCGAGACCAGCCTGGCCAACATGGTGAAACCCCATCACTACTAAAAATACAAAAATTAGCCAGGTGTGGTGACAGGCTCCTGTAGTCCCAGCTACTCGGGAGGCTGAGGCAGGAGAATCGCTTGAACCCAGGAGGCAGAGGCTGCAGTGAGCAGAGACCATGTCACTGCACTCCAGCCTGGGCAACAGAGTGAAACTCCATCTAAAAAAAAAAAAAAAAAAGGAAGCAAGCACTGTTTCTGAGCACAAGACTTGGGATCACAGGTCTAGGAACCACTCTGTCATTATTCTGGGCACGGTACTTCACCTCTCTAAACTTCAGTTTCCTCATCTGTAAAATAAATATACTACTGCCTGCTTCATAAGATTGCTGCAAATGACACATGGATGTCAGAATGGGCTTTCACTCCTCATCATCCCTCATTACTACTTGCTCTCCTTACTCCTAACAGAAAGTGGGAAGAAATCAGGGTTTTCTAAAAAGCAGAAGTCTTGTAAGCAAAATAATACATCGAAATGTTGCTCTCTTGGATATCTTGCAGTGTTCCAAATGGAAGATTCCAAAAAGCCCAAACTTCAGAAGACTATAAGGCTCCATTCCTGCTCTTCCAGGCTGCAGCAAGGAAGGAAGGGCCCTGTATTGGGCCATTATTTGCGTTGGTATAAAGGAATACCGAAGACTAGGTAATTTATAAAGAGGATTTATTGGCTCATGGCTCTGCGGGCTGTATAAGAAGCATGGCACCAGCATCTGTTCAGCTTCTGGTGAGGCCTCAGGAAGCTACATTTTCACAGGCAAAGGGAAAGCAAGAGTGTCACATGGCAACACTGGGAGCGAGAGAGAAGGGAGAGACGCCACATGCTTTTTTTTTTTTTAACTTTTATTTTAAGTTCAGGAATAGTTGTGCAGGTTTGTCATATAGGCAAACTGGTGTCATGGGAGTTTGACGTACAGATTATTTCATCCTCCAGGTATTCAGCCTAGTACCCATTAGTTATTTTTCCTGATTCTCTCCCTCCTCCCACCACCAACCCCCCACTCAACCCGCCAACCCTCAGGTAAGCCCCAGTGTCTGTTGTTTCCCTCTATGACCACACACTTGTAAAGAACTAGATCTCAGTCAACTTAGAGCGAGAATTCACTCATCACCCAGGGGATGATGGTAAACTATTCATGAGGGGCCTTCTCCCACAATTCAATCACCTCCCAGGGGTGAAAAAAAAAAACAACTTGAGATTCTTCAGCCACAGTTATAAAAGCTCCCTAGCTTTTAGGTAAACACTTTAGTTGAGGAGTTATGATATGAACCTATACAGTATAACTAGAAGCAACCATCCTGCCTCATGGCCCCTTGAAATCTTTGTGGCCCTCAGATTACCTTACAGCGATGGCCACTCTGCCTCTTAGAGGCTTGCTTTCAAGGGGCACTTCATTCCAGGTGACTAGAAATTTTAACTTGGTTCTTTCACCAGTGTATGCTCAATATGTCAGAATCCCACTGTCTGACGCTGGATTTTCACTGCCCTCAGTCCCAACAGGCCCAAATAACCAATCCTCAGATTCCCCCTCTTTTCCTGAGGGTCTCTTGTCCACAACCATTTCTTGTACAAATTTCTACATCAGTCAGGGTTTTGTTATATGCAACAGAAACTGATTCTAACTGATTAAAGCAGAAAAGGAACTTGTGAAAAGGATTTTGGGGTATCTCATGGAATCGTCAGATGCAGGGCAGCCAAAGTGATGGTAAATACCCACTAGTCTGTATGAAACTTACTGAGTTTATGATACATGTCTAGAACTGTGTGGTTAGGGGAGAATGCGTGTTACCCACTTCTGATGTTTTCTTCCATGTGAAGGGACATCCGTTAGTATAACCCTCTAGTTTGTCTTCACCCCTTCACAACTCCTCTGGGAGGAAGTGGGACTTATATTCTTGATGAGTTTATGGAAGAAGATGGGCATATGTAGCTCCTTTCCCTTTGGGAGTACCTTTTATTCTATTCTATTCTATTTTATTTTTGAGACAGGGTCTTGCTCTGCTGAAGTGCAGTAGTGCAGTCATAGCTCACTACAGCCTCAAACTCCTGGGCTTAAGCCATCCTTCTGCCTCAGCCTCCAGAGTAGCTGGGATTACAGGCCTGCACCACCATGCCTGGCTAATTTTTATATTTTTAGTAGAGACGGGGTTTCACCTTGTTGGCCAGGCTGGTCTCGAACTCCTGACCTCAGATGATTCACCTGCCTCAGCCTCCCAAAGTGCTGGGATTACAGGAGTGAGCTACCATGCCCGGCCTGGCTTTTACTTATTTTAAAGTGAGAAGAGTGGAATTTGCAGTCAAGCAGAAAGGAAGGAAATACTTGAATGGGACTGCCTCATTCTCCTTGTAATGGTAGCCAGGAGATTGATTTGCTTTACCCTAATTTCCCAAGTGAGGGGTGTAGGGGAATGCAGTGTTTGATGGGAAATCCTTTGGGACTCCTGTTCATGTTTCTTTCCTTTCCCCAGTCATACCCTTCAGAGGTCTGAGACTTACAGACTGCCTGAGCCATAAAAGCCCTCTGAGTTCATCTAGTCCAACGCCTTCCTTTTCATATGGGAAAACTGAGGCCCAGACAGAAGAAGGGGATTTTCCAGGGCCAAGCAGAAGGCAGGTGGCAGAGCTGGAATGAGAACCCAGGGTCATGGTCAGGCTGGGTGGGGATGGAGTGTCAGCATAGCAGCAAATAGATCCACCCTCAAACTTGAGAGGCCAAATGTAGCCCTTAGAGCCCAGAAGACCCACCTGTAGCCCCCTTGCCCATCGCTCCCCACACACACCCAGAGGACTAGGTTTGCACCATCCCCACCCGAGGCTAGCGTGAGAAGTTTACAGAAGGAGGCTGAGGTCAGATCAATTCTCATGCTGCAGTCTGGCCAGGGCTGCCCAGAGAGAACTGTTCTGGAAAGAAAGAGAACTGAGAAACCAGCATTGCAAATAAACAAAATAATAAATTGAATGAAATGAAAACAGACATCTTTGCTTTGGTCCGGGCCACCTTCTGGAGGGCCCTTTCTCTTTCTGTCTCCATCCACCTGTCTCCCCTCCCTCCAAGCTCAGCGGCTCCTTTCTCCTCACACAGGCTCCGGACCCCCTGTCTCCACCACCCCCTTTTCCATACACTCAGTGCTCCCCAGCCCCACCTAGGCGCTCCTGTCCTCCTGGAGGACAGACTTGTGACCAACCCAAGTGATCACACTTGCTGGGAGTGGTTAACTGGTCAGCAGATATAATCCCTACTCATAACAAGTGCTTAGCAATGTCATCGCATACCCATATTAGGATTCTAAATAAAGAGAAGAAACTGTTCATCCACAGCTCCACCACCAATTCAAATGGTTTTCATGGGCCTGAGTTCACTTCAGTCCTTGTCCCACCACTAAATATTTTTCATAAAACTATCATTTTTTGCACCTTCCTATGTGCCAGACAGCTTGATAAGCACTTTTTTTTTCTTTTTTTCTTTTTTTTTTTTTTTTTTTTGAGATGGAGTCTCTCTCTGTCACCCAGGCTCTGGAGTGCAGTGGCATGATCTCAGGTCACTGCAAGTTCCACCTCCCGGGTTCACACCATTCTGCCTCAGCCTCCCAAGTAGCTGGGACTACAGGCGCCCACCACCATACCTGGCTAATTTTTTTGTATTTTTAGTAGAGACGGGGTTTCACCTTGTTAGCCAGGATGGTCTTGATCTCCTGACCTCGTGATCTGCCTGCCTCGGCCTCCCATGCACTTTTTTATGTATTTATTTTTATTTTGAAACGGAGTCTCACTCCGTTGCCCAGGCTGGAGTGCAGGGGTGAGATCTCGGCTCACTGCAGCCTCTGCCTCCCAGGTTCAAGCGATTCTCCTGCCTCAGCCTCCCGAGTAGCTGGGACTACAGGAGCCTGTCACCACACCTGGCTAATTTTTGTATTTTTTGGTAGAGATGGGGTTTCAACATGTTCAACATGTTGGCCAGGCTGGTCTCGAACTCTTGATCTCAAGTGATACACCCACTTGGCCTCCCAAAATGCTGGGATTACAGATGTGGGCCACCATGCCCAGCCTGATAAGCACTGTAAACAACATAACCAGAAATGTTTTATTTCCCAGAATTCCCTCTTTTGGCTACCCAGAATTCCTTTTACTAATAAAAATAACTAGCACTTGTTGAGAAGATACTGTCTGCCACCACTACGTTCTCTCCTAATCCTAACCACCCAGTTTTTGTGTGCGTGTTCCCCCTGACCCCAGTTCTCCAGATGAAGAACTGCAGCCCAGGGAAGACCAGTGACTGGCCAAAGTCCTTGAGACAGTTTCTTCCTCTGCAAAAAGTGAGAAAACCTCAGTTATGACTTCCCCATTTGGGCATCCAGGGGTTAGTTGGGGTTTGACTGCAAATTCCTTTGTTGTCATTGCCTTTGTGACTTTGGTGTTTTCAGATGTAATTCCCAAAGAGCCTTGAGGAAAGGGTGCCCTTGTTTCCTGTTATTCCAAACATCATGAGAATAGGCAGAGAGGTCTCAACAAGAGCTGTAGAACAAGGAGATATTTTTATTCATCCA
Organism: Homo sapiens; assembly: GCF_000001405.40. Taxonomy (NCBI): domain Eukaryota; kingdom Metazoa; phylum Chordata; class Mammalia; order Primates; family Hominidae; genus Homo; species Homo sapiens. The sequence goes on along the minus strand of NC_000001.11, from coordinate 33,461,286 downwards.
CAGAACAAATGGGAATGCAGCCAGGGGCAGCCGGGCAGAACTTTCAGAGATTTCCCTATATATAGACCTGCAGGGAGGCAGCAGCATCAGCCCTTTTGGGGAAGTGAAAGAGGCCAGGCTGAGAGTAACCCAATTACTCTATTGTCTGAGTTGGGGTTCCTTTTCTGTCCAGAAATAGAAATTCAGACTACCCAGGCAGAATTTGTTGGGAGGGTGTGTGGGTGTTCACGGAACCCTAAATCAGCTGGGCCTGGAGAAGGACTGAAGCCAGGGAGTGGAGCCATCAGCCAGGCCATAGTTTCACTGTCTCATCTCCGCTTCAACCTTCTCTTCTCTCCATAGAAGAGGAACAACAGGTTGAACTAAAGCCAAAAGCCAGCTGAGGTGGGTGCAGAAGCTCCTTTCCTTCCTGATCTAGTCCTACTCATCCCCCACCACCCATCACCCCCTAGACCTGCCTGACCTCCCTTCCCATGTTGATGCTCTCCCCACTCCCAGCCCCCTTGGGATCCACTGTGGGAGCTCAGAGGGAAGGAGAAGCCAGCTAGGAAATCTCTGTCCATGTGATTCCTGCTCTATCCTGTGAGCTTGCTGAGATGCTCTGCCTGGGAATGACGGGGTTCTCGACGGTCCTGGGAAGAGAAGCAAAATATTCTCTCACTCAAGGGAGCAGCAAAACACACCACTCTCCCATCCCCAAAAAGGGCTCGTAGGTTGGACTCTTAGGAGTCATCTGGTCCTGGTTTCTCAAGATCTTTTGTCCTTTTGGCCTGCAGACTTTATTATTTAGAGTCCCCTCTTTAGATCATGTGAACAAGGTCTGTTAGACATTCACTCTGTTCATTTATTCAGGCCACAGCTATTCTGAGCTGGGCACTTCTCAGGCAAAGGCGGCAGAGTGCCTGCTCCTGGTGGATGGGGATGACAAACCTGTAACAAGAGCAGTGACTCAGATGTCTTTTTGTTTCCTCTGCCAGCAAGCCACACTTCCTTTTAACAGGTAAGCAGCTACCATCTGAGCTCTTCACCTGCAAGACTTCAGGAAATCCTACCACGTTCTCATTCCCGAGGATCTCCAAGAATTCTTACAAGTTCCACCAATTCACTGTGGTGTCACTTGTCACCTCTGTCTGCCCCACTAGACCCTGGTCTGGTCTCTGGCAGAGCCTGCCTCTGGACCTTAACTCCCTCATCTGCTGCTTCTAATTCAACTTTGCCCAAACATAAGCATATTTCCAGGGAACACTAGGCTCCCTTCTCGCCTCTGCATTCTCTCCCTAGGTGATCTCATCCAGTCTCATGGCTTTTAAATACCATCTATTTGCCAATAACTTTCAAGTCACTGTCATCAGCACTGACTTTTCCCTGAGCTCCAGACTCATACCCAACTGCCTATTTGTCATCTTCACTTAGAGGTCAAACAAGCAATTCAAAGTTAACTTAGTCAAAGCAAACTCCTGATTTCCAGCCCTGCCGTGTCCATCCCAACCTGCTCCCCTCCAAGTGTCTCCGTATCAGGGGAAGTTTCAGCACACAGCATGACACCATCCACTTAGTTGCTCCATCCACAAACCTGAAACTCATTCCCGATTCCTCTCTTTGCTCATCCCCAGCAGCTAGCCCTGTTGTTGACACCACATCAGGACCTACCCTGAATCTGCCCACATCTGTCTATCTCCATGGCTAGGCTCCTAGGTCACAGGGCCATTAACTCTTGCCTGGATGATGGCAATGGTCTCTTGACTTGTCTCTCTGCTTTCATTCTTGCCCCCTGCAACCCATCCTCCACACAGAATCTCGAGTGAGTTTTTAAAAATATACCATGGCTGGGCGCAGTGGTTCATGCTGGTAATCCCAGCACTTTGGGAGGCCAAGGTGGGAAGATCACTTGAGGTCAGGAGTTTGAGACCAGCCTGGCCAACATGGTAAAACCCCATCTCTACTAAAAATACAAAAAAAAAAAAAATTAACCGGGTGTGCTGGCAGGCACCTGTAATCCTAGCTACTCAGGAGGCTGAGACACGAGAATTGTTTGAACCTGGGAGGCAGGGATTGAAGTGAGCCAAGATCGCACCATTGCACTCCAGCCTGGGAGACAAAGCGAGACTCTGTCTCAATAAATAAATAAATAAATAAATAAATAAATAAATAAATAAAAATATAAACCATATCACAGCACTCTCTTGCTTAAGCCCTTCAATGGCTTCCCATCACATTTATAATTTTTTTTTGTCTGACCTACAATGCCTTACCTGAGCTGGTTCTCACCCACCATTGAATACCAACCATGCAACTCCCCCCATCTCTCTCTCTCTCTTTCCCAACACACTTGGCCTTCTCTCTGCTGATCAGAAGGGCCACGCCCACCTCCACCTAAGGGCTTTTGCAGTAGCTGTTCTCTTTCCCTGGTAAGCTCTGCCCACCTGTGATGGGTTTTTGCTTTTGTATTCTGGAAGGTTTGTTGTTTGTAGATGTGTCTGTGTGTATGCATGCGTGTGTGTGTGTGTGTGTGTCTGTTTTTACTAACCATGAGTTAATGCTACAAGACTGATGGTTTTAAATATGAGTCACCACGTTAGGAACTTTTGCCTGAGACAAAACAATACTCCCAGGACATTGAGAGGCTCTGTTCTCCCACCCTATTTTCTTAGCAGATAGCATGACTTTGAACCTAAAACAAAATAAAACTCTTTGAAGTCTTTCCAACAATGAAAAGACATAATTTGGTAATAATAACAATAATATGAAAACAAAATAGAATTTAAGACAAATCATTAAGTGATTAAAGAGGATCATGTGGAAATAATAAAAGCTCTATTACTAGAGCCACAAAACACACACATCAAAGCTTTTAGAACTATAAGGAGAAGGTGACAGAAGCACAATTGTAGTTTTTATTTATTCACCCAACAATGTGCCAGGCACTGCGCTAGGTGGTGGGGAATAAGCAGTGAACAAAACATCTAAAATTCCTGAGACTGTGGAGCTTACTTTTAATGGGAGAAAACAGACAATTTTTAAAGTAAATATACAATATATTATATAATCATGAGTTATATGGTGAAAAATAAAGCAATGGGCCGGGCACGGTGGCTCACGCCTGTAATCCCAGCACTTTGGGAGGCTGAGGCAGGCGGATCATGAGGTCAGGAGATCGAGACCATCCTGGCTAACACAGTGAAACCCCGTCTCTTCTAATAATACAAAAAAATAGCTGGGCGTGGTGGCGGGCGTCTGTAGTCCCAGCTACTCGGGAGGCTGAGGCAGGAGAATGGCGTGAACCTGGGAGGCGGAGCTTGCAGTGAGCCGAGATTGCGCCACTGCACTCCAGCCTGGGTGATAGAGCGAGACTCCATCTCAAAAAAAAAAAAAAGAAAGAAAGAAAAATAAAGCAATGAAGGTGGATGGGGAGAAACAAGGGTAGGAATCAAGGTAGAATTTTAAGTAATGTGTCTAAGAAGACCTCTCTAGTGAGGTGACATTTGAACAGAAGCTTGAAGAATGGAGAGGGAACCACCCATCTCTCTGGCAGAGGAAGCAGCAAGTGCAAAGGCCCTAAGGTGGGAGGTGGAAGCCAGGAGGCCAGGGCGGCTAAAGTGGAATGAGCCAGAAGAGGGATAGCGGATGAAATCAGAGACATCTGCAGGGCATAGCCGCTCAGGGTGGCGCCGTAGACTGTTGTCAGGACTCTGGCTTTTATTCTGTATGAGATATGGGGTCATTAGAGGGTTTTCATCAGAGGAGTGACACAAGCCTGTTTATACTATCAAAGAATCATTCGGGCTGCTATGATAAGAGCAGAATTGCTGGGGATAGTGGTGGTTGCATGAGGACAGAAGCAGAGGGATAAGTGAGGAGTTGTTGCATTAAGTCAGGTGTAAGATAATGTGGGCTTGAACCCTGGTGATAGACTTGGGATTAAGAGGTTAAGACATGGTTAAATTCTGGATATATTTTGAAGATGGAACTGACAGCATTGGCTGATGAGTTGGACGTGGGGTGTGAGGAAAGAGAAGTCAAGGATGATGCCAAGACTGTGGGAGAACAGATTTAGAAGAATTAGTTCAACTTTTAAAGTACTCAGTTTAAAATGACTGTTATAGGCCAGGGGTGGTGCCTCATGCCTATAATCCCAGCATCTTGTGAGGCCAAGGCAGGTAAATTGCTTGAGCCCAGGAGTTTGAGACTAGCCTGAGTAACATGGTGAAGTCCCATCTCTACAAAAACATACAAAAATTTTCTGGGCGTGGTGGCACATGCCTGTAGTCCCAGCTACTCAGGAGGCTGAGGTGGGAGAATCACTTGAGCCCAGGAGATAGACCCTGCAGTGAGCTGTGATTGCACCATTGCCCTCCAGCCTGGATGACAGAGTGAGACCCTGTCTCAAAATAAATAAATAAAACAAAACAAAACAAAATGACTATTATATACCAAGTGGCTGTGTCAAATGACGCAAAGTGCTAGGCATAGGAGGCACTTGATACCTGTGTGCACATGTGTGTATGTGTATACATGTATGTGGCACATTTCATATGTGCATGTATGTATGTATGTTGTGGTTAGAACTACGTCCACCTCTTGGTGGCTGTGTGATCTTGGTGAGTCACCCAGCCTCTCTGGAATACAGAGATAACAGAGCCTACTTCACAGGGCATGGCGATTTTAAAACATGTCCACAATTTTTTGATTTTCCCCTTAAAAAACGGTGATGTCCAATTCCTCTCCCTTTGCATACAAGCAGGCCTTAGTGACCGGCTGCTAATGAGTGGAATGCGGCAGAGGTGGTACAAAAAGACTTCCAAGGCCAACTTAGAAAAACTTCCTCCTGGCTCTCACTCTGAGGACACTCGCCCCGGGAACCCAGCCACTATGTTGTGAAAAAGTCCAGGCCACAAGGAGAGGCCACATGGAGGTGTTCTATCTCACAGCACCAGCTAAGGTTCCAGCATCCACTGCCAGACTTGTGAGTGACAGCCCTCAGGTGATTCCAGTTGTCCCAGCAAATGCCAGATGGAGCAGACATGAAATGTTCCTGCCAAGTCCTGCCCAGGTTACAGGTCTGAGGGCAAATGGATGCTGCTCTTTTGGGTTGTGTGTTATACAGCAGTAGGGAGTTGGAACACTGGGAAATTGCTAAAGCATTTTGTACACTGGAAAGCCAGCTACAGAAATGGCTCATTAGTTGGTAGGCATCCTGAGCTACTCACTAGTGACTCCAGTTAAGTCTTCCAGAGCAGAATGTCATCTCAGGCCAGGCTCTGACTCCTTCCAGCACCAGGTGGCACTACAGTCATATCTGGCCCCTTATTTCCTCCTGCCCATCTTATGTCAGATCCTCACGCTCTCTCTCTCTCTCTCTCTCTCTCTCTCTCTACCACAGCATTGAACTTCTTCAACATGCTGCACCCACCTATGCCTCTGTGTCTTTTCTCATACTGTTCCTTCTGTCTAAACCACTTTTTCCTCCGTGGCCCCCCGGACGTCAATTCCCAGCCACCTCCTTCCCTCTCCTCTGGGCCTCACTTCACCCAGTCTCATCTAAAACAGGATCCAAAACCTTCTTGTAGGAAGAGCTTCTTTCCACTTCCCTAAAGGCTTGAGATCTGCGGGGAGGGGAGAGCACTTCCCAGAAATATGCAGGGCACAGTGACTTTTAGCACTGAAGTCCCAGAAGATGGGAGAAGGCGGAGGAGAGGTGGTACCTCCAGTGGCTGATGGAGAGGGAGGAGAGGAGGAGAGGGGAGGAGGGGTCGGGACAATCTGTGGGAGTTTGTGAAAGCAATTTTCAGTAATCAGATCATCTCCAGCCCCCTGGAAAGTGTTCCCACCAAGTTTTGTTTTTTGTTTTGTGTGTGTGTGTGTGTGTTTTTGTTTTTGTTTTTGTTTTGAGATGGAGTCTCGCTCTATCACCCAGGCTCAAGTGCAGTGGCACGATCTCGGCTCACTGCAACCTCTGCCTCCTGGGTTCAAGTGATTCTCATGTCTCAGCCTCCCAAGTAGCTGGGATTACAGGTACCTGCCACCACGCCCGGCTAATTTTTGTATTTTTTTTCTTTTTTATTTATTTTGTTTGGTAGAGACATGGTTTCACCATGTTGGTCAGGCCGGTCTCAAACTCCTGACCTCAAGTGATCTGCCCGCCTCGGTCTCCCAAAGTGCTGCAATTATAGGTGTGAGTCACCCACCAAGTTTATCCCAGGGCATGTCTCACTTATGCTAAAAGCAAGTCCATTCCCACAGTAGCCCCACTGCCTTGCTGACCCCCAGGGTCTCTCCACACTCCTCTGTGGAGCTTATCCACCCTTCTGAGCCTGATTTCACACAGCTGCTCCTGCAAGGCACAGCTGATCTCTGCAGATGCCTGCAGCCATGCTGCCAGGGAGCCCAGGCAGTATGCTGCTCCCACTCTGCTGCTGGGCAGAGCATGCACAGCTGCCACTTCCTGCTGCTCCATGGGGTGCCTGGTCCTTCACCTGCCAGACCTCACAGCTCTCCGAGCCCCCAAGATGGTGCGTAGTGCCAGGAAGCAGAACAGGGGAGAATGGCTCTGCATTTGTTTTCCAGGGCTGCGGTAACAAAGTTCCACTCCCTGGGTGGCTTAAATAACAGAAATGTATTCTCTCACAGTTTGGAAGGCTGGAAGTCTGAGATCAGGGTGTCAGAAGGCTCGGTTCCTTCTGGGGGCTGTGCGGAAAGGCTCTGTTCCAGGCCTCTCTCCTTAGCTTGTCAATGTTCATCTTCTCCCTGCTTCCCTTCACATGGTCTTCCCTCCATGTGGCCTAGCTTTGGGTTCAAACTGACCCTTTTTATAAGGACACTGATCATATTGGATTAGGGTCCACCCTAATGACTTCATTTTAATTGCCTCTGCAAAGACTACCTCCAAATAAGGTCACATTTTGAGGTGCTGGAGTCAGGACTCCAACACATCTTTTTTGGGGGAATACAATATGATCCGTAACATGCTCCTTCCCTTTGTATTACAGCGTTGATCTCGAGGCCATAGACCTCATTCATTCGAACGAGGCCACAATAGCATGTGGACACACATCATGCTAGCTCAGTATTGCCCCACGCACAAACCAGGTAACTGCAGGGCTCAGAACCATCACGAGGTTGCTTTGCCCCTCAGTGTCTTTGGGAATTCCTGCACTGTCTAGGCCAGGCAGGGCCACTGCTCACGCCACCTCTTCCACGATGGCCTTTGACTTCACTCTGGTGCTCCACGTGGTGGATGTTCATATGGCACCACTTGCTCTAAGGTACCTCTTCAAGTTCTGTATAACTGCTGCCTGACACCCCTCGCAAATCAATGCCTGGGACCCTGATCCTGGGCCTTGCCTTTTTATTCCAAAAAGGATAGAGAAACTGATCTACCTCCCCTTAGAGGAGAACCACAGCAGAATTGCTCAAGTCCTGAGGTGGTACATTATCTAGAAAGATGGCTATTTTTCCCCACATCTACAGATACATACAGATATTGGACCCAGAGCCACAACCCACCTCCATTCCTCAGATCCTCTGCTGAGTTCTGTTGTTCATTCCAGACTCCTTCATTCATTCAGCTACTATTTACTGAGTCCCTAATATGTTTGAGAGACCTAATAATAACTACATGTATTAGTTTCCTATTGCTGCTATAACAAATTACCACAAATGTAATGGTTACAGGCAATATAAATGTATTCTCTCCCAGCCCTGGAGGTCAAAAGTCCAAAAAGGGCATTCTTCTGGAGGCTTGAGGGGAGAATCCTGTTCCTTGGCTTTTTCAGCTTCTAGAGGCCTCACATTCCTCGGCTTGTGGCCCCATTCTGTCCTCTACTTTTTTTCTTTTTCTTTTTCTTTTTTGTTATTTTAATGTTTTTGAGTACATAGTAGGCGTATATATTTATGGGGTACATGAGATGTTTTGATACAGGCATGCAATGTGTAATCACATCTTGTAAAACGGGGTATCCATCCCCTCAAGTATTTATCCATTGTGTTACAAACAATCCAAGTATACTCTTTTGTTGTTTGTTTGTTTGTTTGTTTGTTTTTGAGACAGAGTCTCACTCTGTCACCCAGACTGGAGTACAGTGGCGCAATCTCAGCTCACTGTAACCTCTGCCTCCCAGGGTCAAGCACTTCTCCTGCCTCAGTCTCCCACATAGCTGGGATTACAGGTGCCTGCCACCACACCCAGCTAATTTTTGTATTTTTAGTAGAGACGGGGTTTTACCACGTTGGCCAGGCTGGTCTCAAACTCCTGACCTCAAGTGATCCGCCTGCCTCAGCCTCCCAAAGTGCTAGAATTACAGGCATGAGCCACTGCGCCTGGCCAAGTATACTCTTTTAGTTATTTTAAAGTATACAATTAAATTATCATTGACTATAGTCACCTGTTGTGCTATCAAATACTAGGTCTTATTCATTCCTCCTATTTTTTGTATGAACTAACCACCCCAACCTCCTCCACAGCCCCCCACTACCCTTCCTAACCTCTGGTAACCGTCCTTCTATTCTCTCTCCCCATGAGTTCAATCGTTTTGATTTTTAGACCTCAAAAGTAAGTGTGAACATGCAGTGTTTGTCTTTCTGTGCCTGGGTTATTTCACTTAGCATAATGACCTCCAGTTCCATCTGTGTCATTGTAAATGACTGGATCTCATTCTATTTCATGGCTGAGTGGCACTTCATTGTGTATAAGTACCACATTTTTTTTATTCATTCACCTGCTGATGGACACTTCAGTTGCTTCCAAATCTTGGCTACTGTGAACAGTGTTGCGACAAACACAGGAATGCAGATATCTCTTCAATACACTGATTTCCTTTCTTTTGGGTATAGACCCAGCGGTGGGATTGCTGAGTCGTATGGTAGCTCAATTTTTAGTTTTTTGTAGAACCTCCAACTGTTTCTCCATAGTGATTGTACTAATTTACATTCCCACCAACAGTGTATGAGGGTTCCTTTATCTCCACATCCTCATCAGCATTTGTTACTGCCTGTCCTTTGAATATAAGCCATTTTAACTGGGTTGAGAGGATATCTCATTGTAGTTTTGATTTGCATTCCTCTGATGACCAATAATGTTGGGCACTTTTTATATGCCTGTTTGCCATTTGTATGTCTTCTTTTGAGAAATGTCTATCCAAACCATTTGCCCATGTTTTAACTGGATTATTAGATTTTTTTCTTGTAAAGTTGTTTGAGATCCTCCTATATTCTGGTTATTAATCCCTTATCAGATGGGTAGTTTGCAAATATTTTCTCCCATTCTCTGGGTTGTCTCTTCTCTTTGTTGATGATTTCCTTTGCTGTGCAGAAACTTTATTTTTTTGTTGTTGTTTATGGTTTTTCTTTTTTGTAATCCAAATTTTATTTCAAAATTTGGGAAACTTGATTTTCTTTTATATTTTATTTGCTTTTATTTCAACAGTTTTTGGGGAACAGATGGTGTTTGGTTACATGGATAAGTTCTTCGATGGTGATTTCTGAGATTTTAGTGCACCCATCAGCCAGATGAAAAATGCTCAGCATCACTAATTAACGAGGAAATGCAAATCAAAACTGCAATGTAATACCACTTTACTGCTATAAGAATGACCATAATCAAAAAACCAAAAAATAATAGATGTTGGCATGGATATGGTGAAAAGAGAATGAACTAATGGCATTCGCAGTAACCTGGATGGAATTGGAGAACATTATTCCAAGTGAAGTAACTCAGAAATGGAAAACCAAATATTATATGTTCTCACTCATAAGTGGGAGCTAAGCTATGAGGATGCAAAGCCATACAAATGATACAACGGACTTTGGGGACTCAGGGGAGAAAGGGTGGAGGGTGAAGGATAAAAGACTACACAATGAGTACAGTGTTTCTATACAGGTGTATAGTGTGTAAGTATCTTTTTCATATAATGGCTTCTTTTCTCCTGGGTAGAAACCCAGTAGCAGGATTGCTGGATCAAATGGTAGATCTGCTTTTAGTTCTTTAAGGGATCTCCACACTGTTTTCCACAGTGGTTGTACTAGTTTACATTCCCACCAGCCATGTAAATGTGTTCCCTTTTCACCACATCCACAGCAACATCTATTATTTTTTTATTTTTTGATTATGGCCATTCTTGCAGGAGTAAGGTGGTATCGCATGGTGGTTTTGATTTGCATTTCCCTGATCATTAGTGATGTTGAGCATTTTTTCATATGTTTGTTGGCCATTTGTATATCTTCTTTGGAGAATTGACTATTCATGTCCTAAGCCCACTTTTTGATGGGATTGTTTGTTTTTTTTTCTTGCCGATTTGTTTGAGTTTCTTGTAGATTATAGATATTAGTCTTTTGTCAGATGCATAGTCTGCAAAGATTTTCTCTCACTCTGTGGGTTGTCTGTTTACTCTGCTGATTATTTGTTTGGCTGTGCAGAAGCTTTTCAGTTTAATTAAGTCCCATCTATTTATCTTTGTTTTCGTTGCATTTGCTTTTGGGTTCTTGGTCCTGAAGTCTTTGCCTAAGCCAAAACGTCTAGAAGATTTCTCCAATGTTATCTTCCAGAATTTTTATGGTTTCAGGTCTTAGATTTAAGTCTTTGATGCACTTCGAGTTGATTTTTGTATAAGGTGAGAGATGAGGATCCAGCTTCATTCTTCTACGTGTGGCTTGCCAATTATCCCAGCACTGTTTGTTGAATAGGCTGTCCTTTCCTCACTTTATGCTTTTGTTTGCTTTGTCGAAGATCAGTTGGCTGTAAGTATTTGGCTTTATTTCTGGGTTTATTTCTTTGTGCCTATTTTTATACCAGTATGATGCTGTTTTGGTGACTATGGCCTTATAGTATAGTTTGAAGTTTAGTAATGTGATGCCTCCAGATTTGTTCTTTTTGCTTAGTCTTGCTTTGGCTATGTGGACTCTTTTGGTTCTATATGAATTTTGGGGTTGTTTTTTCTAATTCTGTGAAGAATGATGGTGATCTTTTTATGGGAATTGCATTGAATTTGTAGATTGCTTTTGGCAATATGGTCATTTTCAGAATATGGATTCTACCCATCCATGTGCATGGGATGTGTTTCCATTTGTTTGTGTTGTCTATGATTTCTTTCAGCAGTGTTTTGTAGTTTTCCTTGTAGTGGTCTTTCATTTCCTTGGTTAGTCATATTCCTAAGTATTTATTTATTTATTTATTTATTTATTTATTTTGCAGCTATTGTAAAAGGGGTTGAGTTCTTGATTTAATTCTCAGCTTGGTCACTGTTGGTGTATAGCAGTGCTACTGATTTGTGTACATTAATTTTGTATCCTAAAACTTTGCTGAATTCACTTATCAGTTCCAGGAGCTTTTTAGATAAGTCTTTAGCGTTTTCTAGGTATACAATCATATCAATGGTGAACAGCGACAGTTTGACTTCCTCTTTATAGATTTTTATTCCCTTTATTTCTTTCTCTTTTCTGATTGCTCTGGCTAGGACTTCCAGTACTATGTTGAATAGAAGTAGTGAAAGTGGGCATCATTGTCTTATTCCAGTTCTCAGGGGGAATACTTTCAACTTTTTGCCATTTGGTATAATGTTGGCTGTGGGTTTGTTACAGATGGCTTTTATTACCTTCTATGCCGATTTTGCTGAGGGTTTTAATCATAAAGAGATGCTGGATTTTGTCAAATGCTTTTCTGCATCTATTGAGATGATCATGTGATTTTTGTTTTTAATTCTGCTTACTGTTTATGTGGTGTATCACACTTATTGCCTTGTGGATGTTAAATCATCCCTGCATCCCTGGTATGAAACCCACTTGATCATAGTGGATTATCTTTTTGATATGCTACTGGATTCGGTTAGCTCGTATTTTGTTGAGGATTTTTACATCTATGTTTATCAGGGATATTTGTCTGTAGTTTTCTTTGTTTGTTATATCCATTCCTAGTTTTGGTATTAGGGTGATACTGGCTTCATAGAATGATTTAGGGAGGATTTCCCTCTTTCTCTCTTTTGGAAGAGTGTCAATAGGATTGGTACCAATTCTTCATTGAATGTCTGATAAAATTCAGCTGTAAATCCATCTGGTCCTGGACTTTTTTTTGTTGGTAACTTTTTAATTACCATTTCAATCTTGTTATTGGTCTTTCAGAGTTTCTATTTCTTTCAGGTTTAATCTAGGAGGGTTGTATATTTCCAGGAATTTATCCATCTTCTCTAGGTTTCCTAGTTTATGCTCATAAAGATGTTCATAGTAGCCTTGAATGATCTTTTGCATTTCTGTGGCATTGGTTGTAATAGCTCCCGTTTCATTTCTAATTGAGCTTATTTGGATCTTCTCTCTTCTTTTCTTTGTTACTCTCGCTAATGGTCTATCAATTTGATTTATCTTTTCAAGGGACGCACCTTTTGTTTCATTTATCTTTTGTATTGTTTTTGTTGTTGTTTCAATTTCATTTAGTTCTGCTCTGATTTTGGTTATCTCTGTTCTTCTGCTGGGTTTGGGTTTGGTTTGTTCTTATTTCTCTAGTTCCTTGAGGTGTGACCTTAAATTGTCTATTTGTGCTCTTTCAGACTTTTTGATGTAGGCATTTAATGATATTAACTTTCTTCTTAGCACTGCTTTTGCTGTAACCCAGAGGATTTGATAGATTGTGTCACTACTATCGTTCAGTCTCTACTTTTTCTTCTCGTATCACTTTCTGTGACTGTCCCTCCTGCCTTCTTCTACTTCTTTTTTTTTTTTTTTTTTTTGAGACAGAGTCTTGCTCTGTCGCCCAGGCTGCTGTCTTCTTCTTATAAGGCCCCTTGTGATTACACTGGGCCTACCTGGATAATCCAGGGTAATCTTTCCATTAAAAAATCCTAAGTTAATTATACCTGCAAAGTCCCTTTTGCTGTGTAAAGTCATGTATTCACGGGTTTCAGGGATGAGGAAGTGAACATCTTTGGGGGGCTGTTATTCGGCCAACCACACTGCATATCCAGTTGAATGGATTCTACCTCATAGTTTTTTCCTCTCATTTGCCCTCTGTCACTGCCTCCTTCTCTCCCAGTTGGCCCAACATACTTGTTCATAACTAACCCCTAATCATGGACAAAGTTTAAGTTCTTTTCTCAGAAGCTTTCTCTTCTGCTCCCTTGTAAATCAGGGCCAGAACCCTTCCCTTACTGGAGAGCCCTTCACCCTCAGAGGCAAGGCCTCTAGCTCTCCTGTTAGTGTCACAAACCGTAGTCAGGTATTTGGACAAGGATAATGCATCTATGGTGTGTGTGTGCAGAGTACAACCATGAATAAGCCTCCTGTGCTCTTCCATTTGCCCCTCCAGACCCACTCTCCACCTTTTTCCACCTTGCTTTGGATGCCAAGCACATAAACTCTAGGAACCAACCACATCAGTGAGCTCTCTTGTCCTCTGGCTTCCTGCTGGGCTTAGCCAGTGAGAGCACTGGCAGGAGTTGGAGGGTGGGAGGAGGATAGGGGTAAGATATGGACTCCTCTGACGCCTCTGCGAGGCTGCCACGGGCTGCCGCATCCCTTAGTGGAAGATCTCAGCTCCTGCAGGATGGCCCTCTCCACAGAGGCCTCTCTGAGTTCAAGCAACTTCTCTTTCCTCTCACACTTTCAGGTCTAGTTTTCCTGTCACCGGCCCCAGGTTCTGCACTGTCTCTTGTGCTTTGGCTAAATCCTGCTCACACATTTGTAAAGACTCTTTATTAAACTTTTCTCAGGTTACCCGTTGTGAGGGTGTCAACTGTTATCTGCTGGAATCCTGACTGTTACACTCCCCAAAATGTAATTTAGATGTCCTCCAAGCTGCCCTAGCTTATGGCTACAAATGAAACTATACTGTAATTTAGATCCAGATGTTGGTATTTCAACCCCACACCTAAATCAAGGCAGGAACCCAGTTCCCTTTCAAGGTTCTAGAACTCCTGCATCCCCAGGGATATCTCAAGCTTGGCTACTCCTCACATTTCCTCCTTGCCCCATATGCCATGGACCCCCCACTGAGAGCGTAGAGCTATCCAGTTCATTGGATCCACGCTCTTCCTGAAGCCCAGAGGCCCTCCTGCCTTTGGTATTAAGATACTCCGGGCCGGGTGCAATGGCTCACGCCTGTAATCCCAACGCTTTGGGAGGTCGAGGCAGGCGGATCACCTGAGGTCGGGAGTTCGAGACCAGCCTGACCAACATGGAGAAACCCCGTCTCTACTAAAAATACAAAATTAGCCGGGCATGGTGGCACATGTCTGTAATCCCAGCCACTCGGGAGGATGAGGCAGAATTTCTTGAACCCGGGAGGAGGAGGTTGCAGTGAGCTGAGATCGCTCCACTGCACTTCGGCCTGGGCAACAACAGTGAAATTCCATCAAAAAAAAAAAAATCATACTTTTTCTCTAAGCTAGATTGAGCTGGCTTTGGTAGACTATGGATATGTGAGTCAAAGTCACGTGACCCTGAACCCGACTGAATCTAGGCCTGGCTGCCCAGATCCCTTCATTGCTGATAAACCCTCTGCCCCTTCTGTGCCAGGAATCCCCTCCCTCCTGGTTTACTCAGAAAAAAGAGCTATAGGGCAGGGATTGTTTGACTCACCTCCCCACCCCATATCCACAAATGTAACCACTTCCCCACCTGTCCTCACTGCCTTCCTCTCATCTCAGAAGAAATGTTTCTGTCTCTCCATCTTTGTGCTTGATTCCTTCCTGCCTGCTCTGAGAACTGCCTCAATGGGGTACTGACTCCTCTCTTTCCCACATCTTCAAACTCTCTTCTACTAAAATAATTCTTTTTGCCTGCAAACATTCTCAAAGTTCTCCCAAATGGTTTTTAAAAGGCCTCCTTTGTTCTTTTGTTCTAGATTTGGCTATTTCTGTCTCTCTTTCCTTCCCTGCTCTTCCAAATGACTCAAAAGAATTGTCTAATTCTTCCAGCTCCATATCTTCACTTCTCATCCTCAACCCTGCAGACTGGCTCCTGCCCTTTGAGGCCATAGAAACTCTTAAATGCCAAGCCCAGTGGGCTCCTTTTGTCCACATCCTACTGGGCCTCCCTACTGCATCTAACTATTCCAAAGCCCTTGAGCTCTTCATCTCCTCCCCCAAGGGCAGGGTACCCATAGCAGAGGCTTGGGATTGCCCTCAATGAGCCTCCATCCCTTCCTTTTGTTCAACACCCCCCACAGAGTTTTACTGGAGAATACAAATGCCCAGTAGTACTCTACCTTCCCCATCCTCCCCTGCAGCTGGGCGTGGCACTCTGAGCTCTTGTCACTAGGATGTGAGCATTCTTGGTGCTGCGGAGCAAGAGGTGGGAGGCTCATGTTAAGGGTAGTAGCATCAACTCACCAACCTGGTCCCCAGAAGACACCCTGGATCAGAGCTAGCCCTGCAGCCATGGACTGCTCCTCTCTGGACTATAAAATAAACTCATATCTCATTTAAGCTATTATATTTTGGGGACATTTTTGTTATAGCAGCTTGGCCCATACTCTAAGTAACAGAGTATTGGTTGGAAGGAAGGCAATCTATAGGCCTTATAAAACCTCCTCCCTGACACCCAATATAATTTAGGTCCTCCTGTTACCCACTCTTTTAGCACCCTGTACCTCTTCCAAGTGTTTATCACAATTTGTGATTCAATAATGATTTGTGTAATGTAGTGGTCACTGTTGATTGCCTTCCCAGCAACTATCCTCCACCGCTTACTTTCTTTTTACTCCACAGAAGCCTGATTTTGTTCAGGTATGCATGCCTCCTTCATTCAGATTCGTGCTGCATAAAATGGTGAGCTTAGACCAATTAGGTTCTCTCTTGTAGATTCTGAATTAAAGAAACAAATAATGAGCCACTTACCAAAAGGATCTAAGACTGAAGAGTCTTAGATTTATAATGTAGAGAGAGCTAATGAAGCTACAATGGACCATGTCCATGCCCAAGTGCTAGGGAAACCAAAACTAAGTGCTAGGGAAACCAAAACTTCCTGCAGGGTCCAGCAGGAAGGACAGAAGCAGGATGTGATGTGCGCCGTGATGACCCGTGCATCCAGCCTGCGGAGGACCCATAGCCACCTTGGATCCAGTCATAGATAGTGTATTAGACTGTTCTCATGATGCTAATAAAGACATACCCGAGACTGGGTAATTTATAAAGGAAAGCAGTTTAATTGACTCACAGTTCCACGTGGCTGGGGAGGCCTCACAGTCATGGTGAAAGGTGAATGGGGAGCAAAGTCAGGTCTTACATGGCAGCAGGCAAGACAGCATGTGCAGGGGAACTCTCATTTATAAAGCCATCAGGTCTTGTGAAACTTATTCACTGTCACGAGAACAGTATGGGGGAACCACCCCCATGATTCAATTATCTCCACCTGACCCTGCCTTTGACACATGGGGATTATTAAAATTCAAGGTGAGATTTGGGTGGGGACACAGCCAAACCATATCAGATAGGATCCACAATTATCCCTAAAATATACCACCTTTCCCTGGTAGTAAAAGAAAGTGCACCCCTCTTTCTCATAATCAAGTAAGGCTGGATTCAGCTCTCCAAAAATGCTGCCTCTTTCATGCTTGCAGGCTTTGCATGCACTCTGCCATCTACTTGAACATGGTGAGGAAAGATGACAGGCAAGAATAAGGATGGTGATGGCGATAGTAACATTACCATTTATCAAGCATTCATATACATCTTATATACATTATTCTTAATCTTTATAACAATGTTGCCAGCTAGGTTCTGCTCTCCCTACTTCACAGATGAAAAAAACTGAGGCTTCAGAAGGACATTGACTTGCTTCAGATCACAAAGTTAGAAAATGGCAAAGCCAGGATTTGAATCCAAACCTATTTGACTCCAAAAAACAGGTTGCCTAGGCCTGCTGTCTCTTTGTCATTTTTTAAACTCAGCCTCTGGAGACAGACAGACACGGGTTTGAATTTGGGGCTCCAACACTTCCTAAGTGGGTAGCTTTGGGCAAAGCACTCCACCTCACTGAGCCTATTTATTCATCTGTAAAATGAGTTCAGCAATAAAACCCACTTCAGAAGGTTACTGAGTTTAAAATGAAATTAATGTAAAGTGTTTGGCTTGTACCTGACCCATCACATCAATGAAAGCAGACATCGTTGTTTCATTATCATTTTTACCCTTTTCACTTAGGCAAATAGCTCTGTCTCCTTTGCCCTGCCCAAGTTAGAGCTCTGTATCTTGTCACAGACACAGTCTAAGAGCTGCTTCTTCACAGGGCCTCCTGGGGCCAGGCCTGCATAGCTCTGTGGAAGTAAGCTCGGGTTGGCCGAGGAATGGCCTGTAATTGATCCCAGTTAGGGCTGGGCAGGTCCTGTCCTC
Organism: Homo sapiens; assembly: GCF_000001405.40. Taxonomy (NCBI): domain Eukaryota; kingdom Metazoa; phylum Chordata; class Mammalia; order Primates; family Hominidae; genus Homo; species Homo sapiens. The sequence continues at coordinate 33,443,977 of NC_000001.11, read as the reverse complement.
CTTGGCTGGGGCCACAGGAAGCAGGACGCTGCCTGATTTATGTCCCTGTTGCACCGAGGATGACCTGGTGTCCTCTCTACGTGTTCCAGCATCAGACAAGGTCATAAAACAGAATTGGTGCTGCACATTTGTTCCTTCAGGGCCAACTTGTACACTGTTGCACCCAGCTTAGGTCAATCCCTTTCAGGGCCCTCCCTGGGAAATGCTGGTGTGTGTGGCCACCTTGTGAGGTCAGGCCGCTGGGAGTTCAGGGCCCTGTTCTTGGCCCAACATCTGGGGATAATGTACGGAAGGAAAATCACAATCTCCTGTGCTATTGTGACTTCAGTGACCATCTATTTGCAAATGACTCCCAATCCACATCCTGAACCTACACCTTCTTCCAGCCTCAGCCTCAGCTATCCACTGGCCTGCCAGGCACCTCCTCCCTTATGTTCCCCAGTTCCCAGCCTGAACTCATCATCTTCATCCCTCTACCTGCTGTTCTCCCTGTGTCTTCCCTCACTGGTTAGCATCACATCCAGCCCGAGAAAGCCACTTCCTCCTAGTCTGATACAGCATCTTCTACATCTTCTTTATAGTTCTGATCACTCTGTTTTGTAATTAAGATATGTATCTCAGGCTTACCATTATCCATATCCTCGTCTCTCTCCTCCAACAGATTATGAATTCCTGGAAGCAAAAGACCAGGTCTGACTCATTCCTCTACCCCCAGTTCCTAAAGCAGAGCCTGGCACAGACTGCACGCTATCAACTTTTGATAGAACAGCTAAAATGAATGAGCAGATGACCAGAAATTGGCAGTTTATCAAGATTATCTTTCAAGGTAGTTTTTAAATAAAGAATTCACTTGGAATGGTGAAATTAGATACTAGCATCTTAGAGCCAGGAAAGACCTTATTAATTGCATGCTCTGAGCCCTTCCATGTATAAACACTGAGATCAGAGAGGTTAAACAACTTTCTGAGTTTGAACAGGGATATAGTGGCAGAGCCCCTGAACCAGCCCCCAAGCACCCTAACTTCATATTCTGTGGCCTTTTCCTCTCTTTCTACATGCTGAGCTGAATTAAGCTCTTTACAGACCCCTGAGTTTGGCTTCCAAACATGAACTTTAGAAGGCAGAGGGTATTCTAGACTCTCTACAAGGGTCTTTTTTTTTTTTTTAATAACAATTGGATCCATTGCAGAAAACTGAGGTGAACCTCTCAGAAACATCCTGTTCTAAAAGCAAGTATAAAACTATATAACTGTGGGGCCCTTATCTTCTCTAAGCCTCAGTTTCCTCATCTGTAAAATGGCAATAATAAAAGCACCTGCCCTAACATATGATGTCTGACTTTCATTTTAGACTGTTGTGGTAAATAGTATTATTATTCCCAATTATTCGTTGGACTTTCAGAAAAGGGATTACCCATCCCTGCCTACCGTGTAGTGTCTCTCTATGGGGGCTGTATAATTCACTGGCCCCAAAGAAGCTTTAAAAGCCATTGCAAGATTCAATTATTGCATTTTTCCTGCTGTCTTCAGACTGACATAGGAGCTGCTCCTTCAGTCTAAGACCTAGAATGTGAGGACGCATACAGCAGAAGCTTAAATAACCTGCAGCTGTTATTAACATAAGTGGGAAGAAAATCTTTGTGGTTGTCAGTCTTTGAGATTTAGGGGTGGTTTCTGTAGCACAGATTAGCAAATGCTGACTAATAACCCTTGGATATAATATAAACAGAATCATTTGGGACACTTTAAAAGAGGAGGTGGGGTTTGTGGTGAAGATATCCATAAAATGCATGAAACCCCAGGTAGCTCTAGGGCTAAGTACTAGTTGGTGTTCAGGGTAAGCTGCGACAATAAAGAGGCTCCAAAATATTAGGTTGGTGCAAAAGTCATCGCAGTTTTTGTCATTACTTGCAATGGCAAAACTCACAATTACTTTTGCACCAATCTGATACAAGTCTTAGTAAGGCACACAATTACCTCTCTCTCATGAAATGGTACAGAGGTTGTTAGGAAGCTCTGCCCCATGAGGTTGCCCAAAAACCCAGGTTATCTCTAACTTACTGCTCCTGCTGTCCACTCTGGGTCTGTCCTCTCTTAAGCCATGTCTGCATTTCACCCTCAGGAAGGGGGAAAGGAAGTAAATAGGGCCCCCAGTGATCCTTTGAAGGATGTGACAGAGAAGTTGCCCATATCACTTCTGCTCACAGCTCATTCCCCAAATCATACTTACATGGCCATATATAATATAAGCAGGCTGGGAAATATAGTTTCTAGCCAGGTAGCCAGGTGGCCACATCCCCTGATGAAACTGGAAGAAGGCTTCCCATTAGAAAAAGAAGAAAGAAGGAAGAAGAAGGAGAAAGATCGGAGGAGAACGGAGGAGGAAGAAAAAGGAGAAAAAAGGAAGAGGGAGGAGGAAGGAGAAGGAAGAAGGAGGAGAAAGAGGAAGAAGGGGAGGAGGAGGAAGAAGGGGAGGAAAGAAAGAAAAGAAGGAGGAGGAGAAGGAGGAGGAAGAGGAGAAGGAGGAGGAGGAAATTCAATGGTATCTTCTGTCCTGAAGCTGGCTGACATAGGCTCATGAAAGGCAATGGCATGCATTTTCCCCCATTTCTGCGTTCATTGTCATGACTTGAAATCAACCTTGATAGGAGTACTTACACCACAGAAATTGGCAAACACTACAGATTTGGACTCTGCCCCTGCCACACCCTCCACACACCAAGGGCCCATTGTTAAACACTTGTCAGCACTGAGGATAATGGATACTGGGAGGCAATCAGCAGTGTCTGCCCAAAGTCGGGCCATGTTTCCTTGGTGCCTCCGCTGGCTTCTCCCCTCCCTCCTGCTCCACGTCCTCACTTTCTGCTTTGCAAGCAGTCTTCCTTTGGTTCAAATTTGTGAGGGCAGCTCATCTGTTCTTGCTTCTTCCTTGCCTGTAGATTGTCTGCCCTGGGGCCAGGTACCCACACTTGGGCTACTCAACTCTGCCCAGGGGTGGAGAAGGTGGATCAGGATCATGCATAAAACTGCCTTCAGAGGAGCTGTGGGCAGAACTGGTGCCAGAGCAGGTTCTATGTGGGGGAGTGAAAGCTCCTTCTCCCACCCCCACCAGCGTTTAGCTTTGTAGACAGCTGTCCTTGTGTAACTTTTCTAATATTCTTTTGTACCTCTGGAGATTGGATGGCTCAATTAGGTGAAATATGTACTTGCTGAGGTAGCAGGAGGCCTCTGGCTGAGACACGGCTGTGCTATATATTACAAGGGTAGTTTTTGTTGTTGTTGTTTGTTTGTTTGACAGAGTCTAACTTTGTCGCCCGGGCTGGAGTTCAGTGGTGCAATCTCGGCTCACTGCAACTTCTGCCTCCCAGGTTCAAGTGATTCTCCTGCCTCAGCCTCCAGAGTAGCTGGGATTACAGCCATGCACCACCATGCCCGGCTAATTTTTGTATTTTCAGTAGAGATGGGGTTTCACCTTATTGGTCAGGCTGGTCTCGAACTCCTGACGTCAGATGATCCTCCCGCCTCAGCCTCCCAAAGTGCTGGGATTACAGGCGTGAGTCACTGCACCTGGCCAATGGTAGCTTTTTATGGTATAAGTAGTACAGTAGTGATTTGCAGATCTGAGGTCCACACCCAAGGATTGAGGAAACGGGGCTGAATGAGCAGAGGCAAAAAAATCCAGGAGGACAGAAAGAACAGAGACTTCAGAGCCAGTCAGACCAGGACCCAGAACCAAGCCCTATCCCTTTTCTGCCAGGTAATCTTGGGCAAGTTCACCTAACACCATATTCTTCATGTCTGCTGTGCCCTCTGTGCCTGAACAGCTCTGCCCTTTGTTTGTCTGGTTAATTTCTAAAGTACTTCAGAGGCCTCTCATCTAAAAGCGAGTCTCTACATGATTCTGTCCATGCTTTCTCTTTGGAGCACGAGTCAGTTTGTTAGTACATGTTTATCTGCTTAGCTCCTAATTTTTCATCTGTCTCTGCACCAAGCTGGACTCTTCCATGTCAGTTTGGTTCAGCATTGTATCCTCAGCACTTAGCTCAGGGCTGGCAGAAAGCTGTCACTCAATAACAATGTGCTGAATGAATGAATGACCATGTGAATGAATGAATGAAGTTAACTTCTCTAAACCTTATCTGTAAACAAGGATATTTAAAATATCTGACAAATAAGGCAGGACAGGAATGAATCAGAAAGCATGCCAAGTGTCCAAAACAAAGTTGTAGAGATCCTGGTGGTCCCTGCTGTGCCAGTTATTAACCCTTTAGTTGCTGGAAGCTGCAGAGGTCTGAGGGATCCTAGGGGAGGAACTGGGAGTGTCGAGGAAGGTTGGAGTTGGGCACTTAGGGGGCTTGGAGCAGCAATCAATAGAAAAATATTTTGCTACTAACAAGCACTTGAGGCTGTACTGGTGCAAACCAGCTAAATGTCAGCCTTGTCTGGAAAACGGAGGAACTGATACGTAACTAATCAAAAGAGGTGCTGGAGGAGATAACATAAATCAGCTCCATGACATGCTAGGAGAGGCAGGCCTAAAATAAGGAAAACACCAGAAGCTTATGTAATAGTAGGATGGAAACAGCTGTACTTCACCTTCCTGCTCCCCATCTTAGCCCCCAACTACAAGAGAGATAGATACATCCTAAGCACCAATTCCAGGTGTGTATGGGAAATCCAGCTCGATCTGGAAAGAGTATCAGTGTCTGAGGAATTGTGAGTATGAAGAAACAGAAGAGGCCCTGGGCATGACAGGCAGCAGAAGAGACTACGGCTCTCCAGAAGACTCTTCTTTGGCCGGGGAATGTTAGAAATAAGAATCCCTTCCATGAAAGCCTGGCCAGGCACCCAACTAGTATTCAAGACCTCAGGCAGGCCCTTTCCTCCTCTCTCTGCTTAAAGATCCCTGACCCAAAAGCTTATTAAAGTAGCAACAGAGACTCCAGAGCCGGGCTAGGGCTTTTTGGTTTTAAGACTCCAGACCAGGATCCCTGAATTTATTTCTCCCTTGAGCAACCCTTGGGAAACAGACATCTTAAGCACGGGAGGACCAGCTGTTGGGGATAAAGCCTGACTTCCAAGCATAAGGTAAAAACAAGTTATGTCCCCTACATCAGACTTAAGCACAAAGAGGAACTGCTATAAGGGCAATGGATGAGTTACAGAATCCAAGGCTGGAGATGGTGCTGGGCCCCGGGTTAGGGAAGCAATCTGGAATCTTAGTACCCTGAAAAACCCAAGCACTGACTTTTCTTTCTCACTGAAGACTGACTGGCTCTATTTTCTGGTATGCATGGTGGAAAATGTCCACAGCCAACCGCTCCTGCATTTATACCACCTCCTTTCCAGAGAGCAACCAGAGTCAGGCAGAATCGCTTCAAGGGCCTGGAGATGGGATATGATTGGTTTAGTTTGGGTCAGGTGTCCACTTTGACCAATCATGTGTGGCCTGGGATGAGGGGTGGAAGCACAGGTATATTTGACTGTTCTCCCAGCCTTCTAGATACAAGAGGAGCAAGGCCATTTCTAGAACAGGGATTCAGGGAAGGCAGGAGACAGAAGGTCTTTTGCATGTGATTTGTCCAGTGCCACGTAACTAGAAAATGCAATACCAAGTCCAATAGATTCCTATGTTTTTTCCATTTTGCTCTATTTCAAGGTTATAAAATGAAGGTCATTGTGCCTAAGGGACACCAGAAGTGAAGTCCAGAGCCTCAGAATCCAATAAGGGTTTGGAGAGCTAAAGGCAATGAGTAAAACAGTGCTTCCCAATACTAGCTTCCCAGGTAGGCCATAAACTGGGGAGAGGCTGGACGTGATGGCTCACCCAGTAATCCCAGCACTTTGGGAGGCTGAGACAGGCAGGTGGTTTAAGCCCAGGAGTTCGAGACCAGTCTGGGCAATATGGTGAAACCCCATCTCTACTAAAAATACAAAACATGAGCCAGACATGATGGTGCGCACCTGTAGTCCCAGCTACTCAGGTGGCTGAGGCGGGAGGATCACCTAAGCGCGGAAAGTCAAGGCTGCAGTGAGCTGAGATTGCGCCACTGCACTCCAGCCTGGGTGACAGAGCAAGACTTTATCTCCAAAACTAAAATAAAACCAAAAACTGGGCAGAATTATGTGTATCTAGCCTGGGTCCTGGCAGGTAGGAGTACTCAATATTTGGTTCTAGAACAAATGAACAAGTGAGTGAATGAGTGAAGGAAGGACTATGCTGCTAAGTCACTTGTAGAGCCTGGTAAAAAAGAAAGATAACAATAGTAAGCATTATTTATTGAGCACTTAGTATTTCAAAACTTTGCAGGTATTAAATCATCAATCTTCACATCAAACCAATGAGCTGAATATTATTATTCCCTTTTATAGATAAGATACTGAGGCACTGAAACATTAAGAAATTCACTCAAGTTCACTGGGCTAGTGAGAAAAACATCAAAAACCTAAGCAGCCAGGCCTGAGTGTCCACACTCAGCCACTGTATCACTGCCTCTCAAGATGTGAGCAGCTCGTCCCAGATTTAGGGAATCAGAATCTCTGGGGGTGGAACCTGAAAATCCGTATTTTAACATATTTCACAGGTGATTCTGATGCACAGCCAGAATCAGACCTAAAACTGTGCGTCTAAAAACTAGCAGTAAGCCTGGAGCCATATGGCGAGAATAAACAAGGTTATTTCCAGGTTTTCAAAGTTTATCTGATTATGTGAACATAAGGTCTGCGGAATAATGTTGACTGATTATATCCCCCTTGTGAGGGGGAACTTCAAACCCAGATCAATTACAAAGAACCCTCTGGGGACCTTCAAACAGAAAGCCTGCTAAGAGGACCTGCTTATGAGCTGCTTTCCCAAGGAGCTGTGCAGCGGCTAGCAGGCCCCCATCCTTGGGAGAGTCAGGACTGACTGTACCTGCCCTAGTTCCTGGACTTTGATCACCAGTCTGACCTCCTTCTCACCCCTGCTCTGATCTGACAACTCCTGCTGGGTTGACCCCATCTCTGACCCTGGCCTGCCCCAGTTTTCAGGCTCACTGCTCCAGACTGATATCTCACATCATGACAGCTCGAGGCAGGACAATATTTGTATCAGCCAATATTGGAATCAAAATACCATCTCTTCTAATGATGTAGTGGTAAATGGAAATTCCCGTCAAAACAGCTGTGACTTTGAGAGTGGAATTCAGATATCTTAAACCAACTCAGCACTGCCACTGAGCATGGGATATAGAAACAGTAAGATATAAATAGCCCTTGGTACTAACTGGAGCAATGTTCTTTCATTCATTGAACAAATGGTTATTGAGGGCTGATTCCACCATGGTTTCTGTATTAGCAGTGGGGACAAAAAAAGATGAACAAGATGTTGTCTCTGCCCCAGGGAGTTCCATTACACCCAATTTTGCTGTTGCACCCAGAGATGATGTTTCAAAGATTAGGCAATTAATTAGAGCAAGGAGAAGAATGGCTACAGGATTGCACTTTTAGAGAGGGCATGTTTCTAACTTTGCCCAAGGCTTCAAAGACCCTCAAATACTGGACCAACCTATGGAAGCTCAGGGAAGTTGGTAATGCGCCTCAGAACACAAACGTTTTTCAAAAACTTAGATCTGTCTATGCACCAAAGGTTCAGGTCCAGGGGGATTGATAACCTTCCTAGTAGTCATCAAAAGGGCTCAGGTCTGGACTTTGACATACCTTGTTTGACATACCTTGTTCTGTTCCTGGCTGTATTCTAACTTGATGTGTGATCTTAGACAACCCACATCCACCCTCTGGGCCACAGTTTCTTCAGACCTCATCTTTTCTCTCTGCCCAGCTCCTCAAAGAATATTTGATAAATGTTTGTCGAGTGAATGAATGACTCCCCAGCGTCCCTTCCAGCACTGGTATTGTAAGTCTGTGAGCTAGACACTTCTTTGGGAAAGAATGGAATTGGCCTAGAAGAGAAAGTTTGGCCCATTCTTGAGGGACCCTTGGTCACACTTCATTCTGTCCGTGTGATCCGCCCCTCATGAACAACCTCCCCTTTCTCTTCATTCCCTCCCTTCATTTTCCATCTCCTCTCCACTCTACCCCAAACATATTATTGTGGGTTGTGTCCCCCAAAAGGATATGTTCAAGTCCTAGCCCCCAGTCCCTGTGAATGTGACCTATCCAGAAATAGGGTCTTTGCAAATGTAATCAAGTTAAGACAAAATCATACTGGATTGGTGTGGGCCCTAATCCCATGACTGGTGTCCTTATAAGAAGAGGTAAATTTGGATACAGATACACAGAGAGAACGCCATGTGGCAACAGAGGCAGAGATTGGAGTGACACATCCACAAACCAAGTGATGCCAAGGATTGCTGGCAGCCACTAGAAACTGGGAGAGAGGCATGGAACAGATTTTCCCCCTAATGCCCCAAGAAGGAACCAACCCTGATGACACTTTGATTTCAGACTTACAGCCTCCTAAACTGTATGAGATTAAACTTGGGCTGTTTTAAGCCACCCGGTTTGTGATATTTTGTTAGGGCACCCCCAGCAAATACATCTATCCAAGGCCATTATTTGGAAATCACCCTACTGATGTATATTAACAGAGCCCTAAAAAGCTCCAGGGGTCCTAACATCTCTCCAAATGCACACTGAAGATGAGTCATCACTGTGTCTATTGTGGATCTCTGACACCAAGAAGCCTAACTCTCCCATGGGGAAAGGAGGGAGGCCTCCCACATTATTATTCATCAGAAAGAGGATACTAGGGGGTGGGGAGGAGAGTCACCAGCTGCTTTTATTCCCACCTGGGACAGCTCGAGAAAAAATGGACTTTTATCGCTATAAAAGGATGTCATAGTCACTTATTTTCACTCATTCAGTAAATGTGTATGGAGCACCTACTATGCCCAGTGCTGGTGGGTGACCGGAAAGAGTGTATATATGGATGGGGGAAGGATGCTAAAGAAATGTAACACACATTCCCTGGGTCCTATGAGCCAAGCTGGAGTAGGAGGCATGCATGTAGCGTGGTGGGTTAATAGCATGGACTTGGGAATCAGATAGTCCCAGCATAGATCCTGGCTTGGCCACTGACTTACAGTGTGATCTTCTTGAACATGTTACTTAATCTCCCAGAGGCTTAGGTTTATTTTGAGGATTAAATAAAACGATGTATATAGCACAAGGCCAGGCTAAGTGCTCCATAAATGTTAGTAATTCTCATTAATGTAGAGCAAAGATGTTTGCCAGAAACAACTCAGGAAAAGAACAAGGTGATTTTGATGAGGTATGACCTCTGTCCAGTTCAGGCCCTCATCACCTCTTGCCAGACACTATCTGATTGAGTGCTCAGAACAACTCTGGGAGGAAATTAGTCTCATTTCACAAATAATGAAACTATGGCTCAGAGATGTAAAATAACTTGTCCAAGTTCACAGAGCAAGGAATGTGGCAGAGCCAGGTGCAAACCAAAGTTCCCAAGCACATGTCTTCCTACTCCTGGGCAACATTTATATGCCAGTCAGAAGGGGGTTGGAGGGCAGGCAGCACATCAGAGAGGGCCTAGGGAACTTCACTTAAGCTGCAGTGTCTTCTATAGAAAGTACGTTGCTTGTACTGGATTTATACATTTATTCTTGTTTAATTAGCAAATACATCTCTAGTGTATACTATGGGGTGTTCTAAGCAGTTTATGTTAGTAACTCATTTCATCCTAACAAGAGTCTATAAAATGGACACTGTTATTATTTCCATTTTACAGATGTGGAAATTGATATGCAGGGAGGTTAAGCAAGTTTCCTAACATCACATAGATAGTTGAGTAGTAGAAGCAGGATTCAAATCTGGATCTTTGATTCCAGAGACAATGCTCTTAACCAGTGTTCTATTCTGCAGTATCTTTTTGTCAGGGGGTAATAGGTTGGCTGTTGGAGTGTGCACATATGGGGAAGTGGGGAGGATTAACACCACACACACAAACACACACACACACATACACACACCACCCTTTGGTGCTATTGCTGCAATAAGACCATGAGTCATTTGACCCTCTAGGGTGAATGGCAGGATGGGGGCTGTTTAGCCCTGGGATTCTCTGAGTCAACAACTTCTCATCCCTGGCCCACTTCCTGAAAACTCTTTGCGCCTCAGCTTTGGAAACCTTTTGAGCACAAAAAGCTCATTTCCTGTGGTCAGGAAGGATGGGATGAGTTCCTGATGACAGCTCATCTCCCTCATTAAGGCGCTCATAAAAGTGTTTCAAGGAGCCTGACTTATGACTCCACTGTTTGTCAAGATCCCCTTCTGCAAGGAGCAACTCCAGTAATTTGGTGCTAGGAGATGTGCAAGAGAAACCAGTTCCTTTGAGTGCAGGAATTATTTATGATCCCAAGAAGAGAGAATGTCATTTGGAGAGATAACAAGCCTTCAGCAGCACAACAGGCTGTTTAATATGCCACGAGGGAAGGAAGGCAGCTTCAGAATTCCAAAGCTAGCTAGGAAGCCTTGAGATATTGTGTACATGTGGGTTGTCTGTTCCTAGGAAAACTCCTGGGATAATAACAAAAATGACATTAGCTATCAATTATGGAGGGTTTATCCTTGGGCCGGGGCCTATATATGAAACGTTTATATATATATATATATATGAAACCGAGACTTTGGGAAGTTAAGTGTGTGTATATATATATACACACATACAGTAAGTCATTAAATTCTCACAACATTTCTATCCTATTTTACAAATGAGGAAATTGAGGCACAGAGAGTTTAAGTAACTTTCCCAAGGTCATACAGTCAATGAGTGGCCAAGTCAGGATTTTTAACCCAAGCAGGTCTGCTTCTATGTTTGTGCTCTTAAGCACCAGTCATGTTTTAGGAGGAAATTGGGTTTTAAAGCAGTCTAGGAAGGTGAAATGTACGTATATTCAAAATTACCTTTGATGATCCCTTTAAATGTCTATAAAGTTTAGCACATTTAGTTTGAGGCACAGAGCCCTGTCCAGTAATCCATAAATATATTAAAGTTAGAGAACCATGGCCAGATGTGGTAGCTTACACCTGTGAATCCCAGAGTTTTGGGAAGCCCAAGTAGGAAGATTGCTTGAGGCCAGAAGTTCGAGACAAACCTGGGCAACATAACAATTACCCGGGTGTTGGGGTGCATGCCTGTAGTCACAGCTACTCCTCGGGAGGCTGAGGCAGGAGGATCACTTGAACCCAGGAGTTCAATGTTATAGTGAGCTATGATCACACCACTGCACTCCAGCCTGGATGACAGAGCATAATTCTGTCTCTAAAAAATAAATAAATAAATAAAATTAGAGAATCACTGAGCTAAACAAGTCTGTACACAGATGTTTGTGTTTTTAAACTACTGTGCCTTTAGCTAAACTATCAAATCCCTAAGGTAAAAATGGAAAGACAGGCATAAGCCGGACGCGGTGGCTTATGCCTGTAATCCCAGCACTTTGGGAGGCCAAGGCGGGCAGATCACCTGAGGTCAGGAGTTCGAGACCAGCCTGGCCAACAAGGCGAAACCCTGTCTCTACTAAAAGTACAAAAATTAGCCGGGTGTGGTGGCAGATGCCTGTAATCCCAGCTACTCAGGAGGCTGAGTCAGGAGAATAGCTTGAATCCAGCAGGCAGAGGTTGCAGTGAGCCAAGATCGCACCATTGCACTCCAGTCTGGGTGACAAGAGCGAGATCGGACTCAAAAAAAACAAAAAACAAAAAACAGACAAACAAAAAAAAACAAAAAACAAAGGAAAGACAGAGAATTCTACAGTGCCCCTTACCTACCTGGTGACTCTATTCTCTTAATATATAGCCTCTGTGACCTTAACACATGTCACTTGTCACAAGGTATATTTGCTGTGGGATTAAGACGTAACACCATCATATCTTGAGAGGAGACAAAATTCTATTAGAGAAGGGATTCTAAGTCCAATCCTAAATTAAATAAATCTGATACAATGAGACTAGCTTTGGGGGCCAGATAAACCTGGATTTGAACCCTAAATCTGCTACTTACTAGCTGTATAACGTTGGGCAATTTGCTTAACTTCCCAAAGTCTCGGTTTCTTAATCCATAGAATGGTCACAGTAATTCCACCATGTTGAGAAGACTGAATTTAAAAGTTTCTAAAGTAATGAGCTTCAGTATAAATCAGTGTAACTCAGCATTAGCTCTTAATAGCTGTTTGACCTAAATTATGTCACATGGCCTCTCTGAGCCTCATTTTCTCTCCTTTGTAATACAGGCATAACTATTCTGCCTATTAATCTCAAAGGTCACTGTAAGGAAACAGTAAAACGCTGTACAAATTATGTACAAGGATTTTCTCAACTGCACAGCACACCTGAAATTGTGAGGAGGTGCTAGGAGACCCCTGCTGGATTTGAAAAAACTGGCGATTGTCCCGGGTCTGAAGTCAAAAATGATCTTAGATCTCCACTTTTGCCATTTAATGTTGTTGTATGATCTTGAGCGAATGATCTAACCTCTCTGAGCCTCCACTTTCCCTACTATCTAGTGGGGTTAATAGGACAGACATCACTTTCTGCAGCAAAGTGTTAAGGCACGTGGTAAGTGCTCAATAAATGTTGGCTGAATCTGGATCTCTCTGGCTGAGACAAATCTCTCCATCCGCAAGGTGGGAAAACTGCGCGTGGTCGCCATGTGGCGCTCAGGTAGAGGAGATGCTCCCGGGGGCACCGGGCTCCGGCACCTCCCCACTCCCCCGCCCACCCGCCCGTTGCCATGGCCACCGGTTCAGGCTGGGAGCAGCACTAAGGCGTGTTCCGCCCAATCCCCGCCCTTCTAGGGTGACCATTGGCTGGAGCGGCCACGTGACGCGCGCTGGTATGCTAATATATGGTAATAGCGCCCTCGCCCCTCCTCCGCGGGCAGCGTCCGAGCAGCCAGCAGGGTGCGCGGCGCCGAGCCGAGGGGGCGGGCTGAGGGGCGGCCCCCGGGAGAGAGCGGCCAGGTGGAGGAGGAGCGCGGAGGCGACCGCAGGTAACGGGCGGGCGCGTGCGCGCTGGGGCCAGCTCGCGGCTGACGGGCAGCGCGCGGGGGACACCGGCCGCCGCGCTGCCGGCTTAACCCTTTGGGCACCCAGCTGTCACGGTCGGGCCGGAGCGCTCGGCCGGGACGGGCCGCGCGGGGCGGGGCATTGCCATGGGCACGGACAGGCGGGCGGCAGGCGGCCTGACCCCTGGTCCGCGGCGTGGGGCCCGCGCTGGGAGCCCGCAGTCCCGGCCGGCGACCGGCAGAGCGCGGCGCCCCCGGGCCGGGAACGCGCAGCGAGGAGGGCTGCGGAGAGCCTGGGGCCGAGGCTTGCCGGGAACGGGAACCGGAACGGGAACGGGCCAAGGTCCCGTCAGTGACTCGCTTTCTCCGGGGACCGACCCCCCTCCTGCGGAGAGGCCCGCGCCGCGGCAGCCCGTGGTCTTGCGCGGCCTGCGCCTGCTCCGCTTGTCCCGCAGAGTGCGGTGAGACCCGGGCGTCGGGCCTGACCGGGGCGCCCGCTCCCCAGCCGCGGCGTGACAGCGCAGCCGCTGGCACTTTCGGCCCAGAGTCAAGCGTGGCGTGGGGGGCACCAGCAGAGGGAACCGGGGGTTGCTGGAACTGGGAGGAGAGAACAGTCGTCTAAAGGAAAAGCGGGCCCCAAGGTTGGAGAAGGAGGGATGCCCTAGAAAGGCGCTGGTCCCTTGTTTTCTGTGCTGAGTGATGACCTGACACCCATGGGAAAAGGTCGCTGCTGGACACCTGGATCGGGTCTGTCATACACGGAGGAAGCGGCTGTTCTACGTGAGTGTCTAACAAATTTCTTATAAGGCGAGGTTTAAATTCATCTTCCCCCCTCCCCAGGTCTGCTACAGAAGTGTCTTCTTGTAATTATCCCCCTCCCCCAATTCACTAAGACTGGTGGCAGCTTTAGGCTCACAGTGTAATTTAGCTTTTGCGACAATAGAAATGGTAGGAGGAGAGATGCGCCACTGATACTAAGCTTGCCCTGGGAGTTTCTTGGAAGTGTGGGGTAAAAAATATTTCTATCACCAGTGGGGATGAAAAATCGGCTAATGCGCCCGTGATATCAATAGAGTTTCTTTTGTGAGTCTAAAGTCGTTCCTTCTAAATCAAGAGAAAATGCGGTTACAATTGAAAAGTACCAGAAACCAATTTGATTTTGCAAGTGAAGTGCAAATTCCACTTCCACGTTGCTCTTGATGTCTTTTATCACCCAACAACAAATACTTGGCATATGCCAGGCACTCTGCTATGTCTTGGGGATGCAAAGATGAATAAGATAATTAGTCCTTGTCCTGAAAGAAGTGGTAGGAGAAACAAATGAAATTGCTAGTAAAAGTGATTAACAGCATAATAGATGTGAATGCAAAGGGCTTTGGAAGCACAGAGGAGGGAACAATTAGCTGTCTGAGAGGACCAGGGAAGGCTTTCCAGAGAACACATTTAAGCAAGGTGTTGAAGGATAAATAGGAGTTTACCTTGCAGAGAAAATTGGAAAGGACTGAAAAGGCAGCCAAAGCGGGGGAACAGCGAATGCAGCCACATAAAGAATATGTTATCTCTAGGGAATGGCTTTCTATTGTAACTATGGCTTTTTTTCCTTCCTCTGTAATGTAACTTTCTAAAAGTAGCCTAGAATTTCTTATTCCCAGCACAGTTGTCCAGTGATATTTTTCTTATTGTTTTCTCCCCCATATTTTCCCCTCATCAGTTTTTCTGAGCCTCATTCCTGGTCTTTGTCACCCATATCTTCCCAAGTAAGGGTCCATCATGTGGAGGTTGAATAGGAGTAGTTTTCAGTTGCTCCAAGGGAGAGGGCCTGAAACTGGGCATAATGTTTGGCACTAGAGGCAGCATCTGAGAGGGGCAAATCTAAATCATACAAAAAGAGAATACATGACCATAACTAGGGAAGCAATGCTGAATGTCAAATTTGTGAGACCTGGGGAAATAAGTAGTAAGATCAGAAGCTGGAAGGATCTGGATTAAGAGAGGATTGGAGTGTGAGATGGGTCAGGGCAAGTAGTCCAGGATTGAGACCATGAATCGTGCACATGCAGCTGAGCCCACTGTTGCATGGTGCCAGCTGTGCAGAACAGCGGTGGATCTGCCAGACTGGGCCAGGCCCTCCATAGGCTTTCCAATGCCTCCTCCTTTCTGTTCACCCTCCCTCCTTACTATTATCCTCTTCTCTTCATCCCAGTTTCCACCCATGTCTCATGCATTGGGCTTCTTTTAATGAGGTCTTAGCTAACAGAGCAGAGAAAATCCCATTCTGCTGTCTTAGCATCTATCTCTAGAACTATAAATAGTCCATTTAACCTCATTAGCCATCAACTAGCCAGCCTATTTTTACTTCCTGATCATTTAGAAGCTGAGCAAGGTTGGGCCCAGAGTAGCAAAGTGGACCTCATCCCCAAAACTCTTCTAATATTTGAATCAGATAAAGGCCTTTTTGCTTTGCTTAGACCACATTTATTTTTAGAATGGATTATGGTGAGTTTTTGGCAAATTTCCTGTTTTGAATTATATTACAGATCAAGTCGTGTAAAGAAGGTGTCACTGGGGTGACATGCTTAATACGGTCTGCTAAGATTGATGATACTGTAAGTGCTGGAAAATCATGGGCGGTATTTAAGCAATCTTCTCAGTCAGTGTATTTACTGAACACCTGCTTGTGTGCAAATACTATCCTGTATTTGTGATGTGGAGGAGACAGGAAAATGAGAGTGGTGGTGTAGTATGGGGGTTATTCTCAGCTAAACAAAGATTTGGATCCCAGTTCTACCAGGTACTTGCTACATGACTTTGACTTCAGTTTCTTCATCTGTAATAATGCCACCTACCCAATATAGTTGTGAGGACTAAATGAAATCACAAATGTATAGCAGTCATTTAGTACCTTTTTGAGATGCTTAATGCGTGGTATTATAGGAGTTGAGAAAAGAAAAAAAATGGTGATAATTGAAGCCATATGATTAGCTGAGTTCACTGCTGGTAACAGCATAGAAATAGAATAGAGGATGAAGGACTGAAGCTTGAAGATACATCCCACATTTAGGGAGGGAGGGAGAAGGCATGGAGTCCGTATGGTAGAAAATAAGAAAAGAAGCAAGAGAACCATCTAATGTATTTATCCAACAAATGCATTCTATTCACCACCATTTGTTGTGTACCTGACAGATGCCAAGGCCAGTTAGACACGCTATTAACCATGAGAGTGTAGTATCACAGAAGTCAAGAGAAGAAAAAGTTTTGAGCTGCAGAAATTCGTCAGCAGTTTGAAATTGTACAGAAAGAGTGGGAAACATTCATTATACTTAGTAAACAGAAGGTCATTGGTAACTTTTTGAAAATGATAGCTTCAGTAGAGTGGCGGGGGTGGCCATGGGGATATGAAAAGCCACATGAGAGAGAACTGTGGCATGAGATGCCGATAAGAAGTGGAGACAGCATGCGGATCACCTTTTGTATGTTTGGCAATGAAAGGAAGAAAAGAAATAGAAAAGTGATTAGTGAAGGCAGCACAGTCAAGCGGAAGATTAATTTTCCCTGTCTGCTTCATTATTTTCGTTGACCTAAAATATTATTCTTTTTATTTCATATCCTTAATAGCAAGTCAGCAGTTCATTTCTTAAACTTACTGCTTTGATAACTACCTGAATGTTTCACTGAACAGTAATAGTGTAGCTGTCGTTTATTGAGTGCTCACTATGTGCTAGGCATCGTGCTAAGCTCTTTGTATACATTCTGTTCATTATCCCATTTAATCTTCCCAGCACCAGATTATAACCACACAACCTCTTGGCAGCACGGAAAGACTAAGTAAATTGCCAGAGGTCACATAGCTAATGAGTGGCACAGATGGGATTTGGATCCAGCTCAGACTCTAAAGCTTTCCTGAAGGATCATGCTATACTGTCTCTGAAGTCAGGGCCAGCTTTGTGGGTATGCAGCCTGTGCAGTCTCCCAGGGCCCTGTGTTTAGAGGGGCCCCATGCTTGGTTTAATACTCTCTTGTTGCTGTCTTGAAATTCTTAATGATTTTTAACAAGGGGGTTCTACATTTTCATTTTGCACCAGGCCCCACAAATTATATACCCAGTTCTGCCTGAAGGTATCTGTACTACCTCCTGAGGGTATCTGTACTACCTCCTGAAGGTAGGAAAGCATTTTGTGCTGTGGCCTTTGGTTTGGGTAGGTGGCCTAAGTCCTTGCTATGTCATGCTGCACAATCACACTTTCCTATGGTCCCCTCATTTTGGACTCTGTGAGTTTGCTGGTGTGAAGGGCAAAAGGAAATGCCCAGTCAATATGAAGAGAATAGAGAATAAAGAGGCAAGGAATTGCTTACTTAGACTGACTTCTGGAAACTCATCCACCATGTTTTGAGGGTATTACTGGAGAGAGTTATAGTCCTGATGCTATTGTTACTCCCAGTTTAAATACAACACAAGTTCATTTCTATTCCTTTTGTAGTCAGGTATACCCATTTGTTCATGGGAAGATATGGAGACCATTTTTCAACGTACTGAAACAGAAATTGGAGTGGAACAGGTACACTACAACTTGTCTGCCCTCATCTGGTGCCTTTTTAACCACGTTGATGCCACCCTTTGACCCTCAAACCATGGACCCCCCCCCAGCAGCTTTGAACCCCACTGGTTGCCACCATTGTCTGGAATGCTTCTGTTCTGTCCTGCCTTTGTTGCTTACTCTGTTCCTTCATCTACCCACATGAATCATGAAAAACAGAAACTTCTATTTTCTCTCATTTTTGGCTTTAGGAAAGAAATAGGAAAGTGATTAGTGAACTGAGAACCAATTAGGTTTTTCTGGGTTTCATGGTTATGGTTCTCTCAGAAACAATTTTTACTCATCCTCTTGCTCCTCTCACTTCTGGTCTCTCTGAGTAATGATTTGACCAAGTCCTGACATCACTTGACACTTACCACTTGACCAAGTCCTACGCCAACCAACCTGGATTCCTTTGTGGGGGAAATCAGACAAGACTGAGATTGTGTTGCCTCCTCCCATTACCTGTCTCATCCCCGTTCAGAGTGTTTGTTCTCATTTTCTATGCCCAACATGGACCAGGTAAGCCTAAGAAAACGTGAGAAGAAAAATATGAAGAGATGTCCAATATAAACTGCAGTATACATCATGAAACACAGTTTACATGGCTGGGCTGGGTCTTCTCCATAGTCTCCTAGTTATGCTGTGGCATGGTCTCCATAAGGCACTGTAGTAGTTATCCACTGCTGTGTAACAAATTACCCCAACATTTACCAGCTTAAAACAAAATTTTCTACTTATCTTTTAAGACTCAATTCAAGCATTACCTCTCAGAAGGCATTTCCCAGCTTGCTTTTTAAGAATTAGTAATCTTCCTCTTTGATATTTCTTCGTACTTCAGCATCTCATTATAGCATTTACCACATTGTTATAATTGCTAGGGACCATGTCTTTTTCATACCCTTAACTTCAGTTCCTAAAACTATTTCTTGAATGTC
This sequence comes from Homo sapiens, assembly GCF_000001405.40. NCBI lineage: Eukaryota > Metazoa > Chordata > Mammalia > Primates > Hominidae > Homo > Homo sapiens. Next base: position 33,425,448 of record NC_000001.11, on the reverse strand, counting down.
ACAGATGCTCAGTAAATGGTTGTTAAAAGAGCTTAAGAATAACTCATACCTTTATCGGCTTTCACTTTATTCTTTATAAAACGTAGGTATATTGCAAAGTATCCAGCCTTGTTTCCTGTGATAGGCTCATATATCGTTGTTGAAGGTTAAATGTAAAGAAACGTTGTATATGTCCAAGACTGCTTGACTTGCCAACTTATCTACTCCAGTGAAGACTTCTTGAATTTATCTTTATCTATAGGTCTCTGTGCCATTCCTAGTCTGAAACCAATTCTGGCCCTTATAGGAAATTATACAGTGAGCACCCCTAGTCCAAAGATACTTGGTTCAATAATAAAATCAACATTTGTTCACTATTCAGATATTTGACTCTTAAATTTTATGAGGGTACATCTGTGTCTGGCTTATTCACTGCTCTTTTCCCGACACCATGCCCTAGTAGCTGCACAGCAAATACTTAGTGAATGAATTAATGAAACTCAATTCTTGATAATTCATGTCCCATTCCTGTTATCCAGGTCCTGACCTCTGATCACCCAGAATCTTAGGCCTGATTCATCATTTCATGTGACCCAGACTTTTTGTTTTGGTCCTTGACTTTTATCTTCCAGGGCCTTATTATGGCTGGATAAGAATCTGACTCCTTGCTTACTCAGAACTAAAGTATCTCTTTGTTTCTTGATCGTCCTAACTAATAATATAGGCCAGATGCCCTTAGAAAAATATTATTTTCTCTACCTGAAGCCAGAAACATTCCGAATACATATTAAATGTATTTAAAAATATTTAAACTGAAGATAATTACATTCAAATTTCTAAAGAAAGTGAACAGGCCCTTTGAGAAACAAGTTTTGGGCAGAGACCAGCGTCTAAAATTTTGTGAGTCTATTAGAATGATTAACTTGTAAGCTTCAGCAAATCAATGCAAATTAATTTTTATACCCACCAGTGAATCAAAGGAGGGGAGGGAATTGAGTGAGTGTGTAAATATGGTTGCTAGGGAAACTTTTCCTGACAGAAGAGAGAACCTCGCAGGAATTTTTACAGGCCCACAGAAGCAATGTAACCTGATCTTTCTCTGTTCTCTTTCTAATGGGGGAAGAAAAGATGTAGAAACCATGGGTACAGATAAAGGTGGCTTTAGACTTTTCAAGAGACTTGAGGAGTAAGTTCTCCAGAACAAATGATGACTATTATAAGGCACCCGTTCGTTTTAAGGAACCATCTGGAAATGAATCTATCTCTAAAATAGTATTAATGAATCAATCTCTATAATAGTATTAATTTACTCAACAAATATTCAGCACTTTCTTTTTTTTTGTTTTTTGTTTTTTTTGTTTTTTTTTTTTTTGAGACGGAGTCTCGTTCTGTCGACCTGGCTGGAGTGCAGTGGTGCAATCTTGGATCACTGCACCACCTCCGCCTCCCAGGTTCAAGCGATTCTCCTGCCTCAGCCTCCCGAATAGCAGGACTACAGGTGTGTGCCACCATGCCCGGCTAATTTTTGTATTTTTGGTAGAGATGTGGTTTCACCACGTTGTCCAGGGTGGTGTTGAACTCCTGACCTCGTGATCTGCCCTCCTCGGCCTCCCATAGTGCTGGGATTACAGGCATCAGTCATGTGCCCGGCCTTATTCAGCACTTTCTAAATAAAAAATATGTATTTTCATTGTCCAGAAGGAAATACAATTATAAGCAGTTGATAATTTGAAAGTACTGCATTACACCTAGTTCTTCCAAGTTTTGCCCCAAATTAATTTTTTTAGTATAGGGTAATGTGAACTTAATTAAATATTTAATGCTGTTTCTAGAAATAAAATTCTGCTTCTGTACAAAAAGCTTAACAGGAGTGTATCTTCTGTTATTTCTATTCTTTGGTTGCTGCTCCTGAGAAAAAACTAATTCATTGGTCCATAAAGCCATACCCCAAAGTAGATGTTCATCTAGTGACAGTGTCATCTTAATTTTAGATATAGTACCAGTGTAGGACACATCCGTCTCCTTGATGGCTAAAATCATGAGATCCTTCTTATTTTAGCTGTACGGGATGGATGGTTTCAGGTCTTAAAATCTTGGCTGTAAAATGCATTTGGATTGAAATATGGAACACTGTCCCATATCTGAAGCCTACCATTCAGTGTCTCCATTCCTTCTCTTCCCACTTTTATTTTGTTTTCAGTTACAAATAAGGCTTGCATTTGTTTGAAAAAGTATATACTTTTTAAGCCCTTTAATACTTCAATGTGCTAGAGTTATGTTCCAAGCACAGTATCTTCCGCTGGCCTGCAGAGAGGCAGTTGGAGGTAAGGGTTCACTGCAGGGACACTAGAGCCATAATGCTGGGGTTCCAGCCTTGCCTCTGCCACTCATGAGCTGTGAACTTCCCAGCCGCCTTCCATCTGTACTCTCTCTGCTCTAGTCTTCTTGGGTATAGTGGGGGAGAATCACAGTCCCTACCTCGAAGAATTATAGAATTAAACAGGTTAATAATGTGAGGTACATAATAAGAATTGTGTAGGTTTTACCTTTCTTTATTTCCTGGGGCCTCCTAGATAGAATTGATATTTGAAGGAAGAGAAAGTTGAGATGTATAAAGGTATAATAACTTGCCTAAAGTATACAGTAAATTTAGGCTCAGACTATTCTCATTCTTAAATTACCAAGGAAGTTTTCCATTCCGCCTAGTAAGAGAGAGAGAAAATGAGAATTAGAATAAGAGGGCAGAACTTGGCTTTTAGGGCATTTTGAAATAGAGGTTACTTCACATAAGATGGTGACACTAAAGCCCGTGAAAATGAAATTGCTTTCTCAAAGGCAGAGTATTAGAAATGGTTTGGAATAATATAAGTAGGGAATGTGGTACTAGGTCAGGCCCATTGTATAACCAGCCAAAAATTTGGTTTCTGATCATGATAACAAAGCTCAGTTGGAAGGGTGTATTGTAGCTTCAAGCCATGACAAAATCTTCTGATTACAGGGATGGGCTTGCCCATCCTTTTAGTATCCTTCTGTCTTTGTTTACCTGAGTATTTAAGCTTTATTTCTATTTTTGGCCTCTACAATCATATTTATTTATTCAACAAACATTTAATAAGCTTCTATACCTCACTCTAGCAGCTGGGGGGATTCAAAGATGAGGAGAACCCAGGCCAGGTACTACAGAGGTTTCTAAAGAAAGAAAGACATGGAAACATTAATTATGGTATTGTACTTAGTACCATAATAGAAGTATGGTCCCTGCTTAGAAATGTTAGGAAAAGTTTTCTGGAGAAAGTGACAGGGTAAGAGGAAGCTTCTCAGCCAGACAGAAGCAATGTCTGCAAAGGTGAGGTTGTATTTGCTTGAGAGAACACATATGGGGGGACCTCCAAACAACCTTTCAAGACCACAGCAGAACATTTGAGGAGGGTCATTGCAGAAATAAGGCTGAAAAGTAGGCTGGCATCAAATCACAAAAGGCTTGGTTTACCAGGCTAAGGAATTTGGACTTTATGGTGGAGGCCATAGGGAGCTGTTAAAGCCCTTAGGAGTAACGAGATCAGATCCGCCTTTTAGAAAGAACACATCAGCAATGTGAAGGGTGGTTTGGGCAGGAGTGAGACCAGAGACGGAATCATGCAGTTAGCGAAGAACCTTTAATGAGCCTTCTCGTCTACTGCCAGTATGTTTACTCTTGAATATATATGTTTGTTCATTCAACCCCAGTTTGTTAATGGCATGTGAGATACTAGACTCACTGCTGGAAATACTGAGAAACAACACACCACCCATGTCTTGGAGTTGCTTGCAGTGTTTTATTTGTCCTAAACACAAACGTTCTTGAGTTTTCAGCTTCTCTTGTCTATCCTCTGTTTCATCTCAGTCCCGGGACTGGGGTTCTGGTATGTTGAAATGAGCTCATTTGGGTTTATCTTGTCTGTACTCCTCATGACATCACCCATAACTCCTTCCTTTCAGCCTTCATATTTCCAGAGTGCAAAGTTCTAATCATTTAATAAGTTCCTGTAGAGAATGCATCCATTTTACATCCCTTTACTTAGACTTCTGCTATTTAAATTCTTATTTTTTTTCTTATTTCCCCCAACCTCAAGTACTGTGTGTCAGCGCTCTTAGTCACACACTTTGCCCTACTTCCTGTCCTTTACTAGCTTACAAAGTCCCGTCTTTATTCCTCTTTTCCTGTTTCCCCAAGGATATGCATACCAGAATTGTAGACTACATTATTTTCTTTGCTTTTCTCATGTGGGTGCCTTTCCCCCATGAGATCACAGTCCCCAGAGGAATAGCTCCTGACAATAAAGAAACTGAAGATAAGACAACATTTCTCCTGAAATAGAAGAGATGGAGTTGTATTAGAAACGGTAGTGTTTATTGCATAATAATAATTGGAATTACAACTTATTGAGTGCTCATAGATGATAATTGTCATGCTAGAGCATAACGTTAATTCTTATTTAATCCTCACAGCTACTCTGAGGTAAGTACTCATGTCATTTCCATCTTACAGATGAAGAAACAGGCTCAAAGAGGTGAAAATAGTCTGGGCACAGTGGCTTACACCTGTAAACACAGCACGTTGGGAGGCTGAGGCAGGAGGATCACTTGAGCTCAAGAGTTTGAGACTAATCTGGGCAACGTGGCAAGACCTTGTCTCTACAAAAAAATTTAAAAATAAGCCAGGTGTGGTAGTATGCACCTGTGGTCTCAGCTACTCAGGAAGCTGAGGTGGGAGGATCACTTGAGCCCAAGAGGTCAAGGTTGCAGTGAACTATGATCGTGCCACCACACTCCAGCCTGGGTGACAAAAAGGAAAGAAAAAAGAAAAAAAAAAGAGGTGAAATAACTTGTCCGAGTTCAAATCATGAATACATTAGCCAGATTTTGAACTGAGGACTGACTCTAGAATGGAAGTTCTTCATTGCTGTGTAATGTAGGGTGAACATGCAGGCTTTGAGTTCCAGTACCTGTGGTCATTAAGAGTGAGCTGATTTTTTTCAATCTTCCTTTAGTTATAACTGCCATCACCAAGTCTAGTTTCTCTTTATCTTCTTGATTCTTACTAGCGACCTTAGTAAGCTGTTTTATTTGAATCATAAGGTCTAGGCGCGTTTCCCTCCCCCAAAGTTTGTGATCAGTTTCATAATTGTATAGATTTGAGTTTGTATGTTAGCACTATTGTGGTGTTATAGTTCATTGTAGATACAATGCTTACAGTTTGGGGACCTATCTCTAGGCGAATGGATTGTGCCTTGAAACATGGTTGCATAACAGGTTTGTTGTAGAGAGAGCTAAATATCCTTTAAAAATAAATGTTGTTTATGTAATAATTTCCACACCACATCAGCCTTCCCTAGTGATAAATAGTAGGCTGAATAATGACCACCCAAATATATTAGCTCCTTATCCCCAGAACTTGTAAATATTACCTTATAAGGAAAAGGAATATTTGCAGATGTGATTAAATTAAGGATCTTGACATGGGGGGGTTATATCTGGGTGGGCGCTAAATACAATCACAAGTGTCCTTATAAGAGAGAGGTGGCCGGGCGCGGTGGCTCACGCCTGTAATCCCAGCACTTTGGGAGGCCGAGGCGGGTGGATCACGAGGTCAGGAGATCGAGACCATCCTGGCTAACACGGTGAAACCCCGTCTCTACTAAAAATACAAAAAATTAGCCGGGCGTGGTAGCGGGCGCCTATAGTCCCAGCTACTCGGGAGGCTGAGGCAGGAGAATGGCATGAACCCGGGAGGTGGAGCTTGCAGTGAGCTGAGATCGCGCCACTGCACTCCAGCCTGGGCAACAGAGCGAGACTCCGTCTCAAAAAAAATAAGAAAGAGAGAGAGGCAGAAGGAGACACAGACAAGGTGGAGACAATGGACATGGAGGTTATATCTGGGTGGGCCCTAAATACAATCACAAGTGTCCTTAGAGAGGCAGAGGAAGACACAGACAACATGGAGACAATGTAAACACAGAGGCAAAGAGTGGATAGATTCTTCCGTAGAACCTCCTGAGGGAGAGCACAGCCTGCTGACCCCTTGATTTCCACCCAGTGAAGCTAATATTGAACTTCAGGCCTCCAGAACTGTGAGAGAATAAGTTTCTGCTGTTTTAAGCCACTAAGTTTGTCATCGTTTTTATGGCAGCAACAAGGGACTAAACAATGAGGGTAGTCACTTATCATACTGCTTAGCTCATTTTGAGAGAAAATATTATGACTTAGTAAAGACAACAACCAACTAATATAACATGTATAATAATAATTTCGGCAAACATGTATGTAGTCTTTACTATGTGCCAGGCACTGGTGTAAGCATTTGAAATGTATTTACTCATTTATTCTTCATAGCAACTCCCATAATGGGGGTTCTGTTTTAAATGGGAAGTGCACAGAGAAGTTAGGTAACTTGGCCAAAGTGATGCAGTTAGTAAATAATGGGGCCAGGACCTGAACCAAGGCAGACAGTTTGATTTCAAAAGGCCATGCTATTAAACACTATGCTATACAGGGCTTTACACTGGGCAAGCATTCCACAAAGGACAAAGTGACAGTGTCTAAAGTCTTTTCAATCTTCTAGCCTCTTCTCCATGTTTTCTGCTGTGTTCACTGTTTTTACCCTTTTCCATTAGGTAGCCTTTATCTTTAATATTTTTTCTCTTCTAAATATCCTTGTGTAGTTTTGGTATCAGGGTAATTCTGGCCTCATGAAATGAGTAGGTAGGAGTTTCTTTTTCTGTTTTCCAGAAGAGTTTATATAGTATTGGCATTGTTTCTTTTTTTTGAATATTTAATGGAATTCACCAATAAAGCCATCTGTGCCTGGAGTTATCTTTGTGAATAGATTTTAAGCCAAGAATTCAGCTACTTTAATAGCTATAGGGCTATTCAGGTTATCTATATCTTCTTGAGTGAGCTCTGATAGTTTGTGTCTTTCAAAGAATTTGTCCATTTCACCTAAGTTGTTTAAGTTATTGGTATAAAGTAGTTCATAATATTGTTTCATTATCCTTTTCATGTCTATAAGATTTCTTTCATTCCTATCACTGGTGATTTGTGTCCTCTTTCTCTCTCTCTCACTCTCTTTCTCTCTCTTGCTCTTGCTCCTTTTTCTGATCAATCTGGCTAGAGGTTTATCAATTGTATTGATCTTTTCAAAGAGCCAGCTTTTCATTTCATCAATTTTCTCTCTAGTTTTTCTGTGTTCTATTTCATTGTTTTCCACTCTTTATTATTTCCTTCCTTTTGTTTGCTTTGCATTTTATTTACTCTTCTTTCTCTAACAAAATAGAAGCTGAGGTTAATGATTTGAGATCTTTCTTCTTCTCTAACACTAGTGTTTTAATGCTGTAAAATTTCCTTTAAGTACTACTTTAGCTATATCCTACAGATTTTGATACGTAATGTTTTTGTTTTCACTAGGTTTAAAATATTTTCTAATTTTCCTTAGGATTTCTTCTTTGACCCATGAGTTATTTTGAAGTGCATTGTTTGGTTTTCAAATATTAGAGATTTTCCTAATGGCTTTCTGTTATTGCTTTCGAGTATAATTCTGTTATGCTTAGAGAATATGCTTTATATGATTTCAGTTCTCTTAAATTTATTGAGACTTATTTTATGGCCCAGAATGTATATTCTGTTGTCATTAGGTGGAATGTTCTATATATCTAAATTAGGTTTGTAGTGTTGTTCAAGTCTTTTATATATGTATTAATTTTTACATCTACTTGTGTCATCAATTACTAAGAGAGGAGTATTGAAGTCTCCAACTATAATGGTAAACTTGTGTTTTCCTCCTTTTAGTGCTATCAGTTCTTGCTTTACTTGTTTTGAAACTCTGTTACTAGGTACATACACATTTAGGATTGTGTGTTCTCTTGATGAACTGCCCCTTTATCATTATAAGATTACCTTCTTTTTTCTGGCAATATTCCTTCCTCAGTCTATTTTGTCTGATATTGATATAATCATTGCAGCTTTCTTATGGTTATTGTTTGCATGGTGTATCTTTTCCACCATTTTACTTTTAGCCAATATATGTCTTTATTTTTAAAGTATGTTTCTGTAGAAAGCATATCTTTGGTTTTTAATCCAATATAAAAATTTCTGCTTTTTAATTGGGATGTGTAAACAATTTACATTTACTATAATTATCGGGATAGCTGGCCTTGAATTGACATTCTTGCTGTTTGTTTTCTATTTGTCCTATCTGTTCTTTGTTCCTTTTTTTCTCTTTTTTTTGGCCTCATTTTGGATTGTTTGAGTTTCTTAATCTTGACCCCATATTGTCCTTGTTATTGCATTATTGCTTATGTGTCTTTGTTTTATCTTTTCTTAGTATTTGTCCTCCTGTTTATAACATATGTCTTTAACTTATCCCTATCTATCTCCAAATAATATATATCACTTTATATATATTAGAGAAACATTAAAACTATATACTTCCATTTTTCCCTTCTGGTCCTTTGAGTTATTGTCATGTATTTTATTTAACATGTTTTATTATTACTTTAAGTAGTCAATTATCTTTTAAAGATATGTAAAAAATGAGGAAACGTGACCTTTATATTTACTCACCTATTTACTGTTTCAGATGTCCTTTTTATTCCTTTGTGTTTCTCTTATCAATTTCTTTAGACTAAATAACTTTCTTTAATATTTTTGATAGTGCAGTTATACTGGAATTATTTATTTCAGTGTTTGTCTGAAAAGTTCTATTTTACCTTTGAGAGATATTTTTACTAGGTAAAGAATTCTAGGTTAATAGTTTCTTCCAGGACTTTAAAGATGTCTATCCATTGCCTACTGGCTTGCATAGTTTATGAGAAGAAATCTGCTGTAATTCTTTTTTTTTTTTTTTTTTTCTTTTTTTTGAGACAGAATCTCACTCTGTTGCCCAGGCTGGAGTGCAGTGGCGTGATCTCGGCTCACTGCAACCTCTGCCTCCTGGGTTCACGCCATTTTCCTGCCTCAGCCTCCCGAGTAGCTGGGACTACAGGTGCCTGCCACCATGCCTGGCTAATTTTTTTTTTTTTTTGTATTTTTAGTAGAGACGGGGTTTCACCGTGTTAGCCAGGAAGGTCTCAATCTCCTGACCTCGTGATCCACCCGCCTCAGCTTCCCAAAGTGCTAGGATTACAGGCGTGAGCCACCGCTCCTGGCCAGAAATCTGCTGTAATTCTTATCTATGTTGCTGTAATGTCTTTTTTCTCTGGTTACTTTTAAGGTTTTCTTTTCATCACTTCAGCAGTTTTATTATGATGTTCCTTGGAGTCACTTTCTGTATATTATGCTTGGATTTATGGATTTCATCAAATTTGGAAAACTTTTAGCTATGGTTTCTTCAAATATTTTTTTATGTTCCCTTCCTCCCCACATCTCTTTTCCTTCTGGAGCTCCAATTTCATGAATATTAGATTGCTTGATATTGTCCCACAGGTCACTGATGCTCTGTTCATTTGTATTCAGTCTCCTGTGTCTCTGTGCCTCATTTTGGGTAATTTCTAATTCTGTGTCTTCAAGTTCACTGATCTTTACTTCTGAAGTTTACAATCTGTTGTTAATCTCATCCAGTCTATTTTTGGTTTCAGATGTTGTATTCTTAGTCTCTAAAAGTTTAATTTATGTCTTTTTTACACTTTCCCTTTCTCTTGTCCTCATGTTCATGTTTTCCTCCACTTCTTGAACATGTGGAACATATTTAGTAAAAGTATTTTAATATACTTGTTTGCTAGTTCTTTCATCCATGTCATTTCTGAATACGTTTTTACTTATTTATTTTTTCTTCTGGCTAAAAGTCTGATCTTCCCATTTCTTTGCATGCCTGGTAATTTTTTATGGGGGACTAGGTATTGTTAACTTTATATTCTTGATGATTAAATTTCATTATATTTCTTTAATTAGTGTTGGCTTTTATTTTGGATGCAGTTATGTTACCTAGGATTACTTTGATCCTTTCAAACGTTGCTTCTAAGCTTTATTATGGTGGGTCCAGAGCAGCCGTTGGTCTAGAACCAATTTAGCCCTCACTACTTTGTCAATATTCTTCTGGGGGTTGTATCTAATTCCTTGTCTATTACAAGGTCTTTCTGCTCAGATAGATGTGAACACAAACTATTTACAGCCCTGTAAGAACTCTGGGAATGGTTCTGCCTGCTCCCTTCCAGTAGTCTTGAGTAGTTTCCTATCATGCATGTGCAGACCAGTGCTTAGTCAAAGACTCTAGGGAGGCCTGTCGATAGAACTCCAGAGTGTTCTATCTTCAGTTCTCTGTCCCACAAATTCTAGTCACTTTGCCCTCCTGGATGTCTAATCTCAGTCACCTCGACTCGGTGAGATCCATTCCCCCTCCCTGTACTGCATCCAGGAACTGTCTGTAGGCAGTAAACTGGTACACTCGTAGGGCTCACTTTGTGTCCCTTTTCTTAGCGATCACAGGCCTGTGTTGCCTGTCAGCCAATGTATGAAAACCATTTCTTTCTATATTTAGTCCAATTTTTTTAGTTGCTTAAGGCAGGAGAGTAAATCTGGTCCCTGTTTCTTTAACTTCTAAATAGAAGTTTCAAACTTATTTTTTAGAGAACTTACATATTGACTACTAGTAGATTCCTTTCTTTAAAGAAATTCTGTCATTTAAAATATGGCTTGTGAATAGTTAAAAAGTAGATCTGCATTTAAAGTAACAAAATTCTACGTGATAAATTAAAAACAGGATTTAGGAGATTTAGATCTTCCCCACCTTGCTATCTAGCATACAATTAGAGAGTAATTCATTGCTATTAGAATGGCAGAGGGTTGAAAAGGAATTTCAAAATAAGGCTAAGGCAGACCAGAGTGTGATTTACTGCAGATCCATGGTTGTACAGAGCTGTAACCAGTTACTGAATCTTGGCTATAAACCCTTTAACTGCCCTACTGTCTATTTAAATTCTTTGTCAGTGGGCTTCAGTGTTTAAATGTTTGCTTTGATAAACATCCCAATATTCAAACAAGGAATAAAACATTCAGAACCATTGAGATAAAGATCAAAACAATAGTGAGAACATCTGACAAATGCTAACTTTTTAAACTGTAGAAGCCTCCACTAACTACAGACTGTCTGACCCCAGAATTAGGATTTTGCTCCCTGTCCTTGCTGGCCACACTGAAAATAAGTGAGGCTAATTACAATAATCTATCCTGGGGCAGGTTATTTGGGGCAATAAATCAACCTCAACTGTTAACCTTTCTTGTGTGTGTGTGTGTGTGTGTGTGTGTGTGTGTGTGTGTGTGACAGAGAGAGAGAATACATATGTAAACATGATGCATGGGCACTTATTTATTTAGTATCTTATATATGCCAGGCATTTTAATCTTCATAACAGCCCTGCCAACTCAGTTTTTAGATATACATTTAAGGGATTTAATGAACAAGCTGAGATCTAGAGATACTAAATGATGAGTTCAAGTTTTTCCATTATACCATGCTGTTTCTCACAATGCCATGCTGTATTACCCTCAGTAGCACCATAACTCAGTTGTCAGTAGACCACAAACACAACATTGGGTCATCCATCTTGCAGTCATGTACTCTGGGCCACAGGAGGCATTCGAAGACAGAGTTTGATGGATAATTACAGCTTTTTTCATTAGGAAAATAATTTGAAGTTCATGGTTTACATACAGTGGATCAAAACAACAATAAAGCAGTGAATACACTTTGTTATTATCTATATAGGCCAGTTTTACTGAAAAAGACTGATACATCCCCAATACCATACCACCTGCTGCTCAAAGACAAGCCTTTTAGTTTGAGGTTGTAGTCACTATTGGCAAAGTCTGACTGTGTTTGCAACTGTCTTTTAAACTTACAATCTTCATAAAGAGCTTCACTTTTGAGATTGTTGCCATTGAATGATTTTTCTGTGACTGTTTACTAGCTGGGCCTGAATAATCTCCTGCACCAGCCACTTTGCCTGCGGTCTCCTTTATTTCATTCATCATGAGGAAGCCACCTCAGGCTCCTGTTGTCATTTCTCTCTGCCTATATGTCAGTATCCAGTGTCAGTGGACTGGCTATATTTCAATACTTCAGTGTTAGATAGTAGCCCTAATAAATGCTTGTCAATTTAGCAACAGTAGTTATCCAATTATTTCTGTTGTCGTGGTACAGACAACCTTGGTTATAACTACTTAAAAGTCCAGGCCGGGCACAGTGGCTCACACCTGTAATCCCAGCACTTTGGGAGGCCGAGGCGGGGGGATCATCTGAGGTCAGGAGTTCGAGACCAGCCTGGCCAATGTGGTAAAACCCCATTTCTACCAAAAATACAAAAATTAGCCAAGTGTGGTGGCACATGCCTATAATCCCAGCTACTTGGGAGGCTGAGGCAGGAGAATCACTTGAACCCTGGAGGCAGAGGCTGCAGTGAGCTGAGATTGTGCCACTGCACTCCAGCCTGGGTGACAAGAGCGAGACTCCATCTCAAAACAAACAAACAAAAACAAACAAACAAAAAAAAAACAAGTCCATATGTAAGGTCCCTGATGATAACCCTGAGTTTCCTATAAAGACAAAAATGCTGCCAGCCTTTACTTTGGCTTGTGACTAATTGGGCATTAGTGCCTTACTTTTGAAATCTATGTCAAGCTTTTAATTCTGTTTCTGAATTTTTCAATAACCATGCTATCCTTCAATTACAAGATTTATGCTCCTGATGCATCATCAATACTCTTTCAAGTTTTGTTTTCTAGTATTAGAGATAAGTTGCACCGAACTTGAGAATTTGCCACTTATTAGGGTAGGGGCTAGATAGGGTACATATATCTGGCACTGTATTAGTGAGGGGTTTTTTCAGTGTGAAATGTGCTGGCCTGTGCAAGGATTAAATCTATAACTTTGGTTTTATTAGGGCAATCAGTGATCATGCTTTCTATATACAGAATGAGGATTCAAGATTCAGGTATTGTTTATTTATTCCTCTTCACCAAAGTTTAGGGTAAAGCTGGTGGTAATTGAATAGAAAAGGAAAAGTGATGTTTAGTGTTTGAATGCACGCGCACGCACGTGTGTGTGTATTTGTACAGTAACACTTTGATTTTTAAGTTATCATATAATTAATAGTTAAGAGAAAGGCTCCAGGGCCAATCTAACTAGAATTCTGGCTCTTCCAGTTACTAATTATAATTGTAACCCTGGTCGAGTTACTTAACCTGTCTGTGTTAATGTATCTTGTGACCTCGATCAATTTACTTTAGTTCTAGCAGATTTTTTGTGGATTCCTTAGGATTTTTTACAAACACAATTATGTTGTTTGCAAATACAGTTTTACTTCTTCCTTTCTAATCTTTAAACCTTTTTTTACCTGCCTTATTGCACTTCCTAGTACCTCCAGTATGATATTGAATAGACAATTGAATGGCCATTCTCAATCTTAGGGGGAAAGCATTCAATCTTTCCCTTAATAAATATGATGTTAGCTGTAGGTTTTTGTTAGATATCCTTTAAGAGATTGAGGAAGTTTTCTTCTATCCTGGTTTGTTGTGAATTGTTATGATGGTTGAGTATTGAATTTTGTCAAATGATTTTCCTTTGTCTATAAAGATGATCAGGCCCGGTGCGAATGGCTCATGCCTGTAATCCCAGCACTTTGGGAGGCCGAGGCAGGCAGATCATGAGGACAGGAGATGGAGACCATCCTGGCCAACATGGTGAAACCCCACCTCTCCTAAAATACAAAAAATTAGCTGGGCGTGGTGGCGCGCACCTCTAGTCCCAGCTACTCGGGAGGCTGAGGCAGGGGAATTGCTGGAACCCAGAAGGCAGAAGTCACAGTGAGCCGAGATCATGCCACTGCACTCCAGCCTGGTGACAGAGCAAGACTCCGTCTCAAAAAAATAAAAAAATAAAACTAAAAGATGATCATATGATCACTTTCTTTATTAATATGCTGATTTACATTGCTAGATTTTTTTATGTTAAACTTTGCCTTAATATAACAACAACAACAACAACAACAAAAAACAGAGATGTTCCAGTATGTTTCTCTGTGCATTTTTGGGGAACTAGCAGTATCTTAAGGTAGTTTAGAATCTCTAGGTTTATTCTCTAGTTGTCTCTCAATTTAAAGACTAAATGTTAATGATATAATAATCAACAGCAATATTTCTTCTGGGAGAGAACAAATGATTATATTGAGATTTCTTGATTAGTGATTTAAGTATATTTTAGTGAAATATAAACCAGTACAAGGAGAATATCATATTTATACTAGCTTTCAGATTATTTATTTCTCCCATAATTCACAGAAAAATAATTTTAATTCTTTTGAGAACTTCCTTTTTAAAGAAATGAATATATTGGGTAATGAAGCTGGCTGGCTAAATAAGACATATAATTATCGAAATGTAATTCATTCCATATTTAGAAATTATTTTGCACTAGTAATCATAATAAATGGAAGTCTCCAGGTGAAGAAAGACTTGGTTCTTCATTGGGTGATAAACAAAACAAGGACCCCCATAGTTAGTGCCTTGATTTATCATGCTTGCTATTTAACTGTGACCATAATATGATGTTTGTTCTCTTTATATAAAGGAAGGTTTTTGTTGTTTGTTACTGAGTATTTCCAGTCCTGTTTAATTATAATGGCTACTATTTTTGTAAAGAAGGTATTTTAAAATCAATGCTTAAATGTAGTAAAAATGATTCATTCCCCCAATGCCAGTTCCAGTCCTACAAATGGAAATAGCACTGAGGAGGACATCAGCTGATTTAATCTTCCATTAAGGTTTTATTTGCATAGCCCTTGATCCCTAAAGGCTTAGTCTGCCCATTGCCTCAACAAACCCTTTGTACAAATAAAATTGAATCAAGCAGATGAGTGAGTAAGTGTGTCTGGATAGCAGCCCTGGAATATCGCTACCCTTCTCATTTGCAAAGCTACATTTCCCAGTCCTTTCTGCATACACACAGGCTGTGGGGTCAAACCCGATTAGGTGCTCTCATCAACTCTTTTACAGGATTGGCCTTTTCAGCTTCGAGAAGCAGCATGACCTGTTCCATTCAGCGGCTGTTCTTAGCCCATTCTTTAGCTCTGTCTGTTACGTTCCCATGGAGTGAGGCTCTGGCTTCTCCTGCACATGCTCCCTGAGAGAGTCATTCACAAAGACAATCTGCTCTCCAAGGAAAAGCAGCAAAGCCAGCTGAGGAAAGAGATGATGGATCATGCCAACCAGAGGGGAAGAGTAAGGCATATTAAAAATGACATCAGTGCAGTAATCCCACAGGGATTAATACAAATTGAACTGGTATGTTTTTCCTGGAAATTCCAGCTCATTCCAGGCATTCATTTTTTCCATAAAGGAGTGGGGGCAGGTTTGATTCTCTCCATGTGACAAGCAATTCAGCAGCAGAGGCAATTAAGCCTTATTGACCGGCACTATACAAAACTACTAAATATTCAACAAACAGACCTTCCAGAGAAAATACATGAGGTCATTATAGTAATAGTTTCCCCTTTGGGTATTCTTCAAAATATTTTTATTTAGTTTGAGTGTGAGAGATAATATAATGCCTATAAGGATAGTTTAAAATGGTAGAAAACTATCACGTTTTAAGTATGTGACATTCTGTTAGCATTATGTGAATAAATTTCTGTCTCTCTGCAATCAGTTCAGTTCACCAAATATATATTATGAGACACCTATCCAATGATGGATGAATGTTACTCTTCTGGTGGCTAAAAACCTATGTATGGACCAAGTGGGACAGACTATAGAATTGGAAGAATGTGGACTTCTCTGCCAACCAGTGATAGATAGATTGGGCCTGGAAAGGGCTGGTCTGAGGTGGCCTATTAGATATGGGAACTCTAGTTTATTTTTTAATAATGAATGTTATTTTTATTACAAAAGTATATATTTTCATTATAGAAGATTTGGGGGAGAGGAATAAGCATAGTCAAGAAAAAACCTGTTATCCTAGCACCCCGAAGTAATGCTGTTAATGTTTTGTTTTATATCCTTCTAGTTTTTTAAATTTATGAGTGCATACATTTTCTTATTTAAAAAAAGATCTTGTTACACACTCTTTCTTAAACTGATTTTATCACCTTACTATGAACCTTTTTGTGTCCTTAAATATGATATTCTATTATATGAAAGTACAATTACTAATCCTTACCAATGGGATTTTAAATCTTCAATTTCCCCTCTTGTAATGACCACTCAGGTAGCTGAATCTTTGTGAACCCCTGGGATTATTTTAAAGATAAATTAATAAACATGGAATTACTGGGTTAAAACCTATGTAAAATACTATGGCTCTAGATGTATATTTTTTAAATATACCCCAATTTATATGTCTTTCAGCAGTGAGTATATGAGAAAATTTGACTTCTAAGCTACTCATGATTGAACAGTATCAAACTCTGTATTTGTATTTACTTACTTGTATATTCTTGCACTCTGATTAAGTTCTCAAACTTCATGTAAAGTAGTTCTCATTGTTCTCAGTATTCAACTAGTGGTCTACAACAAGTAGGTGGGAGATGGGGAAAGAGATGAATTCCTGAGAGTCTGGTTCTCTCCTGGGGCTCTCAAGCCCTGGGATGGTAACAAGGAAGTCAAGAAGACTGGCATTTTATCTTTTTGTCCCAGGTCCTAGAGAAAGGATGAGAGATATACTTAAAACCTACTAAAAACAGGCCAGGCGCGGTGGCTCATGCCTGTAATCCCAGCACTTTGGGGGGCCGAGGCAGGCAGATCACAAGGTTAGGAGTTCGAGACCAGCCTGGCCAACATGGTGAAACCCCGTCTCTACTAAAAAAACAAACAAAAAAATTAGCCGGTTATGGTGGCACATGCCTGTAGTCCCAGCTACTCAGGAAGCAGAGGCAAGAGAATCGCTTGAATCTGGGAGGCGGAGGTTGCAGTGAGCCGAGATCGTCCCACTGCACTCCAGCCTGGGTGACAGAGCGAGACTTCATCTCAAAACAAAAACAAACAAAAACAAAACAAAAAAACTACTAAAAACAGAAAGGGTATCTAATCTTCAAGAGCTTACTGTCTAGTCAGGAGAAAGAACATACATCCATGTGAAGCAAACTAGTGCAGCTCCATTTGAAGCAAACTAGTGCAAATAAATTCATACAATTCAAACTATTTTCTTATTGGTTGATGATTTAAATATGTTATTCTTTTTGCTTGTGAACAGATTCTGACGTGATGTGACAAAAATAGACTAACTGATTCACTCCCTCTCCAGCTTTCCATCACACTTAATCCAGAAACTTTCACTTCCAGTAATGGCGAGCTAGATAATTAGGATGACAAGGACAACTTAAAAAACTGAGAGAAATAAATTTTTTAAATTTTCTTACATGTACTAAAAAGGTAACAAAATAATAAAATAGGCTTGGGCCAAAATCTAGGGTAAAACAAGAACCCACGAGGTAAACTCACCATTCAAAGCCTCTTTCTCCCCCCTCACACCTTGTTTGTGCTCTAGACCCACATGATCAGGGACAGGCCAGAAACCTGACCACAGGTATCAGGAATGCCAGCTCCTGAGAAAGCTAACCTGATGACTACTTCATTGTTTTTAACTTCATCTATTTCTATGAAACACATTGATTGTACCATTTTTTTAAAGTGTTAAGATTATTAGGTATGTAAATTTGCTGCAATTGTTTTTAAATAAAAATACTATCTCTTAGAATAATGAATTTTAAAAATACCTCTCTCTCTGAAGGCATTTACTAGTCTGAATGAAATATCTGTGTAGTCAGGCTGAGTTTTTGGTAGTCTTATAGGGGAAGGAAGACAGGAATCAAAGCTGAGAGCCTGCCCAGGGTAAGAAATCTGATAAACCACCTCCCTGTTTAATCCAGGAATCTCAAGTGCTCCACCTTCAAAGTAAGAGTGAACTAGAAGTAAACCATTACTGGAGCAGCTCAAGTTTGTGTTACTCAGGTAGTCCAGGGAACCTCAAACTTTTGACATAGATAGACTAGGATGGTTCCATACTAGTAGTGGTTTCTGGTGCTTGACAGAATCAAAAAAAAATCATTTCTAGAGAATGGAGCCATTATCTTTGGACATTTATTAACCTTGAAAATATTTATTTTCTAGTATAATGACCAACAGTCAAAGATAACACTTTCACAGAATAACAAGATACCCTGAGTAGTAAACAGCAGAAACAACAGAGTCCCACAGAAACTTCAGAAATTGCAATCATGAGACAGACTGTAAAGTAACTATCCTGACTATGTATAAAGAGATTTTTAATGAGCTTGAAAATATCTGCAAGAAGGGAATCTATAAAAAGTATTGTAACAGATTGTTTTAAAACTAAATAGAACTTACAAAAGTGAAAAATATAACCATCAAAATTATGAACTCAGTGAACATATTAATCAGTAGATCATATACAGCTGAGGTCAGAACTGAAAGATGAGTCTGAAGAAATCATCCAGAGTGTAGCAGAGAAGAGAAAATGATAGATCATATGCAAGATAGGGTAAGAGACATGCAGGTCAGAATAAGAATACCTACTAACATACCCTTATGGAAGTCCCAGAAGATAAGGAAAGAGAGTTTTGGGACAGAGGATATTGGAAGAGATGGTAGCAGAGAATTTTCCTTAATTGATAAAAAACAGCAATCCACAGATTAAAGAAGCCTAATAAATTTATTCTTCTGACAAGTAGACCCAGGCAGAAGGAAAATTTATCTCAGATGGGTATCCCAGAAGGAAAATTAAAGGCATTTTGAGGCAAACAAAAACAGAGTTTGCCTCTATTACATCAAATGTAAATGGACTAAATGTTCCCATTAAAAGACAAAGATTGTCATACTGGATAAAATAATACTATAACTCTCTGCTGTTTACAGAAGACACACCTAAAATATGTCAGTAAGTTTTCAACTGTGGGTGATTTTGCCCTCAAGAAGATATTTAACAGTGTCTGGACTTATTTTTGGTTGTCATAACCTGGGGAAGTGCCATTGTAAACTACAGTGCATAGAACTGCACCCCCCGCCACACACACACAAGGAATTACGTGGCCCCAATATCACGATTGGAGAAATCCTGATGTAAGTAAACAGAAAGTTAAAAATGAAAAGATAGTAAAGAAAATATATACCAAAAGTAAGCCCAATTGCTATGTTAATTATAGACAAAATTATAATGAGTCAGAAAATACTTCTAGAAATAAAAGGGATTACTTCAAAATAATAAATGTCCATTTACCAGGAAAATCTAAGAATATTAAATTTTTATTCATCAAATAAAATGACCTCAAAATACTTAAAGCAAAAATTCCACAACTCTAAGGAAAAAGACAAATTCATTATCAAGGTGTTTTATATTTACATTCTTCTCTCAGCATTTGATATAAAAAGCAGACAAAAAGCCCCAGTAAGAATATGTAAGATTTGAATAACACAATTGTCAAATTTCACTAAGGGACATATATATAACACTGTACTTAACAACTGCAGAATATTATTTTCAAGCATACATGGAAGGAACAGTTATAAAAGTTGACTCTATACTGGATCACAGAGCTAGTGTCAACAATTTCATAGAATTAAAACCACACATAATTATGCTCTCTGACCACAGTGTATTGTTAGCATTCAATAAGAAAAAGATGACTAGAAATACCAATATTTGGAAATTAAGCAGTACACATATATAATCCATCACAGTGGAAATTAGAAAATATTCCTGACTGATAATGAAAAATACTATATATAAACTTTTCAGTAAATAAAGCTGAGCTTAGAGGAAAATTTATGGCTTTAAATTCATCTAAAGAAGTTAGGGGAAAAAACAACAAATTAAATCTGAAGAAGGTAGAAGGAAAGAAATAATAAAGACAAGAACAGGAATTAATGAAATAGAAAACACTTATAGAGAGGATATACAAAGCCAAAAGGTGATTCTTTTTAAAGACTGATAAGACTGCTGCCGGGTGTAGTGGTTCACGCCTGTAATCCCAGCGCTTTGGGAAGCTGAGGTGGGTGGATCACTTGAGGCTAGGAATTCAAGACCTACCTGGCCAACATGACGAAACCCCGTCTCTACTAAAAATACAAAAATTAGCCAGGCGTGGTGGTACATACCTGCAGTCCCAGCTACTTGGGAGGCTGAGGCACAAGAATTGCTTGAACCCAGGAGGTGGAGGTTGCAGCGAGCCAAGATTGCGCCACTGCATTCCAGCCTGGGCGACACAGAGCGAGACTCTGTCTCCAAAAAAGAAAAAAAAAAAAAAGACT
Source organism: Homo sapiens (assembly GCF_000001405.40). Classification (NCBI taxonomy): domain Eukaryota; kingdom Metazoa; phylum Chordata; class Mammalia; order Primates; family Hominidae; genus Homo; species Homo sapiens. The sequence continues at coordinate 33,405,180 of NC_000001.11, read as the reverse complement.
ACAAATCCTTATAAAGACTGATTGAGGAGAAAAAACGAAAGACAGATAACCAAAATCAGGAATGAAAAGGAAGACATCACTGCCGATCCTAGAGGTATTATAAAGAATACTTTTTTAAATAAATGAACTCCAATTTCTTACTCTGGGTAAACAAAGCCCTGTCTCATCTAATTCATACATTCATCTCATTTTATACAGTTTTCTCTCTCATCTACTGTGCAGCCATTAAACATGCCAAGTTTGTTTCTCTCATAGGGTCTTCATTACCAACTAATGCAAAGTAATGCAATGACTGTCTCCTTGTCTCAGATTTAAATATAACCTCCTCAGAAAGGCCTTTCCTGACCACTCAATCTAAGAGAGCAACCTGTTATTCTTCATATCATTCAATTTTAATTCCTTAATTAGCTCATGCTATTTACTTCATAATTGTTTGCTCCCCACTCCAGACATAAAACACATCAGAGTAGGATCTTTATCTTGCTCATCACTCTATCCCAGAGTGCTCGATAAATATTTGTTGATTGAAGTACCATCTTCTGATTCAGTCACAGAGAGGTAGGCCATGAGGGAAATAAGGAAAAAAGTAGAAACAAGAAATAAAGAAAAATCAGAAACAATTTAAGACCCTATTGTGTGCAAAAGGGAAGTGGAAAGAAGAGACAAGAAAATACATAAAGGGGTTAAAAGAGAGGAAAATAATTAGATAGTATTGCTGTTGTGTTTTGGAAAAACTCTTAATTAGAAGGAAAGGAACTAACTTTATTAAGCTACCTCTATGTAGGAAAACTAAATTACCAGGTGATGTGGGGGTTTTTTTTGAAAGATTTTATTTCAACTTACAGGCATCACCAAAATTATTTTCCTCATTTTCAACCTTTTCCTAGGAAGAAAAGAAAGTGAGTTATTTTATTCTATAGATGGAAAAACAAAAGCCTATTTGTTTTAATCAAGTAAAATTGTCAAGGATGACTGGCAGTGCCATTCACTGAGAAGGAATATTAGAAGAAGTGTTTTGGAGGGAAATCATGAGTTTCAATTTTAACAGGTTAAAATTTAGATATTTTGAAATATCCAAGTAGAGGTGTTGACAAGATAATGGGATACTTCACTCAGAGGAGAGGTCTGAGCTGAAGATCTAAATCTTTGATGTATGGATGGTAATTGAAGCCATAGGCATAGATGTGAGTGTCTAGAGAGAAAGAACAGCATATGAAAAAATGGGGTTTCATGGATGTATCTTAAGGAGCTCCAATATTCAATGGTTAGGTGGTACGAGACAAGCCTTTGAAGGAGACTGAGAAGGAATGGTCAGGAGAATATGGTTTCATGAAAGCCAAGGGTATTTACTGTTTCAAGGAAAAGAATGGTCAGCAGTGTTGAATGCTGCTGAGACACCAAAGAAAATGAGAATTGAAAATGTTTATTACCTTTAGTGACATTGAAGTCTCTGACCTCAGTGAAAGTAATTTTAGCAGAGTGGAGATGGAATCTGAGTCATTTTAACATCCACAGTACCTTTCCGTAGAGTAGATATTTGATATGATTTTTCATTTTCTTTACCATGAAATGTATAATTATGCAGAAGAAAGTATAATGTATATGTAGTATTTGAAAAATAAAGTGAACAACATTTATCCATAACCCAACTTAGGAAACAGAACTTTAGAAGACACCCATATGCTCCTCCCTGTTTGCATCTACCTTCTTCATCTGCCCAGATATACCACTCTTAAACTGTTGTAATAAGTTTTCCCGCCAGGTGCAGTGGCTCACGCCTGTAATCCCAGCATTTTGGGAGGCCGAGGCGGGTGGATCACGAGGTCAAGAGATCGAGACCATCCTGGCCAACATGGTGAACCCCTGTCTCTACTAAAAATACAAAAATTACCTGGGCGTGGTGGTGGGTAGCTGTAGTCCCAGCTACTCGGGAGGCTGAGGCAGGAGAATCTCTTGAACCTGGGAGGTGGAAGTTGCAGTGAGCCGAGATCGCACCACTGCACTTCAGCCTGGCGACAGGGTGAGACTCCATCTCAAAAAAAAAAAAAAAAAAAAAAGTGGGCCGGGCGCAGTGGCTCACGCCTGTAATCCCAGCACTTTGGGAGCCTGAGGTGGGTGGATCACGAGGTCAGGAGATCAAGACCATCCTGGCTAACACAGTGAAACCCCATGTCTACTAAAAATAAAAAAATAAAAAAAATTTAAAAAGTCGGGCGTGGTGGCAGGCGCCTGTAGTCCCAGATACTTGGGAGGCTGAGGCAGGAGAATGGCATGAACCCAGGAGGCGAGATCGCGCCACTGCACTCCAGCCTGGGCCACAGAGCAAGAATCCATCTCAAAAAAAAGAGTTTTCCCTTGCTTTTCTTTTATAGTTTTACAACATATGAGTGACTTCCTAAACAATATACTGTTATTTTTACAATATACTTTTTTAGTTTTAACTGGTTTTGAACTCTGTATAAATGGAATTATACTGTATTCATTCTGAGTCTTGCTTCTTTTGTTCAGCATTATCTTTTTGAGATTTGTCTGTGTTGATACCTGAGATTGTATGTCATTTTCACTGTTGTATAGCATTCCATTGAATTAACATGCCATAATGTATTTTTACATTCTGCTTTTGATTGGTATTTGGGTCATTTCCAGTTTTTTGGTTTTTTGCTTTAAAAAGCAATTCCACCGTGAACATCATTATCATGTCACCTTATGAATATGTGCAAGAGTTTTTCTAAGATAGGTGTATAGATAAGAATAGAATTGCTAGGCCATATCATATGGGTATGTTCAACTCTATTGTGAAATACCAAACTGTTTTCTAAAGTGATTGAATCATTTTTTACTCCTACCCATTCCATGTGAACATAACCATTGCTCTGTATCCTCCCCAGTGTTTGATATTGTCAGTCTCTAGAATTGTTGCCAATTTCATGAGTATGAAATTTTATCCTATTGTAGTTTTAATTTGCATTTTCTTGATTATTAATAAAGTGAAGTTTTTAAATGTCTATTGGCCATGTAGAAAATTCAATTCAAGTGTGATGCCCATTTTTCTGTTGTGTCTTTTACTTTTGAGTTATAGGTATTTTTAAAATATTTTTGATGCAAATTCTCTTTTTGTTATGTGTGATAGAAATATTTTTTCTCAGTGTAAGGCTTGTTATTATGCCTTTGACGAACATAAATTTTTTCTTTTAATGTAGTCAAATGTATCAGTCTTTTCTTGTTTAAAATATCCTTTCCTACTGTAAAGTCATTATTTTGTCCTACATTTTCTCCTAAAAATCTTGTATTTTTGTCTATTCCTCTTAAATATTTAGTTTACTTTAACTTGGGAGGTTTGCTGTGAGGTGGGAGATCAATTTCATTTTTCTATGTGGATGCCTGGTTTTCCCATACTGTTTAATGAGATGTCCAGTCCTCCCCTACTGACCTGATAAACCCATCTGTCATATAGCAAGTGTTCATAAATGTGTGGGTCTATTTTGGGAACTTCTGTTTGGTTCCATTAAGTGGTAAATGTTTAGCAACTAGCTCTTCCCACTCCTTTCCTATACACAAAAAGTCCCGATTTGTAGTATTTGCTGATTTCCATGGTATAAATACTCCCGCAATGACCAGTTTCAAGCTTCCAATGTGATATCACTAAAATGCGGAGTTGGTAAGAGGTGCTAACAGTTAGAGGTCAAGAATAGGGTCTATCCAAAAGATAGTGCTAATGCCAAACTTTCTTAACTAGTAGAGCTCGATATCAGGGCAATTCTCACATTGTCTTCTTTAGGAGTGATCTGCCTATTCTTGGTCTTTTGCATTTCCATATATATTTTAGAATTAACTTATAAAGCCTCTTTTTTTTTTGAGACGGAGTCTGGCTCTGTCGCCCAGGCTGGAGTGCAGTGGTGCAATCTCGGCTCACTGCAAGCTCCACCTCCTGGGTTCACGCCATTCTCCTGCCTCAGCCTCCCGAGTAGCTGGGACTACAGGTGCCTGCCACCACACCCGGCTAATTTTTTGTATTTTTAGTGGAGACGGGGTTTCACCATGTTAGCCAGGATGGTTTGGATCTCCTGACCTTTTGATTCGCCTACCTCGGCCTCCCAAAGTGCTAGGATTACAGACGTGAGCCACCATGCCTGGCCCAAGATGGATATAATTTTTATGTTACAAAAAGATTTATAATTGTACTGGAGTCTGTTAACCTTCAGACAATTCCTTTAATGCTTTTATTTATTTATTTATTTATTATTTTTAATGTAGACAAGAATGAGATGATGATGCGTTGACATACCTCCTTTTTTACTAACACAAAGGGCAGCTATCTGAAGCACATTATTCCAACATGGATCTTTTCAGTTAATAATATATCTCAGAGATCTTTCCTGTCAACATGTACAATTCTTACTCTTTAATGCTTTTGTACTTACTATACTATTTTAACTGCTTCAGAGTATTCAGTTATGTGCATATGTATAGATGTGGATGTGAATGTGTGTGTGTGATAGTGGTTAAGAGCTTGAGTTCTGGAACCAGACTGCCTGTCCCGGAATCCTTCTCTGACACCTTCTATGTGACTTTAGAACAGTTTCTTAACCTCTGTGAGTCTCATTTTCCTCATTTATAATATGGTCAAAGTAGCAATGCCTATGTCATGGAATTGGTGTGAAGATTAAATGAGATAATTCATGTCAGGCATTAGAGCCTGGCTGCTACACAGTAAGTGCTTAATAAATGTTAACTGCTAGCGTTTTCATTCTTGCCTTTGCTGCTATTATTACTCCTAGTACTGCGCTACTGATAAATACTTGATTTGTTTCCAGGTTTTTGCTATGACAAACAATGCAGTGGTGAATATCCTTGTACATAGATCTTAAAATAACTTGGGGGATGTGTATCCCTGAGTGCAAACTCCTATAAACAGAATTGTTGGGTCAAAGAGTATGCAGCTAAAAATATTGCCAAATTGCCCTCTAAAACAGATATTCCAAATTATATTCTTACCAATTGTATAAGAAGTATATTACTCACCTTACATCAGCCCTCCGTATTATTAAATTTCTAAATGTTTACCAATCTTATACTTAGTTTGTCCTGCATCTCTTTAGATATGAATGAGATTAAACATCCTTTTATAGGTTTATCACTTTTTTTTTTTACAAATAATAATGAACTACTTGCTCATATCCTTTGCCTATTTTCTACTAAGTTATATCTCTCTCTTACTGATTTCTAAGAGTCCCTAGTGCCTTATAAATAAAAATACTGACCTATCAATTTCCAGAAACATAGTTTCTATGGAAATTAGATATAACTGAATTACTTATATTCACTTGATTTTTTTTTGTAAACATTTTAAAGCTCCCCCAACCCTGCCCCCGCCAGTCTCTTGAGCATTCCTACCTAAAGTCACTTGGGGTCAGGGACTATAACTTCTATTCCTTTATTTCCACTTGTTCCCTGTCCCTCTAGTAGCACCGGGCTTCTCTGCCAAATTCAGTGACTGGTGGAGGGGCCTTACTATAGAAATTTCAAAAGAGTGGATTTGAGTCATGGTCCTGAAACATAAGCCACACATTAGGTTATGTGAAGGCCTGGAAAACAAGAAAACATGTCCAGAGGCTAAGCAGGCTCCTTCTATTCTAGGCACATCTCCAATGGCAAGATGCTTAAGTCTATTTTAGCCAATAAGAAGATTGACCTGTTCACATGGCATCTGACAGGAAAACGTGGAGCCAAGAACTTGGAGCTTTTTGGAATCCATTCATCTATAAATCTGTGGCGGCTCTTTAGAACTTTTTCCAAATGGGGGCAGTGATAATGATAATGTGACTATAATGTGGCCCTTGTGAGCTCAGTGTCCAAAGTAATAATACTTCCAGCACCTTTTGTAGGGTACCTGCTGTGTGTGAGTACTATTCTAGAAGTCTTACACACATCCTCTTTATTCCTTGTAGGGTCCCTTCAAGGATTGTTCTTTCTGCTTTAAAGACAAGGAAACAGTGACTCAGTGTAGCATAGCACCTTGTCCTAGTCACACTCATAATGCAGGACAGAGGTGGATCCTATTCAGGCCTGAATACCCCAACCCCACACACTGTTTTGTTCTACTGTTCACTTTGTACATCTGTAGTAGAATTTTTCACATTTTGCCTTGTATATAGTTTCATTGTTCTTCCAATACTGTAAAACTCCTTGAACTCTGGACCCAGACTGCCTGAAGAAAGAAACCGTGTCTTTTTCACCTACCCTCCAAGCAACAATCAGCGAGGCTATCGAGGTCAACTGGACTTGCCCCAAGAACACTTCATGGTCAATGTCTGGGTCAGGAATTGACTTTAGCCAACTGTGCCCTCTGTTGTGAAGCCATCCTAGAAACCAGTGCCTCCCATCTGTGTGTGCTTTCTAGCTCTGAAAACTACCAAAAAGTCCCTGTATCTACTGGAATATAGCTTTGGGAAACCAAGAATGCCTGCAGCCCCTCGTTCAGCAGGTACTTCAATGCAGAGGACCAATGTGGGCAGAACTGCACTACCAGCTTGTGAATGAATGTTCAGATGGGAAGTGAGCATCTTTTCCCTTATGTTTTGTGCTAAGAATACTGTGATGTTGAAGCCCAGATACTTTAAGATACATAGACATTTGGAAAATAAAGAAAAGGATAAATGAGAAAATAAAAATCAGCAGTAACACTATCACCCAAAGCAGCCATTGTTAACATTTGGTATCTATCCTCCCAGCTAAGCTATACATTAAATAACATGTACTTAACAATGGGATTATATTATGCATATTACATTTGTAACAAGCTTAGTGCCATTTTGATTGGTTATTCCAAATCTAGGGGAAGCCTATTAGACAAAAGTTCTCTCCTTCCTCTGGCTGTGATTTACTGGGGGTAGAGGTGGGGTTTAAATCATAATTACACTTACTTAATGTCATTTAAAATGTTGCAAAGCATTTCACATCCTGCTGAGGAATCTGATAGTGCTGAAGCAAGACCAGAGTCTACCTCTGCACTCAAGCCTTAGAGCCTTTCCACAATGCTTTTCAGTTTCAGGTTTCAGGAGGAAAGAGAAGCAAAAAGCAGTGCTATCATAAGCAGGGCTAGATGATCTAATGGCAGAGCCAGATGGGGTCTTGTTTTTAGTTGCAATCTGTCTGAGGCATTCTTGTAATATTATTTAACAATTAATTTTTAAGTATTTTTTTACATGCACAGGGAACAAAGTCCAAAAGATTCAAAAGAGTATACGGTGAAAAGCATGCCTCCCCCTACTCCCCGGGAGGCATCACTGTCTGCGATTTCTTGTGTATCCTTATCTGAAGCATTTTGAGTTCAAAGGGCAGGCAAGCATTTGCAGAGGTCATCAAGGGTATTTTCCTTTGTCGCATCAGTATTCTCTGCAGAGGTCATCCTGGTAACCAGGCTTCATAACCCCCAACAATATTCCAAAGGAATATCTCCTTTCAAAGTGCATGGTGGATGTACCCTGAGGCAGAGCCAAAATCACCCACTGAGACCACCCCAAACAAAGAGGGCAGAGAGCTGCCGTGCTGCCAGAGGAACAGACTCAGGAGGGCCACAGCTGAATCTGGACCAGTCTCAGAGTCAGGAGACCGAGGCCTCATCTGGTCTCTGCCATGGATGGACTGTAAGCAAGTTACTTAACCTTTCTGCGAAGTCTCCTCCTTGTCTAACAGGGTAAGATTATAATTAAGAGGATGGCTCAAAACAATTCCTCTTAAGCTTTAATGTGCACGTGAATGACCCAGAGGATCTTGTTGCAATGCTCATTCAGATTCAGCAGGTCTGGGGTGGGGCCCAAGATTCTGCATTTTCAACATGCTCCAAAGACTCAAGAAGTGGCCCTCAACTACTGGCCTGTGACCTGTTCCCGGGACTAAGCACCTGGTAATGTTTACTTCAGAGCTGAGCAGCTCCCTCTGGAGAACCCTGGCATTCAATTTCCTAAGATTTTTATTTGACCTCTGGTGCCTGGTGATGGTGCTGCTGCCAGACCCTGTGCTGAATGCTCTGAATATATGGTTCCTCTCATTGTCCCAGCTACTCAGTGAAGTAGGTGTTGTGATTATCCCCATTTCACAGATGAGGAAACTAAGGCTTAGAGAGGTGAATGTGCTCAATATTACACAGCTGGTAAGAGGCAGAGCAGGCCTTCCCACAGACCATCTGATTCCAGACTCCTCGTGTTAACACTAAACCAAAGAGCGAGTGGCATTCTCCATTTCAGCCTTGAAAGTGAACACCATAGGAAGTGCTGTACCAAGGGGCCTCCTCTTGTGTCTGTGTGGGAGGAGGACGCTGCTGTCCGTCAGCTCAGAGTGTCTCCTCCAAAGAAATGCATCTCAGCTTGCAAAGCCTCTACCTCAAATTTTTGTGAAAACTCTTCAAGGATTCTGACCGCAGCTCTTATCAGTTACGGGGCAGGAAGCCGCCTTCCACAAGCCACTCTCTCCCCATACCAGAGGGTTCCTTGGCTGTGAACAGCACTTAGATTGTGTCAGAGGAAGGCCATGGGCTTTAACAGGCCACATCCATTTTCATTTACCTTCTGAAAGAAGATTAAGGAGAAAATTCAATTTTGCCTAATGCCTCCCCCAAATGGCTAATTTATATGCTAATTAGCAAGATAGGGATCGATGAAACTGGTAATCAATATGATATCCAAGGCAATGGTAATGAAATTCATTCTGAGATGCACTGGCAGTGGAAATGAAGCAATTATGCAGAATAAATGGGGCAGCTCAGGGAATAAGGGCCCCAGATTGCACTTGACTGCATTATTTCCCCTTTTACCCCTCCCCTCACCCTTCCCCACCCCGTTAAAATCAACTGTCCATTCAGGTCCTTTGAGGTACCACGTGCCAGCTTCTCCCTCTCCAAATACCTGATCCTGCATTAACCCTGTGGATTTGTGGCCCACCATGGGGAAATGGAGCTATAGAAAACAGCAGGCTCTGAGAAGACTAGGGATACAAACCCTGGAGGAGAAGCAGGGGCTGAATAGAGGCTCTTAAGCCATAGACTGAGTGGTGAATTCGTACTTTACTGTCACACCTACTGAGGTTGGCTTAAGGTTTTTTAATTCTAAAGCATTATAGATACCATATTGCCCAAAATTTCCACGACTGTCCTAATTTCAAATATTTTGTCCCATGAGGCCATATGTTAAATGACGTGTCCTACATAAGTCCAGTGATAAGTAGGCCACAGTGTTTTTGTATGATTTAGTCTAATACTAGGAAGTCTTGTTTCAATCTGGACATTTATTCCAATGTTTCAGATATTTTGGAGGAGAGGGGAGAGGTGTGATTGCCATCATCTCTGGAGATTTAGGGACCCTATAGTATTCATTTCACACTTTTCAACTAAGATAATTGAAATTTGTCTTTTACCCCAATGTCTGCTCATTGGAATCGCCTGGGTAATTTGTCCCCAAATTTTCTTATGAAAAGTTCTGAACATACCAAAAAGTTGAAATAAGTATACAGTGAATGTCACATGTATCCTATCCAGATTCTACAATTAACATTTTACCATACTTGCCTTATCACATATCTGTCCAACTGTCCATCCCCCATCCATCATCAGTTCATCTTTTCTTAATGCATTTCACAATAAATTGCAGGCATCAGGATACTTCAGTCCTAAACACTTCAGTATGTATAGCATTAACTAGAGTTCAATATTTATTTATTTATTTATTTATTTATTTTTATCTTAAGGTAAAATGTATATACAACAAAATGCACAAATTTGAAAAACACTATTCTGTAAATTTTGACAGAGGCATGCATTGATATAGTACAAATCCCTATCAACATCACCCCAGAAATTCCCTCTTCCCCCTTCCCAGCCATTCCCCACCCCGTACCCCACAGAGGCAACCACTGCTCTGATTTTTTTCTATCATAGATTAACTTTATTCTAAGAACTCCATATAAATAGAACCATGTAGTATGTACCCTTGTATAAGGCTTCTTTTATTCAGCATAGTATTTTTTAAATTCATCCATGTTGTTGCACATATTAATATTTTGTTTCTCTTTATTGATGAATAGCATTCCATTGTGTGGATATACCACAGGTTTGGGGGCTATTATGAATGAAGCTGCTATGAACGTATTTGTACAAGACTTTTTATGAACATATGTTTTCATTTTGCTTGAGTGAATTCCTAAGGATGGAATTTCTGGGTTATAGGGTAGATGAATGTTTAGTTTTATAAGAAATTGGCAGACTGATTTCCAAAGTGGTTGTGCTATTCCTGGGAAGTGCTTTAAAAACGCTGTTTTGGCTGGGCGTGATGGCTCATGCCTGTAATCCCAACACTTCGGGAGGCCAAGGCAGAAGGATCACTTGAACCCAGTAGTTCGAGACCAGCCTGGGCAGGAAAGCAAGACGCCATCTCTACAAAATAAAAAATAAAAAATTAGCCAGGTGCAGTGGTGTGTGCCTGTGCTTCGGAGGCTGAGGCAAGAGAATCACTTGAGCCTAGGAGTTCCAGGCTGCAGTAAGCCATAATTGTACCACAGTTGTACCACTGTACTCCAGCCTGGGTGACAGAATAAGACCTTGTCTCAAAAGAATAATAATAAAATAAAAACATTGCCTCTCTGCTCCCCCTACCAAAAAATTCTTAGTTAATTAGTTGATCAGGAGTGGGGCCCAGGCATTGGTGTTTCCAGCATGCACTGCTGTGGTTCTGATTTGCAGCTGGAGGAGAGAGTCACTGAAGGTTTAACATTTAACTTTAGTTTAAAGACCTTTTGGTGCCTATGATAAGTGCAAAAAGTTGACTTTTTTTTTACTTTGAAAACTGGCTTTCTGTTGCTGTTCCCCTTTTTCCTTTACTTTTTTTTTTCTTTTGCTGCTATAAAGACTTGATGGTGTTCTTGGATTATTTGGACATCAGAGTTCACTTGAGTCAAAAGATCTGCTTTTTAATCCCAGTTTTGCCACTTTGTAACTGTATAAGTTTGAGCAAGTTACTCATCAGTGTCCTTTTCTGTAAAATATGGTTTCTGTTATGTATTCCAAGGCTATGAGGATAAAAGTGCCTGACTCAAAAATTTTCTGAAATTTATTATAGGACAGGAGTGGAAATAGAGTTATCCATTGCCCTCCCCAACCCCCAGGATACATGAGATTCCTTAACTCTGCCTTTCTGAACAAAGGCAGATTGACAGTTCTTTTCTTTGGTTCTATAATATGGCTCTGGATGTGAGGCTGTGAATGTCAGAGGTTGGAGAGCTGTCACCACTTCCTTTAATGATTCGAGTATAATTACCTCTTGTCTTACAAGTATGTAAAACTCCAAATCAGTAGGATAGGGATTTTGAATTGGTTTTCCATTCCTGATGGTGATGTGGGCTGATCCATCTCTTCGTTGTCCCCATGTAACCCACAACACATCTTTGCAAGACTGCTGGGTAGAGTTTATTCTTGCCTTCATTGGCTCTGGATTACTGAGCATCAAGTCAATAACAACAATGACAGCAAAATCAACCTACCTTCTGAAGCCTAGCCTGCTCACTCTGAGGAGACAGGCTTGGAGACTATCTCCTGAGTCCACTTCATATGGTTCTGGTCCACACAGACTGCACTGGTCCCTGAGCACAGAAAGTTGGTGTGTGTGGCTCCTGACAAGATTTACATCAAATGCTCAGTACTTGTTGGAAGAAAAAAAAAAAAAAAAAAACCTCTTGAAAAGGTCTTATAAGTGATGTGGCTTCTCTCATTGTTTTGTTCAACCATTTAAATGAGGATTTTCCAGTCAGCACCAGGAAGAATGCACTTGAGGCCAGCATGGGCACAGATGAGGCTTCTAAATCAGGGTAGAAGTGCCAGGCTTAGCTCCTTTCTAAACAGGAGGGCTGAGGATTCTCTATCGCATCCTCCCAGACAACTACTGAGCATGCAGCATGCATTCTTTGCCTTCCTAGGAAGGTAGGGTTTTCAGAGTATTCGAGGTTGCTCTGGGCGCCAGTTATCAGTGATAACTAACAAAGATCCAGGGAAAATGATGGCTGCTAATGAGCTTCTTTTCAAGTTTATGGCCTCCCTGAGTGTCTGTCTGTGGAACTCTCATGCTTTTGTAAGGGGGTACAGGATAGAGGGGACAAGGGAAGGGATCAGATGGCCTGCTATCTGAAGCATGTGCCTGGCTTCAATAGTCCCCTTTTGGGTTGGTTTATTCTGTAATGTGTCCCCTGAGAAGACAGACTAAGCAGCCTGGGTTACCCTGCAATTTCTCCAAACTATTTGCATGAAATACTGCAGGCAAAAAGCCCAGCCCCTGATTGGCTGTTGCTAGGTAACAACATAATCATCAGGAAATTAGGCTGTCCTTTTTTTTTTCCCAACACGGAGTATGTGTGTGATTGCAGTGTTGTGCAGGAAGAGAGAGGGAGTGGAACAAAGACAGATAAATGGGATGATCTTGAAGGCGGGGACACCACAGCCACAAACCTGCATCCCACGGTAGGACAATCTGCTTTGGGTTGGGCTCTTTACTCAGTCAAACCAATATTGGTACATTTTCCTTTTTAGAATAATGGCAAAGCTAGGAGGGCCCTGCAGACAGCAGGAACAGGAGCTATAATAGAAGCAACTTTGAGATTTGAAGTGCTTTTTAGAAGCAAGAGGTAGTATTTAATATGTGGGAATGACTCTAGTGAAGTGAATAAACGAGTGTGTCTGGAGAATGTATACAGGCAGATAAGAATCCATTAGTATGGCCGTAGAGCACCTGCAAGGAACAGAACGTGAGAACGCGCATGTGAATGAGGCATAACAGAAAAAAAAAGCATGCTTTAAGATAGGAAAGGGAGCCCATAAACTGAAGTTTAGAACTGTATCTGTTATGACTCCGCCAGTGTTTAGCATGTGGACCTCGCGTTAGGACCTCACAGACTAGACAGGTGGATGAAGAGGCAGCAGTCTAAAGAGAGCATTTGTGTATGTGCATGTGCATGTGTGTGTGTGTGTGTGTGTGCACGTATGTGTGCACACAGCTGAAGCACCTAGTTCATTTTCAAGATTGTGTCCTGAATAACAGTGTGCAGAGCCCTGGCAAGTACACAGCCACACCTGGACGCTTCCACTGGGTAATGAATATCCATGAAGACCGTTAGCACTTTCCTTTCCCTCTGTGCTAGCCCCAGGTGGCTTTCTCGCCTCTAACCTCCCTTATCTTGCCTTCCTTTTGAGCTCCCTAGCAATGACCCTGCCCTTACACTAGAGCCTCAGTTGCAATACAGCATACTTCATTGGCTTGCTACAATCCCAGCCAAGCTAATTGCCTTTTGCCATTCATTGTCTGCCAGATTAACGACTCCTCATGTGTCTGGTTGCCCATCGCCTCCTCTGAGATTCCTCTGTGTACTCTCTCTGGCTTGTCTTTCCCTTCTTCTGTCTCCTCAGCTCAGCCTCTCTGAGCTCCACATCTGAATTTTTAGAAGGCATTTAATTTAAATGATAAAATAGAAGCACTGCCTTTTTTTTTTTTTCCTATCAAAGGGAATAGTATTAGGCATGATGCAGAGGGGACCATTTTGTAGGAGTGGTAAAAAATATGCAGATGTATCAGAAACAAGGCAGAGTATGTGCCAATAACCAAGACTCAGAAGAAAAGATCTTCCCAAGCATACAGTCCCGTACAGTGATTTGCTGTCTCCAGTGGGTGAGCCTAACAAGGCTCAAAGCTCCTGCCCGAAAGAAAAAAGCCATCACTAACGTACAGTGGCTCAAATCCCCTTTCTGAGTACATGTACTAAATGGAATGAACTTGATGCTCTGCAAAGCCTTTAGGACTTGAAGTGCAGATCATCTTCCTCTTCTCCAGTGGCGACTTTCATTACCTTTTAGTTCTCAAACATTAAAATAGAGCACAATCTCTGTTCCACTTCTGCTTCCCCACCATTCTCCAAGACAGTGGTTCTCAAAGTGTGGTCCCAGGACCAGCAGCCTCAGAAGTCTGGGGATGGGTGAGGCCCAGCATTCTGTTTTAACAAACCCTCCAGGTGATTTTGTTGTGTGCTCAAGTCTGAGAACCACTGTGGACCTGAAAATTTGCATTTTTAATAAGACCTCACTCTTTGAAAATCTCTGCTCTAAGAATAGAAAAGAGGGGACAATGTGTGATGAGAAAGATCTCATTCCACCTAGAAAGCCCCCTCCCCATTTCCGAAGTCCCAATCGAACCTGTCTTTAAAGATCCACCCAAATGAAACTTTAGCTGATGCAAGTGAAAGTTATCCCTTGACAGCTTCCTGCATTTCAGGGGTGCATAAACCAAGGGCCAAATCCAGGTCACAACTTGTTTATGTAAGTCCCTCAAACTAAGAATAGTATTTACATTTTTTTAATGGTTGGAGGGGGTGAGGAACCGAAGAAGAATGTGCAGCAGAGACCATATGTGGTGTACAAGGCCTAACCTAGATACTCTGTCCCTTTACAGAGAAAAAAAAAAAAAAAATGCTGACTCCTGTTATATTTATGTGCTTTTCTTATTTTTCCTCTTAAACTGTTAACTTCTTAAAAATAGAGTCAATATCCGAGTCATGTTTGTATTGCATTCAGTACCAAACATATAGTAATTGTTCAATAAATATGGGAAGGGGCGGATGGTGGTGGTTGGGCAGCTGACAAGTGTTGTGGGAATCCAAAAGAGATGGACTTTTATACTTGACCACTTTGTGGCTGTCCTATCCATAAAATAAGAACAGTGTTTTTCTCCACCTTAAGTAGATGATGAACATCCAGAAGTTCGTACTAATGGAATTTACTCTAGTAACTAGATGGTGAAAAGCAGTTGGGAGCTGCCCTGCATCTTGAAAAACAAGATTAGTATTGAAAATGTCCATAAATGGATAAGTTAAAAATAAGCAAAAAGCTTAAAATTTCAGGTGGATTTCTGATGTCCAGTAAAAAGTTTTCACAGAATTATATGCTACCATGGTTAAAAGAGCCCCTAGTGATGATGCTGCACGAATTCCACCTGCCCCATGGTTGCCCAGCCTCTGCTTGAACCCCTCCACCGACTAGGAACTCACTTCCTCACAGCCAGCCCCACTCTACTTTTTAAACAGCTCCAGTGATTAGGAAGCACTTTTTTTCTATTCAGTTGAAATCTATCTTCTTATAATTTCCACTCTGTAGTCCTAGTTCTGCATACTTTAATTTGAAAATTAGCTACCTACGTTTCATAAATATGATAAAAGAAGTAGGGTAGAGTTATGCTTGACTGGAAAGAATGGGAGGTTGAGGGGGACCTATCCATTTAGATAATTTTCCCCTGCAAATAGGGAACAGGTTAGAAATACAAGAAGCTAAAAGCCAAGATGTATGCTAACAGAGGAAAGGCAAACTTACGAGTATAAAATGGAATAGAACATTCCAAATACGGCAGGAAGCAAAAGGCCGGTGGTCACAGTAGATCACAGGCTGACCACAGATGTGCATGCTATGTTTCTGCTAGAAAGGAATGTTAATAGCAATTAAAGGCTATTATTTGGGGCAAATGAGGGTAAGGAGGCCCCAGAGCTAGGCCCAGGGGACTCTGGAATTGCTTTGTGATTCCAGAGCTATGAAACAGCTGCCAGGACAAGTTGCCAGGGCAGAAGCAAGCAGGAGGAAATGTCCTGGGAAGGGCTGGGCCCTTTAAGTGGTGGCTGGGCCAAAGCAATGAGGCCTTCAAAAGGGAACGGTCCCAAAGAAGATGGAGGAAAGGAGTAGAGAAAGGAAGCTGGAAGTTCAAGTTATACTCCTGTTTATAATGTAATGTAGGCTTAAGATTAATCCAAACACCCTGAGAACTGATGAAGCATTGCATGAACAATATCCCCAAGAAGAATGTGTGTTGAACATTCACTGCTCTGGATTTCTAAAATGCTTTTACTGCACAGAGCTTGGAGTTGCGTGGGGGATTGAATCTAGTAATAGCAATCACCAACTAGCTTCGTCTCTTTCGCACCCCCCACACCCTGCCAAACACCCACCACATGCACAACCCGTGGCTTACGTCTGTCCTGGTTGTCACTTCTTCCAACTTCATCTGTAGGTGAGGGGGTTTTTTTTCTTTCTTTCTTTTTTTTTTTTTTTTAACAAGAACATTTCTTGGACTTGAGAATGGGGCTTTTGGGAGCCTGGTGGAAAGTTTGTGTCCAAGCCAGGACTAAGAGTGTAGTCAAAAATTGTAAGGGATTAAAAACCCACATGTTTGAGAATCTTCCCTTCTCCACATTCAAGGCACTCCCACGTTACAACCTGGACATGAGCTCCAGATTCAGACTATTCTGATTTATGCCACTTCATAGTTTTATGATCTTAGAAGTTACTTTACCTCTCAGAACCTGCTGCCTCATGTAATCACTGATCTAAAGCAATGCTGGAAGGATTAATCAGGCAGAGGAGACTTGATCATGATAGAATGATGCCCATTCTGTGCTGCACATGGTGCTGGGTGTTTTCTTTCTACGTATTTTTTAGGTGCTTGCATTTTCTTATTTACTTTTCCCAATAACTCTTCATAATTGCTGTCACTGGGCTGGGTGTGGTGGCTCATGCCTGTAATCTTTGGGAGGCCGAGGTGGGCAGATCACCTGAGGTCAGGAGTTCGAGACCAGCCTGACCAACATGGTGAAACCCTGTCTCTACTAAAAATACAAAAAATTAGCTGGGCGTGGTGGCGCATGCCTGTAATCCCAGCTACTCGGGAGGCTGAGGCAGGAGAATCGCTTGAACCTGGGAGGCGGAGGTTGCGGTGAGCCAGGATCGCGCCATTGCACTCCAGCCTGGGCAACAAGAGCAAAACTCTGTCTAAAAAAAAAAAAAAAAAAAAAAATTGCTGTCATTAGCACTGTTTCCCAGATGAGGAAACAAAGGCCTGTGGAGGTTAAGTAACCTGTCTCAGGTCTTCTAGCTGGGGCAGAGACAGGAATCAAGACAGCTTTCTCCAACTATGAAGCTCCTCCTCTTTCTTATAAATTATATTGCCTCTCTGAGCTTGTGCCCAGCATGTGGTGGGCATTCAGGAAAGGTGGGCATCCTCTATCCCCTCTCTCCTGTGGGACAGTTGTTTTTGTTTTGTATTACTTTTCAATTAAATGATTGCAAATGATTTTGTAAACATTGCTAACAGGACCAACCTTATGTGTAGATAATATATGTTGAAATACTTATGAACAGGAAAGGCCTACAAATGTTAGACATGCCCTAATTATTACTCAGAGTGTGATTTCAGGGATACCAGGCAGGGCCTGAGAGAGTTCTAGTTGACACATTTGCCTTAGACTGACGCTGCTGCGGGAGATGACTCTTGTGAGATAGGCTAGTAAACAGAAGGCTATGGGAGCCAAGTGAACTTCATAAGAACTGACTGGCCCAGAGAGGCCTGGATCGGAATAAGCACAAGTAATTCTGCCTCTTGTGCATGGACTTTGAAACCTGTGTTTCCGATCCTACACCTGCCATTTGCTAGCTCTGGGGCTCCGATAAGTTACAGGGCCTCTATGAATCTCAGTTGTCTTGTGAGAAAAATGAGGAAGTAGTGTCTGTACCAGAGGGTGGTTGTGAAGAATAAATGATATTATGTCCCTGAGCAAGCAATAAATGGCAAGAATTATTATCATTTACCAGTGGCTGGCCTGAAAATACTGGCCTCCTAATGGATAAAAGACCATCTACATACCTAATTAAGGCCCTTGTGATGGGAGACACCCCATCTATCCCTGGCAGTCTCTCTTTAGAATATATCAAAGAGCTTAAAGCCCCATTCCTTTAGTCTCCTTATAGGAGATGTAAAGGGAAACTCCAAGGGAGGTAGGCTGTATCCTTGGAAGAAGCTCTGGGGGGAGCATGCTCAGATCTTCACAAGAAAACAGGGCACCCCGTACAGTCACTGCTTCTCTAGGGCACTCTCAATGCTAGTGTTCATGAAAGTCAGCAAAATCCTTGACCCCAGAGTTACAAAGAGTTAAGTGGTACCTGTAGGGCCACTGGTAGGCCTAAGATACAGCCCGATTTCAGGGGTGGAGGAAGAGAAAAAGAAGGCCAGTAAAAAATTTCTAGATAAGTTTTTAGGCCCTTGAACTTTATTCTGAAAGCCTGATAATTAGCCACTTCCCATGATCCCTGTGTTGGCCTAGTCATACTTGTCAGGACATAGCAGCGGCAGAATGGCCAGCATACTACGGTTTAACCATCAGGCCAGTTCAAGGCTGAGCAGGAGCAGGAGAAAATGGCCAACTCTAGAAATAGTAGCTGTGTGTATGTGTATGTGCACATGCACATGTGTGCTGTGTGTGCACTTTGTGTATGTGCTGTGTGTGTGCTTTGTATGTGTGCAGGGTGTGTGTGCGCACACTGTGATGTGTGTGCGCACTGTGTGCTGTGTGCTTTGTGTATGTGTTATGTGCACTTTGTGTGCACACTGTGTATGCACTGTGTGCTGTGTGTTGTGCTCTGTGGGGAGATTTAGTATGGAGAGATTTTGTTTTTAAGATGAGGTCTCACTATGTTGCCCTGGCTGGTCATGAACTCCTGTGCTCAAGCAGTCTTCCCATCTCAGTTTGGGTAGCAGGGATTACAGGTGTGCGTCACCACACCCAGCTTGAAAAGATTTTTATAGGGATCTTTTTTTTTTGAGACAGAGTCTCACTCTGTCACCGAGGCTGGAGTACAATGTCATGGTCTCGGCTCACTGCAACCTCTGCCTCCCAGGTTCAAGGGATTCTCCTGCCTCAGCCTCATGAGTAGCTGGGATGATTATAGGCGCCCACTACCACGGCCGGCTAATTTTTGTATTTTCAGTAGAGACGGGGTTTCACTATGTTGGCCAGGCTGGTCTTGAACTCCTGACCTTGTGATCCACCAGCCTTGGCCTCCCAAAGTGCTGGGATTACAAGCGTAAGCCACCGCACTCAGCCAGGGGTCTTTTTTTTATAGCAGTCTTTTTCGTGACCTTGGTACTGAGATTTCTATGTATAAATCCCCAAAATGCATACCCTTACAAAGGCTAAACAAGGAAGAGCTGACTGAGATTATAACATAAAAAAATTTACTCTGGGCCGGGCACAGTGGCTCACGCCTGTAATCCCAGCACTTTGGGAGGCCGAGGCAGGTGGATCACCTGAGGCCAGGAGTTCAAAACCAGCCTGGCCAACATAGTGAAACCCCATCTCTACTAAAAATACAAAAATTAGCCGGGTGTGGTGGTGCAGGCCTGTAATCCCAGCTACTCAGGAGGCTGAGGCAGGAGAATTGCATGAACCTGGGAGACAGAGGTTGCAGTGAGCCGAGATCATGCCACTGCATTCCAGCCTGGGCGAGAGAGCAAGACTCCATCTCAAAAAAAAAAAAAAATTTTTATTCTGTTACTAGACCCAAGAAAGTTACTAGACCTGAGAACACTGTGCTGACTATAACTGGCTTGGATAGTGATCTTATTATAGGTCTCTGTTGCCCACAGGGCCTGAGACCAGCCGGTCTCAAAATCTAACTTTGAGTTTATTGAAGGAAATGATAGTATCTTTTTTCTCTGAGGGAAAAAAAGTCAACTTCTGTCCTACCTTAATGTACTCTCTTTGTAATCCATGCTTAAGCTGTGCTGGATGTTTTAAATGCATTGTTTTACCTATTATTTAAAACCAATGAAGTCTGCACTCTTGTCCATTTTACAGAGAGGCAAATGAGGCGCAGAAAGGTTACGTAACATGGCCAGGGTTGCATTCCTGTATGTAAACCCTGCCCTGGCAATGTTTGCTCATTTTTATGGAGTAGAACGTCTCTCCCCTTTTCTAAACTCTCTCTCATGATACTTTGCCTTTGTGTGATTTTTGTTTCCGAAATGCTTTCTCCTATTTATGTTGTTTCATTTTCCGGAAGCTCTGGGAGGTCGGGGTAAGGTATTATGATCTCCACATAATGCTGCTGCCTAGCTCCCACCTAGTCAATGTGTGACTGGGTCTAGTCCCAGCCTTTTGGCCAGGACCTTCTACATCTGCTTTTTGCAGTGACCACAGTCCCACACCCATCACTTCAACACCACTCATCTTTCATTTCCCCTCTCCATTCCCAAATCAAAATTTACATGTCCTAGGCCCTGTTGAGAGTAGCCATCTGGACCCACAAATTTGAGTAAAGGTGCTAATGGCTACTAATAGTTTCAAAGGTCCCTTCTCAGATAACATGGTATTTGCACAGTGTGTTTCGGTATTTTAACCTTGGGTTCCTCATCAGGAGGTGAAGAGCTTCCCAAAGAGCTTCAAGCTTTATTCATTCCTCATTTAACAAAATCTTACTGTTGCTGGCTCGGCACCATGTTAGGCATTAGGAATCTAAAAATAATGGAATCACTACCTAGTAAATAAAATCAGCTGTCCTGCTATGCTATTAAAGTTCAGAAGAAGGCACCAAATCTAGGCTGGGGTACAAAAAGGAAGTCCCTAAGAGGAACAGACGTTATAGCTGAACTGCAAAGGGTGAATGCGCTCCGGCCAGGGAGATGGAGAGTGAGGGGCCTGGGGAGTGGCCCAGGCAGAGGGAAAGGTCTGGGCAAGGGGTGAGACAGCATATGACTAATTCTGGAATCAGCTGTGTGGGAGCACGTGGTAGGCAATGAAGCTGGAGAGAAACAGGAAGATCCCTAAACAGAGTGCTGCCAACATTTTCTTTCCACGTGGAGGTATTTTGAGGTTTCAGCAGGGAAGAAACTATGTTTGGTAACTCTTCCCATCTCAAATTCTAGCCCCTTTTTGCAGGGACTTCATTATGACCATCTTATGGCATCAATGATGACTGCCCCTTTTAAATCTCATATTCAAATGGATAGTGGGGCCCCTTAGAGCAGTGGCTCTCATGCTTCATCAGCATCAGAATCTCCCAGAAGGCTGTGAGAACACAGGCTGCTGAGCCCTGCTCCCAGAATTTCTGATTCCGTAGGTCTGAAGTGGTGCCTGAAAATTTGCATTTTTGGAGAGTTGCCAAGGGACCACATTTTTGAGAAGCCTTGCCTTGGAGCATACAAAGCCATGATATTAACGAGGCTGTTTTTAATGCCTTTGCACCCTTTTTTACCATTAGTTTCAGTTGACCTTTTTAGGCTGGTCAGGTTGAGTATTAGGCAGCATAATAGTTCCCTAAGGCCGCCTTAACAAATTACCACAAACTGGGTGGCTTAAAACAACACAAATGTATCATGTTACCGTTCTGGAGGCTGGAAGTATGAAATCCAGGTGTCGGCAGGGCCATGCTCCCCCTGAGTCCTTCCTCGCCTCTTCCTAGCTTCTGGTGGCTGCAGGTGTTCTTTGGCTGGTGGCAGCATAGCTCCAATCTCTGCCTCCATCTTCACGTGGCTGGCTTCTCCCCGTGTGTGCCTGTTTTCACATGGCGTTCTTTTATAAGGACACTGCTTATATTTGATTAGGGGCCCATAGAAGACACAGAATATATTTTGCTCTGCCTTACAGCAGTGAGTCCAGGGCTGCCCAAGTCTAGACAAACTCATCCATCCCGTCCCCAAGCATTCAGCATCTGCACAGTGTGGCTTTCACTGTACATCCCTTCCAAAAGACAGCAAATCCTTCTTTTTCCTCCTCATATTCTTCAACCAACCAGCACCACCTTGTTATAGAAATACTTGATATAACCTGCCTTTTATAAATTAGGAAGAAAACAGTAAGGTTTCAGAAAGTTTACTCATTTAAATTTATAGTGTTTTGCATCACAATGAAATCATTCTGTTTGGATTGCTAGGACTATATGACCAGCTTTAATTCCTCATCCTTCACTTCTATTTTTGTTGGCCTTCATTTACTTACTTTGGTTTCTAGAGACACTAAAGGTGGCAACATGCAGAGGACAGGGGAGAGGGAGGGACCTTTTGAGATGGTTTGAGCTGCATCCATTTGGACTGCTCCCAGTGAGTCAGTGGCTTCAGACTGGAACAAATCAGGACACTTATGTTCATGCAGCAGCCGAGAGGTGTAAGGAGGCCTCCCCCAGGTCCCCTAAGTCTAGGGAGTCTGAATCTTCTGTTATTACTGCCTTATGCCTCTGGCGGAGGGGCATCCAGAAAGGAGAAGCAGAGCCACAGCAAAGGAATATGTTCACCCATCTCTTCAGACTCTCCATACCAAGCCGCCTCATGATAATACCAGCAGCCACGATGGGGCTGACGAGACTTCTCATTTCCTGCCCAGCTCTGATTCCATTAGGAAAAACCTCACCCTGCCTTACCCCAGGGCTTTAGGCTAGATTTGGAGAGAGGTTTTCAGTATCCTTCCCCTCTGCTTTCCCGGAACCTCTGTCACAGCTGTAATCCACAGCAAATGGATTTCCCTGACACTGGGGACAAAGGCCTAGTGTTTCGTAGACTTGGCGGCTCCTGGGAGGGCAGAACCATCAGCGTTTCTCCAGCTGCTGGTCTCAGGCCCTGTGGGCAGCAGAGACCTGTAATAAGATCACTATCCAAGCCAGTTATATTCAGCACATCATTCAAAGTGGCCCATTGCAGTTAGGAGGGGAGAAGTGACTTAAATAGGAATCATAGCCCTTCAGAGCCCGGGCTCATACAAAACCACACAGTGAGTAGGAACCCAGAGAAAAACAGACTTCTAGTTCTTGATGTTAGCCATTAATGAGATTTGGCTGTGATTTATAATGGGAGTCCGCAGGGATGGGTGGCCTTGGGGAAGAAATAAAGAACTAGTTGGAAGAGAAGGAAAGAATAAGAGTAGGAATTAAAAGGAAATTGAAAAGGGGTGGGTAGAATACTGAAAGCCTAGATACTGTGAAAGTTTAAGGATTCAGATTTTCTAATGTGGGTCACCAGAGGGAAGGATGTAAGGAGAGTCCACAGATGCCTCAGTAGCCCTTACTGAGACTGCAGAATGCCTCCGCTACTCTCCAGCAGCCAGAACTTTGAGCGGAAGGAAGGTGTGAAGGGGGAGATATGAAAGCTCTGGTTCAAAAAGGGGAACTGTAGAAAAAAAAGTTTTAAAGCTGTTATATGGGTCCACACTTACTAATTATGTTTTCTTCCAACTCAAGTTCCCTTCTACTAGGAGACCAACAATAAAGTGACATATGGCAGGACCCTAGCTTCTGGTTTCTCTGCAGGGCAAACTTCACCTCTCTCGTTGATAAGTCACCACCACCATGCGGGCAGGAGGTTTCCTGAGGTGCCTTCCATGGTACTGGATGAGAATCAGGGGAGCCATATCACCCCAAGTCACTTACCTCCCCCACACTGGGTCTCCGTTCTTGCATAGAAAAAACAAGGGAGATTATGGTAATTTTTGATTTCTCATACTGGTTGATGGATACACAAGCATATTATCCTTTATATATATATTACATAGAATATTTTGTAAGTATAAATGGACATTAATTAACAATTAGGGAATTAAATTCAGAGATATCAGTTCGTTTTCAACTGAAAATCTAGTATGCTTTGACACGGACTTCACCCAGTGTGGCTGAAATAATGGCTCAAGGTGAAGTTGCAGAGAGGATCATGGGAAGCGCTCTGGCTTTGGAGTCGGACTTGGTTTTGAATCCCAGTTCTATGATGACCTTACATAAATTGCTTAGATATATTTCTCATTGACAAAATTGGGATAATCATACCTATACCATAAGGGAGGTCATAGTATCTATGATAGTGCTTGACAAGTAGTAAGTGCTCAATAAATAATCACTATTATTAGTATAGACACCATTGATGGAAGGTACTGAAGTGAAATCACAGGTGGCTGATGTTTTAAACTAGTTGGTGAGAAATTTGTGGATGAGGTAGAGATTAAGCTTTCAGATGAGGAGTAGGATGGAGTATGGTGCATTTCAAGCAATTTTATTCAACAAACATCTATGGAACGAAGCACAAGGTATTATGGGAAAATATGACATGATCCCACCCCCAAGCAAATCACTTTCTTGTAAGGCTATGTTGTAAGTGCTAGGAGACAGGCAGGCACAGAGTGCTCTGGGAGCAGCCTTTAAGCTGGATGGCTTAAAGGAAGACACTGGAACCTAATTTGAAGGAAGCAAGAGGAGAAGAGTTGGGGGGGTTGCATTCAGTGCATATTTCACAGGAGAGACTCAAGTTGTTTTGAAGATCTAAGGAGTTGGTTACATGAAAAATTGAAGGAAGGCATTTCAGGGGAGGGGAATAGCGTGAGTGAAACCACAGCGGTAAAAACCACAGAGGTAGGAAGTAGCAAGGCAGCCAAATTCCAAATGACCTGGGCACCTTGGTCATAATGCTGAGACCAGAGAGAGTGCAAGTGTGGAAAATGAGGCCAGGAAGGCAAAATGGGTCAGATCATGGAGGGTTTCACATCCCACATGGAGCAGCTTGTGGGGTGGGGGCACTGGGTGGGCCCAAGAACAGAGGTAATTCAACACATGATGCAGGGACAAATGGATATTCACATGCCCAAACATGGAATAACATATGACCCAGAGATTTCACTGCTAGGTTATACCCAACAGAACAGAAGCAAGGACTTATATGCCGTGTTCATTCCATTGCAACATTATTCACAATAGCCAAAAGGTGGAAACCACCCCAGTGTTCATCAACAGATGAACAAACACAATGTGGTGTGTATGTAGGTATACAATGGAATACTATTCAGCTATCAAAGGGAAAGAAATTCTCATACATGCTACAACATGAATGAACTTTGAAAACATTATGCTAAGTGAAACAAGCCAGACACAAAAGGACAAATATTAATATGCTTCCACTTAAATGAGCTATCTAGAACAGGCAAATTCATAGAGAATGAAAGTAGATTAGAGGTTAGGGGATAGGCAGGGGACAAGGGGGACTGAGGAGTTATTGCTTAATGGTTACAGAGTTTCTGTTTTGGGTAATGAGAAAGTTCTGGGAATAGATGGTGGTGATGATTGCACAACAGGTGAGTGTAGTTAATGGTACTGAATTGCACACTTAAAATCTAGTCATATTCTGAACTTTCCTTCTCTATCCTTTACATAAGTGATTGAGAGAGAGAGCAGTCAAGAGAGTGAGAGAGCACACTTGAAAGACAGCCACAGCTATCAAAAGTGTGAGCTAGAACAGAGGGTGCAAGCTGGGGACAGAGAGCAACATGAGCATGCACTATCCAAGAAGTAAGAGAGAGTGTCTGTGTGAATTGAAGAGACAGACCTGCTGATCAAGCCTGGGATGGCAGATGCTCAGGGAGGGGGAGACTACAAGCGACAGGAGAGAGAGCTGGAGCATGTGCAGCAAGGGTGCGGGCACTTGGGAGAGCCACGGGGAGCCAGAGGCAGGAGACTGGTCAAGGGCGAGCAGCCCAGGAGGCAGCAAGAAGGTCGAGTAGGGGAGAGAGCTCATTAGAGGGAAACGGAGCTACCAGTCTGGATCAATCACAGCGGGGCAAGAGGGCAAGAGTGGGAGCAAGAGCGAGGGGGAGGACGTGCTCGTATTCCAGAGAGCCAAGGCAGAGTGAGGGAGGGTGAGCACACTGAGGATGGGCCCACCCAAGGAGCAGCTCTGAGAAATCAGTGGTGAAAGGGAGCATGGGCACAGGTGTGAGAGATGGCAGGGACCAGGGGCAGGGAAAGAGTGGGAAAACCAGGGACTGGGGAATCAAAAACTACTGACACAGAAAAGACACGGGTGGTTGGGGGTGGTAGTGGGAGGAGGGGCGGGACAGTGGGTGGGGGGATGGTGGGGGGCGGGGGGGATGGTGGGGGGACAGGGGGAATGGTGGGAGGGCAAGGGGGACAGTGGGCAGGGGAGACCGGGGGGAAGGGGGGGACAGGGGGGATGGGGGGGGCAGGGGGCGGTGGGGGGGTGGGGGGCAGGGGGGCAGTGGGGGGGTGGGGGGGCAGGGGGGCGGTGGGCGGGGAGACAAAGCCTAGAACTGGAGAGAGAAGAAAGGAAAGGCATGCTTGCCCACAGGAGGAGACAGGCGACAAGAGTGTGGGAAGTGCACTGTGCCCACGTGCCCAGGTTGCTGCAGTAAGTCTCTCTCCCCTGCATGGGGAGCAGTGGCTGTCCTGGCCTGTACAGTTTTTCTGTAAAGGAATGCCATGCTCCCTCAAGACTTTTGTCTTATTTCTTAACAAGATTTGAGTGTACACTCTCCACAGTGTCTGCCCTAGCTGCTACAAAAGGAAAAAAGAAATAGAAATGATAACCCCCAAACTGAGCAGTACTGGGGAGATAGCAACAGGACATTAATGATGACTTTGGCTTTTTGCACTAATCATGCTCTCATTAATGTGAAAAATTATATTTTCTTCCCCTCTTAAATGGGTATACTCTACAAGCAGAGGACTGAATGTCTGTGATGGGATGACAAATAAATATTATTTTTCCATGTAGGAAGGAATGGGTAGAAGGAACAGCCTCTACACAGCCTCTGTTCTAGCTCATGCTTTTGATAGCTGTGGCTGTCTTTCAAGTGTGCTCTCTTACTCTCTTGATTGCTCTCTCAATCACGTGAAGGATAGAGGAGGGAAGGTCAGAATATGACTAGATTTTAAGTGTGCAATTCAGTATGATTAACTACACTCACAGAAATAGAACTGAGACTTGATCATCCAGGATGTAGATTATTCTACCCTCTTAATTTTCTGCCCTATTTTCCCATTTTATTTTTTATATTTATAAGTACTTCAGTTGAGATTTTCCAGTGTGTAATGAAAAGCAAGAAATGAAACCCAATTCTGGCCAACATTTGGGAAAAGGGAGGTGAGACTTTGAACTAAGAGAAGATGTTGGGATTCTGTGAGGTAGTCTGTGTTTGAATGGAACTATCATTTACTGATTTGTTGCTTGATGATCCTTATAATTTCAATTGCACCTCACCTTTACAATTAGTTTTTCAGTTTCTGTGAGATCAGGAATTATACCTCCTACCACTTTTTATGCAGCCTAATTTTCCCTCCCTAGAACATAAGATAAAGTGGATTTTGACAGCGCCAAGACATAGGAAGTACTTGTTGACTTTGCTGCTTCATTGATTCCTGCATCATCATTATCATCATAAGCATCCTTAGCAAGTCAGTAGCCATAATAAGGCCCAGCACTGCGTGCAGCTCAGGACAAAGGGAATTAATTCATGGACAAGCACCTTGCTCTATGGCAGTAAAAGCAGACATATGAACATAAGGAAAAATCACTGCTTAAAGAGTAAGGTCAAGAGTGCAGCTTGCAGGCTGCTACACTGCCTTGGAAATCATAAGCAACTTGCTGCCTGCCACCTGGGAGTGGCTTGGGTTTCCAGACTCCCAACATTCCTGTCTTTTAGACTTTACCCACACTTTTTTCAGCCCACAGTGAAATTCCCCCAGTCTGAAGAAGGCAGCCTGAGCAATGATAACCCTGAAACTGAGCAGTATTGGGGAGATAGCAGCAGAATAGTAATGATTACTTTGGCTCTTTGCACTAATCATGCTCTCATTAGTATGAAAAATTATATTTTCTTCACCTATTAAATGGGTATACTCTACAAGCAGATGACTGAATGTGTGTGATGGGGTGACAAACAAATATTATTTTTCCATGTAGGAAGGAATGGGTAGAAGGAACAGCCTCTACACAGAAATGAGGATTTTTAAGAAAAGCATGGAAAAAGAAAAAAAGAGGAACTTAAACTCAGATCTGGGTGTGCCTCTCCCACCACCCTTTCCTTCTTTCCCAACCCCTCTCCACTGCCAAGCACACAGCCTCAAGGGAAGGTAGAATTTCCAGTTCTGTATTCAGACCATAGGATGGGCCCTGAAGGAATTTATGGCCCTCCTTACTGACTGGGATAGGAGATTCCAGAAGGTTCTGCCATTTCTGTCTTAGGAGAGACCCTATCTATTGGATCTGGGCAGTGTGAACCAGGCCACAAGAGCCAGTGCTTACAGAGCACACAGGATATGCTTGGCACTCTGCTGAGCACCTTTCATCATCACTTTTCTTTATGTTCACCACAGCCCATATCCTGTCACATCTAATTGATTAAGAAACAGGTCAGACAGGTGTGACATGCCAGGATTTCCTGGCTAGAAAGTGGCAGAGCCAGGACAAAGCCAAGTCTTTCTGATTCCACAACCTGAGATTTTAACCAGATTGGTCAGTATGGTACCCTGCTAAGCGTTAGATCCAGAGGGCACTCAGTAAGTACATACCTAATAAAGATAGATACCTCAAACACACTTGAGCTCTTCTGGCTTTGAAAACTAAACTAAATAAACACCTCAGTTTATTTGATTGCCTTCTGGTTTTGTCACCAGGCTGGAGTGCAGTGGTGTGATCTCAGCTCACTGCAACCTCTGTCTCCTGGGTTCAAGTGATTCTTCTGCCTCAGCCTCCCAGGTAGCTGGGACCACAGGCGCACACCACCATGCCCAACTAATTTTTGTATTTATAGTAAAGATGGGGTTTCACCATGTTGGCCAGGATGGTCTCGATCTCTTGACCTCGTGATCTGCCCACCTTAGCCTCCCAAAGTGCTGGGATTACAGGCATGAGCCACCGCACCCGGCCTTCTCTGTAGATTGTTAGTCCTGCTTCTTTCACTAGGTGGCTGTATAAATATGGACAAATAGTAAATTCTCTGATGTTCAGTGTCCCCACCCCAACGATGAAAAGGCTGATAGGGTGAGAGGTGATCCATGAGATCACTGCTAGGGAGAACGTTATAGGAAGTCTGCCTCCTTTCCTAGTTTTGCTTCCTCTGGCAAAATAAACAGGTCATAGGCTTTAGAATCAGCCAGACCTGATCTCAAATCTCACCTAGTGAACCAAGTCTGCCCTGTCCTTCTGAGGGCAAGTGTGTCTTAAGACCTCAGTTCCCAAGTGGTCGGGCATGGCGGCTCATGCCTATAATCCCAGCACTTTGGAAGGTCAAGGCAGGTGGATCACTCAGGGGCAGGAGTTCGAGACCAGCCTGGCCAACATGGCGAAACCCTGTCTCTACTAAAAATACAAAAATTAGCTGGGTGTGGTGGTGGTCGCCTGTAATCCCAGCTACTCAGGAGGCTGAGGCACGAGAATCGCTTGAACCCGGGAGATGGAGATTGCAGTGAGCCGAGATTGTGCCACTGCACTCCAGCCTGAGTGATAAAGCAAAACTCCAGTCTCAAAAAACAGAGACCTCAGTTCCCAAGTGGCCCCACCACAGACTGGAAAGCTGATGTATATACTGCATAGTCGTCACCTGGTATCCACTGAGGACTGGTTCCAGGAACCCCCTTGGATGCCAACATTCATGGAAGCTCAAGTCCCTAATATAAAGTAGCATAACATTTGCATATAACTGACCCACATCCTCCTATATACTTTAAACCATCTCTAGATTACTTATAATACCTCATACAATGTAAATGCTATGCAAATAGTTGTTACACTGTATTGGTTAGGGAATAATGACACAAAAAAAGTTTACGTGTTCAGTACAGACACCGTATTTTTTGAATATTTTTGATCCTGTGGTTGGTTGAATCCATGGATGTGGAACCCACAGATACAAAAGGCTGACTTTGTGAACATTCTCTAGTAAGCGTCTGTCAAAACATTCACTTCTGCCTCTTCCCTCCTAGCATCTGCCTGCCCTTCTGCCATCCGAGCGCCCTGACTGCGCCACACTGCAGGCCATGGAGAATGAGCTGCCAGTCCCACATACATCTAGCAGTGCCTGTGCCACCAGCAGTACCAGCGGGGCCAGTAGCAGCAGTGGCTGCAACAACAGCAGCAGTGGTGGAAGTGGCCGCCCCACCGGGCCCCAGATTTCTGTGTACAGTGGTATTCCAGACCGGCAGACCGTGCAGGTAAGAGTCTAATTGATCTGGGAATTATACTCCTTAATCATCTCCAGGGCTAGCAAGGAGGAGGTGTTGGCATGGTCTGGTGGGATAATCTAGATGTGGACTCTAGAACGGGCATATGGGAGTGAGTTCGTAGATACACATTTGTGTATAGTTACAGGGGGTGAAGGATGCAAAATGGCCCAATCAAGGAGTTTGGAGGACACGTGTGTGAAAGTATAAAGGGCAGACAAGTAACAATAACAAATAATACATGACCAAGAGCTGCTCAGCCACAACCCAGACCCACTCTCTAAATGACCATTGCCCGGTGAAGAACACATCTCAGTTTTTCAGAGACCAAAAGCCAAAGAGAACCCCCAAATAATCCTTTGTCATTGCAGCTTTTTACCTTCTCCCTTAAAGCAGCAGTTGGCAAATGTCATCCAGAAGGCCTTCCAGGTGGCGGCTCACTGCTCCTAAATGCAGTCAGGGCCATGCACTACCATCTGCTGTGTGCCTGACATGGTACTAAGCATTTTGCACGCTTATCCTTTTGGTTATTATTAGGCACAATTCTGTAGTTGAGAAAACTGGGGCTCAGAGAAGGTAATAACTTGTTCAAGGTCATTCAGGTAAAGACAAAAAAATTGAACCTCTCACCCCAGACCTGTGTTCTTAATCACTACAATGTTTTTTTGAGGTTCCTGGATAATACAGGCAGAAAAGAGAGACCACAGCTGAGAAGTGTTTACTCCCAGTGACTTTGCTATTACAGTTTGGATATACTAGAAAAGTGACCTCATCCTGCTTTGAACTTAGGCCCAGATAAGGGAACAAGGGAGAACCCACAACAGACAGTAAGAGGGCCTGAAAACCCAAGTTAAAGAAGATGCCATCAGATACCCTGGACTCTTCCCTCTCCCACTTATTTCTACCTCGTGCTTAGTGAATCCATGTTTCCTGCCCCTACCCTTGTCCCTAGCCCCAGCACCTGGCCCTGGCCCATCATGCATGAGAACCTTAGCTCTGATTTATAGCCACGGCATTCAGATATACCCACTCCTGCCACTCATCACAATTCTAGGCAAAAGGGGGTCTGGGGTCCTGTTCTGGCGAGTGGAATCACCCAAGGTTGCATGCAGAACCATCCTGGGCTCCTCCTGTCTCCCTTCATTGACATCTTCTCATGAGGAAGGGTCACAGGATCTCAACTACATGGGCTGGACTGCTGGGGAGGTCACTTTCAGGAGTCTAATAGAAAGGCCTAGGCAAAGGGAATACAGACAGATAATTCTGAGAGAGCAGGAGAGAAAAAGAATAGAGTTAAAATAAAACAGGGTATCGGAGAGGGGTGTTCACGTCAGAGGAGTGGAATCTGGGGGCAACATGTGGAAGAGTTGGGATGGGGATGTCTGGGGAGACACCAGAGCCCACGGAGGATCTGCTATAACAACAGGCTGTTTTTACAGAACCCCAAATCTGAGCCAGAGGCTGTTTTGTCCTAGAGCTGTCAGCCCTAGAAGTCACACCAACCTGGGGAAAGCCTGACCTGACCCTGGGCCCCGTTCTGGCAAGGCTTGCTCGCCGGGACAGGGCCCAGGGTCAGGAGCTGCCTGTGGCCAGGGATTCAGCAGAGGTAAGGGTAGAAAATAGGGGGAAGCCTGGTGAAGGCCAGTGCAGGGCATCAACTGGGAAGAGATGGCAGGAGGGTGACCAGTGGGAGAAGGGAGGAGAAATGTCTCTGGGACTCACAGGAAGAAGACAGAGGATCTTAGGGCTGGGGAAAGGCACTCGCTGTTCTTTGTTCCTGGGGATGGGGAGGATCAAAGGACAGCCTTTTGTCCTTTCCAGGAGATTGGCCAATCCCATCAGGAAAGAAGGAATAAGCAGTAAGGCCAGGGAATGGGAGACAGCAGCTAAAAAGAGGGAATGATGGAGAGAGAGAGGAAGGGAAAGAATTAAAGGGGGCCGGGCACAGTGGCTCACGCCTGTAATCCCAGCACTTTGGGAGACCGAGGTGGGTAGATTACCTGAGGTCAGGAGTTCGAGACCAGCCTGGCCAACATGGTAAAACCCCGTCTCTACTAAAAATACAAAAAAAATTAGCCAGGTGTGGTGGCGGGCACCTGTAATTCCAGCTCCTTGGGAGGCTGAGGCAGGAGAATCACTTGAACTAGGGAGGCAGAGGTTGCAGTGAGCCGAGATCACGCCATTGCACTCCAGCCTGGGCAACAAGAGCGAAACTCCATCCCCCCTCCAAAAAAAAGAATAAAAGGGGAGTGTGCTGTCCCTGTGGCACTGGCCTGCTCTGTAAGGCCCAGACAACCTTATTCTAAGGGATTGATGGGACTCTGAGAGGCTGTGGGCAGAGCTGGGGAGCAGCCCCAAGTCTGCCTTGCAGCCCCAGCCTCAAGAAGGAGGCATTGCCTCCACCTAAGTTTGCCTGTGGCTGGCTGTTGCTGAAGCTGGAGTAGGCCCCCTGCTGACTTGGCTCTTCCCTCCACCCCCATTCTTTTCCCTGCCTTATTGAGCTTCACTCTCATCTGAGGCTGCAGAGTGACAGAGGGAGAGGAGTGCCTGACAAGCCTGGTGGAGACCCTTCTGTCTCCCTGAGCCTCCCTACTGCCCAAGAGTTGGTTAAAGCACTGGCGTGCGGCTCTGATTCTCCTCACCGAGGCAGTTGATGCAGGAGCAGGCCGTGCTGGGGAGGAGCTGCAGAGAGAGGCAAGATAGACAAAGTTAGACATGATGAAGAAGCTCTGCGAACAGCTGTCCTCCCACTGCCCTAGAGAGTGGCCACAATTGGCTGTGGTGGTGGTCACAGATCTTGGTGTCTCCCGAGCAGTTATAGAGACCTGGGGTGGGCAAGGCATTACTGCCAAAGGGGTGTTCTGTGTGGCAGCTACCAGCCTGGCTCTTCCCCCTCCCTCCCTTCTCAGGTGATCCAGCAGGCCCTGCACAGACAGCCCAGCACGGCCGCTCAGTACCTGCAGCAGATGTACGCCGCCCAGCAGCAGCACCTCATGCTGCAGACCGCGGCGCTCCAGCAGCAGCACCTCAGCAGCGCCCAGCTCCAGAGCCTGGCAGCCGTACAGCAGGTGAGACTTGGGAAGGACCTTGAGGCTGGTGCCAGGCATCCTGGTTGTGGAAGCAAAAGGGAGAGGAAGCAGGCACCGCACCTGCGCTTCACATCCTTCTCTTACCTGCAACCTAAAGAAGTCCTTGTGACACGAGCACTACTGTCATTATCTCCTTTTGGCAGATGAAGGACAGAGCCCAGGGTCATGCAGCTAGTGACTATAGCGGCGGAATGCTAGCCCATGGAAGAAGTGCCGGGGAGCCCCTCTCCTAACCACCTTACCGCAGGTCTAGGGAAAGGACTGTGGGTTCCAGGGAAGCGTTCGTGAACGAAGGGCACTGCCTGTTTAGCTTGTCTGCCCATTGTTGCTCTCTCTCCTCCTTAGCTGAGAAGAACACATTCATTTATCCATTCAGAAAAACATTTTATGTACCTTCTGCATGCAAAGTTTGTATCAAGCACTGGGTATACTGAGCACCCTGTCTTCTTGGCACTTACAATAGGAGACAGCAAGTAAACAGGAACCAGAATAGCCAAGGAAACAAAATATTTAAATCTCTAAGTTACAATAAGCGCCATGAAAGAGAAGAACAGATTGTTCTGACTGAAGGGCAAGGTAGACGGCCTTGCATTGCATGGTCAGGAAAAGCCTGTCTGTTGGAGTAACACTGGAGCTGACACTTGAAGGATGAGAAGCCGGCCATGGGGAGAAGGGCAGTTTGGACACTCCAGCTCATGTCTGCAAATTCTCTGTGGGGGGCGGTGGCTGGGTGTGATGGCAGTGGCCAAGTGTGATGGCGGTGGCCGGGTGTGATGGCGGTGGCCAGGTGTGATGGTGGTGGCTGGGTGTGATGGTGGTGGCCAGGTGTGATGGTGGTGGCTGGGTGTGATGGTGGTGGCCGGGTGTGATAGTGGTGGAGTGGAGGGCTCCACACACCGAAGGCGGTGGCCTAATAGTTGGAGTGCTCAGTGGCAATGCCTTGCCTTATTCAGTCCTCTCAGCAATCCTATCAGGCAGGTACTGTTAGCATCCTCACCTATTCACAGAGGAGGCGGGATACTTGCTGTGGGCCACATAGAGGCAGGTTGGGGGCTGACCTCCAGAGGCTGTTGTCCTTAACACCAGCCTGCAGCACCTCCTGTGGATGATGAGAGCCCAGGAGTGACTGGGGGAGGTCTGGGACTCTAGCAAGAGGAGTTTGTTCTTTCCTAGGCAAGCCTGGTATCCAATAGACAAGGAAGCACTTCAGGCAGCAATGTGTCTGCGCAGGCCCCGGCCCAGTCATCTTCGGTGAGTAGAATGGGGGAGCAGCAGCAGAGTCCACAGCCCCAGGACCAAAATGCCCAAGTTCCCAGACCCAGTTGTGGTGAATCCGTGGCCATGTAGCATCATGGCTGGAATCTATTGCCCTTACCGGGAAGAAAAAGAAAAGGGCATGTCTCTTACTGACCTTTAGGTTAGTAACTCCCTGTCATCCTCCCAGTGTCAGGGCTCTCTGTGGATAGCTCAGTTCTCTCAACATGGGATCCCCCTGCAGCTCTGCACCAAGGTCAGAGATGGGACAGGGCTGGGGGATTGCTCCAAAGCCAAGGACCACAGACGTTCCTGAAGGAGGCTGAATAAACCAAGGAGCAAAAGAGGGGGGAGAAAGAAATGGATGAGGGGGACACAGCTCACCAACAGAACCTCCTATCTCCTACCGCACATGTCTCTCTCATTAGATCAACCTGGCAGCCTCCCCAGCAGCAGCCCAGCTCCTCAACCGGGCCCAGAGTGTGAACTCTGCAGCAGCCTCAGGCATCGCTCAGCAGGCTGTGCTCTTGGGCAACACGTCTTCCCCAGCCCTGACTGCAAGCCAAGCACAGATGTATCTGAGGGCACAGATGGTGAGTACCCATGGCCAGGGCCATGGCTCAGAGGCACCAGGAGGACAGAGGCAGAGAAGCTGGGAGCTGGGAGCTGGAGAAGGGTGGGGAGGAAGCACTAGGGGCAGGGGCAGGAGATAAGGGGTGGGATAAAGAAGGGGGCCTGGAAGGCTGAGTGGGAGCTTTGGTACAGCCTCGAAGAGTCATGAAGGGTGGGGCTCCAGACTGAAACAGAGAAAGTTCCTGCGATGCCACCTTTCCTTCTCCTCCTAGAGTGAAACAGAAGTGTCCCCTTATCAGAAACTCCTCAAAATTAATCAGGATGGGCAGAGTGGTTCATGCCCAGGTGGTCCTGGACACCCAGACATCCATATACTTGACAGAAATGGAGTCTTCCCCTTCCCACCATCCTTACAAGGACTGGCCACCTCTAACTCAAGGGCCAAAGATGCTTTCCAGCTTCAGCGTGCCTCCATTGCCCTCCCAGCGGCCCCCATTCTAATCAGGGTCAGGTGAGCTTGTTTGGGCAGGATATACTCAGGATAGCACCAACTCTTTCCTTTGCACCTATCCCTGAGGGGTGCAAAGGTCCTTAGGAGCCTACCAGGTCCCTAAGATTTAGGAGAATGCCCTGGGAAAATGGCAGCATACTCCCTGGGTGGCAGTAGCATGCAGCCCCAGCTAGGGCTCAGTCACTGTGGGTCGTGTCTCATACCTCCCATTCTGAAGTCTGCTCCTTCGGGCTCTTGACACACTATCCCGAAAGTAACACAGTCCCACCCCTCCCTTTGCTCTTATGGCCAGGACGTGACCCTCGGAGCTTGTCTGGTCTTGCTCCCGCACATTTGTTCTTGGCTCTGAGTTCATCATTTGAGGCGCATCTCTATCCCCAGGGAACAGCCTCTTAGACACAAGGCATGAAATAGACTTCCATCTCCTCGGGAACTGGACAGCCACACTGTGATGCTGCTGCCCAAAGCTGACTGTGTCTGCAGGTTGCTTGTCCCTATGTCCTACTCCACTGGGGTCGTGATGCCTGCCTGTCTGCCTCCCTCCCCAGAGCAGGGCATACACCCACAGAGGAAAAAGCACAGCTGCGCTATCGCAGAGTTCTAGGGAAAGCACCCTGTCAAGGCACCAGCACATCCACACTGATGCAGAGCTAGACTCCCACGGAGGTCGAGGTGTCATGCAGAGAACACCATGGATCCTGCACCCTGCAGGATGGGATTCAGACATGAGGACGGCTCCAGGCGGTCCGCTTCCTCTGCTGTTGTTGTCTCTAGGCCCCTCTGAATCTAACTTTGACTAGAAAATGACCAAAAGGATACATCGAACTTGATCCCCTGGAGGGCAGTCTCATCTTGGCTCAGCCCTGGGTTCAGCAGTGGGTTAGACCTGGAAGGTGGTCCTAGGGCATCCATCTCGCTTCCCAGGACGCTAAGGAGGTGGTGGCTTCAGCGTATCCTGGGGATATCGGTCTCCTCTAGGATGAGCCCCTCACAGAGGGTTCTGAAGGGAACTCGGCTTTGGTGTAGCCCCAGAGCGGCTCTCCCCACCCACCCCTGCACCCAGCCTGGGTCAGGATGCAACGAGCCTCTAGAGAAAGGCAGGCGCTCCCCTTGGACTCCCCCTTCCTTTCTGCTTCTACTGTCCTGCCCTTCCTCATAGCCGCTCCTGGGCTAAACAGTTGTGTCCTGTGGCTGAGTCCACATCGAGCAGGTAAAAGGCGCCTCGTTTCCTGTGATTCCAGGCCCAGCCAGGTAACCTGGTGCAGGTAGCTAGGAGCCTAGGCGGCACTGTTCCTTTGTCCCCTCAGCTCATCTTCACGCCCACGGCCACCGTCGCTACTGTGCAGCCTGAGCTCGGCACTGGCTCCCCCGCCCGGCCCCCCACCCCCGCCCAGGTGAGGACTCCATGCTTGTGGGAGGGCAGGGGGGTGGGCACCCCTGTAGAGGGGCACTGATACTGGGGAGGGGCACAAGGAGAGGCCGGGATCAGCTAGGAAAGCAGGCGGGAGACAGGACACCCCAATGCCCCCAGGCCTGCGCGTCTACCCTGTTCCAGAAGGCCTCAGTCCCTCCTGGCTCTGTTTCGTTCCCTCAAACACAGGTCAGGAGCCAGAGGGCAGCCTGCTGAGGCCAGCATGATTTGCCAGGGAGGGGTGGGCTGTGCTACCCTCCATACTTTACACCTGCCCCAGCATAGCTGGTCTGGCTGCTGCTGCTTCATAAGTGGAAAGTCCCGCTCCGGTTACACACGGTAGTGCTGCTAGGACTCGAGAAAAATGACATGTAAGAGGGAGCAGAGACGTGTCCTGCTCTGCTAGGAGCGCACAGATACTACCGTGGCTGGGAAGATTCTGTGGGCAGCCGGGGAAGGAACCCCTAGCACTCGCATCTCCCCATCCTCATCTACGGAATGGGGAGGGTGATGGGACAGGGCTGGTAGCCGGATTTTCAGAGTCTGGCACAGCCTCCCTGTGTCCAGCAGAGGGCGCCAGGGACCGGGCTGAGTAAGCATGCCGGCCGTCTTGGAAGAGCCGGTGGCAACCTTATTCTGAGACAAGATATTTGCCCGGTGGCCTTCCTGGTCAGTTAACTTCCACTTTTGCCCTGGCCTTTTCCAGTGTGGGAAGCCCCATGCTCCCCCTCACTGGGAATTATTTCTGGGTGGTGTGCATCCAATCCTGAAAGTGTTGGGGAGGAGGGAGGGCAACAGAAGGGACAGAGCCTGGCCTCCCCACCCCTGCCCGCCCAGCTGGGCAGCAGGTCCTTCTCAGAACTCAGCCTCTTCTGCTGCTGGATGCAGTCACAGCGAACCCTCTGGCCCTCTTTAGCAACTCCACGTGCTTCTGGTTCCTCTTCTAGCCCCTAACACATTCTCTCTCTCTGATTTGACAACCTCCTGTTCTATTCAGCCATTCCTGGATCCATCCCTCTCTCCCTCTTAGTTGTATACTGGCATTGCTCCTGCCACATTCTCTGGACTCCCACAGACCCCTCTTTTCCAGGTACAGAACTTGACCCTCCGAACACAGCAGACACCAGCGGCAGCAGCCTCGGGCCCCACCCCCACTCAGCCTGTCCTGCCCAGCTTGGCCCTGAAACCCACGCCGGGCGGTAGCCAGCCTCTGCCTACCCCAGCACAGAGCAGAAATACTGCTCAGGCTTCCCCTGCAGGTGCCAAGCCTGGCATAGCTGACAGTGTGATGGAGCCACACAAGAAAGGAGATGGCAACAGCAGTGTGCCAGGGAGCATGGAAGGCCGGGCTGGGCTCAGCCGGACGGTTCCTGCTGTGGCTGCCCACCCCCTCATTGCACCAGGTAAGGTCTTCAGGAAGCAGGAATCCTTTCCCAGAAAACTCAGGGCCGTGAGTCAGGAGGAGACTTTCACACTTTCCTTTTTCCCATGGATTTGCAAAGATACCAGCCATGGATCTCTCTCTCCTCCCTCCCTATCTCAAAATGTCCATCAGCTCCTGGCTCTGTGCCATGCTTCTGGTCTAACTTTACGCAGGGCAGCCATGTTAGTTGGAATAAAGGAGTCCTTCTGCACTGTAGGCACAGCGATGAATCAGGGTACGCAGCCACAGCGGTGGAGCTGTGGGCACAACCTGGAGTGGCTGGAGGCAGGCAGTTGAACTATTTTGAAATTCTCCAAGACTCAGCAAAAAGGCCAGGGGCTAGCCAGAAGCATGTAAGAACCAGACAGAGAGATGGGAATGTAGGAAGTTTATTTTTCTCATCATTCAGCAAGCATTTGTTGATTAGTATTTGCCAATCATGTTGCCAATTCTAGGTGTGCAGAGATAAATGAGACTCAGGTCCTGCCCTCCACAGTGTAGCTGGGGAGACAGAGAGTGCAGTGCATATGCCATAATAGATCTAAGCTCTGAACACTGTCAGAACAGAAGAGCTATGTGGCTTGAGGAGAGGAGCTAGGAAAGGCTTGCTAGTGAGGGTAACACTTGAGAATAAATCTAGGAGCTTGCTTGTGAGGCAGGTCCGATGAATCCACATGCCCTGCTAGACCCCTTTCCCTGCCTACTAAAACTCTCCCTGTGCTGCCCATTGTAGGCAATCTTTAATGGGAAAATCTGCCAAGAGCCCAAGAAGCCAGGCCTATCGATCTAGGTAACAAGACCACCCTGT
This sequence comes from Homo sapiens, assembly GCF_000001405.40. Taxonomy (NCBI): domain Eukaryota; kingdom Metazoa; phylum Chordata; class Mammalia; order Primates; family Hominidae; genus Homo; species Homo sapiens. The sequence goes on along the minus strand of NC_000001.11, from coordinate 33,366,287 downwards.
TTTACCATAGAAATAAATAGAGTGGCGAAGCACATGGCTTTGCATTAAAGAGAGGGTCACGCTGATCGCATCCCTGAGACAACCACTAACCTCAGTCCTCTCTCAAACCATTTTACCATCCAATCTAATCTGTGGGGTTTTTTCTTGAGAAAATACATCAAGAATATATCTCAATACATCTTTGTCAAAATAAGATAGGATTTTTATTTTTCCCTAGAGTGTGCAGTCAAAAGAAGGGAACCAGATATAGAAGCAAATCCATTCCACTTCATAAATTCTATTTTAGGACTAAGTACCAGGTACAGTGTGGGCACAGATGGTCAGCTGCCTGTCAGGCAGAATGGGTCAGAGATGCCGTCCTTCAGAGGACATGGCACATGAGCCTTGCGGCACGAGCATGTGACCTGACAGACAGAGTGGGGAAGGTTCCCAGGCAGAGAAAAGCAAAGCAGCGCACATGGCACTGAGTTAGGAGGAAACGGGGTCAAAATCCCTCATTCACCTTCTTGAGGCTTCAGAAGTCACCCAGGGGCAAAGGGTCAGTCGCTGCATTCCAGTGGTCACCGCTGAGCCAAGAAAGGCACCTCCCCACGGAGGCCTCACGGCCCTGTGGCTTCAGATGTTTCTCACTGTCTGGCATGGCTTTCTCCAGAAAGTGGCCCAGCCTCTTCCTTTTATGGAAAAAGAAAGTGAGGCTCAGAAGGGTAGACTGGGGGCTCTTTCAATGCGTTGAAAGCAGCTTGGACTACAGCTGAGACCCCAGATGAGCACTTCTTCTAGTTTCTCATTCAATCCGCATGCCCTGGCGGACCATCTGCGTCTCAGGCCTTCCTGAGAACCCCCTTCCAGCCCAGGCCGAAATGTAACCTCTCTCTAAATCTAAGCCAGCCCCCCAAGTTCTAACACTGTTCAAAAGAAAGACTAGTTCTTGGGTTCCTCCTAAGGCTGCTAGGCAACTCAGTTCTCAAGAAAACTGGACAGAAACGGGACCAGCACTCACAGGACGTCCGTCGTGTGCTAGATAACGTGCCCTGCATTGTATGCATCACGCTTCTTTAAACCCTGGAAAGATCCCTGTCCGGTAGCTGTCTTTATCCATTTTACAGATGAGCAAACTGAAGCTCAGAGAGGTTCTCCAGGAGCTTACCACATCCGTCACGCACTCAAAGTCACCTAAGTAGTAAGTGGCAGGACTGGGGGCCATAGCTGGCTGAGTCAAACACTGTTCTTCATCTCAAGCCAGATCGTCCCTCTCAGTTCTTACAGTAATCTGGGGCCTCCTCAGCCTTTCCTGTTTCTGACCCAAAGCTGAAAGTATCTGGGGGGTCTAAGCCTATTGAGGGTTTGCAGAGTCTGGTGGAGACCCCATGTAAAGGTAAACACCAGCAGGTGACAGGCTTGAGGCCCGAGGGCCTAAGGCTAACAGTGCCTGGCTAGAATGCAGTACAGAGACCAGTGGCTCCACAGAACTTTCTATGGAGCAGCTGTGAGCTGCAGCTCCACAAAGAACCTCTCCCCAGAGACACAAAGCAGTGGGCCTGCATTGTTCCTGCCTCCCACCATCCTGTTCATTCTTCCTCTCTCCCACCCCTTCCTCTCTGTAAGCCCAGAGATGGCGCTGCCCCACTCCCACCTCCCATATGGAAGGCAGCTGGGGAGTTTTAGTAGGGGAAGGTCCTCTCAGGGCCTCTGGACAAAAAGACTGAAATCATTCTTAGGACCTAGTGCACGGCAGCCAGGAGCAGCACCTGTCTTGGGCTATACAGTTCCCTGGGCAGAGGTGACTTCTGGCCTCCTGCCCAGCCAACCCACTGTCAATGAACCAAGGGATCTGAGAGCAGGAGAGAAGAGCGTGCTTGAGCGTGTGTGTGTGTGTGTGTGTGTGTGTGTGTGTGTGAAAGCAAGTGTGTGTGTGTGTGTGTGTGTGTCTGGGAGAGAGAAAGCAAGCGAGCGCGCACACATTTTTTGTTTGTTATTGGAGCATTTTTTGAGCTGGCTGGCTGGCTGCCCCCAGGGAAAGTAACCAGTGGAGACTTGCAGTGGGCCAGTAGGAGGGGGTATGGCAGTGAGGAATGTGTTCTCCTGGGGGCTGTTTCCTCCCAGAGCAGGCAGACCCTCCAGTCCCAGCTGGGACTGCTCCCACTGACAGCTGTTTGGGGGCAAAGCCCCTCCCCCATGGCAAGCTCCCTGCTGTTCCTGCTCCTGTCACCTTGGCAACCGGCTTCTTCAGGCTCTGCAAATAGAAAAGGTCCCTTATGCCGAGAATAGGGGTGGGGGAGCAGGTGGGGGAGGGGAGTAAGGGGCGGAGAACAGAGCCTAAGAGGTTGGGCTTTGGAGGGGAAGGAGAAGGGCCTGGCTTGCCCTTCTCACTGACATGAGGACTGAGCAATGGAGGGCAGAAGAGAGGCAGGCAGCAGGGGTCCCTTGGGCCTGGCCTTCAGGGAAGCCGAGTCCTAAGGGAGTGGGCCACAGCCCCAGATAGGAGACTTGGTTCTTGGAGTCCTCATTCTAGTGGATAAACTCCAGGCTTTGGGTGCACACTCAGGCCCAAAGGTGAGGAGAAAGTTGCTGACTGGGAGGGATATGCTGTGATAAAAGGGAACTGTCGGGTTGTTGAAAAGCCAGGGCCCTTTCACCCAGTTGGGCCTCCAGATGCCAGGTCTTTGTTCTGCATCCTCAGCCCGCCTCAGGTCTCAGCTGAGGAGCGAGAACTCTGCTGGAAGGCCACACAGCTGCTTTGTTTGAACACAGAGAGCGTTTTGTGCAGGGGGCAGTGATTTCTGTCTGTGATAGGCTGGACAATGCAGTGTTGCTGATTCCAGGATTCTTGGGTACCCTATTTCCCTCCCAAAGCAGCCTCCAAACTGCAAGCACACTTTTACTTAGGGAATCCAATAAAAACCAAAGCATACAGGTGGGACTGTCATCTGCTAAAATCCCCAACGATTTTGATGAAGGTCATTTCAGCTATCCACTGTAGCACCAAATCTAGATGACTAAGAATCTCTTTTTATGTTAGGAGAAAAATCCACAATCATCAGCTATCAGTGGAGGGGCTTTATATTTTGCTTAACATCTTTGTGTGTACGAGCCTGTGTGCACGTATGTGTGAGAGAGAAAGCAGACTGACACACAAAGGGACTTGGCCTTGCTGGACGTTTCTTCTTTCCCGAAATTCTTCATCCTAGGCTTCTGTTAGACTATTTCCCTGGTTGCTGTGGGCTAATAGTAATAATTACCAGTTAATGAACAGCCATGTTCCACATACTGCACTAAATGCTTTACCTACATATCTCACTTAATCTTAACAGTGATTATTCCACTTCACAAATGAAAGAGGTATGGCTCAGAGTCACTGTCATCCCCAAACCATTTGTCCCTTTAATTATGTAGCTCAACAGATACTCATTTAGCACCTCTTATGTGCCAAACATTATGCTGAACACTATGGGTGTTAAAGAGATGAACAAGAGTTTAAATTCTAATGGGAGCTGCAGACATTTGAGTTGTGCTTTGAAACATGATTAAGTTTCAAGAATGGAACAGGAGGAGGAGTATCTCAGCTGGCACTGGGAAGCACCTAAGCCCAGAGGGGCTGTGTGCGCGTGTGACCATCTGTGTGTGTAAGCGGGACCCTCCTTCCTTTTCCCTTGCCTCTGCCATTAGCTGTGGGTCTCCTAAAACTCAGTCCTGTGCCCCTGTGTTTCACTTACAGAGGAGTTTGTCAGTTCATACCTTTCAGACATCCACCACCTGTCTGCCAGTGACTTCCTAATACACATCCATCCCTGTCCTCCTCTCTTCTCCCCATACATTTCAGCTGTCTATAAATAGACATCACCCCACTGCATACAAGTTTTTTTTAATCTGGAGAATTTGTAAAACAAAAACCATGCATCTTCCTCTCTGGAAAGGCCCCCTCTACCAGTTTCCTGAGCACTGTCCACAATTGCGAGGTCCTCCTGCACCCCAGACTCACAGAGTTATTTTGACTTCACATTCAGATAACAGGTAGTATTTTTAAAATAGTTACCATTTACTGAGCATCTAATAGGCATTGAGCAAAGGCAGTGAACCTCTTTGTGGTTTAAACAAAATACTCCATTTGATACTAACAAGTATGTGCTATGTATCACCATTTACAGAACAGCAAGTCTAAATCCAGAGAGGTTAAGCAATTTATCTAAGATTGCACCACCTGTTGGTGTCAGAGCTACCAGGGAGGCAGAGCGTTACAGTGGGAAAAGCAGTGGGCTTCGGAGTTAACCTGGTTTCAGACCCCAGTTTCATCACCTATTAGTTTAATGACTATGATCAAGTTACTTAAGCTCTGTAAACCTCCATTTCCTCATCCGTAAAACAGAGGTGATTATATTTCCTATGGGCTGTAAATGACTGAGATGGCCTGTGCAAGTGACCGGCACAGAGAAAGCCCTCCCTCATTCCCACGCTCCATCACCACCCAGCTTATCACCAGTTTGTCACCAGGTTCTGATGAGACTTCCTCTTGTTTTGGCTTCCTGCTTTGCTTAAGGCCTGCTGACGGGATGAGGCTGAACTGATCGCCAGGATATCCTACTCACAACTGCTAGAATTATCTCCCTCAGAGACTGTTATTTCCTTCTTGTTTAAAAACCTTCACTGTGGCCAGGCACGATGGCTCACGCCTGTAATCTCAGCCCTTTGGGAGGCCCCGAGACAGGCGGATCACTTGAGGTCAGGAGTTTGACACCAGCCTGGCCAACATGGTGAAACCCCATCTCTACTAAAACTACAAAAATTAGCCAGGTGTGGTGGCTCATGCCTGTAATCCTAGCTACTTGGGAGGCTGAGGCAGGAGAATTGCTTGAACCGAGGAGGCGGAGGTTGCAGTGAGCAGAGATCATGCCATTGCACTACAGCCTGGGCGTCAAGAGCGAAACTCCATCTCAAAAAAACAAAAAACAAAAACCTTCACTGTGTCTTTATGTCCTCCTTGATCAGCTGGAATGCCTAGTCTATAGTAAGGGCTCACTCAATATCATGTTAATGACTTCTGACTATCTGACTTCATGGGGGACCTTAAAGACCCTCCCCCCACTGCCCACTGCACCTGACTGCTCGTGGTGTCCTCATGCAGACGCTCTGTTATGGCCAAGCAAATATGCTGTTGTCTCTTCTCTCCCACTCCTACCCCTTTGTGACTTTCTTGGCCTGTCATATGCCCTTTTCCTCCCTGCCTCCTGGCGTTAACAATCCCTTTTTGTTGTCCATACCTCCAAGATTGCCTCCAGTATTCTCAACTGCCTGCAACTAATACTCCTAGGCTTGCGGTACTCGCTCGTCCTTACTGACTTCTGTTATTCACTTGGCCATCAGCATTTTTGACCTTTTTTGTCCTTACTGACTTGTGTTATTCACTTGGCCATCAGCGTCTTGTAATATGCAAGGCACCATGCCTCACCTGTCAAATGAAGTCAAGTTCCCCTTCACTTACTGCATTGTACAAGTCACTTGGAAACTACTCTCAGCTCTTGCTTGTAAAATAAAAACACTTCTCAATTGCCTCATGGGCTTCTTGTTAGAAATAAATTAGATTTAAATGATAAAAATTCTTTGAGAAGTTCAAAGCAACACACAGATAACAGGTAGTATTTTAAGAATAGCTACCATTTACTGAGCATCTACTAGGTACCAAGTGTTGAGCAAAGGCAGTGAATCTCTTTGTGGTTTAAACAAAATAGTCCATTTGATACTAACAACTATGTGGTATGTGTCACCATTTACAGAACAGCAAGTCAAGATACAGAGAGGTTGAGCAATTTATCTAAGATTGCACAGCCTATCAGTGTCAGAGCCAAGATTTAAACCCAGATCTGACTGACTCTAAAACCCATGCGTTTATCCACTTATGCTATCCTGCCATCCTCTGCCAAGGGCAGGGTAGGGGCAGAGATGCAGATAACATTTTCTTTTATAATGCTCCAAGCTGCTTAGCAAAGTATCCTGTACACAGCAAGTATTTGGTAGTTTTTCCAGAGGGCTGCAGAACAGGCCTAAGAACCTTCAAGCATAATCAGACTATCATAGAGTGCCCCTGCAGCTGGCAACCCAACACCGTTTTGCAAGTTTCTTACAGGTAAACTTCCCTTAGCTCTACTTCCCCTCTCAAACTCCTCCTGACCCCATGCCAAGGGAATGCATCATGGAAAATTTGTGTGGCTATTGCTTTAGGGTTTTCTAAAAGGAGCTTCCTTGTCTATTCTTGTGTATGCAGAGCACTGACCTCTAGAGCTAACTCTAACCTTAGTTACCTCATGAAGCCTAATCACATGAGACATCTTTAGGGATAAGCAGCCCCTAGAAGGTGCTAGCGTAACTTAGACCCAGCCAAAAACTGCCTCCTTTCTGACTCCTCTCTCTTAGACACCTTGGCTTTCAACTATACATGATGCCCTGGAGATCCCTGAATTCACCATAGTATTTTATGCCTCTGAGTCTTCCCGAATGCTGTTCCTTTTGTCATCTTCCTAACTCTGAATCATGTTAAACACTTACTTGCTCTGGGAAACCTTCTCTGCTCTCCTTCCAAAGCTGAATCCCCTTTTCCGTGTTCTCAATATTCTGTGCTTATCACCTATCATAATATTTACCAAATTATGGTGAGAGTATCTGTCTTCCATCTCTTTTACTAAACTGTAATCTCTTCTAGGGACCATGTCTTAGCCAGTACCAACCATAGTACTTGGTGTGTGGTGGGTGCTTAATAAATTGTTTGTTGAGTGAGTGAATGGTTGAAAGTGTATCTTCCCTTAAGGGTAGTGGCTAGTAAAAAGATCTGCCATTCCTCTCCCACAGGCACATTCTCCTTGCTGGTAGGCCAGGTAACATCAAACTCTAGTCAACTATAGTGGACTTCTAGGAAAATGAGTGCATAAGTAGTCCTGTAACTATAACTGGTATGCTTGCAGCTCCCATATACTTTGCGGCAAGAGTCCCAGCATTTCTGGGACAGTGAGTCGTTTCCTGCATATTTGAAGCCTTGAGAACAAGTCTTGTAGGATAAACAAGTCCCACCATGTTGTCTGTCATTCATTCATTCATTCAGCAATATTGATTGAGCATCTACTAAATTCAAGATATTTTGGAGGAAACAAATGTCTCACATAAATTCTGCCTACTAAAAGAGATAAGTCACTTACTGAAATAACTCTGAGATAGGTGTCATCCTTACCTCCATTTTAAAGATGATGACATAGAGGTACAGAGAGGTCAGGTAACTCACTCACCCCATGTCACACAGCTGGTAAGCAGCAGAGTTGGAATTCAAATCCAAGCATTTTGACTCAAGAGCTCACACTTGACTTCTGGGCACACTGCTTCTCTGAGGGCAGTGCAAAGCAAAGCGGCCTGATTGTCATCTCAGAGAAAGGGGAAAGTCCTGTCAGCTGTAAAGACCAGAGAATGGTGACTAGAATTTGATTTGTAGCACTCTAGACAGTATGAGAAAAGGCATATACTCTGTACAGGGTACAGTGAACAGTAAAGATTGCTTGGGTCAAAGAAATAATAAAAATTAAAAGGTTGGTTTATGTTGTAAAGAGATCCTGAATGTCTGCCAGGGGCTTTAGACAACCGTAGACAAAGGAGAGTCCCTGGCGGTTTTTAGTGAGAGATCAGATCTGTGCACTAGGAAGATTAGTTTGCTCTCTCTAAGCTGGATTACAGAGAGAAGAAACTGGAATCAGGAAGACCCTTCCTCTACTGCAGTACTCGAAACAAAAGGATTTTTTTTTGATCCAGGATAATGCTGGAGTTAAATCATGATCTTTGTTTTTATTAACCTCAAAAAGTTAAGGATGTATTAATATATACCCCAAATACCTTTGGGTCTCTGATCTATAAATTGATTCAAGCCTTATGAGCTTGATTTCCAGCCTTGGTGTATAGTAGCCTCGTTTGTCCTAAAACAATTGCTTTCAGTTTTCCATGAGCAGCACAGGGTGGGGAGGGAATGGGATAGGAGAGGAAGCACAGGAATAGAAGCCAGGCAAGCAGTCCCCTTTCCCAGTCTTTTGGGAAAACAAATGTGTGTTGTCCCTACCTATACTCTTTATGCTGTAGAGATTTAGAACCTTTTCCCTCTGTAATCCTTTTTCCTCCTTATTAACCCTGAATTGTAAACTACTTTTCTGCTATAGCCACTCCATCAAATTCTAGATGTGGAAGAGATTTATGTGATCACCTAGCCCAGACCTCCTCTTTCACAGATTAAACTCTGAAGCCCTGAGAAAGAAGAGTACCTTGTCTCAGGCCGCACAGCCAGCAAGTAGTGGGGCATGCCATTGATCCTCTTAGCCTCCCTGACCTGGAACCATCTCCAGCTCCCACCTCACATAGGCAGCCCCTAAGAATGATTCCACATCCCAGGAGCAGGAATCCATGATTTTGCATTACAGGAGAAAAAGTTTTGGTTGCATTTGCAGTGACATGCCCAACATTTGCAGATCATTTTGGCTGTGGGGGCCTAACAAAGTCCTGTGTGGCCTCTTCAGTGTCTCCCAGGTGCCTTATCAACAGTCTTCTCAAAAGTGCCTGATTGTTAAATTCCGACCTATTCAATGTGAGATAAGGAGACACAGCTTAGATTGGGGTCAGTTTATAATCACCAAATGTCTGCTGGCATTTCCACAAAGGTTCCGCCATCAACCCAAACCCAACACACTTCCCTCAACATCACACTGGTGTCCAAGTTTCCCAAACCTGTCATTCAGTATCATCCATACTAAACCCCTCTGGGCCATCCATAGTCCCTCTCTCTCTGACTACGACAGTCAGTCACCAAGGACCATTTTGCTTTTCCTTTGTAACACATCTTATTTCTGTCCTTTCCATTCCTATTGGAATTCTGCTTGGAATTTCACGTTGGGCTGGGATGAGACCATTCAAAACTTGCATGTGAACAGACAAAATTCAAGAAGGAAGGCACCTCCCCTAACTCAGTTTGAAACCTGCTTACTTTGCACCTGTTGCATCACAGGATCCATTTAAAACGTGAGCTCAGGACCCAGAATTCACCTTTATCCTTACTGGCATGAGGCTTTAGTTGTAAAAATCCATTTGCGGGCCTCCAGCTGTGGCCTGCCATGCACTTGGCTAGCTCTCCAGCCGTGGAAGTCTCTGTGGAGGGCAGTTTTTAAACAGGACAGATTCAGCTGAGCTGCTTCATCCTAGGCTGGCCTGGCACTAGCCAGAGAGTGATCTGTGCAAAGACAATCTCTGAGCTGAATTTCCTGAATCCCTACTCCAAACAAGGCATGAGCTAGACACTGAAGGGATACTAAAAAATATAAGAATTTTCGCCCCGTCCGGGAGGGAGGTGGGGGGCAGCCCCCGCCCGGCCGCCGCCCCGTCTGGGAGGTGGGGGGGCGCCTCTGCCTGGCCGCCCTGTCTGGGAAGTGAGGAGCCTCTCTGCCCGGCCGCCACCCCGTCTGGGAGGTGTACCCAACAGCTCATTGAGAACGGGCCATGATGACGATGGCGATTTTGTCGAATAGGAAAGGGGGAAATGTGGGGAAAAGAAAGAAAAATCAGATTGTTACTGTGTCTGTGTAGAAAGAAGTAGACATGGGAGACTCCATTTTGTTCTGTACTAAGAAAGGTTCTTCTGCCTTGGGATGCTGTTAATCTATAACCTTACCCCCAACCCCGTGCTCTCTGAAACATGTGCTGTGTCCACTCAGGGTTAAATGGATTAAGGGCGGTGCAAGATGTGCTTTGTTAAACAGATGCTTGAAGGCAGCATGCTCGTTAAGAGTCATCACCGCTCCCTAATCTCAAGTACCCAGGGACACAAACACTGCGGAAGGCCGCAGGGTCCTCTGCCTAGGAAAACCAGAGACCCTTGTTCACATGTTTATCTGCTGACCTTCCCTCCACTATTGTCCTATGACCCTGCCAAATCCCCCTCTCCGAGAAACACCCAAGAATGATCAATAAATACTAAATAAATAAATATATATATATATATACATATATATATATATATATATATATATAAGAATTTTCACCTCAAAGAGTCAGCCTGCTTAAAATAGAAGAGAGAAAAGCTAGCATAGCAACACATGCCAAAAAACAAATTCCTGTCAGGCACTGTGGTAGGTTCTGGAAAAAGAGATACACAAAGTTTCTGACCGCAAGGAGTTCATGATCTGGAAGACAGATAAGAAACAATTACAACTCACCTTAATAAGCATTATTATGATAGAGGTAGACCCTGGATACTTTAAGAACCTAAACCAGACTGATATAGTAGTTATAACTAGAAATGACTGAATATGACCATGTGCCAGGCACTGTGCTGTGCACATTAAGTCATTTTTCTGTCATTTTCTTCTCATTTCATCCTTTTAGCAACTTCTGTACAGAAACTATATTTTCAATTTTTAGATTGGGAAGCTGAGGCCCAGAGAGTAGTTATTTCCAGGTCCCTTGGTATATAACAGAGGGAACCAGTAATCCAGCCCTGGTCTGTCTGATGCCAGGATCCAAGAACCACCGTTGTCTACTGGCTCTTCCTGGAGAAGGCCTCGCCTGAGCAGAGCCAGAGGCTGGATGAGGACTAGCCACACAGAGCTGGGTTGGGTGGTGGAAAGGTTGTAGCTGTTGCAGGCACAGAGAACAGCAGGTGAAGGGCATGGAGGAGAGCGAGAGCATGTCACACTTAGAATCCAGTATTTCTCTGAACTGCCAGAATGGCCAAAGGGCATCACAGAGGAGGTGAGTTTTTAGTTTTGAGGAGTTGAGCTTTGGGGATGGGGGACAGCTCAAAGAGCCCAGTGTTCCTCCAGCAAAGGAGGAAAGCAGGAATAGAGTGAATGTGTTAGGCCATGGCAATGAGCAGGCCAGGCTCAGGGTGAAAAATGAAAGAGATGAAAACAAGAGACATTGAATTTGGGAAGCCATTTTTATTTGGATGCGGGAGGGGCAGAGTTGGAAGACACAGCAGAAGAGAAGGTCAAGCCATGCTCTCTAACCTGGCCTTTCCCCTTTCAGCCTATGCTCAGCTGCAGCCACACCAGCTCCTCCCACAGCCATCCTCAAAGCACCTGCAGCCCCAATTTGTGATCCAGCAGCAGCCACAGCCACAACAGCAGCAGCCGCCGCCCCAGCAGTCACGGCCTGTGCTCCAAGCTGAGCCCCACCCCCAGCTCGCCTCAGTCTCTCCAAGCGTGGCCCTCCAGCCCAGCTCAGAGGCCCATGCCATGCCACTAGGCCCGGTTACACCCGCCCTGCCACTCCAGTGTCCCACTGCCAACCTGCACAAGCCTGGCGGCAGTCAGCAGTGTCACCCTCCCACACCTGATACTGGGCCTCAGAATGGACATCCCGAGGGCGTGCCCCACACCCCTCAACGCAGGTTCCAGCACACTTCAGCTGTCATCTTACAACTGCAGCCTGCTTCACCAGTGGTGAGTAAGCCAGCCCCAAGGTCCAGGGAGCACACGGGGTGGCCACAGCTCGGACGACCCCACAGCCCCGTCAAGAGGTGCTTCTGGGTAGGCTGACGGGTGAAGTCATCTTTGGGGATTCCAAGAAGGAAGAGAGGGCCTTCCCCAATTTGAGGATGACTGAATCTTAAGGTCCTTACCTGCTTCCCAAGCTCCATGGAAACCAGGGAAGTATCCAAGAATGCAAAGGCTATTTCTGAGAGGCCCCCCTCTCTGTCCTGTCCTTTGACAGCCCCAGCAGTGTGTCCCTGATGACTGGAAAGAAGTGGCACCAGGGGAGAAAAGTGTGCCTGAGACGCGGTCTGGCCCATCACCACATCAGCAGGCTATTGTCACTGCCATGCCTGGTGGCCTGCCTGTACCCACGAGCCCTAACATCCAGCCGTCCCCAGCTCACGGTATGAAGCACAGTGGGGCCCTGGGGGAGGGGAGGAAGTTGGCCTTTCTTGCCATGCCCTGGCACATTTCACTTGGGCATCTGGAATGGGAGGGTAAACTATTACAAGCAAGGAAGCTGGGGGGTTGGAAACAGAGGAGGGATGTGAGAAGATGAACCAGGGATAAAGTAATTGAGACACGGAAGATATTAGAGCAAGAGGGTGGAGACAGAAGAGGTGAAAGTTCTAGAGCCAGACACTGGGGCCTACCTGCATGTCACTGGTGTCAGATGCATCCACATAGACATATGCCAAGTGGAGAGTGGAGGCAGGTGGCCAGTTGTCACAGTTCTCTGCTTCCTTTGGTATGAAAGGGGGTTCTTGATATTGGAAATATGGCAAAACGGCTACCACATCTCAAAAATAAGGGAAATGCCAGGGGGAGGCAGAAGGGGACTCAGATGAGTTCAGCTCACAGGAAGCATCTCTGAGGAAAACTGCTCAGCTCTGGGATCCCCATCTGTCCATCTGTGCGGGCTCAGTTACAAGTGGACTTCTCCCTGCCTGGGGTTCAGGAGACTCTGCTGGGTCCCTTCACCCGGATGGGAGAGGCACAGCAGTACCTCCGCCTTCTGCAAAGATCTATTTGCTTCCCTTCCCCTCTCTGCCAGTTTGCACAGCACTGTTGGCCCAGATCTCAGTGACATTCTGAGCCATGGACCACCTGCAACTCAGGGAGGCAGTTCCAGTCATTGTGCTGTGTTTGCTGAGGGGGTAGGGGCGGGGAACAGGAAAGAGAAAAAGAGTTTAGAAATTGATGGAGAAATAAGAAAAAAATACCTTAGCACAAGGCAGGGCAAAAAGAGTACGAAGGTTCTATAGGGAACAGAAGCAGGATCAAGGAAGAGAATATGGAGAAAGGACAGCAGGAAAATTAAAGGATGGGAAGGAGGTCATCTCTTCTCTCTTTGCACACTTGCAGATGAGAAGGGGTTTTGAACAGCAGTCCATTCCACTGTAGATTTGCTCTAATTATCAGAAAGTTGCTTTTCAAATGAAGTCAAAACCTGCTCTCTTGGAATTTGCCAGCATTGGTCATGATTCTGTCTTGTGAATTATAAGAGTCCATCTTATACAGTGTTTGTAGACAGTTGTCGGACTGTCTCTTGCCTCTCCCCCCATTAAAAAAGAGAAAATCTCCAGGCTAAACATCTGAGACTTTTTTTCATTTTTTACCTATGACAGATCAAGACCTCCATTCTCACCATTCTGGTCAGGCTTGTCTATCTACATTCTACCTTTTCATTAATTTTCCTAACGTTTGGTCCCCAAAATTGAGCACATTAATTCCAAATATAAACAGCTACTAGTCTTTAGAGGCCTGTTTCAGGGGCAGGGCTGTTCCCTAGATCCATGTTTTACGGTAGGGAGGAACCAAAATTTGTTGAACACTTAGTATATGCTGAGTACTGTTCCAAGTCCTTTACTCACTCACGACAGCCCTAGGACATAAGTAGAATCGCCCCATTATTCAGAGGCAGAAACAAAGGCTGAGGGGCTCCAGGTCCCGCGGCTCTGAAAGGGCAGCGCCATGACTCTGACTCCTACGGTAGTCACTCGCTCACCTTCCTTCATCAGGATGGTGCACGAATGGCCCCCGTGAACTCTCCCACCCTATAGGAATGACACTGTTGTTCACAGAGCACTGTCACCTGAATTCCAGAGAGCTGGGTTTCATTTTTGTTTCTGAGGTTTCGTCTTACCTGGAACTGCTGTCATGCCAGCTCTCCCTAGTCTCAAACTTGTATAATTTATAGTTTGAACCAAAATATAATTGCTTACATCTGTTAAGTGTTACCTTGTAAATTCAGCCCATAGTTCCAGCCTAGCAAGAAAACAGTAATGATTAATAGTTAATATTTACTGAGCCCTCTCTGCTAGACTACACATATTTCCTCATTTAATCCTGACAATAACCCTCTGAGGTAGCAACTTTTATCATCCTCATTTTAAAGGTAAGACCACTGAGGCATAGAAAAAAACAAGTGGTGGGGCAGGAATCTTTTCTATCTGAATTCTGCTATTCATTATACTAACACCTCTGCTTAACTTTGCCACCTGTAAATTATATAGCATGTTTTATTTGCCTTTTACCAATTTGCTAATAGAAGTACCATATGGGACCCCACTGAGTACTCATGCCCTGTCTCCGCAACAGTGGTAATCAACATTTTTTGCTCAAGTGTTTGTAATCCAGAAACCCCTAAATGAACTGACATTTGCCTTTCTCCTCCATAAAGCTCTCAAAATTTTCTTTCTGAAATCTAATCATGGTGATATACAAACAAGCATCCTCCTCTTGAGGTCCTATCTCATGAGAGAAGTAAGCTTTACACAGTGGAAACAACTGTCAACCACCCAAGACTTAAATATCCATTCTGTGTATGTCTTTTTTTTTTTTTTTTTTTTTGAGATGCATTCTTACTCTGTCGCCCAGGCTGGAGTGCAGTGGTGTGATCTCAGCTCACTGCAATCTACACCTCCCGGGTTCAAGTGACTCTCCTGCCTCAGCCTCCCGAGTAGCTGGGATTACAGGTGCACACCACCATGCCCAGCTAATTTTTGTACTTTTAGTAGAGACAGGGTTTCGCCATGTTAGCCAGGCTGGTCTCAAACTCCTGACCTCAGGTGATCTGCCCGCCTCGGCCTCCCAAGTGCTGGGATTACAGGTGTGAGCCACTGCGCCCGGCCCATTCTGTGTATGTGTGAATGCCTGCTCTGTGCAAAGCACTGTGGGAAGGGAGGTAGCACACTGAGAAACACGGTCTGTACCCCACCTCAAGAGCTGAAGGTCTACTTGAAACGATGAAAAATGCACAGGAAAAAAATTACAATAGAAAGTAAAATGCGATAAATGCCATAGATGGATTTGAGGTAAGTCATTTAAAAGCTACAAAACAGGAAAAGTTACTGCCAACTAGAGATGTTCAGGATAGATTTCAGGGAGGACGAGGCATTGTTCTAGAGCAGAGGTTGACAAACTACAGCCCAATGGCCAAAACCATCACATTGCCAGTGTTCGTACAGCTCGCAAGCTAATAATGATTTCTACATTTTAAATTTTTTTTTGAAAAAATCAAAAGAATTCTATTTCATGATACATGAAAATTATCTGAAATTCCAATTCTAGTGCCCATAAATAAAGTTCTATTGGAACACAACCACACTCCTTCACGTACATATTGTCTGTGGTTGCTTTCCTGCGGCAACAGCAGAGATGAGTTGTTGCCACAGACCGTGTGACCTACAAAGTCTAAAATATTTACTCTCTGGTCCCTGGCAGAAAAAGTTTGCCAACTGCTGTTCTTGAGTCTGGACCTTGAAGGATAGGTAGGACCTGGACATGCAAAGTTGAGGAAAGAGCATTCCAGGAAGAACTGGTGGAACTTAAGAGAGGGAGGCAGGAAAGTGTGGGCATGTTAGGGAACAGGAGTTGAGGATACAATCCTGTGTTACCCTAGTTTATAAAACAAAATATAAGTGTAAGAAATGCAGAGGCAGAGGAGAAGGAAATATGAATATTAATGAAAAGGGGGGTTGAAAATTTGAAAAATAGAGGAGAAAGGGAGCTAAGTAAATATTCGGGGAATGTAAAATAAATGTAAACAAAGAAGATGGGATGAGGCCTGAGAGTGGAAAGGGGTGGGGGGAGAAGAAAGGCAGGCAACGAATATGAATACTAAGGAAGGCAAGAAAATGGGACCATGTTGGGAACAGAGGGAAGTCAAGAATGGAGAGAAGTGCCTGGCGTGTGTCCAGCACCTTCCTGCGCCTCGCGCTCCTGAGGGTGGGGACTGTGTCACGCTGCACGTCTCTGTACCCCCGCAGCCCCTCGCGCGCGTGCTGAATGAGTATGCTTCGCCACGACAGCGCAGGTTCACCCGGTGCGCTTGGGGAAGATAACCAACACTTACGGGACTCTGACCGTGTGCCAGGCACGGCGGGCCGCCTGAACCCACTTCCTCAATCAGCCTCAACCGCGAGCCCGAGGCCGCTCACGGAGGTGTGACCGGGGCACTCGGGCCATGACTTCCCTCTGATCCTCGGTTCCCAGTGGGAAGGAGAATGACTTGTAGGGTCGTTGTGAACAATAAGTCGGGGACAGCGCGAGCAGGGTTTGGCACGAACTGAGCTCTCGGTGACTGGTGGTCGTTAGTCTTCTGACTGACCCCCAGGCCCCTCAGGGAGTGAACGGTCCAAGGCGGGAGTCGCGGGCCGCCCCGCCAAGGAGCACTTGCACCGGCTATCAGGGCAGCCTCCTCGTGGCGTGGCGCCCGCCTCCCTAAGCTGAGCCCCGGGCGTCCCTAACCCGCCTTCCGGAGGGCGCGAGGCGGGGCTCGCCGCACAAAGGAAGCGCGCGGCCCGTGTCCGCCCCGCCCCTCCCGCGGCCCCGCCCCTCCCCGCCCCGCTCCCTCGCCCCGCCCCCGGCGGAGGCGGCCGCGGGAGCCGTCCCAGACTCGCCGCATTGTCTCCGCGGCGGCTGCAGCCCTCGAGCGCCCGCCGCGCGCGCGCGCGCAACCCCGGCCGCCGCCCGCGCTCCCGCCCCGGCCTCGCGCCCCCGTCCCGGCCTCGCGCCCCGGCCGCCCTTTGTTGACGCCGGCCAGGCCGGTGCGGTCGGATGCGCCGCGGCAGCCCCGGGCCCCGGCTCGGAGGCTCCCGGCGGAGAGGAGGCGGCCCGCCCGGGCCCGGGACCCCGCGCGAGTCGGCGCCCGGCCGAGGGGCTGCGTAGGCCCCGCCCGGCCAGGCCCAGCCGGGCCCTGGACAGGTCAGTGCCGGGGCGGGGGAGGGGTTCTCGCCAGTAGGGAGGCCGGGGGCCGCGCTCGCCGCACTGGAAGTCGGGCACCGCCCTCGGTGCCCCTAACGGCCCGGGCCTACGCGGCTGCCAGGCCGTGCCAGTCGCGGCTCTCGTCCGCGCGGCGCCTGGGAGGTGCCCTGCTCCCCAGCCTCGCTCGCCTGGGGACCCTGCGCGCCCGTCGCCCCTGGAAGCCGTGTCACCTCGGCGCGCCGCAGCTTCCGCGTCCCCAGGCCCCGCACACCCCACCCCAGCCCCAACCTAGGACCGGCCTCCCCGCCGCTGCGACTTCCCTGGGACGGACGGTGCGTTCGGGGACGAGACTGCTGGCATCTGCCGTACTTTATTGGTGGTGGACTCCCTATCTTGGAGGCGCCTGCGGCTTCGCTGGAGAGTTTTGTTTTTAATCTAGTTCAGTCTCACGAGGTTTTTAATTGGATGGAAAGGGACAAGCTGTTCTGTGTCTTTTCTTCCATTTTTAGAAGAGCGTTTTCTCTCCTTCCTATGCCAAATGAAGGTAGACTATATTTGTTGCTTCTTTACATTAAAATCGGGATTTGTGAGATTCTGTATTTAAACTGAAGTCCACAGACAGGGAAATAATTGGCCCAAGGTCAGGTTGCAAACCAGTGGCGACGCTACCATCTGAACTAAGCCCTGGGCCCCGTGTCGGATACCAGTCAGTGCCCTGCTACTGCCCACCCACCCGTCTTCCATAACCTGAACTGATCTCACCCACATACTTTCGGTTCTGAACAACTTTCCTTTCCTTCCTACTCCATACCTACGATATGTACCTTCATGTGCTGTGTACGGAACACACTCTTTTCATCTTTTTCTTCCCTTACAAATCAATGACAGCCTTCCCCTCGGATATCTCCCGTGTTTGATCTTTAATCCCCTCTCCATTAGCATATTGGGCCCAGAGGATCCCTTGCAAAATAAGCTACCTACCTAAATCCATCATATGTCCCTGATTTTTCTAGGACAGCCCCAATTTAAACTATTCCATCCCATTGTCCATCAGCCTGAGTATCTCCATTTTTGGTTTAAAAAATAATGTCACTTTGTACCACAGCCTACTGACCTGGCCTTTTCCAGCCATTTGGCTCTGGAGCATAACTGGGTAATCCAATTATCATTCACCTGGGATTTTTCTTCCCCGCCTGAGTCAACCCAAATGTTGGAACTGCCAGGATTTCTAGGTCAGCATGAACATTACAGGCTAATGAGGCAAGGAAATTCCTTCTTGCTCTTGTATTTCTTCCCACCTCCCCCACCCGCCCATCTTTTATTCTGGTACAGGGCAACAGACCTGTGGCAGACCCTATTGATTAGGATTTAGGTTTAGGTCACAAGGGATGTAGGGCTTCCCATCGTTTTGACTTTAGAACAGAAATAAAGTACCTGACTGTGTTGGTTATCGGGCAAGAGGCTGTCTTGAACCTTAAGATAACCAGCACAGCAAAGCAGTTCTGGTTTCATTCAGTTAGATTTAACATACTTTTATTTGGCTCCCATTTTAGGTAAAGTACTGCCCTAGGCACTGGGGAATATAAAAGTGATTTTAACAAATAGCTCCCAACATCTGGATCTACATTTGGGAGTATTCACCCTTTCTAACCAGCTGATAAACTGTGTTTTCCACTGGTGATTTCTCTGTACCTAAGTTCCAGCCCCTGCAAGGCGGGAACTGGGGCCTCTGGCTTGGCTCACTCACAAGGGCGGGCTTGTTTCGCAGAAGGTCGGGCAGATGGGGAGTGGTGCTCTTTTGGCACCTGCCCTTTCCAGGCACTCTTCATCACATGAGCTCTGCTTCTCAGCCCACCCAAGATCTGTTTCCAGGCTCGTCCATGCACACAGGGAAGAATAGACATCTTTTTCCTCCAGCCTGAATCTTGAGAAAGGGGGTAGTTTCTTAGTCCTTTCTGTTGTACTTGAGTCGGTTTCTCAGTTGTCCAACTATGTTTTCTCTCCTGTTTTCACCCCCTTCTTTTTTCCCCCAAACTGTTCTTTACTGACATGTGGCACAAAGGTGCTTAATGAATGTTGGTGTTTCATCATGTCCCCACCTCCTGGCCCTTTCCACTCTCTCCCAGGTCCTGGGTTAATTTTTAATTTACCTTTGTCAAGCTCACTCCATATATATTATTTACTCTTCCCTCTAAGTAAAGAAGGACCTCCAGCCCCTTTTCCTTCTGTCACAGTCATCATTCTCCTGGCTGTGGGTCTCATCATCTCATCAGCCATTGTTTCTGCATTCTCTGCCTCCTTCAGGGAAGGAGAGCCTCTTAGGAAGGCACTGTGCTGCTTCCCCTGACATACCTGCTCTGTCATTGACTTTCTAGTCTAAGCGGACTGACCCTGAGATTTCTCTTCCTGCCACCAAGCCCTTCCCTCAGCTATGACCCTGTGCCTGTTCCTTGCTCTGGCTCAGCCCCAGAATCCACTCTTTTTCAGACCACATCCTTTTTCCTGTGTTACTCATTTCCTGTCTCAGATACTTTGGATCCCTTGGTTCTGATCTTTCAGGGGGAGAGGGCATGTTAAGAGGAGTAAGTAGATGGATGATCTTACACAATTGAACTCTTCTTACCTCTGGCCTTGTATGCTCTTACATAGGCTGTCCCCTCTCTACATTTTCTTATTTAAGGAAAAACACAGAACATGATTATTGTCTCAGAATTAGGAACCCCTACTGGTGTGCTCGTAGGTGTCTTTTTGTCTACTTTTCTCTATTGTGAATGTGTAAAGGGGATGACCTCACTGCCTTAAACTCTTCCCTTAAGTCTCTGTCCTCCTTTAGGCTGTGGACCTCAGGCCAGGCGTTCAGTAACCATTTGCCAAGTAAAGTTCCCCCACCTCCTCACTTTCATCCAGCATGGATCAGCAAGCCAAAATAAAGTTAAAGTTTAAAAAACCTAGGGAATAGGTTGGTGACTCCAGTTCCTGTAATGCTGCTCATCATTAGTACGGTGTTTACCAAGAGTTTTTCCCTCTTCTTGAGTCAGTCTAAATTTATATTAAACTTCTCCCAGCTGTTCAATATTTAATCTCCAGACAGATTTAGTTCCAGCCATAGAAAGATTCTCTTCTGAAAGGACACCTACTGGAGACGAGAGTAGGGAAATGAGAATGAGGAGTCTTCATAATTGATAGTTTCTCTTTTATTCCCTTTGTTTTGTGCCATTTTGCTACTGAAAGATGATCATGATGATGACTTTCTGTGGTCAGGAGGAATCTCACAAAAGTGGTTGTAGAGAGAGGCTTTTGTGTACCCCTCAGGAGACTGTCCTGGAGTGAGGTGCCCCTCTGAGCCTGCCCACCCTCCCCACCTCCCCCCAGTCCCCAGCCCTATGGGAAAGCAGGGTGAGAACTGACTGCGTTATGCAGTCTACTCTGATGGGGACTTTGTGCCAATGACAGAAATGGCTCTCTCTTTGGGGACTTAACACCTTGTTTCATGGAACCCAAAACTGAACTACCCCTCAAGATGGGAGTCTGAACACATAGATTTATGCTTTAAATGTTTTTAGGGCATGGTTTAAACTATGAGTCACCAGTTAAAACCCTTTTTGAATATGTTTTCTGTTTTTAAAAAAAGTTGCCTATTTAAGATAACTACTTATTCACAACTCAAACAGAGGTAGGCTTCACTTGAAGCAATGACTTATTTAACATTTTTCATTTGAATTACTAGCCACATCAGAACACTGATTTGATATTTCTAAAGGTATTGAGAGGCAAACCATCTTTAATTCTGCTTTATGATGTGGATATTTTGGGAATTGTTAGGAAAATAATCAACCATTTGCATATCCAAGACATAATTATTACAAATTCTGGATTTTTCCCCATCAGTAACAAAAGTCCAGTATAAATGACATGGTCAAGAAATGGGCTCTTTTATCATAGTCAAGAATTATACAATTTAGAATTACTAGTTTTTGAAGAAAAAGTATGCTAAGGAACACAGCATATAATTTAAGTCATAAACCGTTGCTCTGAGATTCATTGTAAGACCATGTAGACCAGCATAGAAAACTTCAAGGTTTTTTTTGTTTCCTTCTCCTTCCAAATTATTTTTATAGTTAGTGAAAAAGGATATGCTTTCCTGTTCTTCCAATTTCCAAATGATATTTAGGTAAGTCCAAAAGAAGAGAACATTCTTTCTACATCTGGTAAAGACATGACTGCTGTTAAACACAGATTGCCAGTGCTCTGAGATGAATCCAGATGTTGAAGAGAGCCCCAGTTTGCTATTATGACTTTAAAACATAAGCAAATGTCTGTTTTTTTCAGATGATTGTCGTCTTAGCAGTGAAATTTATTATCATTTGTATTAAGAAGAGATGACTATTAGATGCCATGCCATAACCAACTCTTCTCCAGTAGATTAGGAGGACCAGGCCTGATACTGAATATTGGAACTGTTGGCAAGAAAATGAAAGTTCGTGACTGCTTGAGTTATTTTTAAAACTCTAGTTGCATGGCTGTTATGTCTCAAATACTATATAATTATCCCTAGTTACTGGTATCTTTAGCATATTTGAAACCATCCATATGTGACCTAAAGCCACACAGCTATATTAAGACATTTTTGAACAATCAAAGCAAATGACACTTTAAATTAAAACAAAACTAATATGAAGCAACTACTTTAAAAAAAAAAATTGGGACCAGGCACGGTGGCTCATGCCTGGGGGGCCGAGGCAGGAGGATCACTTGAGCGCAGGAGTTCGAGACCAGCCTGAGCAATATAACAAGACCTCGCCTCTACAGATAATTAAAAAAAAAAATTACCTGGGCATAGTGGCACACGCCTGTGGTCTCAGTTGCTCAGGAGACCGAGGTGGGAGGATCGCTTAAGTGTGGACAGTCGAGGCTTCAGTGAGCCATGATCGTGCCACTGCACTCCAGCCTGGGTGACAGAGCGAGGCCTCATCTCAAAAAATAAAAAATAAAAAAATTTGATTAAATCCATATTTTGAGGCCTCCAGTAATCAGTATTAATCTGTTCTATCAGTTGACTGGTGGCAAAATAGGGTTGACTGGAAGCTTAGACAATGGTTATAAGGAGGAAAGGAGTAATGTTTCCATGAGCAGAAATGATCAATAGAACTGATTTGCAAGGTATGTAGTATGTAGTCCATAATATAGACAGGACAACTGAGGCTTAGTGTTCCCTCCTCCCAGTCTCCCCTGACATTTATCTAACAATATTAGTGATGCTGCAGTTGATAACCAAAAAAATAGTCATCATATTGGGGAACATGGCTGCCTTTCCCTGTTATCAACCTGAAAATAATTGGAGAGTTTACTAAACATTTCTAGATTTCTTTTGTAAACCGGTAGAAATCCATCTTCCATGAGTTTATCTTAAACTGGGTTTATTTTTAGCCTTTTAAACTAATTTCTTTTCATAAGCTAAATCATCTGGCATTACAAGTTACATAAATTTAGTATTTTCTAAGTAAAGCAGTGCTTCCTTTTATTTGTCTTAAAGTTAACCTTTCTTTTGGTTTCTAGGGTTCTTCTGCACTGTCTGCTTAAAACCCCCCTTTATGAAAAAACTGCATAGAAAGAGAATCTGGTGCTTGTCTTCTTGTCCTTTAGATTAATAGCCATTGAAGGTGACTTGAGACTTTGCTTTGCCCTTTAGGACAGAAGCATTTCTGTTATGTTGCAGTCACAGTGGAGGTAACATTTCTTCCTGAAGCCTGACCTCAACAGTGCAAGGACAGGACTACCGACGTAGACCAAGACGTCTGAGGAACACAAACCTCAGATACCTCAGTTTGGGCCACGGAAAGATTAGCCCTGCTCTGGGGCTGTAAGAGGCCAGACTCAGTGAAAGAGTGAGATTAGAATGATTTCCTAATCTTCTCACAGGTCTCAGTGACGTTGGCACTCCTGTGTCCAAGCTCAGCCTAGTCCAGTGTGTTGTGCCTGCATTACATTATTTAATCCTCACCACAGCTATATGTAAGACAGATATAAGTATCCCATTTCATAGATGAGGAAAGAGGCCTAGAGTAACTTGTCCAGCATTACAGGATAGGATTTAAGCCTAGAGTCTTTTTTTTTTTTTTTTTTTTTTTGAGACAGAGTCTTGCTCTGTTGCCAGGATGGAGTGCAGTGGTGCAATCTCGGCTCACTGCAACCTCTGCCTCCAGGGTTCAAGCAATTCTCCTGCCTCAGCCTCCCGAGTAGCGGGGACTACAGGCGCTCGCCACCACACCCAGTTATTTATTTTTTTTTTTGTATTTTTACTAGAGACAGGGTTTCACCATGTTGACCAGGATGGTCTCAATCTCTTGACGTCGTGATCCACCCACCTCAGCCTCCCAAAGTGCTAGGATTACAGGCATGAGCCACTGTACCTGGCCGCCTAGAGTCTTTCTAATCCCACAGTCTTAACTGCCATGTAGCACAGCTTCTGCGTGTATTCAGTGCCAGGCATTTTACATATATAATATTTACTGAAACCTCCCAGACAGGTAGGTAGTATGAGCCTCGTTGTTACAGATGGAGAAACCAAGACTCAGAACAGGCAGTGAGTGCTTGAAGCCACACACCTTTGATTAAAGGTGGAACAGAATATGAGTCCAGGTCTGGCCCCCAGAGCCCATGCTCTTTCTACTCTGCCATTCTTCCTTTTATCTCCCCTGATCTTAGTGTCTACTGTAGAACCTCTCCCATTGGTTCTAGACATTTTGCGTTTTGAAATCATAGCATGGGCCGGAGCACTATGATGTGAGACTATCTGGGAGCCCTTGACCCTGGCATTGGATACCAGTGGACTGGCCTCCATCACCAGGGTTAAGTAGAACTCTTTGAAAACTCCTCCCTGACTCCCTGCAGCCAGGGCCAGCTATTATTCCCTGGTGTGTTGACCTGGTGGAAGTCACTCTGGTCCTGCAGGTGCTGCTGCTGAGTTTGAGCTCAGGCCCCTCTTGCAGTCCTCAGCCTGTGGGCTGGGAAGCGTTCAAGCAGCTGTTTGGAAATCCCCCACTGCTCCCGTTGTCCTGAACTGCATGGGGTGGGGGGAGGGTGGCTGTTCGCTCCATTGATTCCTTCCTGCATAGCTGGGGGTGGCAGCTTGGAGCACATTCAGCTGTTTACAATTCAGCTTATGTACACTTTAGCTGGGGATTGTGGGTGAGTCAGAAGGGCCGTTCTCTTTGCCTGTGTCCTGAGAGACAGCATGAAAGTCAGCTGTATGGTAATGGCTGCCAGCATGGGAGGAGCCCCCTCCCTGCCAGATGCCTTAACGGGAGCTGGTCAACACAGATGCTTAAAATCCAGTAAGCTCTCCAAACCTTTCAACCCAGACCCAGCAAGAGCATTTTGCAGTGACGCTGAGGGCAAGGCTGGAGGGTCCCCTGGCTTGGCCTCTCCTTCATCCTGCTGGCCAGCCCCCTGCAAGGAACTCAGGTGTGGATCTCAGTCATCCGCAGCCAGTGACCCTCCTGTGCCTGAAAAGCTCACCAGTTTTCTCAGCAAAGAGCCCCACAGGGTCCTTCTGTCACTGCTGTGCCTTCCCTTCTCTGGGAGAGGTCCTTCAGAGGAGGTGCTTCAGAGAGGTTCCTCAGGGAGCCACAGCCTGCTGTGTCAAGGCAAGGAGTCCTTGTCCCTTTGACAGCTCTGCCCTTAGCAGATTTGAAAAGGCTGCAGACATTGGATGTTCCCCCTGCCTTCTGGTATTCAGAGGACCCCAGGTGGGAAGGGTCTATAATTTTCCCACCACTAAGAGTTCATTTTGTGCATGTTTTACAAGATACTGTCTTCCAAATAAATGGCATTCGTTTGTTTTATTCTAAAATGCACACTTTTACAATCTGTACTTGAGACGCACACGTAATCAATGTGTAAATTCGTTGTGGGGGAAATGGGTCATCTTAACAACTGACTGCATTTTAGAATTTGGGAAACATGGTAACATGATATTAAATAATAGCATGTTTTGCCCTCCTGAAGGTATATATTATGTGCTGTTTCCTTTTCGGCTTCTTCAGATATTGAATCCAGCTTGTGCGTCCTGATTAACTAGATTCAGGGATCCTGCTTAGTCATCCAGGAATCCCAATTTGGGAATCACTCATCTAGATCATCCTGTGCTTCCCAACCCAAATGCTCCAGCCCACATGTGATATCTGGCCTCTGCCTCAGAAGGTCCCAGAATACAGTTTACATGTCTTGTCCTCTTTTCCCAAGTGCCCTCGTGCTATCCACGGCTAATCAGCGCAGCCCTCCCTCCACCTGTGTGGCCCACCCGGAAAAGTCTAAAGCACTGGGTTCTAGTGTGGGTTCTGCCACTGCCTGTGTCCAAGCTCAGCCTAGTCCAGTGTGTTGTGCCTGCATTACATTATTTAATCCTCACCACAGCTATATGTAAGACAGATATAAGTACCCCATTTCATAGATGAGGAAACAGGCCTAGAGTAACTTGCCCAGCATTACAGGATGGGATTTAAGCCTAGAGTCTTTTTTTGTGACCTTTTGTGACCTTGGGCAAATCACCTCACCTCTGAGGCCAAGTTGCTTCATCTAGGACATTTAAGATGTTAAACTCAGGGCCTTTCTAACTTTAATCCTCTGGGATCTAGTGCCCCGTGATCCAAAACAATCACTACCCACCCCCTCCCCCACCCCATCCCTAAATTGGGAGGAAAGCAATCTGTTTATCTGAGTCGAGTAATTCACAGTAAAGTGTGAATGACTGTAAGATGTATACTTGCATTTTAAAGAAATTGTTAACCAAATGAATCTCTAATTGATGGACTCTGTCAGGGTCCCAGATAGAGCTCAGCCTGCCTGTTCCCCTCCCTCCTCCCCGCAACTCCCTCTCAGTCACTTTCCTACCCTTCACTTACCCCGCCCTGGGGGAAGGTGTCAACAAACAGGTGTTTGTGAAATCTCTTGCCTTCCTCACTTTCAGTGGCATTAATTTCTTTGGGGGCCCAAATATAACCAAAGAAATTGTAAAGCGTGGCCCCAGATCTTTCCATGAGGACTGGGCACTCTGTCCTCAGCTTACCGCACTGCAGTACGGCCTGTTGCTTGGACCAGGTATGTGCTGTGTTTGCTGCTGTCTCCTGGATATGGTTTAACTGGGCATCACTCTGCAGTGCTCCACTGAGGCGGTTTCTAGAGCAAATGGTTCCTTGGGAACCCTGCAGAGACCACCCTGGCCACATGGCTGGGCCTGCTGAACTGCAGCACAGTGAGCGTGACTTCAGTGCTGGGGGCTTGGAGAGTGTGCTTTGGGTTTTATAGGTGACCTTGTTTGCCATTTGTTGAGCAGAATTTGTTGTAAGAAAATGAGCCATGTTATCATCTACTCTGCTTCTTTAAATTCTTTATTCATTTCATTAGCTCTGTCATACTCCTACTGCAACCAAACAGTAAATAGAAGTCTTTTAAGTTAAAATACATACTCCCTTCTCATGATAAGGTGGAAATCAGCCATTGACCAAGGTGAGGGGGTAGAAGGAAAAGCTCCGTTTGGTCTCCATTGCCTTTGAAGCCATGTCTTCAGGCTATCTTAGGGTCAGATAGAATGAGTGCTAGGCCATCTGAAATACCTGTTGCAGATGTTAGTACAGATTGAGCATCCCAGATCCAAAATGCTCCAAAATCCCAAACTTTTTGAGCACCTACGTGATACTCAAAGGAAATGCTCATTGGAGCGTTTCAGATTTTTGGATTTGGGATGCTCAACCAGTAAGTATAATGCAAATATTCTAAAACCTGAAAAAATCCAAAATTAAAAACACTTCTGGTCCCAGGCATTTTGGATAAGGGATACTTAACCTGTACTAAGCTGTATTCCAGTATAACAAAACAAAACATCAGCACTGGCTCTGAAGTGGCCCAATTGTGCATAACTGGCACCAGCCTGACGTCTGTCCTCAGCAGGCTGGAGAGCCCGTCAGCTCTGGACATCAACCCACTGGTCCTAGGAGCCTCCCTGCCTCTGCCTCTAGAGGTCATCCTGCCTTGCCAAGTGCCTGGGTCTGGCAAAAATGTTTCAAAGGGGACAGGGAATTCAGAGGTCCACCTGTACCTCTTTTCTGTTGAGGAAATCCCCACTGTAACAGGAAGACATGGGCCAAAAAATAGCTCTTATTCTTCATAATCAGGTATCTAGAAATGCCGCTCCGGTAGGCAGGTACCACCAGCCTAGCTGCTCTCAAAACATCATAGCTTCAGAAAGCAACTTGTAAATCTCAGCTAGTGCCAAATTGCTTATCTTGGCACTAGGCAGCCCTGTATTCTATATGTAGACAGTGAAGACTGAGATCATGGATGCCACACATTCCAGTTTAGTGGTCATTAAGCACCTGTCATATTTTGGACATGGGGTTAGCCCCTGAAGATCTCGAGGTGACTGAGTGAGTGGTAGCCCCCTGCCTAGAGAAGTCTGCTCTGCTTAGGAGACGTGACCAGTCCCAAAGCAGATAATTTCACAAACAGGAGCTGAGTAGTCCTTCCTGTTTTCTCCCACCCCTGTAAGGGCTGTTTGTACCAGAGCCTGTGAATGAGACCAGAAATGAGAAACAGCCTAGAAGTTGAGACATATGTTAGGCAAGACTCCGTGGAACATGCTGCTCTGTTCATTCTGACCGGAATACTTGGCCCTTTGTGGTCAGCGTCAACTAAAGGCCAAGATTTTACCTCCCCCTTCCCCCACCGAAGCCTAGCTTTACTCCCCTCCCCCAGCCTCTCCCATCGGCCTTATCCTGCCTCCACCTTTCGGTTTCAGGTGCCTGACTGTATACAGGCATTTGAGACCTGTGGGAATGCCCGGCAGCACTTATAGCCTCTGAACTGGTCAAGGGAATTGAGTAAGGAACCAAATTCAGAGTATTTCTTTGTCTCTTTTATCTGGCCTCAGGGCCAGCAGGGCAGGTTTCTGCAAGTTTCACTGTTAAGCTGCTTTTCCCCAAAGGCCGCAAAGCAGTCTGGGAGAGCGGGAAGCAGATTAAATTAATCTCAGTGTGCTGAGCTTGGCAGGGGGCGAGATTGTGTTCGGTCATTCCAGGAATAGCCCAAACTCCTTTGTTACTAAAGCAGATGAGGAGCTATTGGTCTACAAGATGACTGCAAAGCGAAGTAGCTGTGAACCTTTGTATATTCATAAAACACTCTCCCATCTGTCCCTTGGATTCTGTCTCTCCTTTGATCTGCCCTGGGTTACAATGGGGAGTGGTAGTTTCTAATGTGGTGCAAGAGTTTTTTAGTGTGTTCTCTCTCTTAACAAGATCTTTTTTAAAAAACAACCTCAAATTCCAAAAAGTTTTGCTTCCCAGAGTTAAGCATTGGCTCTGTAGCCTTTGAGCTGGTGACCATATCTGCTCACGAATGTATCTGGCATGAAGACAGACTCTGACCTCAAGAGTGATCTTCTGTCTTGCAGTGAACATTAATAGGCATAGATCTGAGACAGGAGTGGGGGATGGAGGCAGGGAAGTCAAGCAAGGATAGAGGGATCCCACAAAAGACAAGGTCAGAGGGGGGCTGTTTTCTGATGACTATCAGCGAAAGAGGCAGGAGGTGGGAGTGATCCCAGAATTAAGAGGAGAATGGATTAATTCCATGGAAGAATTCATTAAACTGAAACAAGGGAATTAATACTTTCTACCTATGCTCTCAGTCAGAGATGTGACTGTCTTTAAAGCAAACACAGAAAACCAAAAATCTTACCAACCAGATCTCTTACATGACTACACCTGACAGATGATGCTTAGTATTAACTAGGTACCTGATGTTAAAAGATGTGGGCAGAGAGGGCCTAGGATGATTACGAATTTGTAGCCTTTTTATGTAAGAAATACCTGAAAGAACAGAAGGGCTTTGTCCTGGAGGAGAGAAGACTGTGGTCATGAGTGACATCCTTCATGACACCAGGAGCATTCTCAAGCATTTTCTCGTAAGCTAGCACGCACTGCCTTTCACTGGCTCATTAGTCCTCACAGCAGCACTCTAAGGTAGGCGTAGGATCCTTATTTCACAGCCAGTGAAGCTGAGGCTTAGAGAGGGACAATGACTTGCCCGCAGTTGACTCAATGATAGAGACCAGTCTCTAAGCCAGGTCTAAGCCCGTGTCTCTGCCTGTTAGACAAATCTGATTGGCCTTGTTCTCTGTGAGTTTAAGGAACAGAACGAGGATAACTGGGCAGAAATTAATAGAAAGACAGATTTTGGGCTCGTTATATAAGGAATCACTAATGAGCCGTCCAAGGTGGGAACAAACTGCTTCCAGAGTAGTGAGTTTCTTTGTCGCTGGAGGTATTCAAACAAATGCCAGAAAATCATTGGGTGGGCATATTATAGAAAATTTTCAAGCATTGGCAAGAGATCGAACCAGACTTTCCAATCCTATAATTGTATAATCTGCAGTTCATTAGACTCATCAGGGAATATTTTTTACCAGGCTCTAATTGGGAGGAAATAGCCATCATCTAAAAAACAAAATTTTAGCTTTCATAGTAATCTATGTTAGTAATTCATTTTAAATAAAATAGATGTTTCTTAGCATATGCAAAACATAAAAGCAGAGAAAATGTAATTGTGTAAAGGCAGAGTTAAATATTTAAAATTTAAAAGCACAGAAACTTAATTTGATTGAATCATCAACTCAGTCCTCCTAGTTATTCATAGATTGTGAGGGAAAGGGGTTTTTTCTACGTTCTCAAACATGGATGTGAGGGCCATCTGGCTGCAACACCTGTCACCCCATTGATCGGCAGAGTTGATTCCGCTGATCTGGCTGGCTACGCAGGTGTCCCCTTCCTCCTTCACTGCTCCATGTGCGTCCCTCCTGAACCAGCAGCTGGGTCAAAGAGGACGACCATCCCGTAGAGGAGGGCCGTCCCTCAGTCAAGGGCATACGAGTAGCTGCCCTCCCCTGCTAGAACCTCCAGACAAGCTCTCAAGTTCTCAGACACCTTTGCAATTGGAAAGACTAATTCTAAAAGAAAGGAAATGTTTCCATCTCTACAGAAAAGCCAAAGCTGTTTAAAAATTTTTTTTCAAGTGAATATAGGCACTTAATGGAAACTTTCTAACTTACTGGTATAACTGTGTCTCAAACAAACAAAAAAAACTTCATTGGTCCTTTCTCTTAGATGGCCCCTGCTCAGCTCAGAAGTTTATTATGTAGCTGAATTATGGAGGACTGAGTACTAAAGACATGAGTCATAGTCAACTCTTGTTCATTAAAGGTTTATCCTGGTTTAGTTAGCATTAGAACCACCAGTAAGAACATGAGCTTGAGGCTGGGCGCGGTGGCTCATGCCTGTAATCCCAGCACTTTGCGAGGCTGAGGCAGGTGGACCACCTGAGATCAGGAGTTCGAGACCAGCCTGGCCAACATGGTGAAACCCAGTCCCTACTAAAAATACAAAAATTAGCCGGGTATGGTGGTACGTGCCTGTAATCCCAGCTACTCAGGAGGCCAAGGCAGGAGAATCGCTTGAACCTGAGAGGCAGAGGTTGCAGTGAGCATAGGTCGCACCACTGCGTTCCAGCCTGGGTGACAGAGTGAGACTCCATCTAAAAAAAAAAACAACAACAACAACAACAACAAAAACATGAGCTTGAGTGGACCAAGACCCATTATGAACTAGTCATAAACCATCTTTTCTTTCCCCCCCTCCCCCCCCAAGATAGAGTCTTGCTCTGTCGCCCAGGCTGGAGGGGGGTGGCGAGATCTCAGCTCACTGCAGCCTCCACCCCCTGGGTTCAAGCAGTTCTCCTGCCTCAGCCTCCTGAGTAGCTGGGATTACAGGCACGCACCACCATGCCTGGATAATTTTTGTATTCTTAGTAGAGACAGGGTTTCACCATGTTGGCCAGGCTGGTCTTCAACTCTTGACCTGGTGATCCACCCGCCTCGGTCTTCCAAAGTGCTGAGATTACAGGTGTGAGCCGCCATGCCTGGCCCTAAACCACCTTTTCTCAAACGTGTCTGTTTTGACTTTTCCATACTATATAATTAAGCACAAAGAATTCCTATTCTGTGGTGGTATTATGGATCTTTAACATGAAATATGAGCATCTTCATATAAAGTTTTATGCAAAGATTACTTAACAAGTGTGCTGAAATCACTTTTAAAGTATATATCACTCATACCTCACTGGGGTATGCTTTATATTAATGGACTTGTTGCAATAAAGAAATGGCTTTTTCTTTTCTTTTTTAGGAAGTTCCAGGTTAAAGGCAGCCTCAGCTCACGGGGCAGTTGATGGTGGTAGAGAACAGCCCTGGGAAGGGGGCGGGAGAGAGTTACAGAAGTGAGGAGATGAAGTCTTGCACGTCTAAGACAATGAGACAGCTCATGAGAGATGCTGTTTGAAGTGGAAGAGAGGAAGTTCACTGTCGTGTGGTTGTGTATAGGCATGTAATCTCACTTTCTGGAGCACTCTGTTAGGTCTTTTAGAGGAAGGCTAGCAGGCCCATGGGGAAGGAGAATTAGGAAAGGTTGTCCACAGAGAGACAGAGGATCTATGATTTGGTGAGGATCAGATTAGATAAGAAGCTGACATCTGGGCATGAGGACTGATTTTGAGAGCACTCAGCTCAGCAGAAACAGCAGAGAAAATCTCAGCCTCTGCCTAGCAGCCTTCTTAGCAGAGAAATGGAATTTCTGCATATTTCAATGCACTGACCCCAGATGACCAGTCTCTGAATAGTCAAATATACATGATAGCCTTTACTTGGGGTTCAGCACCCACATTCCCTTGGCATCAATTTCTGGGGTTCAGTGTTTTGACATTTCACAGGGCTCTTAAAATCCCTCCTCTAAGGAACCTCGTAGAAGCTTCTCTTTATCACACTCAAAGCCCTATACCTAGCTCAGCTTCTTGTCCTGGTTTTAGATGTCACCTTGAATACTTTTCTCCCTCAAACTGAGTATTAACCTTATTTGTTCAAATCAGTATCGACCAAGGTCTTAACTCCTCAAAGATAGAATTCCCGTCTGTTTATCCGGGTTAACTGTTCATAGCACGGTTGGGAAATGAAGAAACACTGCTAGCTGATTAGCTGCATGCGTTGTTGTGGAACTGACTATACTCATACTTGGTGATGTGTCCATTGAAACTGTGCCACTTTTAAATGGGTCACTGAGGGGAGGGGACTGCTTGGTTTGCATTGTCGCTTGGCCCCACGGTAAAAGCCGGGCGCAGTTTGAGTCCTTGCTGTCCCTCCCTGGGCGTGGACTCTGGTTCTGATCTCCCCTGCTTTGTTTTCCTACTCTCTCTCGTGCAGAGACAGGGCAGGGCATTGTTCATGCACTGACCGACCTCAGCAGCCCCGGCATGACCTCAGGGAACGGAAACTCTGCCTCCAGCATCGCCGGCACTGCCCCCCAGAATGGTGAGAATAAACCACCACAGGCCATTGTGAAACCCCAAATCCTGACGCATGTTATCGAAGGGTTTGTGATCCAGGAGGGGGCGGAGCCTTTCCCGGTACGGACTACTTCTTTTCCCCTTTTTTTTTTAAGTATATTTTGGATGTGTCTTAGAATATTTTTACATTTCCATGTAAAATTTCTGAAAATGTGAACAATTTGCTCTTTCCTTGCTAACTTCCTCCCCCAAAGAATATAGAGCCATTTCTTTCTAGGATTATCTTTCCAAGGTCCAGAAGAGGGGGGTCAGTGATCAGGAATAATTGACAAGACCCTTGGTTAGAAGTTTCCCACACAAACTCAGGTGTGTCCCTGCCTGTTGATGTGTGAACCCTTGGTTAAAAGGGAGTTCACTGTGGGATATTTGGTGAGAGATGATGGGTTTTGGGAAATTAGATTTCATTGAGTTTTGAATGCCAAAACCTCTGAATGGCAAAACTTCGGCCAGTTAGGAACAAAAGGAATTGCACAGAACAGAATTCTCCAGATACGTGTATCAGAAATGAATGTGAGGAAACAGGGTCACAACCTGAAGCTTGTTTTCTGGGGACAGAGCCTTGAAAGGGGAGTTAATGAGATTGAGGGGCACTCAGAAAGGTCACGATGGAAGCCTAAGACTAACAAGAAATATCCACGAGCCACGAAGATGGGTTATTGACCAAAGCACCCAGAGCTGCTTCTGTGCAGTGTGCACTGGAGACAGTGGTGCTGCCCTGTGGGTGTGGAGGAGCCCAGAGCCAGCGGCACACCAGCCTCTGTTCTGATGAAAAGTATCTGGCTGTTGGAGAAGACACCTTTCTGGGATACCATCTGCCTTTTCCTCATTCTTTGGTTCCATGAGTGGTTTGATTAGTCTGCAGAAGACGCGGAGCTTGATTAACTGAGATGGGTGAACTGCTCCTGTAAAATGCCAAAAGACACATAGCTTCTTGTCTTCTTTCCCACTGGAGGTTGTCCAAGGCCAGTGGCAAAGAAATCTGCCTGGAACACCTTAGCTAGAAGTGGCTCTCGCTCTGTTACATCCCTTCCCTGTTAGACTGGGCCTCCTAGAGTAACACTAGAAACCACCTGATCTCATGGGGTGGAGGCAGATTGCATAGCACCCCCAGCATTGCCCTAGAGTCGGTGCCACGTGACTGGCTACCAGGCTGCCTAAACACAGGCCACAAAAGGAGATCTAAACGCGTAAATAAGCTGCTCTGGGGTTCTGACAACTGAGAGTTCATTGGCTCTGTGGCCCAGGGTCTGTTTTTTCCTGCTATACTCTGTGGCGGCCTGTACCTCTGGCTTGGGTCAGGCATTGGGGTAAGGTGGAGAACAGTAAAAAAATCAGAAAATGGGTGCTGAGTCTCTCTCTCGTATGTACAGCCTCACACAGACTCCGCTCTGTCCTTGCCTGGAGATGCGTGGGTACTGGGTCTTGGTGCTTGATCTGGCACTGTGGGAAACCTGATCTCAGCCCTTAGACTCTTACTGGAATAGACATTTTCCTAATCTCCTGAGCCATCCGTTGGTCCTGGACAGAAGCCATCCCTGTACTTTGCCCATTAGCATCTTACCTCGTGAGCCAACCAGCAAAATAGGGCCTTGAGCCCAGCACACTTGGATGATGACATGGGGGAAGGTTTGAGGAGGGCTGGCCTCTGTGCCTGGATACTTTATACGTGTAATTGTGATGAGGATGGATAGCAAGGAAGCCGCTCCCACCTGACCCTCACGGCCTCCGTGTTACCTGTCCTCTAGGTGGGACGCTCGTCCCTGCTGGTGGGGAATCTCAAGAAGAAGTATGCACAGGGGTTCCTGCCTGAGAAACTTCCACAGCAGGATCACACCACCACCACTGACTCGGAGATGGAGGAGCCCTATCTGCAAGGTGGGCATCTCAGACCCTGAATCTCTCGGCCTCCCAGCGTGGCTGGAAAGGCAGGCCTCACACACTTCCTCTCTCTGTTTCCCCAGAGGAACCCTGAGCCAGCGAGTCTGTAAACATTTCCCCCAGCACCTCCTCAGCCTCCTTCCCTCAAAAAGAGGGATAGGGGAAATCACGGGAACCATGTGTCCTCTGCTCCCCCAATCCCCCTCCAGCCAACCACAGGATCCCAAGAATGGCTTTTCCTGTGGGAATCATTGGCAAGTTTTAGGCATGACTGTAGGAGTGGCCCCAGGCAAGTCCTGCCCTTCGTCCCTGCCTTGAGACTGGGGCCAGCTCTAGGTCACAGCAGAGACCAGGCAAGGCTGCTCTTTCCACATGAAGCACTGACAGAGCTGCACAGCTGCAGGAGCGTGGGCTCCTGAGGTCTTTTACTGGGTCAGCAGCCAGCTGCATAGATCAAGGTGTGATGATGCCAGCGGAGCAGCTGTGACAGCATCCAGAGTATTTCCTGGGGGCTCCTGCTTTCTTCCACAGTCATTTGATGCTGATTCTTCCCCACCTGTGTTTTGCCTCAGACTCAGACCACGTGGAAGAAAAAAATGTCAAGTCTACAAGGGGCATCCCCAGACA
Source organism: Homo sapiens (assembly GCF_000001405.40). Taxonomy (NCBI): domain Eukaryota; kingdom Metazoa; phylum Chordata; class Mammalia; order Primates; family Hominidae; genus Homo; species Homo sapiens. The sequence continues at coordinate 33,331,644 of NC_000001.11, read as the reverse complement.
CCCTTGAGTGCATTCCAGGGGTGAGAACCACTGGCATTTTCCATGCTAGAATGCTGCTGTATGTCACAGCTGTGGGAGCAGGAGGACCAGGCAGGATGGAGTAGGGAGGCCCCGTGGTGGGGCTGGCCACAGTCCTGCAGGAATTTCTCATTCTCCACCCTACCCATTTCTATACTTTTCAGAATCCAAAGAGGAGGGTGCTCCCCTCAAACTCAAGTGTGAGCTCTGTGGCCGGGTGGACTTTGCCTATAAGTTCAAGCGTTCCAAGCGCTTCTGTTCCATGGCTTGTGCAAAGAGGTGAGTGGCCCCAGCCCCCTCCATTTCCCCAGGACTGCACTTTATGTCCCACCTCCTGCCATTAATAGTCTACCCCAGGAGGTCCATAGGGGTGGCTTCTCCAGTTTCCTAGTTCCTCGACCCACCTGGAAGCAGGATGGCATCCCTAATTCAACAAGCACGAGAAGCCAGAACCCCTAAGAGCAGGTGGGAGAGAGCAGCGGGAGTCCAAGGAAAAGCCGCAGTGCTTTGGCTCGGCTGGCCCTCCTGGGCTCCACTGGCACCCATTCGCCTTTCCTAGCATTGACAGCCCCTGCCTTGTTAGGGTAAGCCTTACCCAGAACCACAGCTATAGTGTTCCCTTGGTGAGCTCTCGCCCAGCATAGATCACTAATGGTCATCATAAAAACCACTGCCATTTCCTGAGAACCTGCTGTGTGCTAGTCACTGTGCCAGTCAATTGATACGATTATCTCATCTTCAAAATAACTCCCAAGACAGGTATTACTATTGTCCCCTTTATACAGGTTAGGAAGCCAAAGTACAAAGGAGTAGTAGTGCCTCAGATAACATAGCTAATAAGCCATGGGCCTGGGGATTTAGGCTTGTCCAATTCTAAAGCCATGTGTGGTCTTTGTACCACAATGGAAGCAACAGCTGACCTTGAAGCCCTGAAATCCCAGAAGAGAAGAAATCTCTAGGTCCCAGACAGAGGTGTTCTGCATGCCAAGCTAGAGTTCAGCTATCTTCAGCCCTCATTCCCCTCAGGCTGTTGGAGCAGCCAGGCCACTCCCCAGCAGGACAGTGGACAGTAGTTTCCCGTCACAGGGTAACATTTATAGTGGAATAAGTCAGGTGTGAGCTTTCGCCCTGGTCCAAGTCCAGGTGTCTCAAACATTTTACAGACATTATCTCATGTTGTAAGACCAGACCTAGAAAGTGAGTGGTATTACCCCCAACTCCAGATAAGGAAACGGAGGATCAGGGCTTAAGTGACTTAAACCCAAAGTCACACAGCTAGTAGTTAGTGATGGAGTTAGGATCTGAACCAATAGATGGACTCAAAATTTGTCAGACAGCTTGGCTGTGCTCATTCTGCCTACGGCCCATAAGCACAATGACTACTGTGACATCCCCTGTTCCCCTGTCCCTGAAGGTACAACGTGGGATGCACCAAACGGGTGGGACTTTTCCACTCAGACCGGAGCAAGCTGCAGAAGGCAGGAGCTGCGACCCACAACCGCCGTCGGGCCAGCAAAGCCAGTCTGCCACCACTTACCAAGGATACCAAGAAGCAGGTAAGAGGCGGGCAGAGCCTGAAGCTCCATCCCCACAGTCCCCACAGCTTCCCTTCCATGGCCCTCGACACCACGGTCCCCTCCAGCTGCCGACTTCAGCGCACTCTGCTGTGCTCTCATTCCTTGTAGACCTGTCCAGTCGAGCCTTCTGCACCCCAGTAGGTCCCTTCATTTAGACCCATGGGTGCTTACAAGGTTCCCTGCCCCCTTCCGTGGCCTTGCCTCAACATCACCCCACCTTCCAGTTTGCCTCCATCCTTGGCTTCTGGGGCCACGGAAATGGGGTCTCCCCTGGGCTGCTCAGGTAACCTCCTGCCTTACGTGGAGGGCTGGGTGAGAAGGCAGCCTCCACCCTTTGTTTTGCCACCTTTTTGCCTCCCTGAACACGCGAGCACAGAGTTCTTGAAGGTCTCTACCAGGAACATGGGTATTCAGTCATTAAATATTTTTTAGCACCAGCTGTATGCCAGAAACTCTGTTAGGCACTAGGCTCTAAGGACACAGTCTCGCCTTAAAGGAACTCCACAGCATGGTGTGATGTTTTATAACCTTATGTATAATTTTGCCTTATTTTTTTTTTGTCTTAAACCTCCTTAAGAATGGTCCAAAGCTGTGTACGTACAGAAGAAATGTTACATGCTATTTCAAGTGGCTCTGTGATCACCTCCTAGAACTCAGAGCCCTGCTTTAAAACTCATGTTTAGAAAAAGATAATTGCAGTATTGTGTGGTAGACACTACAATACTAAGAGGGACTAACTCTGCCTAGGGTAGGAGACAGGACAGCATGGAAGATGCTGTTAGATCTGGGAACTCAGATGTGTAGTAGTAGGCCAAGTAGAAAAAGGAGAAATACCTCCTTTGTTCATCACTGCTGCTAGAGATGGTTTGTTCCCCCATCCTGAAGAAAACTCTCTGCTCCCAGCCAACAGGCACTGTGCCCCTTTCGGTTACTGCTGCTTTGCAGCTAACACACAGCCAGGAAGACTCCAGCCGTTGCTCAGATAACTCAAGCTATGAGGAACCCTTGTCACCCATCTCAGCCAGCTCATCTACTTCCCGCCGGCGACAAGGCCAGCGGGACCTGGAGCTCCCCGACATGCATATGCGGGACCTGGTGGGCATGGGACACCACTTCCTGCCAAGTGAGCCCACCAAGTGGAATGTAGAAGACGTCTACGAATTCATCCGCTCTCTGCCAGGTAAGGCCCTTGGAAATTCCATGTCTCCCCGGAATAGCAAGGAAAGAGAAAATGAGAGACCCTCCCACCACCAGGAGGATTAGGTAGTTTAGTTAATGACTCAGGTTCAGGAACTGGGGTGCAGAAATGAGTGAGATGAGCTCCCTGCCTATAAGAGCTTGCTTATATTCAGCATAGAATGCAAACTATAAATATTCCATAGCTGTAATTCTGTATATTTTCTGGCATGGGAAGTGATCTGTGTGAAATACAGAGATGATAATGTAATTAACTGTCTCTCTCTCCTGGGAGAGATTAGGAGGGGAGTCAGGTAGAGTGTAGGATATGTGTCAGGAACATCAAAATTAAGAAAATAGCCAGGTGTGGTGGCTCACACCTATAGTCCCAGCACTTTGGGAGGCTGAGGTGGAAGGATTGCGTGAGGTCAGGAGTTTGAGAACAGCCTGGGCAACATGGTGAGACCTGTCTCTACCAAAAAAAAAAAAAAAAAATTTAATTAAGAAAATGTAAACTAAATGACAGTAGACAGACAAGTATGCCTTTGCTGGATGGAGAGACTGCAAGAGGGCGCACATGCAGAGGCATGAAGATAGGGAAGTCTGTGGTATGGCCAGACATGGCACAGAGCCCTGCGTGGTGGAGCACAAGTGGTGGTGAGGCCCGGGATCTAGGAGCCAGCTGTAAGAGGCAAGCCTTACATCATTCACAGATGCCTTCAGTGGGGCCTGGATGCATTACTGTTTTTCTGCCAGTCTCACTCATACACCGACCAGGTCAGGTATTCATGGTAACCACAAGCCTCTTTCTCAAGAGACTGCAGTGTGGTTAAGAGCACAGACTTCTGAGTCACACAGAACTGGGTTCAAATTCTGGCTCTGTCACTTAACCTAGTATGTTATCTCTTCATCCCCAAAATTTTTATTACACAGTTGCTGTGGGTAAGGAATTCAGGAGTGGCTTCCTGGGCCGTTCTGCCTCAGGTGTCTTATGAGGTTACAATTAAGATTTATCAGCCAAGGCTGAGGTCACGTGAATACTGAAGAGCTGTGGGATCTCTTCCAAGGTGCCTCACTCACGTGATTTGCCCTGGGCTGGCTGTTGGCAAGAGGCCTTGGTTCTTGTCTATATGGGCCTCTCCAGAGGGCTGCTCGAGTGTTCTCATGATATGCATGGCAGTGGGATGTCCCCACAGGTAGGGATCCAGGAGTGCAAGGTAGAAGCCACTGTGCCCTTTATGATCTAGCCTCTGAAGCCACGTACTGGCATTTTCACAATATATTTTTTTAATTAAAATTTTTCACAATATCTTATGGGTCACACAGGTCAGTCTTACTCATTGTGAGAGGGCATGAACTGGGAAGCAAGGATTATTGGGAGCCATTCAGAGACAAGCCATGTAGTTCACCATGACCCCCAGAAATTTGTGTTCCTTCCTCATGCAGAATACCCTCACCGCCACCAAATCCCCGACAGTTTGGTCCCATGACAGCATCAGTTTGAAGTCCAGGCTCTCATCATTGAGGTGAGATGAGGCTCCTGGGGTCCAGTTCTTCAAGTATAGGTCCTCTCAGTCTGAAGATCTGAGAACTAGAGAGAGAGGCTATCTGCTCCCTTCCACAAACCCAATGCACAGTGGGACAGCCATAGGATAACCATTACAGACATGCCCATCCAAAAAGGGAGAAACAGGGAGCGTACAAGAGTCGCTGATCCATTCCAGTTCCGAAATCCGCTAGGGTTTATGGTGGCATTTCCTCAATTGGGACTCAAAGCCTGGGAGTGATTTCTGTCTTGGTTCTGCCCTCTGAGTTCTCCTTCCTTTTCTGTGAAAAGTAGCCTGTATTTTCAGTGTAGTCGTTTTCTCAGCCTGCTTCCTCCTTTTTATTTTATATTACCTTTGACTTTTTTGTTTTTTGTTTTTGAGATAGAGGCTTGCTCCATCACCCAGGCTATTGTGCAATGGCGTGATCTCGGCTCACTGCAACCTCCGCCTCCTGGGTTCAAGCAATTCTGCCTCAGCCTCTTGAGTAGCTGGGATTACAGACATTCGCCACCACACACAGCTAATTTTTGTATTTTAGTAGAGATGGGGTTTCACCATGTTGGCAGGCTGGTCTCAAACTCCTTACCTCAGGCGATCCACCCACCTCAGCCTCCTAAAGTGCTGGGATTATAGGCGTGAGCCACTGCGCCCGGCCTACCTTTGACTCTTAAAATCAGTAATTCAGTATTTCTTAAAATAATTGTGGGTTTTCTGGGAATCTTGTTGGGGTCCATTCCATTAGACAAAAACCACACCCAGAATTATCTTCAAGGGTAAGCTGTTGTCTGCATTGGTATTCTTCTGAAGCTGAGGGGCAGCATGGACAGTGCCCTTCACATTCTTAGAAACCCTGCTGTTGAAAAGAGGATCTGCGAGGCATGCCTAGAAAATCCGTCGAGAGCCTTTGGATTGAATAGCTCTTTGAGGCATCACTTTAGATCTTTCTGAAGTCTTCACAAAAAGATTTAAGTCACATCCTAAGTTTAATCTGTAGACCGTGTTTTCTTGACTGTGCCCTGAATTTGATCTTTGCCTAGAAACCATTTCTTAATGTTAGCATCATGTGCCATCTGGAGAGGCTGGGCATTTTTAAAACCGGCAGATCCCGGTTCCTTTATGTTGAACAGTTTTGTTTGTTTGTTTTTACCTTCTCTCTCTCCTATTTTACTGTGAGCAGCAGTAAGAAGCCAAGCAACACCTTCCACATTCTGCCTGAAAATCTCCTTAGCTAGACCACCCACTTCATGAGGTACATTCAACTTACATTTCTGCTACCAACCACATTTTTACAAAATGTTCTTTTATTTCATAACAGAGACCCTGTTTCTTCCAATCTCCACTAAGAGTTTCCTCACTTTCCTTTAGGCCTCCCCAGCAGCTTCCCTAAAGGCCATGAGACTTCTATATACAGTCTCTCAAAGCACCTTAGACACTCACGCTTTCCACAGAGTCCTTCTGGCTCCTGCCTGTGGCCAGTTCTGAGGCCACGCCCACATCTATAGAGCTGTTTGATGTCAGCACTCCTTTTCCAGGTACCAGAATCTGCATTAGTTACCTATTGCCATGATGTAAATTATTCCAGAACTCAGTGACTTTAAGCAGCAATCACTTGTCATCTCAAGGGCCATGTGGGTCAGGAATCGAGTGGCTCGGCTGGGCAGTCCTGGTATGAGGCTCCTGGTGTCCAGTTCCTCTTAGTCTAAGAACTAGAAACAGAGAGGTTATCTGCTCCCTTCCACAGACCCAGTGTATGAGTTTGAGGTCATATGAGGTCTCAGGGAAGACGCCATACAGGCTGCAGTGTCTGAGGTCTGGAGCCAGAAAACCCACTTCCAGCACGGTTCACTCACACGGCAAGGAGGCCGGGGACCACCAGGGCCTTGGCTGCTCTCCACGCATGCCTCTCCAAAGGGTTGCTGGGGTGGCTTACTGGTAGCTGGCTTACTCTGCAGTAACCCAGGCAGAAGAGTGAGGTGAGAACTGCTGTGCCCTTTATGATCTAGCCTCAGAAATCACACGCTGTCACTTCCTCAGCACTTTAGTGGACATGGGTCCGCCCAGTTCATGGAGCAGGGGTCTGAACAGGGGAACATAGGAGGAGGCCCAGATCGCGGCTGCTGTGGGTGAGTTGCACAGCCTCTCTCAAGCTGCAAAATAAGAACAGCAGCGCCTTCCTCAAGGCGTGGTTATGAGGACTAAAAGAAATAATGGATGCAGATAACTAGATCTAGATAACTAGATGCAGTGGCTGCCAGAGGTGAACACTGGCGGCTTGGATTGACACTGTCTTTGGTGGTACCCCCTCAGGCTGCCAGGAGATAGCAGAGGAATTCCGTGCCCAGGAAATCGACGGGCAAGCCCTGCTGCTGCTCAAGGAGGACCACCTGATGAGCGCCATGAACATCAAGCTGGGGCCCGCCCTGAAGATCTACGCCCGCATCAGCATGCTCAAGGACTCCTAGGGCTGGTGGCAGCCAGGATTCTGGCCCAGGGCGCCTCCTCCCGACTGAGCAGAGCCAGACAGACATTCCTGAGGGGCCCAGAAATGGGGCCGGTTGGAGGGCAGGGGCTCTCCCTAGGGGCATAGCTGGTGAGGAGGTCTGGGCACCTCCTCCATGGCTCTCAGGGGCCTTTCATTTCTGTGGGAGGGGCAGAGAGGTAGGTGGCACAGAAGATGGGGCTTTATGCTTGTAAATATTGATAGCACTGGCTTCCTCCAAAGTCCCAATACTCTAGCCCCGCTCTCTTCCCCTCTTTCTGTCCCCCATTTTCCAGGGGGTATATGGTCAGGGCTCCCCAACCTGAGTTGGGTTACTTCAAGGGCAGCCAGCAGGCCTGGATGGAGGCCTAGAAAGCCCTTGCCTTCCTTCCTCCCACTTCTTTCTCCAGGCCTGGTTAACTCTTCCGTTGTCAGCTTCTCCCCCTTCAGCCTGTTTCTGCAGCAGCCAGGGTTCTCCCCCCTACACCCTCTGCAGGTGGAGAGAGAGAAGCTGGGCCCAGCCGGGCCGTGCCTGCTGGCACAGACGCCTTAACGCTGTGTGTATGACTGTGTGACTGTGTGGGAGCCTGGACTGACAGATAGGCCAAGGGCTACTCTCTGGCATCTCCAGGTGTTTTGTAGCAAACAGCCACTTAGTGCTTTGTCCTGGACTCCACTCAGCCTCAGGATGGGGAATAGCCAAGAATGGCAGCCTCAGCGCAGAGGCAAGGTCAGAAAGAGACGGCGCTTCAGAGTTTCCTTTCCAGACACCCCTCCCCGCACTGTGAAGTTCCCCTGACCGCCCTCCTGGTTCACAAAGAGCATTAAGAAAGCTGCGGTGGTCTGAGCAACATAGCCCAAAGGGCTGAGCCTCCTGGCCTGCCTGCCCGCCCACCCTGGGAGTCCCAGTGGTGAGGCTCAGAGAACTGCTAAGGGGAAAGAACAGCTGGAGTTTCTGTTGATGTGAAGAAGGCAGCTCTTGGCCTCCCACTCCCACACTTCTTTGCCTATAAATCTTCCTAGCAGCAATTTGAGCTACCTGAGGAGGAGGCAGGGCAGAAAGGGCGAGGGCCTGCCTCTGACCTGCCGTGTCCTTTGCAGGAAGGAGGTAGGCACCTTTCTGAGCTTATTCTATTCCCCACCCACACCCCCAGGCAGGGTTGGAAATGAAGGACTTTTTTAACCTTTGTTTTGTTTTTTAAAAATAAATCTGTAAAATCTGTCTCTTTGGTGCCTTTCTCCCCTAGGAATGCCTGTCTCTGGGCCCAAATGGCTACTTTTCACCCATACAGACAGGTGGGTCCCTGGGCTGGGGAAGGGACCTTAAGTGGATGGCATATCCTCCACACTTTTCTGGAGCTGGGTCATTTGAGGGTGCCCTCAGCTGCAGTTCACACGGTAGATACCAGCTTTCTTCACACGGTGTCCCTTGGAGTGAGAGGGTCCAGAAGCCCTTTCTGCTCTGCGCCCCCCTACCCGCCATTCCCACTTGGGAGATGATGACTGTTGGGCTAGCAGCCTCTGGACACCTGGGGCAGAACCCAGACTCTCCCATCTTCCAGCACACACCTCTCGATAGAGCTGCACAGCATCCAGAATAGCCTTGGGATGGCTTTGGTTCACTGAGCACTTTTGCATGCTCAAATAGAAAATGATTAGGGCAGAGATGAGGCATCTAAGCCTTGAATAAAGAAGGAGAAAGGGCATTCCAGACCGAGGCATAAGTGCAAAGGCACAAGCATGAACGTGGAAGTGCAAATGAGAGGCAGGTGAGCTGGCTGGATTAGACGTGTGTGCTGCTAACCGTGACCTGTGTTGACCACATGCCTCTGAACCAGGCACTGTGCTAGAAATGAGACTGGGGTGAAGCACAGAATAACCATGTGCCCTCTTGCGTGGAGTGAAATCTACCCCACATCTATGGGGGGAGGGGAAAAAGAGGCAGCTTGGCCTTACTGCTCCTCCCCCTTCATCAGGTTTTTCCCTAAGGGACCATTTCTACCTGTTAAAAATTTAGGTTATGGCTGCTCACATCTGTAAACCCAGCACTTTGGGGAGGCCGATGTGGGAGGATTGCTTGAGGCCAGGAGTTTGAGACCAACCTGGGCAACATAGAGAGACCCCATATCTACAAAAAAATACCAAAAAATGGCAAGGTGGTGCATACCTGTAATCCCAGCTATTCTGGAGGCTGAGGTCGATCACTTGAGCCCAAGAGTTCAAGGCTGCAGTGAGCTATGATTGCACCACTGCACCCCCAACCCAGGTGACAGACAAAAACCCTATTTTTTTTTAAAAAAAAAGCAGGGGTGGGGGTGGTTTGAGGGTCAGGCCACAACCTACTGAATCACAGTCTCTAAAGGACAATTACTTACTTGAAAGTAACTTTCAAGAACCAACACTCACATCTTAATAACTCCTCTTTGGAAAGCCTATTAAAATGGAACTGTCTTGGAGGAGAAACACACTGATTAGTTGATCCCCAGGGGGTAGAACTAGGGACTGGAAAGCCTGTCCCAGGAGGCAGGGAATGGCTGGCAGGACCCTGAGCTGACGGGAGGAGGAGGATGCTGAGATTGGGGAGTGAGCCCTGGGGAGCCCCCAGGCAAGAACGAACGCCCCATGTGCTGCCGCCTCTCCTGCTGCTGGAGTGCAGGCCACGTGCGCAGGTGCACCACTGGCCTATAGGACTCTGGGCAGTTCTTTTCACTTTCTGGACCTTAATTTTCCCTTTATGGAAGAAAATGAAAACCAGGCCCCACCTGAGTTTGTTGTGTGTAGCAAAGAGGGAGGGAACCAAACCTACTCCTAAAAGAAGATGTGGTGAATTTGATTCACACCAATAAGTATCCATCTTCTTTAGATGAAAAGCTCCAACCTGCTGCAAGTTTGCAGGGTGCACCTGCAATAGGCATTTGCTATTCCTGTTGTTTACACTTCACACTGAATTTCACAGACCTATTTCCATCATGATCCACAATTTAAAGAAATATTTCCCAAACTTGTATACACATTTCAATATCTATCAACTGAAACAAACATTTCATGAAACAAAACCTACCCTTACGTACAATATAGAATATTTTCCATTGTATTCCTGTTCGTATTTTAAAAATCTTGGTCACGACCCACTAAACTCATTACACGGCCTTCAGATAGGTCACAACTGGAACTTTAAAAAGCACTGCCCAGAGTAAATCACAACGGTTCAACATCCACGAATTTACATGGTTCTCTCTCCTGGGTGACTGGTGTATGTACTGGTGTACATTCTACTGAGAAGGTAAAGGGCTCCACTAGGTGAACTGTCCAAGGTCACAGGTGCCGAGTGCCCTTCAGATCTGGCTGAGGCTCTGTGCAGAACGGCTTTTCCTGCGTGGCAAACACCATACCTTGATTGCCAGCTGTTCCCAAGAACCAAAGACACTTCCCCTGGGGAGGGAAGAGGAGTCTGTACAAAATGACAGAGCCTCCAGCCAACCAGAACTGGCCTACTCAGACCCACCCTCTTCCAGGTGATTGGCCCCAAAAGGGTTGCCAGCCCCACTCCACCTTGGGGCCAGCTTCCCCCAAAAGGTTGCATCCCCGGCAGGTCCCTCGCAGGCAGTCCATCCTGACTGCTCCTGTGGGTGCAGCTCCTCAGGTAAAGGGGGAGGAGCTGCTTGTTCCAGATCTCCAGGAGCAGGCCATTTCTTCCCCAGCTCTAAGCTGGGAAAGTTTGCTCCAGGCCATCCTACCTGCTTCCCCATATGGCTCTCAAGGAGGGACTCAGGTGAGGGGGGACAATGGTATGGAGAGGAAGAAAGCTTGGGGACAGCTGAGCTAAGAGGGATCCAGTCTGATGGCTAAAACAGTACCAAGGGGAGGCACCAGAGTGAGCCCAGGAGTACCAGCTGAGCCTCCAGTCCTGGGGAAAGGTGGCTCCGAGAGGGGACATTGCCCCAGGAGAAGAAAGACAATCCGTGTGCATGGACACCGGGGTGGGGGAGGTTGTATTCCACAAGATTTTGTAGCCAATGAAAAGCTGGACTCCCCTTGCTTCCCTTAACTCTAAACCCCCTTGGCGAGCCGGAAAGCAGAGACCCGGGGGTACATTCCCTCCCCGACTGTAACTGAGAGCTCCCTCTATCCCCACTGGGACTGATGGTCCAGGACTAGGAACCTGTGCCCCCTTAAGACCTAATGGCTGATCTTTAACCCTTTCTTGAAGCCAACGAGAGTGGGGAGCAGGGCACAGGGTGGAGCTTGAGGGACCACCTTCTGCAGGTAGAACCTGAACAAGAAATGTGGAGGAGTGGACTGATCAGGGGCCTCCACAGACCACGGGCTCCCAGGCTGGGGCATAGGAGGGGCAGGAGGAGCTGGTGGGTCCCACCCAGTCCTGGGTCTCAGCACCCTCCCAGGCCTGACCACAGGAGTTCACAAGACCAACTCTGCCTGTGTGCCCTGGCTGAGGCCCAGAGCCCAGAATAAGCATCGGTTTGCCCTACCCTGGTTGGGAGGAGGCTGGTGAAGAGGGTGGGACAGCCACAGAGGGGGAGAAAGCCCCTCCAGCCTTTTCCTGCTCCTGTAGTACCTTACGCAGTACCTCGCACACCTCCCACAGTGCACCTCCCGAGGCAGCCTTGCCAGCTCCCAGTACGGGGTTTGACCAGGCTTCTAGGAACCAGAGAAGCCCAGCTGCAGCCAGCCCTCCAGGAGCTCAGACAGGAGCTGAATAGAGTGCGAAGGGAAGAAGCCAAGCCCACGGGGAGAAATAACAGGGCCGAGAACCTTGTGAGATGAGCCTCAGGGCTGAGCTAGGCCCAGGTCAAATGGAACCCAAATGCCATGCTGGAAGCTCTGGCTGGGGGATCGGGCAGTCCTACTCAAAGCCCAACCCCACCCATTACCCGCCGTGCAAATGCCTTGGTGTAAAGTGTAAACAGGAATGGCAAATGCCTACTGAAGGTGCACCCTGAAAACCTGCAGTAGGTTGGGGCTTTTCACCTAAAGAACACGGATACTTATTGGAGGAGAAACAAGCTGATTAGTTGATCCCCAGGGGGTAGAACTAGGGACTGGAAAGCCTGGTGCCCCAGGAGGCAGGGAATGACTGGCAGGACCCTGAGCTGACAGGGGAGGAGAGGATGCTGAGATTGGGGAGTGAGCCGTGGGGAGCCCCCAGGCAAGAACGAACGCCCCATGTGCTGCCTCCTCTCCTGCTGCTGGAGTGCAGGCCACGTGCGCAGGTGCACCACTGGCCTATAGGACTCTGGGCAGTTCTTTTCACTTTCTGGACCTTAATTTTCCCTTTATGGAAGAAAATGAAAACCAGGCCCCACCTGAGTTTGTTATATGTGTAGCAAAGAGGGAGGGAACCAAACCTACTCCTAAAAGAAGATGTGGTGCATCTGATTCACACCAATGAGGCCGCCCAGCCTTGCAGAGGTGAGCTGTCACTGAGATCTGCTCCAAGCCTCCATGCATCCTCTCTCACACAGTGACCCTGGCCCAGCCCCCTTGCTGAGCGCTGCCCTGAGGTATTGTGTGTCCCCTGGACAGCAGTATTCACCTGAGTGTCCCAACTCAGTGCTTCTCAAGCTGCAGTTTGCATTTCCTTGATCTTTCCTTCTATGTTCTCAGCGATTGATCCCAGTGACCCAAATGGACCCCTGCTTTCTCCCCTGAGCAACTGCAACCCTAAGCAAGTGATTTAACCTTTCTAAGCCTCAGTTTCCTCATTTATAAAGTAGACATAAGCACAGCATCTCCTTCAAGGGGCTGTGGTGTGCCTTTAACAGGACAGGCACATAATACACTTGGCCAGGTATCCGTCTCAGTGTCTGGGATTATGCATAAGGAGTGCAGACTTAATCTTGAAGAAAATGGAGTTTTAAGCAAAGGAGTACCAGTCAACTTGGAAGAGAGAATGAACACAAATAACTCATTCGTTGTTTCATTCATTTGCTGAACAAATAATTATCAATAGCATGAATTATGAGGCAGAGGCATAATGAGTGAGGCAGACAGTCCCTAGCATCGCTTGGCAGGTACTGGAGGAGAGGTCTGGGAAAGGGACAGAGGCACATCCTGGGGGAGGGACCTAACGGAGGAGATGTCAAGGCCAGCTTCAGACAGGAGGAAGCTGGGTGCTGAGGAATGATGCGGAGCTTGTTGGCTGATGGAAGGAAGAGTGCAATCAGAACAGAATACAGAGGTGGGGAAGCCTAGGAGACTTCATAGTGAAGGGTAAAAGATGGAGACTCGGAGGCAGGGTCAGGAGGCTGTTATAGGAATCCAAGTGAGAAACAAGGAGGCACAGATAGGACAGTGAGGGAGGCCAGGAGGGGAGTTTTGGGCACTAGGAAGGAGGCAAAAGCAACAACTTGGCTGTCGGGAGAGAAAGCAGGGGTCCCACTTGGGTCACTGGGATCAATCGCTGAGAACACAGGAAGGGGAGAGTGAATGGCAGGATGGGGGAGGAGTGAGTAGGGGGACGGAGGAGAGTGAGTGGGAGAACCCCCAGGGTTTGCTGATGGGCTGCATGTGGGGCATTAAATTATTTGTAACAATATTTTTATTTAAACCAGCACATCCGAATTTATACCTGTTTCACTGTTTTAATGTGGCTACTAGACATGTTTAAATTACATGTGACTCACACTATACTTCCACTGGATGATGCTATTCAAGATCTCTTCCTACACTCATGAAAGAACGCGGCTATACGTGACTGCAAAGGCTCGAGTGCACAGGCACAGATGCTTCCCCCTGCCAGAAGCAAGGTCTGCCTCTCCGTATTAGTTATTCCTTCCTTTTCACCTTAACACATTAGGGTCTGTTTTCCAGAGAGTACATATAAATCTACCTCACCCTTTTCAATAGCCATGTTGATTTCTATTATACAAGTTGAGCACCCCTCATCCAAAAATCTGAAATCCAAAACGCTCTAGAATCCGAAATTTTTTGAGCACTGACAGGACATTCAAAGGAAATGCTCCCACTGGAGCATTTTGAATTTCAGATTTCCAGATTAGGGATACTTAGCCAGTAAATACAATGCAAATATTCAAAACTCCAAAAAAGTCCAAAATCCAAAACACTTTTGGTCCAAACTTTTGGATAAAGGATACCCAACCTGTATAGAGATGCCTAATTCATTGATCCAGTTCCCTACTGATGAACCCTGGGGTTGTTGCATTAGTTTGCTTTTTCAGAGAAGGCTATGGGAACATCCTGGGACTAGTCACTGCAGAGTCTCCATTCCTAGCTGCAGGCAAGCTGGCCAGGGGCTGTGAGCACTGACAGTGTTACAGTGGAGGAGCTGGACTTGGGAGGCTTCTCAGGCATGGTTAAGAGATGTGGACGGTGTCCTGCACTCAGCAGGAAACCACAAAATAACTTCAATTTTTTTGTGTGTAAATTGCTAACTTTGAATTTTTCCTTCATTAAAAAAGCAACCTACTGTAAATACATTACAGAAAATTGAGGAGAAAATAAGAAACTAATTTTATTGCACAAACACATTCTTCCTTTTAGTCTTATTTTCTGATGCACGTTTTTATTCTTGCTTAAATTGTAATCAGAGTGCACCTCAATTTTAGATCCTGCTTTTTTCCTTTCATGTTCCTGTATGAGCATTTTTCTACGTGACTGCAGAGTCTTCCTAACACGTTTATTTGCCAGTCCCTTCAGCTGGACACTAAAGCCTTCTTCAGTTATATTTGAGGAGCTGAGATAATGCCTCTCCCTGTGACCCAAAACGCCTTCTCTGTGGGTGCTTTCCAGGCAGCATTCAACCAAGCTCAAGTCTCGCTTGTGTAAGGGAAACAAGCACACACCCATCAATACAACCACCCTGTCCCCTCCAGTTGCCACCCCATCTCTGTCCTCCTTACAGCCCGACTTCTGGAAAGACAGCCCCACTCCCACCCAACCCATGTGCCTCTCCTTAAGTCCTCTACCTCCTCAGTCTCCCTCCCATTCCCACCTGGTCTAGGCCTGGGCCCTGGCCTCCTCTCCCTCTGTACTCTCTCCCTCTCTCCCATAACATCCCTGCCCTCCTGGCAAATCCCAGAACTTTCTCCTGAGCCTGCCTGCCTTCTGGGCTCCAGCCCCCTTCCTCCAACCAGACAACCAGGCATCTTCTCCTTTCTGGTACCTCAGCCCCGTCCCTCAAATCCATGGCCAAGTCTTGCCCATGTGCCCTCCCTGACAGCCCCTCACCACCTATTCCTCCCCATCCAGCTGCCAACTCCCTGGTGTTGCCCCTGATACCTCCCAGGGGCTGGCACCTAACTCATCTTCCTGCCTCCAGCAGTGCCCTCCCTGCCACCCCACCATGGCCAGGCTCCAGATTTCAGCTGGAGTACTTTCAGGTTTGTGGAGGGTTTTTTTGTTTGTTGGTTTTTGGGTTTTTTGTTTTGTTTTGTTTTGTTTTTTCAAATAAAAATCTGACTGAGTCACTCCCCAGAGGAAATACCTTTCAGGGCTCCCCATGACCCTCAAGATGAAGTCCAATTCCCCGAGCCTGACATGCGGGCCCTGGGTGACCTGGCCCCGGCTCACCTCTGCAGCCTCATCCCTCCCTCCTCATCTGCTACTACACTCCACCCTGCAGTTCCACAGACATTCCAGGAGTGAGGCTTCCTCACTTTTGCATACTGTTGTTTCTTTTCCATGGACCTCTCTTCCCCCTCCATGCCTTCTTCACCTGAAGAACTTCTATTAATAATTTTTTAGGTCCTACCTTAGAAGTCAACTCCTCCTCCAGGAGGCCCCAACTACCTCCTCATCTACGAAGGCTCAGGTGCTACTCTCCAATTTGCCTCATAGCATCTGATACTGTTCCCAATCACAGCATTCATTGTGCCGTGTTCCACACATCTGTTTTCAGTGTGTCATGTGACCCATACCCTCACCACTGCCCCCCCGCCCAACTACACCCACATCTTCCTGACTCCGCACCCTGAAGACAGGGTCTGTGTCTCATTCACCTCTGAATCCCTGACTTAGCACAGTGCTTGACGCTGAGCTTGTGTCCAATAAATATACGTTGAATGCACGACTTAACAGAAACTGATGAACATCTTGATGCATAAACTTTTCTCATTCTGAAGATTATCTCCTTTGAACAGATTCCCAGAAGCTTGGAATTATTGAATCAAAGTGGATGAATATTGAACACTTTCAATTCCCATAGCTAAGTAGCTTTCCAAATGGCTGTAGCAATTTACACTCCCACCAGCAAGTGTAAGAGCACCAATCTCACTGCATTCTTGCAGCTTGGCTATTCTCATTATGCCTTTTATTTTTAAAATCAAGACAGGGTCTACCTCTGCCACCCAGGCTGGAGTCCAGTGGCATGATCATAGCTTACTGTAACCTGTAACTCCTGGGCTCAAGCGATCCTCCTGCCTCAGCCTCCTGAATAGCTGGAACTACAGGTGCATACCATCTGGCTAATTTTTTTTTTTTTTTTTTTTGAGACAGAGTCTTGCTCTGTCACCAGGCTGGAGTACAGTGGTGTGATCTCAGCTCACTGCAACCTCCGCCTCCCAAGTTCAAGTGATTCTCCTGCCTCAGCCACCCAAGTAGCTGGGACTACCGACGCGTGCCACCACGGCCAGCTAATTTTTGTATTTTTAGTAGAGATGGGGTTTCACCGTGTTGGCCAGGATGGGCTCGATCTCTTGACCTTGTGATCCACCCGCTCGGCCTCCCAAAGTGCTGGGATTACAGGCATGAGCCACCACGCCCAGCCCCGGCTAATTTAATTTTTTGCAGAGGCAGGGTCTTGCTCCGTTGCCCGGGCTGATCTCGAACTCCTGGCCTCAAGCAATTCTCCTGCCTTGACCTCCGAAAACACTGGGATTACATGCACAAGCCCCTCCCAGCCCTATTATGTTTTTTTTTAAAAAGTGCTCATTTTATAGGCAAAACATACCACCTTGTTCTAATTTGTATATCTTTGATTGCCAGTGAGGGTGAACATTTTTCCATATATTTGCCTACTAAATGCACTTCTTCTTTGAGGATTTACCTGTTTGTGTGACATGGAAACTGTTAAGGCAGGCTGACTTGTTATGAGATGACTCTGGGGTTGTGGAGGAAGTGACCAGGAGCATGAAGAGTGCTGCTGCAATGATCCCGTGACGGAGGAGCAGGCGAGGGTCACTGTGGGGCACGGGGAAGAGCAGGGGGAGCAGAGATCAAGGAGACCAGGTCAACCCGGGACTGAAAGCAGACAGCAGGTGCAGAGCAGGAGGGGTCAGGGTGCACCCAGGTTTCTGGCTTGGCGCAGTGAACTGGAGGAGGGGCTGTGCTCAGAGACAGTGCCCAGGTGGATCCACACACCTGCAAGGCAGTTCGCAGCACTCTTTACTAGACACACCTGCTGAGGAACAGCGACGTGGGGCAGCAGGAGAGGCAGGGGCAGGAGGGTCTGAAGCTGGCGGCCTTCTTGAAAGAGACCAGGGGAGCCAGGTTTTGAAAGGATTTGTAGGCCGGACACGGTGGCTCACGCCTGTAATCCTAGCACTTTGGGAGGCCGAGGTGGGTGGATCACCGGAGGTCAGGAGTTTGAGACCAGCCTGGCCAACATGGCGAAACCCCGTCTCTACTAAAAATACAAAAATTAGCTGGGCAAGGTGGTGGGCACTCGTAATCCCAGCTATTCGGGAGGCTGAGTCACGAGAATCACTTGAACCCAGGAGGCAGAGGTTGCAGTGAGCTGAGACTGTGCCATTGCACGCTAGCCTGGGCTACAGAGCGAGACTCCATCTCAAAAAAAAAAAAAAAAAAAAAAAAGAGGAAGGAAGGAAGGAAAGAAGGATGGATGGATGGATGGATTTGTAGGGGCAGGGAGTGGAGTGAGGAGGCTGCCCAGGTGACGATCAGGGTGTGTTCAGGAAGAATGGTCATCACTAGATAAAGCTGAGTGAACTATTGCAACATGAGAGGCCTTGTTCTCAACGCTTAGCTTGTGTGAAGGCAATGACAGCCCTAAGGCAGGAGTTCTTATTACCCCATCCTATAGATGAGACTGATGTGCAGAGGACCAGACCTTGCCCCAGGGTCAGAGAGCTAATGAGTGGTGGAGCTGGGATTCGAACCCAGGGCTCTGGCCCCCGTGTCTGTGCTCCTTACCACGTGGCTCCAGTTGCTCTAGATACGTGAGTACTCAGGAAGGTGGGGTGACAGTGGAACAAGCTCCCCAGAAGGAGCTTATTAAGATTCTCAGCATTTGGAGCCCTTCCTGGAAAACGAAGTGTGGACAAATCCCAAAGCCCACCTCTTCTGAGCCAAGAATTGGGCTGCTGAGCTCTGCTTGGAGGAGTTCACCTGGCCTGGTGACTGGAGCCACCACAGACACCTGGTCTCTGACCACAGCCAGCCCAGTAACTCTTCTCTAAGTCCCAGACAGCTTTTAACTCCCAGTGACTGAGGCGGGAGGATTGCTTGAGCTGAGTTGGAGACAAGCGTGGGCAACATAGCAAGACCCCATCTCTAAAAAAAAAAAAAAAATACAAAATTAGGCGTCTATAGTCCCAGCTACACAGGAGGCTGAGGTGGGAGGATAGCTTGAGCCCAGGAGTTCAAGGCTGCAGTGAGCTGTGATCACACCACAACACTCCAGCCTGGGTGACAGAGTGAGGCTGTCTCAAAAAAAAAAAAAAAAAAAAAAAAAACTCCGTCACTGAGCCACAAACACTTGTGCATCCTCTCCTGGCCTCTCCTGTCCAAGGTCAGTCCCACCTTCCACCCAGGATAAGTAAGTACCTCAACCCCTAACGTTATCATCCCCGCAACCTGCCCAAGGTCATGCCCCTGCACAAGAAACTGGTAACACTGGCTACCTTCATGCAGAAGAACCAGCTGGCTGGAAGTAAGAAAGACTTTTCATGTATGTGTGCATATAAATATTTGTGTCTATACATATAAATGAGTTACTGATGCCCCCCTCCCGCCCCCAGGGCCTGGAAGAGAATCTTCTGGCGGCAGATCCTACTTACACTTGGCCTCTTAGGCCTGTTTCTGTATGGCCTCCCTAAATTCAGGTAAAAGCCCCTTTCCCCAGCACTTGAGGTAGGACCACAGTCAGGTTTAAAGGGGATCTGTCTAAGTGCCTCCTTGAGGGATGGAGGGCAGTGGCTAACTCAGCTCAAGTGTCCTTGTGAGCTCTCTCTCCTTGTAAGAAGCAAAGCCAGAGGGCTCCTGGCCAGGCTGACATGCTTCTCACGGCTGCCTGCCCCCCGCCCCTCAACCCACCACAGGCATCTGGAAGCCCTCATCCCCATGGGCGTCTGCCCTTCGGCCACAATGTCCCAGCTGAGAGACAACTTCACAGGTGCCCTGCGTCCCTGGTAAGAAGCTCCCATCCCTCCTACTCCAAGGGCACCCCCAAACCCTACACAGCTCTGCCCCATGTCCCTGCCCTCCACACATCTCCCACCCCAGCAGAGCCAGGCACTCTGCCACCAAGTCCAGCAGCCCCATCGGGCCACACATCTCCCAGTCCTCTGTGTTGCTCTGAGCTGGAGGCTTCCAGGGGCAGCAACTAGGTCTCATCGGTCTATGGGTCCCTAGGGCTCAGCACTGGGGAGGTGGCAGTGAACATGCACCAAGTGGGTGGATGAATGGAGCTATTTCCATTTCCCATCCCTGCCCTGGCCAGGGCCCGGCCTGAAGTTCTGACCTGTACCCCCTGGGGGGCTCCCATTATTTGGGATGGCTCTTTCGACCCAGATGTGGCCAAGCAAGAGGCTAGACAGCAGAACCTCACCATTGGGCTGACTATCTTTGCTGTAGGCAGGTAAGGCCTGGGAAGGGGAGCAGTGCTGTCAAAGCTGTGAGTGGGAGGGGTGTGCATGTGATGAAGGAGGCGGGGCACCCTGCTCCCCTGTGCCATGGGATCCCAAAGTGAAGCGAGAAGCAAAGACAACACTTCTTGCCCCACACCCCCAGATGAGCACAGGACCATCCTTCTCCTCCTCCCTGGACACCAACACCATAGAGCCCGCCCAACACAGGCAGCCAGGGCTGTTCTAGAACCACATCTGGAAGGGACCTGCCTAGGGGCTGGGACTCATCCATCTGGAGGCACTGGTTTTGTAGTGAGAAAATGATGGAGTCTTTCAGGTGAGAGTGGTGAGAGGAGGGGAGTGTGACTGGGTAAGTAGAGGGATGATTCACTGCATTCGGTGCCCATTGGAGGTCAGCAGCTCAGGTGCAGGTACATAGGATTGTGGGGGCAGGTGCCAAGCAAGTCTGATGAAGGGAGAGGGGCTGGGGAGCTGAAGGATTGCAAGGGAGTGAATCTGAACTGGGCAGAGGGAAGTGAAGAGAGGAAGGGGGTGACAAATACTGAAGTGGCAAGGTCACCAGATTAGAGGATTCAGTGAGGTAGGACTGTTTTGGGTTGGGGGTGGTAATCACAGTAAGTGAGCTAGAAGAACGAGGTCCTTACAGAGTGGGACAGACACTGATGAAGATCAAGTTGAGGGAGTAGCCATGGGAACAGGTAACTGTGAAGGGAACAGGTGACCGTGGAGGGCACGGGAAAATCACTACAGGAAAGGAGGTCAAGAGAAGAAATGGCAGCGGGGTGCTGACCTCCCCACTATGGATGACAGGGAGTGTCTAAACTGGGTGTCGACCTTCCTGAAGTGACACGAAGGGGACTCTTGGCTGACAGTGGCAGTCAGATCCTATAACCTAGTTTCGGGCAACTAAAAGAGGCATTTCTAAAAGTGGAACTAGTTGCTTTGGGAAGGTGGTGAGAGCCTCCCATTCAGGAAGGATGGGGAAGGAATTTTGTTACCAGATACCCCAGACAACTGTTCAAGGCTCCTCGAACTCTGTCCCCCACACCCTACAAGGGAGGGAAAGCCAGGAGTGCCACTGACAGGCAAGGGGATGAAAAGGACCAAGGGCTGCCCCGTGGACCAGGCGGGCAGAACTGCTGGGCTACTTGGGCCTTCGTCTCTCCCAAGGCCTCGGTGCTCCCACTTCCATCACACATGCGGAGTAGGGCGTTCCTGCCCCAGCCCTAGGGTCAGACACTCAATGTACAGAAAATTCTGGGATACTGAGGTCCTGAGTTCCAAGATTCTGAGTCCAACACCACGAAATGCTGAGATTTCCTAGGTCTCTGATTCCCATTTCCCACAGTCACCAGGAATAGAGCAAGTGCAAGTAAAGGTACAGGCTCTAAGGCCAAGCTGGGTTCAAATCCTGGCTCAACCACTTACCAATGGTACATACAAGTTTCTAACGCTCTTTAGATGAGACAATGCACATTGACATAGAAAGCAGTGGCTGCCACATGATAAAAGTTCAAAGTATTATTAGGCACTGTTACTACTATTTTAAAGTCCTAGGATCCCAAGGTCTGTTCATACAGTATTCCAGGCAGCCTCGTTATCTATATAGTGAAAGACAGTGACTTAAAACAACTTATTATTATAGCTCATAAAATAATTCCCCTCTCCCTCTCCCCGGTCTTCCTCTCCCTGGTCTCCCTCTCCCCGGTCTCCCTCTCCCCGGTCTCCCTCTCCCTCTCCCTCTCTCTCCACGGTCTCCCTCTGATGCCGAGCCGAGGCTGGACTGTACTGCCGCCATCTCGGCTCACTGCAACCTCCCTGACTGATTCTCCTGCCTCAGCCTGCCGAGTGCCTGGGATTGCAGGCGCGCGCCGCCATGCCTGACTGGTTTTTGTATTTTTTGGTGGAGTCGGAGTTTCGCCGTGTTGGCCGGGCTGGTCTCCAGCTCCTGACTGCGAGTGATCTGCCCGCCTCGGCCTCCCGAGGTGCCGGGATTGCAGACGGAGTCTCGCTCACTCAGTGCTCAATGTTGCCCAGGCTGGAGTGCAGTGGCGTGATCTCAGTTCGCTACAACCTCCACCTACCAGCTGCCTGCCTTGGCCTACCAAAGTGCCGAGATTGCAGCCTCTGCCCGGCCGCCTCCCCATCTGGGAAGTGAGGAGCGTCTCTGCCTGGCCGTCCATCGTCTGGGATGTGAGGAGCCCCTCTGCCCGGCCGCCCAGTCTGGGAAGTGAGGAGCGCCTCTTCCCGGCCGCCATCCCGTCTAGGAAGTGAGGAGCGTCTCTGCCCGGCCGCCCATCGTCTGAGATGTGGGGAGCGCCTCTGCCCCGCCGCCCTTTCTGGGATGTGAGGAGTGCCTCTGCCTGGCCGTGACCCCCGTCTGGGAACTGAGGAGCGTCTCTGCCCGACCGCCACCCCGTCTGGGAGGTGAGGAGTGTCTCTGCCCGGCCGCCCCGTCTGAGAAGTGAGGAGCCCCTCCGCCCGGCAGCCGCCCCACCTGGGAAGTGAGGAGCGTCTCCACCCAGCAGCCGCCCCATCCAGGAGGTGGGGGGCAGCCCCCGCCCGGCCAGCCGCCCCATCCGGGAGGGACGTGGGGGACAGCCCCCGCCTGGCCAGCCGCCCCGTCCGGGAGGGAGGTGGGGGGCAGCCCCCGCCCGGCCAGCCCCCCGTCTGGGAGGTGGGGGGGCGCCTCTGCCCAGCCACCCCGTCTGGGAAGTGAGGAGCCCCTCTGCCTGGCCGCCACCCCGTCTGGGAGGTGTACCCAACAGCTCATTGAGAACAGGCCATGATGATGGTGGTGGTTTTGTCGAATAGAAAAGGGGGAAATGTGGGGAAAAGAAAGAGAAATCAGATTGTTACTGTGTCTGTGTAGAAAGAAGTAGACATAGGATACTCCATTTTGTTCTGTACTAAGAAAAATTCTTCTGCCTTGGGATGCTGTTAATCTATAACCTTACCCCCAACCCCGTGCTCTCTGAAACATGTGCTGTGTCCACTCAGGGTTAAATGGATTAAGGGCGGTGCAAGATGTGCTTTGTTAAACAGATGCTTGAAGGCAGCATGCTCGTTAAGAGTCATCACCGCTCCCTAATCTCAAGTACCCAGGGACACAAACAGTGCAGAAGGCCGCAGGGTCCTCTGCCTAGGAAAACCAGAGACCCTTGTTCACATGTTTATCTGCTGACCTTCCCTCCACTATTGTCCTATGACCCTGCCAAATCCCCCTCTCTGAGAAACACCCAAGAATGATCAATAAATACTAAAAAAAAAAAAAAAAAAAAAAAAAAAAAACAACTTTGACATGACAAAAAAATAATAATAATAATTCTGTGGAGGGCCAGGCGTAGTAGCTCACACCTGTAATCCCAGCACTTTGGGAGGCCCGAGACGGGAGGATCACCTGAGGTCAGAGTTCGAGACCAGCCTGGCCAACACGGTGAAACCCCATCTCTACTAAAAATACAAAAAAATTGGCCGGGCGTGGTGGTGGCCACTTGTAATCCCAGCTACTTGGAGCCTGAGGCAGGAGAATCGCTTGAAGCCGGGAGGCAGAGGTTGTAGTGAGCTGAGATAGCGCCACTGTACTCCAGCCTGGGCCACAGGAGCGAAACGCTATCTCAAAAATAATAATTCTGTGTGTCAGTAATTCAGACAGGGCTCAGCAGGAAGGGCTCCTCTTCTCATGCTCTCAAATGTCTGCGTCTCAGCTGGGAGACCAACTGCTGAAGACTGGTGGGGGCCAGCTTAGGCTTCCTCACTCATGGCAGCACCCAAGTTCTGGGACTTCTTATATGGAGGCTTAGAGCTCTAAAGAGAGAAACGCTGCCAGTCGTCCAAAGGGCCAGTATGAGGCAGGAGTGGCAGGCAATTTGCAAGCATCTTCAGTCCAACCTGCCCTGCCCCATCTAAGTTGAAAGATGCTAGGGCTAGAGGGTCCGGAGTTCCAAGGCCGGGTGTGGGGAGGACCAGGCAGCACTGGTGGGGTGGGGGTAAGGTTGCGGTGGGGGTGAGGTTGCGGTGGGGGTGAGGTGGGTGAGGTTGGGGTGGGGTAGGGGTGAGGTGGGGTGAAGTGAGGTTGGGGTGGGGGTGGGGTGAGGTTGAGGTGGGGGTGAGGGTTGGGTGGGGTGAGAAGGGGGTGAAGGCTGGGTGGGGCAGCAGTGGGGGTGAGGTGGGGGTGAGCTTGGGTTAGGCGCGCTGAGGTGGGGGTAGGGATAAGGTTGGGGTGGGGTGAGGTTGGGGTGGGGGTGAGGGTTGGGGTGGGTGGGTTGAGGTGGGGGTGAAGGTTGGGTGGGGTGGGGGTGGGGGGGAGGTGGGAGTGGGGTGAGGTGGGGATGGAGTGAGGTTGGGGTAGGGTGAGATGGGGATGACGGTTGGGTGGTGTGGGGTGGGGGTGAGGATTGGGTGGTGTGAGGTGGGGGTGAGGGTTGGGAGGGGTGGGATGAGGTGGGGGTGAGGGTGGGGTGGGAGTGGGGGTGAGGGTGGGGTGGGAGTGGGGGTGAGGGTGGGGTGGGAGTAGAGGTGAGATGAGGTGGGGAGGCCGGGCCCGCCTCGCTTCACTCTCAGGCTGACGGTGGCGCCGCGCCCTTAGATACCTGGAGAAGTACCTGGAGCGCTTCCTGGAGACGGCGGAGCAGCACTTCATGGCGGGCCAGAGCGTGATGTACTACGTGTTCACCGAGCTTCCGGGAGCGGTGCCCCGCGTGGCGCTGGGCCCGGGACGCCGGCTGCCCGTGGAGCGCGTGGCGCGCGAGCGGCGCTGGCAAGACGTGTCGATGGCGCGCATGCGCACGTTGCACGCGGCGCTGGGCGGGCTGCCGGGCCGCGAGGCGCACTTCATGTTCTGCATGGACGTGGACCAGCACTTCAGCGGCACTTTTGGGCCCGAGGCGCTGGCCGAGTCGGTGGCGCAGCTGCACTCCTGGCACTACCACTGGCCGTCGTGGCTGCTGCCCTTCGAACGCGACGCGCATTCGGCCGCCGCGATGGCGTGGGGCCAGGGCGACTTCTATAACCACGCGGCGGTGTTCGGGGGCAGCGTGGCGGCGCTGCGCGGGCTGACGGCGCACTGTGCGGGGGGCCTGGACTGGGACCGCGCGCGCGGCCTGGAGGCGCGCTGGCACGACGAGAGCCACCTCAACAAGTTCTTCTGGCTGCACAAGCCCGCCAAGGTGCTGTCGCCCGAGTTCTGCTGGAGCCCGGACATCGGCCCGCGGGCCGAGATCCGCCGCCCGCGACTGCTGTGGGCGCCCAAGGGGTACCGGCTGCTGCGGAACTAGCGCCGCCGCCGGTTCCCGGCCCTCCGGCTTCTCCGCCGGCCCAGCCGGCCCGGCCTCACTCCCGCTCCGGGCGTCTTCGGCCCCGGGAAGGTGTGGAGTGGGAGTCACTAGAGGAAGAGATCCTGAAACCGGGCGGGGCCCTTCTGGACGCTGATGGCGCTCTGGAGAGCAGAGAGATACTGGATACAAAAGCCCTACCCGCTTCGTGTGCGCCAGTCCGTGGGAGTGGGAGTAGGAGGGAGAGCTCCTCGCCTTTGGGGAGCTCCTCACTTCAAGAGAAAAATCCCCTTCCCTTAGCTTAGCAGTGAGCGAGGCTCAACTGCAGTAGAGCCCCGAGCTATCAGCCTATAGACCTTTCACCCCTGAGCCTGCAGAATGCAGCTGGTGTCTCTGGAGATGTTTTAGTCCCACCTGCAACCCCTTTTTTAAATGAGGAGACTGAGATACAAAAGAGGAAACATAACTGCCCAAGGACACAGAGGGTCCGAGTCACTGTGATGTCAGCGGCTGGAGAGGCGTGGCTGGCCCCTCGGGATGTCTCTGGGCAGGAGCCACAGGAAGAAACACAGGGGGCACCCCGTCATTCGCTCTGCCCTTTTACCTCCCCTGCTCATAAGCATGGTTTGTACATATTTCAGTAATATTATGATAAATTATTCCTGTGCTGCGAGACAAAGTAGCAAACATAAGAAGCCATGTTTGCTCCTTTCCCTTGCCAGCATAATTTCACAAAACCCTAACTGTGACAGCATATAGCTGTCAAAACAACACAGCTCCCCACGTCCCTTGCCAGAGTCACTATATTCCCTAAAAAAATAAGTGACTCTAGATATATCTCCATATAAGATAATGTCAGTTGGGGTTAATGATCATGCTTCTATAAACTATAACCAGATACACTCTTACATACAAACTTAGATATAATTTTACGCATACTGAAGCTTCACCACCTATATCTAAACTCTAAACTAAAATACTACATTCAGGCCGGGCATAGTGGCTCATGCCTGTAATCCCAGCACTTCGGGAGGCTGAGACATACAGATCACTTGAGGTTAGGAGTTTGAGACCAGCCTGGCCAACATGATGAAACCCCATCTCTACTAAAAATACAAAAATTAGCAGGGCGTGGTGGCACACACCTGTTAATCCCAGCTACCGGGGAGGCTGAGGCACAAGAATCACTTGAACTCGGGAGGCGAAGGTTGCAGTGAGCCGAGATCGTACCACTGCACTCCAGCCTGAGTGACAGAGCAAGACTCTCTCTCAATAAAATAAATAAAATACTACATTCAAAGCGTCTGATAGAACCTTCTAAAGAGCTCCTCCCGGGCCATAGGCCTTGGTCGATGGTCCTCAATAAGACTTCTAAGTGACACTAACTTTAATTATTTAAAAACTTACTTTTATTCTTTAGTTGACATTCCCAAATTGTTATTATGGCTTTTTCTCCTAGACAAAGTCCAAAATGACATTTTCTGGCCTGGGGGCGATAGCAGGGCGACATTTGGCCACAGTATCTGGGAGGGAAGTTTCCACATCCGCGGCAGCTGTCTAGACTTCTGATCCCCAGTGGGGAAACACAGGCTCTGAATAGGAGTGTGAAGGCGTCAGACCCTCCCAGGAAGGTGGTCACAGAGCCAAGGAGATAGGGAAGGTAGCCACTGAAGCCCCTGAGATTTTGTCTGACATTTGGGAAAACTGGGGCCCTGAGAGACTGGGATTTCACCCTGGCTCTCCTGAATCTTTTATGTAGTATTGTCACCAACCTTGCATTTTAATAGCCTCCACTCCCAGGTAGGGCAGCAATTCTTGCTATTTACCAGGCCCAGCTATTGACAATAAGAGAGATCTGTCCTCTCAAAAGCAGTTCAAAATGTCTCCTGTCTAAACTAGATTAGCAAAACCCAGAAGGTCTTCTGGACTCAGGATTAGAGATGAGAATGGGCCACGTGTGTCAGAACAGGCAATTTGGCCGGGCACAGTGGCTCACACCTGTAATCCCAGCACTTTAGGAGGCTGAGGCAGGCGGATCACAAGGTCAGGAGTTCGAGACCAGCCTGGCCAGCATGGTGAAACCCTGTCTCTACTAAAAACACAAAAATTAGCCAGGCGTGGCGGTGGGCACCTGTAATCCCAGCTACTTGGGAGGCTGAGGCATGAAAATCACTTGAACCTGGGAGGCGGAGGTTGCAGTGAGCCAAGATCGTGCCACTGCACTCCATCCAGCCCGGATGACAGTACGAGACTCCGTCTCAAAAAAAAAAAAAAAATTTCTGCCTGTGAGCTGGGGAAGATGTGTGTCCTCCACCTTACCCTGCAGCATTCACTGAGGGCCACACGTGCTGACCCTAACAATTGCTGCAGACCCTAACAATTGCTGGGCCATTCAATACCTGAGCATGAGCCAGCAAGAGATGATGTGAACTGGCTCTTCTTCTGTGTGTGGGTAGACAAGTTCCTTACCTTTGCTGGCCTCAGTTTTCTCATACGTGAAATGTGGATGCCACTCTTCCTCCCTGCAGGGGTTGTGGTGGTGCTCTAGAAAACACAACTTGCCTTCCTCTCCGTGCCTGCCCTTTCTCCAGCATGCTCAGAGAGTGCAAAGGATTTGCCAAAGAACAGTCATTTCCTGTTTTTTGTTTGTTTGTTTTTGAGACAGCATCTCACTCTGTTGCCCAGGCTGGAGTGCAGTGGCTATGATCATGGCTCACTGCAGCCTCAACATCCCTGAGCTCAGGTGATCCTCCCACCTCAGCCTCCCAGGTAGCTGGGACTACAGGCATGCACCACCACACCAGGCTTTTTTTTTTTTTTTTTTGTAGAGGCGGGGTTTCACCAAGTTGCCCAGGCTGGTCTCGAACTCCTGGGCTCAAGGGATCCACTTGCCTTGGCCTCTCAAAGTGCTGGGATTCCAGGCATGAGCCACT